>NC_000001.11:194434587-195684587 GCF_000001405.40 Homo sapiens | reverse complement strand
GTCCCAAACCAAGAAAACCTGGGTCTGAAATACAGCTTTATCATTTATTCACTGTATAACATTGAAAAGGTTAGTTAACCTTCAGTTTCTTATCTCTAAAATGGAAATAATTATTAACATTTATTTATAGTACTGTTCAGTATTAAATGAGGTAGCATGTATTAAATAAATAGAATGGTTGGCATGTATTGATCTTGACATTGCTAGGTACTACTATTGCAAATGAACCCAGGGGCTTAGCAAAGGTCACAGATTTGAAACTACATCACAGCAATTTTTACTGCAAATGACCAGCTTGTGTCCCTATAAATTCTAAAATAGATTCTGAACTTTGCTCATTGGGTGATTGTCAGTCACTTTTGTTGTCATGACATCTATCTTATTGTATTAGTATTATTTAAAAATTAACAGGTGTTAAAAATAACAGTTATTTCATGGATAACATTTTCATTAACATATCATATATTTTTAAGTGTGTACATTGTTAAGTAAAATTCATCATCTTTCATCTTGTGTTGTTTTGAAGTTTATCTTGCCTCAGCTATTAATTTCAATGAGATTTCCAACTATATTTTAGCACAATTATTAATAGTCACTTGTTTAAAAACTACAGAAACTCATTTGGATAATAGATACTACCAATTATATATTAGGGTTATTTTTTAAGAATAGTCAAAAGAATAAGATAGCAATAGCATAAAAGCTATTAAACTCATCTTATATAGTATAAGATGTTATACTCATGTTATAAAGTAGCATTAAAACTCATCTATGTAGCTAATTATAAATGGAGGCACATAAAAAATACTGGAAGCCCGGAGGATCTAAACAGATAAGCATGAATAAAGAAGGCAACCTAGGGTAGGACATGTTAAGGTACTGTATTTAAATTCAAATTGCAGAAAAGCCATATTTTATCATGGCTTTGTGGCTGCCCTCTTGCTTTATTCATAAATTTCTCCATTAGCTTTATTGTCAAAAGATTTAAAAGCACATTTTCAGAGTGTGTCCCATACCCCTCCAAAATCTCTAAACAATTATCCTTATGTTGGGGCTCTATTATTCACCACATTTCTTTTACCAACTTTGTGTCTACCATTTCTGAAAACCATTTCCCTTTCCCATATGTCAAAGGTCTTAACTATCTACTTCACATCAGCAGAACAAGTTTTCTATGTCATTTTACACTATGTAGATTTAGCATATCATCAAAATGATTTAATACATTTGTATTATGTCAGGTTTTGTTCTTTTCCTCTTGTTCTTTTAACAAAATAAGATTATATTATCCCTCTAAACTCTAAATCATTATCCTGTGTTGTCATAATTCTTCCTTCCTTGAATACAGTTATTAATGAAACTTTGTTAATATCCCAAAATAGCAGCCACTTTTATAATATAGATGTAATCCCAGGCCCTTGTAATGGGCATAATTGTTGGATCCCAAGTTAGGGAACCTTGGATGCAGCATCATTACACATTTAAGCCTATAAATAGAACTATTTTAGTTTCTTATAGTTTTTCTTTCTCTTTCAGATTAATTTGATTTTTTGGATCAACTTTTGCATGGAGATAAATTTATTCTTTGTAGATCTTGCAGAGCTACTTAATTTCCTTTTAGTAAATGATAATAATAAGTAGCAATATATCAAAAGCCATCTACAACAATATAATAAATATAAAAAGTGAAAAATAAATTTGAAACATACTTAGAAACTGAAAGCAGAGACTAATATAAAGTGAATAATCATCAACTTTACTTGATTCATAAAGTTTTATTTTTTGTTAAAATAAATCTTGAAGGTTTGGAATAGCCTTTCTTGCAACAGTTAATGGCTGCTCTTTTTCTATGTTTGTATTTTTAAAATTAATTAGACTTGTCTGATAAATGCAGGTGGTACAGTTTAATTTGAATTTCAGATAAATGACAAATATTGCATGGGGCACAATTATACTAAAAACTTTTTCTTTGTTTATTTTAAATTCAAATTTTATTGAAGTTCCTATTTTTAATTTACTAATCTGTAAACCCTAGTAATTATAATAAATGGAAAGTTACTGAAAGCAACAATGTTAATATAGAAAAGATATTCTTTGAAAAATCCATTAGCTTTACATACCAATTTATTATAAATGAGAATTGTAATGAATTTTAGAGATATGTAATTCAAGTGTGTTGGGTATATTAGTTTCCTCTAAATTATTATTGTTCAGACTACTTTTTCATAAAAAATCATCATTTATAGTTCATGGCTAGGAGTTTAAGTATGCTGCTACTTTATTTCAAGAATATTTTTAAAGCCTTTTATACAAATATAAAGATGGAATAAGTTTGCAACAATCAGATAAAGATACTGCAGTGGCAAGAGAATAGCCTCCCGCTAAATACTAGTTTCTTTTACAGTATTTCTAGAGTATGATGATAATCACTGTATTTTTATCAATATTCTCATTTCCTAGTTTACCATCTCTAGTTGTTTTAACTCTTTTGCATCCAGCATGCGTTCATTCTACTTGTCATTGTAATCACCCTCTTTTTGATACATTCTAATTTATTATCGCCTTCTATTCTCATCTGGTCATCTCGGAAATTTGTTAAATCACCAGACTCCACATTCTGAAAATTGTACACGTGTAAAGCCTGCCTAAAATGGTGTCTCAGCTTTTTGAATAGATACATTGTAAGATTATATTGCTTCATGTTATTTTTAGAGTTAGCTAAAAGCCTTCACTCTTCTAGGTATGTATTTCTTGCAAATCTCTGTTTGTCTTCACATTTTACTGGTTGGTTTAGTTTTTTCATTTGTTTGTTTGTTTTTAATGCAGGAATTTATAGTTATCTCTATAAGAATAGCTGATATTCTGCCAAAATCATTCATTTTGTCAACAGTCAAACTTGCTTCTTTTGCCTCTTAGCTTTCTCAAGTTCCTCAAATCACTGATTTTTTAAAAAATGCTGTAGAAGATTACTGTGGTAGGAAGAATAGTGACTCTCACAGATATCCACATCCTAATCCCCAGAACCTGTGAATCTGTTACAGTCCATGGCAAAAGGGATTTTGTTGATGTGACTAAGTAAAGGAACTTAATGAGGGGATGATCCTGGATTATCCAGTACGGCCCAACCTAATTATATACCACTCTATTGGTATAAAAGGACATGGGTCCTTAAAACTGAAGAATCATTCCTGGCTACAGTCAGAAGATGTGAGTATGGAAGAATAATCAGAGAGGTGAACTGTTGCTGGATTTGGATATGGACCAAGGGGGCCACAAGCCAAGGAATTGGGGACAGCCTCTAGGAGCAGGAAAAGGCAAGGACAGATTCTTTCCTAGGACCTCCAGAACACACACCTTTATGTTAGCCTGGTTAGACCCATGTCACACATCTAACCTACAGAACTGTAAGATGATGAATTTCTGTTGTTTTAAGCCACTAAGTTCGGGAGAATTTGGAAGCTAATTCACCAATAGGATACTAATAAAATTACCTTTCCTATTTGATTTATAATCACTAGTTCTGAGATCTCTTGGTACCAATTTTTAATTACATATTCATTGATCTAACTTATGTCAGCTTGAAAATGGAATAACTGAATTTGAAAACAGAACAAGTGGCTTTATTTATTAAATTAAACATAAAGTTATTTGGTTAAATTATAGATAATATAGCATTTTCCCAATGGTTCTTGGATATTGAAAAGAGCATTGTGCTCGAAATCAAACTAATGAATTATTGGTAACAAAATAAAATAGCTTCAAAGGATTTCATAATAAAAATTAGGGAGACTATATGTAACACAACATTATGAAATGGAAACATGTTATCTGAAAGTTTTCATTTTAATTTAAAGCAATGATTGTAAAAACTTAAAGACAGAAAGTGTATAAATTTGGTCTTTAGGTCTTTTTGCCTATGATTAGAAGTCATTAGTGTTATGGGATTTTTGTGCGATGTCCATTTGCATGTGTTGCTAGGAGATTATTGTTTTGTTTCCACTCTTTATGTCACATTATATGAGAGGACAATTTGCTCACTGCTTAGATTGGGAAAAAGCTCATTGAAAGCACAAATTAAAATGCTTTAGTCCTAAATGACACAGGACACCTAACATTTATACTTTATATAAACTACATGCTATGCCTATATATTGGAGTAAAGCTACAGATAATTGTCTATGAAAATAAATCTCAAAGTGTTCATATATTGTCATATATTGTATAACAAGGGTTGTTTGCTGTGTCACTCAAAAATGTAAACTTAAAAGTAGATGAGCACCATGGTTTATGTCAATTTCTGGTTAAGATCAGTTGAGGAGTGGTAACATGTTCCCAATATCAAATACTATACAGGACACAATTGTTGATACAAGTGAAAAAAAATCATGAAAATTCATAAAGATTCAGCAGCAAAAAAGGTGCTACTGGAATAAATATGCACATACTGGGATAAATAAGTAAATGCTTATATGAAACAATTAGTAGCCGAGAAACTTAATTCTTTCCTGAGTTTAACATCCTAAACAATATTACCAAGGAATTCTTTCCATGAATTTTTTACAGTTTCTAGTTTCTATATACAATTTTCTAATGGGCACATTAGTTGTCAGTTGCTCTTTTAATAGATTGCCCCCAAATTTCTTGTCTTAAGACAACACAAATGTATGAACTTGCAGTTCCGGAGGTTAGAAATTTGAAATAGGTCTCACTGTGCTAAAATCAGACTCTACAAAACTGCATTTCCTCTGGTGGCTCTAAGGGAGAATTGGGTTTTTTGCCTTTTCTAGCTTCTGGAGGACACTGCAATGTTTGGTTGTGGCCCCATCCTCCTTCATTTTCAGTGTATATCACTTCGACATCTTATTCCATCTCCACATCTCATGTACTCTGACCTTCTTCCTTCCTCTTGTAAGGACCTGTGATATCTCAATCTCAAGTTTCTTAAATAATGATATATGCAAATCTCTTTTGCCACTTAAGGTCACATATTCATAGGCTCCGGGATTAGGGCATAAGCATTTTGTGTGAGCATTTTTTTCCTACACATAATTACTCTTTTCAGTTTAATGTATCTTAATGAAATAATCGGTTTTTCAAAGTTAGCCACTGAAATAATTTATATATATAAATATATATACATATATATAATTTTTTAAAAAGCTATTATTTGGTAAAGGTTTATTTGTATTATAGAGTGAAAGCTACAGCCAACTGAAAAGAATGCTTGTATATATGTCAGTTAGGTTCTTTTCAAAAAGAATCGGGAAGCAAATGCTAAGACTGGAGTTTGGATAATTGAAGAATGAGTTACTCTAGCTACCTGCCACTAGCAAGCCATTATCAGTCTTCCAGGCAAGCACCCGGGTAGACTCAGGTTTTAGGGGTAGCTTGTGTTCAACAGTGAACCCTCACACATACCTCTTGGCTTGGCTGGAAGAAAAGCACTATGCAGTTGATGACTTGATGTTAGACATAAAGAAAATAAATGTAATTATTTTCTTATTTGGCCAGATGATAGGAGAGCAGTCTTAGTTTAATTAACTGCTAGATTCTCTGGCACTCCAATTTGGAATTTATTTGCTTTTCTCTGCTTATCCAAAAATTCTGCTTTCCCACCCAACCTAATACAGGGCCTTCTTGATTGCAAGTCCAAATGATTATCATTCTAATTACAAATATCTATCAATACAGGTCTCAATTGCTGCCAATTATGAAGCACATTTGGCCAATACATAGATAAATTTTATACGAGAGTGATTTTAGCCTAGTATAATTATCATACTTGGCAACAGATTTGCATGTATAAGAAAAGTGTCAGTACTTATTAACATTTTCTATAAACAATCAAGTAATCAATGTATTTACACATCCTTATATGCAAAAGCAAAGCACATGATAAAAATACACTTATCTTAATTTTGACTTAAATAATATTCAGTATTGCAATATCAGTGCACTGTTGGATAAAATGAAAATAAAGTTAGTATTTAAAAAACAAGTGATAAAACAACTCAAGGAAAAGGAATATTCTAGGCAGAAGTTTCTTTTCTCTGTAGATACAAGATAGACTTTCTTTGCTACTCTTTAGAAAATTATAATTAGGCCAGTGTGGTGGCTCACGCCTGTAATCCCAGCACTTTGGGAGGCTGAGGCAGGCAGATCATGAGGTCAGGAGTTAGACCAGCCTGGCCAATGTGGTGAAAACCCATCTCTACTGAAAATACAAAAAAAAAAAAAAATTAGCCGGGAGTGCTGGCAGGCACCTGTAATCCCAACTACTCAGGAGGCTGAGGCAGGAGAGTCACTTGAACCCAGGAAGGCAGAGGTTGCAGTGATCCGAGATTGCACCACTGCACTCCAGCCTGGGCAGCAAGAGCAAGACTTCGTCTCAAAAAGAAAAAGAAAAAGAAAAAGAAAAAAGAATAACTAAAGTGACTGAAGATTTGGTAATAATATTTTTTATCTAAAAAACACAAAAACCTTTCCTTTCTTCTAAGATTGTTTTAAAAAAATAATTTCTTTGCTGTCAAATATCAGCCTTTTAATAGTACTGAGAACATAGTAACAGTAATAGAAGAACAATGTGTTGAGGTTATCTTCCTTGCCCTGGTACCTTCAAGTAAAGAAAGTTAACTGCTGAGCATGGCAGTGCTCAAAGAATTCATGTAGTGAGCAGCTGCCTTCTTTGGGAAAACATGTGTTTAAAAATACCTTCTTCTCCAGGTAATTTTGCTTTTGCAGTCTAAGAAGTTTCAGCTGCTCTCAAGGACAAAACTCAAGAAATCAGGATGTTTTGATAGAAACTGCTGTAAATAGTATAATGGCCAAAATGAGTGTTTTGGCTGTGTCAATATAAAGCTAATAGATCAATAACTTTGATTATACATTCAATTCTGTCAAATAATTTAGACTAGTTTCTACATACATGATTAAAGTTTTAATGGACCAACCGTATTGATATACATTTGCAGAGGTATATCAAAATGTTTAATTTTCCTAGTTCTGAATTTTGAATTAAAATCAAAGTCCCAAGTTTGGAAGTCATTACTTAAAAGTATGGGTTTAAAGATAACTCTGCTAAGTAGAATACAGAGAATATTCTAGCTATTTTTAAAATCATTTCTGCTTTTTGATGGCAATGGTTTTTGATAATAAACACAATGTTTGAGCCAATAAAATAATGGTCACAAATAAATAAACGTCAGAGGCAAAATTAATTATATAGATAGTTACTTAGATTTTTTTCATCTTTGAGAAAACAATGTATTTTTAGAGTAAAATTTAATAACACATAAAATAGAATTTATCTTTATAAATGCCATTCCATATGTAAAATTATGATTCACTTTTTACAATCTGGCCAGGGATTTTTTTTCTTTGCTTGAAAAGAGAAAAAAAAATTAACCATATTTTGCTCATAATATATCAACTAGGTTAATATTTCCAAACATCTGTATAATTGGTCTATATTTTCACATTTAATTCATGTCTTTTTCAATTAGGATTTATATTTTTGTTAATCCTCTTTAAGTAAAAGATTCTTCATAGTTCATATAGTGCTTGATTTTAACAACTTTAAGTTATAACTATAATGCCACAATTAACCAATTTAATAAGGGTGAAATAAAAAATAGTTAATTTATTAGAAATAGTCAGTATGAATAGTTGAGCACAACATTCAATTTTTTTTTTTGCTAATTTTTGGCATTGTATAATCAGATCCTAAGATTTGCATCATTATTGATGCTTCTAAATTTTGAAAACATAATTTCAGAATGCAAAGCAATCTCAATTTTTGATTCTCTCCATTTTTGTTCAATTGTGAATTGAGTTTCAAGAGATTGACACATTCCACTGGAAATACATATGTCAGTATATGTGAATCTTCTGTCCAGTTAATCTGATAAGTAGGGGACATAACAAATTACAAATCAATTCCATCAAACTTATTACAGTAGTCGATTTAACACATTTCAATTTTATAATTAAATAATGAATATTTGAGCACCTCGTTCCATGCTGTCAAAATAAACACATTTAATCCATATTACACTTCAAATTACTCTATTTGGACTCTAGTAGCTCATCTATCCCAAAGCACATTTTCTCAATGCTCACTACACAAACAGATGTGTGTTAACAAAGGTATAAAGGTATATATATCAAGATCATTCCTCCAAGAAGTTTGAAATGATTTCTAGAGTTTGAGACACAAACATGTCACCATAATCCAAGGTGATTACTACTGTGAATAATAATTAAACTGATTGTTATAATAGTCCAAAAAGGCAGAATATATTTAACGTCAACAAGACATCATAGAAGAGGTGGTGACTCAGATTTTGAAACATGGTGTATGTTTTTTTAAAGTACAGTGAAGCAATTTTAGAGAAGCAAAAATGTTAAAATAAAGGCATTGTGTATGAAAAACACAATGCCTTTTTTGTGAATGACTATTTCAATAGAAAGGAAAGTGAGATTTATAAATGATAGTATTGATATATAAAGCTGGAAATAGACTGGGACTTGGAATATACATTAATACTTTACAATTTTAAACTAGTTATTATCATAAGAAAAATGTTTTTTTGACTGGAAAACCAGTTAGAATTAATAATTTAGGATATTAAAGCAGAAAGATAATTAACTTATTTTTGGAGCATATAGATACTAATATAAAAGAGGTATAAAACAAATAAGGCTGGGCATGGTGGCTCACACCTGTAATCCCAGCACTTTGGGAGGCTGAGGTGGGTGGATCACCTGAGGGTCAGGAGTTTGAGACCAGCCTGGCCAACATGGTGAAACCCCTTCTCTACTAAAAATACAAAAATTAGCCAAGCGCAGTGGCATGCGCCTGTAATCCCAGCTACTCATGAAGCTAAGGCAGAAGAATCACTTGAACCTCGGGAGGTGGAGGTTGCAGTGAGCCGAGATCACACCACCATGGTCCAGTCTGGGTGACAGAGCAATACTCCGTCTCCAAAAAAAAAAAAATAAAAATAATAATAATAGTGAAGTTAGGAGAAGGAAAGAACAATGATAAAATCAAGTGTAGTGTTATAAAAGCTAAGGACGACACTGGGTAGCAAGGAAGAGACCAACTCCATTCTTTGGAAATAACTGTTGAAGATAATGGTGTTACTTTGGGAAAGTTAGACTTTAATTCTGGTATGTATGTCAATACGAATATCACTGAAAAAATGTAAACATATACATTTGTCAATCACCATGAAGCAAATACAAAAATATAATGGGATGAGGAGATTTGTGAAAGACTGAGTACAAAAAATAATAGTAGAAAAATAAGATGCATTGGGTGATTTTTTTGTGCTGATGCTGTTACCATATCATTAAGGTACAGGTAGCAAGGTATAGTATAAACTGAAAGAAGGTAGACATGTGATAAGATTAAGATTAGACTGGCATTTTGTTTTTGGAAGAGATTTAATCTCAATTTTTCAACTAGAATCCCTTCTTTTTGATAGACAGTGTTCAATAGTTTCAATTATGCCATATTTTTTTTTCTAGCATGACTATATACAGGATTTAATACATCCTCTACCCTGGTGCCATAAGTCAGCCCACACATATTTCGGCTCCTCCCTCTATTCAAATTTAAATGGAATTGTTAAAGCTCTTCTGTGTTTTGGTGCCCATGCATAGATTCTGAAAATAAATGGGAGCCTTTATTTATTGCTCAAGCCCCTAATCTAATGATTACCATATATGTAAAACAACACAAACTATGAGGTCAGCTATACCTGTGTTTGAAATCAGCCAGTCGCTTTCATTCACAGCTTCAGTGTTATTATTGGCAAAAGGAAGATAACAGTATCATCCTTCAGGGTTTTTACTGTAATTACGGCCGATGTATTAAAGTGATACACATAATCACAATTCAATAAATAGCAGTTATTAAAAACCTAGTGCAACTGTATGAAATCTTAATGGTATTGTATGTTTTTATCACTTCTGAAATACCCTGTTATAAGTAATAGATACCATGAAACTCTTCTATTTAGTAACACAAATCACCAAGAATATGTTTAAGATAACTTGACTTCTTTAAAAAGTATACTATGAAGCTTTTAAAATGTAAGTAATCATATTTTAAACAATTATAATTAAAGTAAATGTTAATTTTCCCAGGTGTTTTAAAGTATTGATAGTCAGTTTGTACCAATAACACATCATATCTTCTATTTTATGTAGCAGGAATATTTTAATGCTGCCCACCTTGACTTTAAATGTCACAATAAGCAAATATCTCTAAAAAGCATGTCTTCCTTTACCCTTAATTAAACATGATTTAACACACATTAATTTAACTCAGCCCTTTAAAAAGCAAGTTTCAGCTCATCCATTTATCTTACATTTTCTACTTGAATTACTCTTTATGTTTCTAAGTTTTAATGATATAAAACTGACTTAACTGTATGACTCAGTTATAAAAATTTAATATTGGAAGCTTAACCCTTCACTTGTAAAAATCGGTAGTTCAACTTGATGTTAATTTTTCATTATTATCTTAATATTTTCCTCAAATTAATCTTTTCATATTATGATAATAAAAATATTAGGCTATTAACACTAGGAGCCATTTAAAGTTTAACCTCTAAAGCTTATAGAAGTGAAACAAGTCTCTTCTACCTGCGTAGCAGCATTCTAATATATCAGGATGATATGAACCTCCTTCATTCCTTTGAAAATTCTGGGGACCGAGTAGAATTTATGGTGAAAGAAAAAACAGTTAAGGAAAAAGTTGCTGCTTCCCTTGATGAATAGCTTGGCTTAAGGAGAACAGAGTTAGCAGGTGTACTTACTGACCTGGAAATCAAGCCATTTAAGCAGTGCTAAAAACCAGTGCACTAGAACTGCTTTAGTTATACTATTTATATATTAAATTATTTAATGGGATATTGGAAATGAGCCTTTCAGGAAAATAGCATGTAGTGTTATTGAAACATAAAGCCTATTTGTATGTCTGTGTGAAGTGTTTAAAATGTGCCCTTTAATGTGATAATGTGTTTCATTAAAACACAACAGAAAAGAAAATGTTTGAACTAAAAGTTCAGGAGAAGATATACTTAGAATATGCTTCCTGATTTCAATAAGTGCCAATAATCTAAACCCATTTGTAGATACTAATTAAAATTTAAGATCAGAATTATGATCCTTTATTTCAGAGAGAGGTTACTTGATTATTTGAATGATTCTCACTCGGTTATTTGATTTTCATTTTCTTATTTTGGACATGTTTTATACTCTTATAGTTTAATGCATAGAAATACTGTCTAGTTGCTGTGGCCTTTTGTACCTGCATATTATCTATGTTCTAACATTAATTTTACTATCATTATCTAGCAAGATAATTATATTGATAGAGGCCTAATATAAAATATAAAATTGATTGAATCGGAGAGGAGGAAAAAATGTTTCAGGGTTATTGGGCTGATCTTTATAAGTGTAGTTTGATGCAGGTATTCTATTGTCCTTAGAAGTTGATGAGATTTACTACAACTTTCCTTATGTGTGTAGAATTTCTGCCTTTAAATTGTTACTGAGATAGCACTTTCAACATTCCATTATCTTGTAATCTAGAATATATTTTCTACATATTTCCTCTAGATATACAGACTGGAGTCTGAGTGTCTAGGTTTAAGTCCAAAGTCCACAATTCACTTTTTAAAATTGGAAAAGTGCATAAACTCCTTCTGCCTTAATTTTCTCATGTTTCAACAAAGACGATAATATTACATTGTTATGTAGATTAAATAGTATTACTTATATATGGTTTTAAAAATCATGGTGTTATTCCTCTTGGAATTACTTGTCACAGTTACCTCAAACTCATTTGCTTACATTTTACTGTTTGTTGCAACCTACAACCTATACTTGATTGTGTTCAGGTTTGGACTCCTTAAGGTCATTTCACAAATGACTTCTTAAATAAACTCAGTAATTCTATTTTATATTCCATAAATTTGTAAAGGCTGATACTAGAAAATAATCATTTATATTATTTTTAAGGCAACTTAACTGATGATGGTAAACCACTAAATAGGCTTTTCTGGTAGCTTAATCAGATTTAAAAATACACATGTTTCAAAAGAACATGGATAAGTAACAGTTTATTCATACAAAATACCATTTTGCGATTAAGATTAATAACCTGGAGCAATACATATCAGCAGGGTGGATCTTAGAAACAGAATAGTGAGTGAGTAGCTCCCAATAAAGGGGAAGGTTTTAGTATATGTCAACATTTCAGTTCAAACCTTGGGACAGACCTTCATGGAATCCACTTAGAAAGCTTGGGGACAAAATAAATACAGATCCAATTCATTGCTTGCTGACATAGCCTATGACAGGGCATAAGAAGTCTGAAGTTTAAAATTAATGTATTCCCAGATTCTGGTAATGGCAATGCATTTTTAGATTCTGTTGAGGCTCAGAATTGTGTGTGAAAGAAAGCTTTTACTTGCCAGAATTAATTCTTTTTAAGTGAGCTGCTTGAAAATGTAAAAAAACTTCAGTAGAAATAAGAGTAGATGTATAGGAAAGCTTGTGATTTTTGCACATTGATTTTGTATCCTGAGACTTTGCTGAAGTTGCTTATCAGTTTAAGGAGATTTGGGGTGGAGACAATGGGGTTTTCTAAATATACAATCATGTCGTCTGCAAACAGGTAATTTGACTTCCTCTCTTCCTATTTGAATACCTTTGTTTCTTTCTCTTGCCTCATTGCCTTTGCCAGAACTTCCAATACTATGTTGAAGAGGAGTGGTGAGAGAGGGCATCCCTGTCTTGTGCCGGTTTTCAAAGGGAATGCTTCCACCTTTTGCCCATTCAGTATGATATTGGCTGTGGGTCTGTCATAAATAACTCTGATTATTTTGAGATACGTTCCATCAATACCTAGTTTATTGAGAGTTTTTAGCATGAAGGGGTGTTGAATTTTATTGAAGGCCTTTTGTGCATCTATTGAGATAATCATGCGGTTTTTGTCATTGGTTCTGTTTATGTGATGGATTATGTTTATTGATTTGCATATGTTGAACCAGCCTTACATCCTAGGGATGAAGCCAACTTGATCATGATGGATAAGCTTTTTGATGTGCTGCTGGACTCGTTCTGCCAGTATTATCTTGAGGATTTTTGTGTTGATGTTCATCAGGGATGTTGGCCTGAAATATTCTTTTTTTTGTTGTGTGTCTGCCAGGTTTTGGTATCAGGATGATGCTGGCCTCACAAAATGAGTTAGGGAGGAGTCCCTTTTTTTCTATTGTTTGGAATAGTTTCAGAAGTAATGATACCAGCTCCTCTTTGTACCGCTGGTAGATTTTGGCTGTGGATCTGTTTGGTCCTGGGCTTTTTTTTGTTGGTAGGCTATTAATTATTGCTTCAATTTCAGAATTTGTTATTGGTCTATTCAGGGATTCTATTTCTTCCTGGTTTAGTCTTGGAGGAGGTGTATGTGTCCAGGAATTTATCCATTTCCTCTAGATTATCTAGTTTATTTGTGTAGAGGTGTTTATAGTGTTCTCTGATGGTAGTATGTATTTCTGTGAAATCAGTGGTGATATCCCCTTTATCATTTTTTAATGTGTCTATTTGATTCTCCTCTTTTCTTCTTTATTAGTCTGGCTAGCAGTCTATCTATTTGGTTAATCTTTTCAAATACCAGCTCCTGGATTCATTGATCTTTTCTGAAGGGGTTTTCGTGTCTCTATCTCCTTCAGTTCTGCTCTGATCTTAGTTATTTCTTGTCTTCTGCTAGCTTTTGAATTTGTTTGCTCTTTCTTCTCTAGTTCTTTTAATTGTGATGTTAGGGTGTCAATTTTAGATCTTTCCCGCTTTCTCCTTTGGGCATTTAGTGCTCTAAATTTCCCTCTAAACACTGCTTTGGCTGTGTCCCAGCGATTCTGGTATGTTGTTCTCGTTGGTTTCAAATAACTTATTTATTTCTGCCTTAATTTCTTTACTTACCCAGTAGTCATTCAGGAGCAGGTTGTTCAGTTTCCATGTAGTTGTGTGGTTCTGAGTGAGTTTCTTAATCCTGAGTTCTAATTTGATTGCACTGTGGTCTGCGAGACGGTTTGTTATGATTTCCGTTTTTTGCGTTTGCTGAGGAGTGTTTTACTTCCAACTATGTGGTCAATTTTAGAACAAGTGCAATGTGGTGCTGAGAAGAATGTACAGTCTGTTGATTTGGGTGGTAGAGTTCTGTAGATGTCTATTAGCTCTGCTTGGTCCAGAGCTGAGTTCAAGTCCTGAATATCCACGTTAATTTTCTGTCTCGTTGACCTGTCTAATATTGGCAGTGGGGTGTTAAAGTTCCCACTATTATTATATGGGAGTCAGAGAGCCAAATCACGGGTGAACTCCCATTCACAATTGCTACAAAGAGAATAAAATACCTAGGAATACAATTTACAAGGAATGTAAAGGACCTCTTTAAGGAGAACTACAAACCACTGCTCAAGGAAATAACAGAAGACACAAACAAATGGAAAAATATTCCATGCTCATGAATAGGAATAATCATTATCATGAAAATTGCCATACTACCCAAAGTAATTTATAGATTCAATGCTATCCCCATCAAGCTACCATTGACTTTCTTCACAGAGGTAGAAAAAACTACTTTAAATTTCATATGGAATCAAAAAAGAGTCCGTATAGCCAAGAAAATCCTTAGCAAAAAGAAGAAAGTTGGAGGCATCATGGTACCTGACTTCAAGCTATACTATAAGGCTATACTAACCAAAACAGCATGGTACTAATACCAGAAAAGATATATAGACCAATGGAACAGAACAGATGCCTCAGAAATAATGCCACACATCTACAACCATCTGATCTTTGACAAAACTGATAAAAACAAGCAATGGAGAAGGGATTCCCTATTCAATAAATAGTGTTGGGAAAACTGGCTAGCCATATGCAGAAAACTGAAACTGGACCCCTTCCTCACACCTTATACAAAACTCAAGATGGATTAATGACTTAAACGTAAGACCTAAAACCATAAAAACCCTAGAAGAAAACCTAGGCAATACCATTCAGGACATAGGCATGGGCAAAGACTTCATGACTAAAACACCAAAAGCAATGGCAACAAAAGCCAAAATTGACAAATGGGATCTAATTAAAATAAAGAGCTTCTGTACAACAAAATAAACTATCATCAGAGTGAACAGGCAACCTACAGAATGGGAGACATTTTTTTCAATCTATTCATTTGACAAAGGACTAATATCCAGAATCTACAAGGAACTTACACAAATTTACAAGAAAAAAAAAAACTACCCCATCAAAAAGTGGGCAAAGGATATAAACAGACACTTCTCAAAAGAAGACCTTTATGTAGCCAACAAACATATGAAAAAAAGCTCATCATCACTGGTCATTAGAGAAATGCAAGTCAAAACCACGTTGAGATATCACCTCACACCAGTTAGAGTGGTTGATCATTAAAATGTCAGGAAACAACAGATGCTGGAGAGGATGTGGAGAAATAGGAATGGTGGGGAGTGTAAATTAGTTCAACCATTGTGGAAGACAGTGTGGCGATTCCACAAGGATCTAGAACCAGAAATACCATTTGACCCAGCAATCCTATTACTGGGATATATATACCCAAAGGATTATAAATCATTCTACTATAAAGACACAAGCACACATATGTTCATTGCAGTATTGTTCACAATATCAAAGACTTGGAACCAACCCAAATGCCCATCAATGATAGAATGGATAAAGAAAATGTGGCACATATACACCATGGAATACTATGCAACCATAAAAAAGGATGAGTTCATGTCCTTTGCAGAAACATGGATGAAGCTGGAAACCATCATTCTCAGCAAACTTACACAGGAACAGAAAACCAAACCCCACATGTGCTCACTCATTAGTGGGAGTTGAACAATGAGAACACATGGTCACAGGGATGGGAACATCACATACCAGGGCCTGTCGGGGGGTGGGGGTCTAGGGGAGGGATAGCATTAGAAGAAATACCTAATGTAGTTGATGGGTTGATCAGTGCAGCAAACCAGCATGGCATGTGTATATCTGTGTAACAAACCTGCATGTTCTGCACACGTATCCCAGAACTTAAAGTACAATAATAATAATGGAAGAGTAGGGGGTATTTCCCAGTACATGGGGACTGAGAAAGAAGCCAGCAATAACATGGACTCATGTTTAAAAATCATTATTGATCCAGAGAACCATGGGCATTAGGCTACTGGACCTCAACAAAATAATCTGGGGATCTCAGGGCTGATATTTCTGGCTACTGTGGATGGAAACACTTATAGTACCCTGCTTCTTCCAGAAAACCACACACACACAAATGTAAAACTAGACAACCTCTCAGAACACAATCATTTGTGGACTCTGTTAACTGACAAAGGAAATCAATAACTCCATCCTGGTTTTCCTATAAACCTTCTGCCCATAGCTTTTTAGTTCTCATTATTGAATCTGTTTCTTTTGACAGATTATCAAATATCAGTTTTTGAGTGTTTCATGTTTCCTTTTCCCATTTTCAGAATCGTCAAGCATTTTTCATCGAATCTCATTATTTTAACCGTATGTACCAATGACTCCTGATTAGATATTTTAAACTCCATCTTTTTAGTTCCAAGCCCGGAACTCTAATTGCTACTGGACATCTCTACCTAAATATAATAAAGGGGGTTTCAGATAACATGTAAATAACATGTTCATTATAATCAACCACATACACAACTTATTCTTTGTCTTATATATCATTTTCAATTTAGTGACTTCATCTATTAAGTAGTGATGCAAGTTAAGGCAATCTTGGAATCTTCCATCTCTCTCATTCAATACAATCAATAAATCAACAACTGCATTCACAGTTTTCAATATTTACTGCCTTGCCAAACTCCAGGAACT
Organism: Homo sapiens; assembly: GCF_000001405.40. Classification (NCBI taxonomy): domain Eukaryota; kingdom Metazoa; phylum Chordata; class Mammalia; order Primates; family Hominidae; genus Homo; species Homo sapiens. The sequence goes on along the minus strand of NC_000001.11, from coordinate 195,667,652 downwards.
TGTTTCATCTTGCCTTAACAATTGTAATTGCTTCCTATTTCTTTCTTTTTCCTCCAACATTGCCTACTTTAATTCATCAAAACCTTTCCTGACTTTTATATGCTCAGCGAAGCCTTTTATTTTGTACTCTGTCCATTAAGGCCAAGTCTACTGATTAGATCATACTTTGCTTATTTAATTAATTTTTAAAAATTGATTGATAACCTTGTATATATTTATAATAGACAACATGATTTTTAAGTTATATATACATTGTGAAATTGTTAAATCTAGCTAAGTAACAAATGCATTACCTCATATAATTCTTATAAGACTGGACAGTAGAATAGTGGTTACCAGAAGCTAGTTGGTTGCAGGGTTGGGAGGTTTGGAGATGTTGGTCAGAGGATACATAATTACAGTTAGACAGGAAAAATGAGTATAAGAGTCTGTAGTTAACGATTATATATTTTATTCTTGAAAAATAAAAACAGAGTGGATATGAAATGCTTTTACTTATTTAACTTTTATCAGCTGATTTCGACACTTTGAAGACACAGGACATGTTTTAGTCATTTTTGGTTTTATAAAATCGAATATTGATCCTCTCTTATAAGAGATGAAGATGCAGTCATTTCTGACTATATGAATTGATATTTATATTTTTAAAATAGTTGTTTATTTTTTATTCAACCTACAGTCAAATTTAATAACTGTCATTCATATGTATTTGAAGTTATTATATTGATTTTATTTAGATGGACCAAATCAAGCATTTCCAGAGTGAAAAATAATAAATCTTATTAAAATATACTGAGTAAACTGGGCTGCTCTTAGCTGTAAGAGAGAGAAAGCACAGTTTAAACTGGATTAAACAAGTGGAAATTTATTGTTCAGAAAAAAAAGACATTCAAAAGTTGAGGTGGAGGTAGGGGTAACATTAGCTTGTCTATGTTAGTTTAATCTACAGGCTTGGAGGAAGTAGCTGCAGTAATTTTATATGTCACAACCAAATTGTGACCCCTTATGGAGCACACATAGAAACGATGTGCTTCAATGACTTTCTTAGGCGTGAGAAAAAAATTTTGATAAATCTTGTGACTAATTTTCTCTTATTTTTCATTGGCCCTTATTTGGTTACCTGCCCATTCATAAGCCAATCATTCATTCTTGGAAGGAAAAGTATTACTATATTTGTTTTATAAGAATCACAATCTTAACTCCTGGAACTTGAGGTGGGGGCCACATTTCCCTGGATCATGTGAGAATGCCTGAAGAAACTAGATTGATTTTAGTAAGTAAGAAGTGGGAAAAGGACATGAGGAATTAATTAGCACAGAGCTTATACACAGCCAAGGCTACAGGACTCTTCTTGGGTCCACCTTCCTCTTTGTCTCTCTGGTGGAAAGTGCACTGTTAGTAGGGCTTAATGGAGTAGTTACATACATAATGATTTATTTATCTATTGGTATGATTCTCTAAATACTGTCTGATGTTTTCCTTCATCTTTTACATCTTGTACTACTAATTTTTAAGATTTCAGCTTCCTTTGAAGTTATAGGATCATTTGATTTTAGAAGCTATATGGCATGTGAAGAAAAATGTAAAAAAATCACATGCTTCAGGCTTGCATGTACTTTGTCACAGCTAATTTCATGATTCAGCTTTTCAAGAAAGTGAACTCTATTCATTCTTGGGGTTGGTTTTGCAAATGTCTTTTCAAGTTAAATAACCATTTAGAGTTGCCTCCACTATTATACACAAGGACAGAGTTTAGAAACCAAGATCTTAAAAACACAGTGAATTTTTGAATGAAGACACTTTGAAATGATGGTGTTGGTGCTAGTTTTCATCTTTGCTTCTGGGATATAATTTTACTTTCTTCCAGAACATAAATTGGTAGAAAGAATCATTATAAACAGCAATGAAATTATACAGTTGTAATTTGGGAAAGACTGATGTTTTAATTAATTTTGTACACAGGACACTAACATTTGCATTCCAAAAATGCAGTTTTATGGATATAATATCCAATTTAATTTTCATATTATTTTATTCTAGAGAGTAGAGTTTCCTCAGTTGGAAAATTGGTGAAAAATTCCATTTTCAATCAGTTATGTTTATTGCTGTAAAGTATTTGATAGTCATAGTTGCTATTCTAAAATTATTTGAAGATTAATTATAATATAATTTTAGTGGGGAAGAAATTTAGCAGACAATGTAGATTATTTTGCTCTCCTAGAAAATTTATATTTAAATGAACTGTATTTCTATATAATGCAATTTCAGCATATTGTGTGCCCTGTAAAATAAATGAAACCTCAATTACTGCATGTTGCAGAATCAGTACTTGTAAAATGATATCTAGGGAATTTCACTTCTACATACCAAGCAAAATGTAATGTTAGTAATACTGTAACTTACCAACAGTTGATTTTCTTGGATGGGAGGTGAGCAAGTTTTCATCAAAATGTTAAGTAAATAGTTTGAATAAAAAAAGAGGACATGTTAATATTTTCACTGTTCTCTGCACTGAAAAATTTCATTCTCTTAACTTCTTATATGTCAACTAGTAAGTAAAACACTAGAATGATGGTCACAGTATTTAAGACACTCATTTCAGACATGGTGTCCATACCAGCTCTCTTGAATCATGGATATTTACTATAAAAACCTGAATTTCAGAACAACTACCTTATCACTTTAGAAATACTACCCCCTCTGAAAAATAGCAGTATTGGAATAAAAAAGACTCCTGTGTAATGCTAGTAGTAAAAGACTTTCTGTAAAGGGACATTGAGTAGAACTTTGAAGGAATGAGAGGAAGAATGACTCACTAAGTTTATCACCAGTGCACAAAAACTGTTATGCAAGAGTCACAATGTCAATTGATTTGGAACTGTGTGTGCACATACACATTACACACACAAACACACACACACGCACACATTCAGTTTTAAGCCTGAGTGTTCCTAGATGAAAGAATCCCAGGTTAGAGTGTTTAAGCCAGGGCCATAAAATCAAGTTACAACTTATAATTTTGAAGTAAAATTCTACCACGGACAACAGTTATCCAGAGTCACACTCACATTCATACGGTAGCTCCAAGATGGAATGCAATTTGGCTTTTAAATAAAATCACTGTATGCCAAAGACATTCAAATAACCAACAGAGTACTAAGAAGATCGTACTTGTTTTAGTCAAGGTACAGTCACCTATACCAGGAATTGAAGTGTGGGAAAAATTAAAGGAATTATTAGCTAGAAAAAAGGAGGTGAAATTGGTCACAGGAGCACCCTAAGGAATAAAAAAAAAATAAATAACAAAGAAAGTGGCTGCTATCTCTAGGACCAAGAGAGAATGAATAAAAAAGAAATTAAGCACTTAGATGATTCCCTTTTTCTCCCTTTTTCAGCTCCCCGGTGTTGAGATTATAACCTTGTCAGTCAGGTCATGGCTTTGACAGAAACAAATGGAGTACTGGTGACAAAGAAACTTGCCAGAGGTTTGGGCCAAAACTGGACTGAAGAAACTGGATATTGTGTAGTAGAGGTACTTGCTGGAAAGTGTGGCAGTCTGGAGCTGAGTCAAAGGAATGACTCATAGGGTGGTGGAGAAATTCACCAAATGGTGAGCTTTAGTTGTAACTGGTTCACAAAAAGTATGTAGTAGGCAGCTGAGAAATTCACTGGAAGGCGGGCTGAAGTTAGTCCATGGGAATGATTCAGTAAGTGCTGAAAAACTTACTGGATAGTGAAGGTGGGCTAAAGCTGGTCAAAGGAATGGCCCCTGAGTAAGCAAAAAAAAAAAAATCACTGGTACATATGAGTAAGGTAGAAGTGATCTGCTAGGACTACTGAGGTCAGTGACATGCCCTCCAGCATACCACCAACGGGCAACCATGCTGAAGGAGAAACAGAACCCCAGGATAAGGGGAGCTCCTTCTTCTCGTGATAGCCTTGCATCATCACTCCAGTAGCCTTTGTTGACATAGCTTCTTTTGTCCTATCTAGCAAAGGAGGCATTCAGAGTGCAGCCCCAGTATCACAAAGAAGGGTAAATAAGGATAGATTGGAAATGAGGGGCAATACATTGATAACTGTTACAGTGCCTATTAGTGGTGATAACATGTATAGCTATTTGTCTTCAACCTTAATTTAGGTTATAAACACCCCTTTATATTTTTAAGACTGATCCATGTTGAGTGTTGCTGAATTATTAATGCGCACCTTTTGTGCATTAATGCTTCAGATTCTTTGAGGCACAACTTGTTCCTGGACTCTTATCCCCCATTCCAGCTGAGCCACCCTGGTTGTGACTGACACTGAGTATGCCTGTTCATTTGCCCAGAAGCTGCCTATAGACCAAATTCAGTTACACAGAAGTGTGGTGGGGTTACTTACCGGTCAGACAAATTCTGAGCAGTGAAAGAGTGCACAGGGGAGGTGGTTATAAAGTAAACTCCTTTTTAATGTCTTCATCTAATGGATTTTTCCAAGGATAGTGGCAGTCTTTGTAAAGGAAATAGAATTTGGTAACAGATGAACTAATATCTTCTTTCAACTCTTTACCACATTTTATTTTAGTATCACTCTTCTTGCCTGGGCCTCCTAAGGATCAATACATTAATAGCAAAGCTTTCCTTTATATTTTTGTTTCTCTGTTTTTGAACTTACTTGATCGAAGATTATCACTATACAACATAATTTTAAATGATAGATGCTCAAGATATTATTTTGGATTTTAATTACAAACTTGTTTGAAAGCAATATGGGCATCATTCCTCTTGGTAACTGAGAAAGTAATTATTCTTGGCAGGAAGTGACATAGCATTTTTAAAAGCTTTTTTTGTGATTAACTAAGATAGAAACACGTAGACTTTAAGGCATTGAGAGGGCAAGCAGCCATAACACTTAATATGAGTAGCAGTGATAATTATGAAGACTGTGGACTGGATTCACCTGCTTCAATGTTATTTAGACCTTGCAGTAATAAAATGGTAAGTTTAGGAAAGTAAATTTTGATGTCAGGGTACCAAAAATTATTTTTGATCCTATGGCTGTGGCATAAGGAGGTAAGGTGATAAATTGGGTTTGGAATCAATTGATGGCTCAGTTTGTTCACAAATCTATACTATGTTTAATTTATTGATACACTTTTGTCTGTTTATCAATGCATCTGTCAACCTAACAGCTAACATATCATTACATACACTTTTGACCCAAGGATTAAGATAATTATAGTAATAGAAAAGGCCAAATGAAGGCCCAGGAACTGCCTACCACCGTGACACATTATCTTTATGATAGAAAATAAGAAGAGATACTGTGCTCCTGAATGAATTCAAAAGTTAGAGTCACAATCAAATATTGAAAGATACAAGGTGATATTCGCCATTCAATTTATCTGTCAGGCCTCTTGATAGAACAACTAGGTTATGGTGGAAATCAGTGGACTACTGTAAACATAACAAGAATATATTCTTTATTTCAACTATTCTATATTTTTATATTTACTGGTATGGTATTTACTGGTATGATATTTTATATTTACTGGTATGGTAACACTGTGTCTAGGATTTAGTTTGTGCCCATTCTTTTTTTTGCAACTTACATTAAAGCCAATTCATCTTTGTATGGTAAGGACAACAGTAAATTTTTACCATATTGTCTACATTGCTACTGTATTAGCTGTAATTATTCTCTTGCTGTTAATTAAAATATATATACACACAAACATGTATGTACATGTGTGTGTATACACATACACATGCATTTTAAGAGACAGAATCTTGCCCTTTTGCCCAGGCAGAAGTGCCGTGGCATGATCATAGCTCACTGCACTTCCAACTCCTGAGCTCAAACGCTCCTCTCACCCTCAGCCCCTTGAGTAACTGGAACTTCAGGCATGTACCACCACAACGGGCTAATTTTTAAAACTTTTTAGAGATGAGGTCTCAGTATGTTGCCTGGGCTGATCTCAAACTCCTGGCAGCAAATTATCCTCCCATCTCAGCCTCCCAACTTGCTGGGACTATAGTCAGCTCTATAGGCAGTGCCTAGCTCTCATTAAAACATTATATGGGAATAACTTGGTCATAATCCCTTTTTGAAAGACATCGTTCTGTTCTTCTCTATTAATAGCACATTTGGGAACAGCTTTTAGTAGATAGAGAAGGAATGCACCTGGACAGGTGGGTAAAACTCAATGTCACTTACCTTTGTTTACATTCTTCCTGAATATACAACAAAGACTTCATGATGCCTGTGATGGTTAGTTTATGTGTCAACTTGATTGGGCTAAGGGATGCCCAGATAGCTGGTAAAACATTATTTCTGGATGTGTCTATGTGGTGTTTCCAGAAGAAATTAGCATCTGAATCAGTAGACCGAGCAAACAAGGTCTGCTCTCAACAATATGGGTGGGCATCATCCAATCCACTGAGGGCTGGGACAGAGCAAAAAGAAGGAAGGGCAAATTCACTCTCTATGTTTGAGCTGAGACTTCTATCTTTTTCTGCCCTTGGACATCAGCACTCCTTGTTGCCAGATTTTCTGACTCAGAATGAAGTACATCAATGGGTTTGCTGTTTCTCCAGCTTGCAGAAGATGGAGCTAGCTAGCTAGATAAATATATTGATCGATAGATAGATAGATAGGTAGGTAGGTAGGTAGATAGATAGATAGATTATTGGTTCTGTTTTTCTAGGGAACTGCGACTAATACAATAATAAGACCAAATAAAGGAGAGATGAAAGGAATTAGTTTCAAAAACAATTTAATGAAGAGTTAAACCTTTATGATAGCATTAACTGGAAATGAATTGTTACCATATTACTGGCACATCAGCATGGATCCAAAAGATAAAGGTAGAGAAAAACTTTTCTGGTACATAGAGGTGCAATCAGTAAACTTGGTTATCTACTTCCTATGGAAGAAAATTGTTCTGGAATATATATACATGTATGTCCTATCTTCTGTGCAAGGTAACTGTAAACACCTGGTCAGTGGGCTGGCATGAACAACTTAGAAGATAAGTGCGAGGTAGTTCTGACACAAATGTATACATATATATATAATATATATATATATATGAATTTCTGTTCATGAGTAAAAATGCATGAATCTTTGTGTTTCATTTAAATGTCAAAGGATAGCAATGGCACAGATGAGTTTTTTTTTTTTTTAGCCAGCAGGTGGAGAAGAGTATATGCTATGGAAATTAGATAGCTTCTTTCCTGTGCCACCTAAGTTATTTAAAGTGGGCCCATGGGCAGGGTGGACATAGTAACAAATATGAGGACTATGCATTGTTCTAAGAAAATGGAATTCTTCTTAACAAGGCATCTAGCTTTTGACACTCATCAATGCCCAACCTGCTCGCAGAAAAGAAAGATGCTGAGCCCTTGATAATGCATAGGAAACTGCCTGCCACCTAAGAGCTGGTCAATTACATTATATTTCTTGCACTTTGAGAGGTGTAGCTATTCATTTTACCAGATTTAATACACATTCTAGAGAGACAGATGATTTTCTTCATCGTGCTGTCTCTATATGCAGTCTGAGGGCTTATAGAATGCCTGATTCATGAACATGGTATCAAAAGCAATGTTGATTCAGACCAGGAGGCACATACTATGCAAAGAATTGGAACAATAAGCTTAGGATCATGGATCTCACTGGCTTTACATTATGCTTTATCACTGAGAAACAACCAGACCGTTAGAAGTGTTGAAGGCATATGTAAGTTTTTGGGGAACACCTTGTGGAGTTATACCAGGAAAGACAACATACATTGAATCATTTGCCAATATATGGTGGCATGTTCCAATAAGTAGATTAAATGATCCATGGAAATGAGGGATTCAAACAGTAAAACACATCTGGCCATCGTACCCACTGAATCATTTGTGCAATTATTGTTTCTCTTTCTTGCAGCTTTAAGTTTTGCCAGGGATGGTATCCTAGTTCCCAGAGGGAAAACATTTTGTTCTAGGGGATACTAATGATGATGTTGAACTAGAAGCTTCACCTAACGCATGTCTAACTGCCCCTGCCAGTTGGAGTGTTGGCCAAGGATGAAGAAAGTCTAGAATGGGTGGTGATGTGATGAATGGAGTTGCAGCACAGGAGGCTATAACTTTTATTTCATTTTATTTTTAAAATTAATGTTCTTTCTTAAAGATTCTAGAAGATTGAGATTGGTGTCTACTTAGATTCTGCCTGATTTAGCTTGTATTTTACAATTAGTAAAGAAATGTTTTACTAAGTGGTGTCCCATTTGTTGGTATGGGATTCAGATACACTAGTGGGGCACAATCACATTTGAAAACCACAAATAAAACAGACTATATAGGGCACATCTTCTGTGTTTCATAATATTTGCTAAAACTTACCTGTCTTCTGGGCCCTTGTTCACTTGCTCCATCCCAGTGCCCATAGGAACCAATTCTATATAACTGTCTCACTTCCCAGGGACTTCCTAGGGCTGTCTCACATGGCTCAGTGACAGTCACTGCTCTTCACAAAGTGGCAGCCAGCTCAGTAACATATCACCATACATTTGCTTCTCATTCCTCCCAGCCGCATATCACTGTGCCATCACTCTCAGAACCCAAAGATTACACCCAATTAAATATTGCCACTTAAGGTTTTCTCAGTTTGTTTTCTAGAATATTGGCCTAAGACAGAGGAAAATATGCATAAATTTTCATAATATATAAAAGCATTGAATATTATAACAATTTCTATATCAGTTCAAATAATGGTATGTGTCTTAAAATACATAATACATATTAATTACCTTTTTAAATTTTTAAATAAATTAGCCATATGCTTATTTTGGGGGATCTATATTTGAAATAAAAAGTCAATTAAGATAAAGAGATACAGATCAGTAAGATCACCATTCACAAATTAATGATCACAGAAGTGGGTGATAAAGCCAAAATGAAGACAAAATGATTTACATTTGTAATTGAACACTTTATAGCAGATAAAACAAATACAGTATTCTATAACGAGCATTCATATTCTCATCCAATATTACAAGAGTCGTTGGAATTATCATATTTATCTTTCAATACTAAAAAAGGTCTTTCACTTCTTAAATGATTAATAAAGAGCTCAATTTTATGAAAAACATATAGAATAAGTATATGTTTAACTGAAATTAAATAGCATTATACTGCAAATATTCAGCGATATCTTACCTATCCCCAAATAAGCATTTTTATATTTAAGGCAGCTTTTTGATTCACCTGGAATCCAATCTATGCTGAATCAAACATATTATGACTTATCCCAGAAAAAAAGTGTATTTCCTTAAAATACTTATAATAAACTGCCCTGGTTGATTAAATTGTATTACTTTTGTCCCATTTATTTAGAAACTCTGTTGTGCACATGCATAGACACACACACGGCATGCACACATGCAAATGGATTCCAATAGCCTTTAATAATTGTGGTCTTCAGCTAAGTAGCTATTCTGGTGATGACAGACACACAGCTCTTAGAGAACCATTGTCAATCATTGAGAAAAGTGCCCTTTTATATAAATACTTTTGCCACATTATACCACTGTAGTCTTGTATCAGGTAGAATGAATAAGGGTGTAACTCTCTGTTCTTGACCTTCATAGATGCTTTGAACTTTTAGAGAGAACAGTGCTCTAAAATATATTTATCATTATCACCATTATTATTATTCAGAAATGACATGACTGACAGGACTATTTCCCAAGTTATTTTTTCTTTCAATCACAAGTTTTTATTCTTGACCCAGAGGCAACAATGTTATGCAAAATGAGATAGTTGAAAGGGGAAGAGTACATCTTTCTGAATAAAATTACTGTCCCACTGTACCATTTCGGAATGATACAAACCTCTTCATTTGGGGGCGTATCTCTAAGGGGATTATGAGTTATTGCATTTATTTATGGAAGGCAATAAACTGTAGGAATGCTTTCCTGAATTCATTGAATTTGTTATGTGACTTTTTAGACAGGTGTGACATGGGTATATTATTCAGATTCAGGAGAATGGCATCTCACTACAGCAAAATCATTGGTTAAAAAATAAACTTTCAAACAATATTATTGAATTCAGTAATAGTGTAAACTATATTTTATTTACTAATAAAATATTAAATAATAGAACTCTAGTGTCTAAAGATTATGTCTCACAGCCTATTATCTTCCTGTTAAGTCACTTAGCATTTGATTTCACTTTTACATTGACTGTGAGCTTACTGCTTCACAATGAAAAGCACCATTTTAAAATCTGTTATTGACAGGGATTAGCCTCTGTAAAGAAAATAAAAATACTTAGGAATCACTGATAAAGACAAGATGAAATTCTATTAATTCAGCCCAACTAGAGGAAGCATCATCATAATCTGAAACGTCAATTATTTTTAAAGAAAGACTTTCAGTCATTCCCAGGGCATTCAGCAATTAAAGTTAATGTACAAACACTGCCAGGTAGAAATCTTGCCAAACCGTATTTATTGCACAAATAAGGCACATTTTTAATTATATTGGTATGCAAATCATTGCTTCTAATTTCATTGAAATGAGATTGTTTCCCTAAATAGAACATTTTCTTCCTCATATCTTGTTCATGTTATTATTTGCCAAATCTTTTAAAATAAATAATGCAAAGATAATAAACCCTAGGCCAGTGTTTTTCTGACTCAGCATATAGTGAATTTAAAGTTATTCACAATAAAAAAACTTAAATAATTAATAACTTTTATTAGTGGATTTTGAGTTCATTTCTAGGTGCTATTATTGATTAAATGTGTATGCTTGGTTTAATTATAATTTGTATACATTTGGAAGGATTATAATATTAACTAGGAAGAAAATCCAAATGAATGCTATAAAAATTTTGTTGTGTCAAACCATGAAATTCAGTGATGTGATCCTTGTTTGAAAGAATTTTCCCTTTTAATGGAAATGTATATAGCCTCAGGAAAAGGAATGAGAAAATTTGCTATATTATAAAGTTTCTACAAGGTTAAAGGCTATTATCATTTGCATATTTAATAATATATAATGTGTATTTGTGTGTATTATTTAAGCAGTTATTATTTGTACTGTCATTGGAAAATATATAAGAACATTTATATCAATAAGCTCTTTTTAAATTAAAGCCTAATACTGCAGGCTGTATTTTTTATTAGTTTGTTTTCTTTGTTAGTTTTAAGACAATATGTACTTATTTTTGGATGTAAAGAAGAAATATTCTTTACTCTTTTAACCTCAGAATATTTTTCCTAAACATTTGCCTGAATTCTTATTACACCTATCATTATATAACCAGTTTGTTCACTTAACATAATGTAACTATTATGGCATAGAATTGAAGGCCTAAGAGTAATGAATTATATGTAGATAAATTATGACACTTAATCAAATTTTTGAGTTTTGGATTGCTACTCCAACTGGTAGTATAAAGATTTTCTATGAATACATCTTTAAATATACCAAACTATTTTCTTATGGAATTTATTCCAGAATCAACATTAAATTAATTTGGGATTTATTTTTTGTATATTTTTTCTAGAAATACTACTAATTTGGACATAGACCTGTAGAGGACACTACTTTTAATGCACAATCTTTATTAATTAAATTTTTGAAAAATGTATGTTACACAGATGTATCTATTATTGTCAATGGAATTGAGATTTGACCAATATATACAACATTGCAATATGAATCTTTATAAAATGAATATCTCCTTATTCCCTGAATGTTCCCTAAAGCTTTGCAAATATTTCTCCCACTCCCCATATCCATTCTTGAATTTCATATTTTATATAACTCAGGGTACTTTTTATAACTCAGGATTCTATATCTAGTAAAATAGATTAGATATAGAATCCTGAGTTAACAGTTTTTATTTCTTTTTTGTGCTTTAAATTATCCTGAAGAATCCAATATGTATTTTTTTGTGTAGCTAAAAATATAATTTTACTCAATATAATATCTATATGATTATTTTATGATGCTGTGTATCTCATATTTTTCATTTTTATATAAGAATAGTATTCCATTTTATAAATGTAAACGTTATTTCACCATTTAGAATTAGCAAACATTTCACCATTTGTTCACATTATTTCACCATTATTTTCCCTATTTAGTCTCCTGTTGACAGACATTTGGGTTAATTACAGATTGGGCTATTATAAATGAAACTGCTATTAACATTTGTATATAATATTTTTGGAGATATAAGTTTTAATTTATCTTGGGGAAATACCTAAGATTGGAATCTCTAGGTCAAATATTTAAATTTTAAGAAACTTGTAAATTGTTTTCTCTAGTTGGCCATTTTATACTCCCATAAGATTTGTATGAGAGTTCCAATTGTTCTACACAGTTGCAAACATTTACTATGGCCTTTTTTTTTTTTTTTTTTTTTTTTTTCTGAGACGGAATCTCGCTTTGTCGCCCAGGCTGGAGTGCAGTGGCACCATCTCGGCTTACTGCAAGCTCTGCATCCCAGGTTCACGCCATTCTCCTGCCTCAGCCTCCCGAGTAGCTGGGACTACAGGCGCCAGCCACCAAGCCCGGCTAATTTTTTTGTATTTTTAGTAGAGACGGGGTTTCACCGTGTTAACCAGGATGGTCTCAATCTCCTGACCTCGTGATCTGCCCACCTCAGCCTCCCAAAGTCCTGGGGTTACAGGCTTGAGCCACCACGCCCTGCCTAGTACTGTCCTTTTTAAAAACTTTTTGCATTACAGTGGGTGTGTAGTTATAGCTAACAGTGGTTTTAATTTCCATTTTTCTATTGCCTAATTATGTTGAACATCTTTAAATGTGTATACATTAGCTATTTATATAACTTGTGAAGGATCTCTTGAGATCTCAAACATAATTTGTATTAGAGTCTGATCTTCTAATATTTCTGTGTTTGTTATATATCTGTACGTAATATTTTGGGTCATATGCATATATGTATGTATGTGTGTGTATAAATTTCTCCCAGCCTGAGTGCTGTCTTTTGTCTTTTATTTGTTTAGTGCTAACATTTGAAAAGCAAAATGTTTTAAGAAGTAACAATTTTTATAATTAATTTTTTGTTGGTAACAACTTTTGCTTCCATCTAATATACTCTTGCCTATACCGAGTTCATGAAAATATTCCTTGATTTTCTTCTAAAATTTTATATTTGTGTCTTTCACATTTTAGTTCATATCTACTTTGAATGAAACTTTATGTAAACTTTGAGGATGAAGTTTCAGTTTATTTTGTTTTTCTCATGTGGCTACTCAGGAATTTAAAGGATAAAACGATAATCATTTGATATAAACAAATGATACTGGTAGCATTTGTTAAAATGATTATCCTTTTTTCCTTTAAATTACCTTGACAGGGCCAGGCGTGTTGGCTCACGCCTGTAATCCCAGCACTTTGGGAGGCCTAGGCGGGTGGATCACCTGAGGTCAGGAGTTCGAGACCAGCCTGACCAACATGGTGAAACCCGTCTCTAATAAAAAATACAAAAATTAGCCGGGCATGTGGGCGGGTGCCTGTAATCCCAGCTACTCTGGAGGCTGAGGCAGGAGAATCGCTTGAAGCTGGGTGGTAGAGGTTGCAATGAGCTGAGATTTTGCCATTGCACTCCAGCCTGGGTGACAGAGCAAGACTCCGTCTCAAAAAAAAAAAAAAAAAAAAAATTACCTTCGCGGACGGGCATGGTGCCTCATGCCTGTAATCCCAGCACTTTCAGAGGCCGAGGCGGGCAGATCACTTGAGGTCAAGCCAACATGGTGAAACCCCGTCTCTACTAAAAATACAAAAACTGGCCGGGTGTGATGGCAGACCCCTGTAATCCCAGCTACTGGGGAGGCTGAGGCAGGAGAATCGCTTGATCCGGGGAGGTGGAGGTTGTGGTGAAGTCGAGATTGCACTACTGCACTCCAGCTTGGGCAGCAAAAGGGAGACTCTGTCTCAAAAAAAAAAAAAAAAAAAAAAGCTCCATTGGCATTTTTATGAAAATCAATTGACCTTAAATATCTATGTCTATTTTGCTGCTCTTTATTCTATTCCACTGATTTATACAAGTATGTATATACATATATCCTTTTTCAATGACACATTGTCACTTTTAGCTACATTATTATACCTCTTAAAATTAGTGTTATAAGATTTCTAACTTGTTACCCTATCTCAATTTTTTTCAAGTGACAATTTGTTTGTGTTTAATTTCTCACAGTAACATTTATCAGTTTCCATGTAGATAATTTTCACATATTTTGTTAAATTTGTTCCTAAATATTTTATATACTGGCGTTCTTTAATTGAAATATTTACTTTAAAATTATAGTAATTGTGGATTACAACTATTTTCAAATATAATTGATTATTTTATATTGATTGTTTATCCTGTGAGTTTACTAAATTTTGTTTTTCAAACATTTTTTGGTAAACTCATTAGAATAATTAAGACAGACAATAATATTGTCTGTTAATAAAAATTTTTCCTTTCCAGTCTTTAGGACTCTCATTATCTCTTCTTGTCATATCCTCGGTGAAATAGATACATTATGTTCCCCATTTTTCAGTGGTGGTATTTTTGCTTTATCAATCATGTCACTTTTAATAATATCAAGATAAGGTTAAAAAAACCTAGTCCATTATAATTACCCACAAATTTACTTTTTTTGGTTCTCTTTATCCTGTCTTGCACATCTAAGTTTCTGACCTGGTATAATTTTCTTTCTTCATCAAGATGTTTCTACATTAGTTCTTGAAAACAGGTCTGCAAGCAAAATATTCCCTTAGTTTTCTTTTATCTGAAAATGGCCTTACTTCACTTTCACTTTTGAAGAATATATTTACTTGATATAGAATCCTTAGTTAACAGTTTCTATTTCTTTTTTATTGCTTTAAGTATGCTTTTTTTTGGTCTTATGGCTTCTATGATTTCTAATAATATGTAGGAAATTGTCTGTCTCATAACTTTTTAAGTATATGATCTTTCTCTCTAGATGCTATCGATCTTTAAAAATTTATTTTTTATTTTTCAGAAGCTTGACTATGACATGCAGTCTTTTTAAAATTCCCTTTGAGATTTGTTTGCCTTCTTGGAACTTTGAATTTACTTCAACAGATATAATAAAATTTTGATTATCATTTCTTCAATGTACTTCCCTAACCCTTATTCCTATACTCTCTCACTCTCTCTTTCTCTCTCTTCATTCATTTAGGAAATTCAATTACACACACACACACACACACACACACACACACACCACACAGACATAACTTCTTGATTGCCCAAGCTGTCTTCATTTTTACATTTTTTATTAATAAATAATTCTGAATTATGGTTATTATAAATAACTATTACTAAGTATAATAAATAATTTACCTTTCTAAGAGCAGTGTTAGGTTAACCGCAAAATTAAGCAGAAAGTACAGAGCATTTGCATACACCCCATCCCCATCCACACACAATCTCCCCCACTATTGACATTCTCCATCACAGTGCTACATTTGTTACAATTGATGAAGTTATGTTACACCCTTATCACCCAAAGTTCATAATTTACATTAGGATTTACTCTAGTGATATGCTGTCTATAGATGTTGACAAATGTGTAATGACATGTATTCACCATTGAAATATCATACAGGAAAATTCTTTTGCCTTAAAAATTATCGTACTCTACTTATTCCTCTCTCTCCTCCACCCAGTTGGCAACCACTGATATTTTTACTGTTTGCATACTTTTGCTTTTCCAAGAATGTTGTATCTGGCATCACACAATATGTAGCTTTTTATATTGGCTTCATTCACTTAGTAATATGCATTTATCTTTCTTCAGTGTCTTTTCATAGCTTAATAGCTCATTTCTTTTGAGCACCAAATAGTTATTTTATTATCTTGATGTACTACCGTTTATTTATCCATTCAGCTATTTAAGAATATTGTATTGCTTCCAGGTTTACATATAAAGCTGCTATAAACAGCCATGTGCAGGTTTTTGTGTGGACATAAGTTCTCATTCATCTGAATAAGTATTAAGGAACATTATCACTGGATTGTATGATAAAAATAAGTCTGGTTTTATAAGAAACTTAAAGTGTCTTCAAAAGTGGCTATACTATTTATCTTCTCATCAGCAGTGAATGAGAGTTCCTGTTGCTCCACTTCCTTGTCAGCTTTTGATGTTGTCAGTGTTCTGGATTTTGGCCACTTAATAAGTACATAGTGGTATCATATTGTTGTCTTAATTTGCAGTTGCTTAGTGACATATGATATTGAATACCTTTTCGTATGCTACTTAGCATCTATATATTTTCTTTGGAGATGTGTCTGTTCAGTTTATTTGCCTATTTTTTGAGTTTTCTTATTGTTGAGTTTGAGTTATTTATATATTTTGGATAAACCTCCTTTACCAGATACGTCTTTTGCAAATAATTTTTCCCAGTCTTTGGTTTGTCTTCTCACTCTTTTGACAATGTCTTTCACAGAGCAGAAGTTTTTAATTTTATTGCTTATCAATAGTTTATTTTATAGATTTTGTCTCTCCTGTTGTAGCTAAAAAGTCATTGCCATAACCAAGGTCATCTAAGTTTTCTCCTGGCAAGGAATTTTATAGCTTTTCCTTTTGCCTTTAGGTCTATGGTATACATTGAGTTAATTTTTCTGAATGGTGTAAATTCTGTGCCTAGACTATTATTTTTCTCATGTAGATGTCCAGTTGTTCTAGTACTATTTGCTCAAAAATTATATTTGCTTTATTGCATTGCATTTGCCCCTTTATCAAAGATAAGTTGACCATATTCATGGGTCATCTTACTGTCCAGGGAGCCCCAAACAAAAGGCTCTGGAAGTTTTATAGGCCCTGGGGAGACAGCAAGGGGAGGAGGGCTAGGAGTGCAAAAGTACTAGGTACTGAGTCAGGATAGATAAAATGTCCTTAAAGATCTCCTTACTACCCTCAAAGGAGGCCTCAGCACAGGTGACTGAGTAATACCTCTGTCCAAGGCCTCAGATAAAGAGGCCTAGGAAAGAAGGTACAGGGGCTAGGATGTAGATATGCAAAATGTATGATGGGCTAGAGAAGCATGAGGCCTGAGCTCTTGGCTGCACTGCTTCCCTTTAGAGACTGCAGTGCATTGACTGTGCACCAAGTCTGGTGTTGGGAGGGTAGCTTTCCCTCATGAAACCTGCCAGATAATTCTGTGTAATTGCCCATGTTTGGGCCTGAAGGATCACACACAGTTTTTGGCCAAAAGCAATACTCCTCAATGACTTTTCTTGCTCCTAAAACTAATTCCCTGAGTATTTAGGATATCACTTTACTCTAGCATGTGTATACCCTCAATATCCCTAAGCACTGTACAATCTTGATTAACTTTCTCTTCTAAACCCTGTAGTAGCAACTTTCTGCAAGGGCTTATGGGGCTTATGGTGCTCTTTACCTTATTTGCAACCCAGCTCTCAACAGGGATGATGGGGAATAATTACACATCTTTATTGAAGCCTACCTTTCATCTCCCTTTCCAATGGTAAATAACCTACTTTACATGTTGTAGCTGCTTCAGCAGCTCTGAACTTCAATATCTGGCTCCTTAGCTCAGTGGGAATGGCATGACCTTAGAGTCTATCTCCCATGCTCCCTGTGCAGATATCTGAAAATTGTTTCAAGGCAGAGTGCAAGAATGAATGTAAAACTCACTTTGTGGTTGTTTTTCTTCTTTCTTTTTCTTTTTTTTTTTTTTTTTTTTTTGCTCAGGCATTACAGTCTTATGCCATCTATTGTCTAATACCTGAAAAGAGTTGCTGCACACATTTTTTCTAGTTTTATGGTTATTCAACAGGAGGGGAAATCTAATACCAGTAGTTCATAACTAGTAATAATAGTCTCTCTGTGCTGTGATCATATTTTCACACTAAAATTTGCCTTATATTTTCTCCAAATTATGTGATCTGAAAAGCGAAGGGGAAAGCAACACTGCAGTAAACATATCCTTACAACAAACTATTAATTACTTACTAAAACTTGCAATAAGTAGTACAGGGAAAAATATTTAATTTAAAATAAAAAATATAACCACCAATCCTGAAAATAAAATAGTGGTTGGTAAAATAAAATACTGATAAAATAGATAAATGCATTAGCCATGAAACAAAATAAGTGAAAAATATAATTTTGATGCATCCAAGCTGCATAATTACAGTTGGCATTTTAAAGTGAAAAAAATGGAAATGTTTAAAAAACTAAGTAATTTAATTGGCTAACGAAATTCTTTTATTATTATTATAATACTTTAAGTTCTAGGGTACATATGCACAACATGCAGGTTAGTTACATAGGTATACATGTGCCATGTTGGTTTGCTGCGCCCATCAACTTATCATTTACATTATGTATTTCTCCTAATGTTATCCCTCCCCCAGCCCCCACCCCCTGAGAGTCCCGGATGTGTGATGTTCCCCGCCCTGTGTCCAAGTGTTCTCATTGTTCAATTCCCACCTATGAATGAGAACATGTGGTGTTTGACTTTCTGTCCTTGTGATAGTTACTGAGAATGATGGTTTCCAGCTTTATCCATGTCCCTGCAAAGACATGAACTCATCCTTTTTAATGGCTGCATAGTATTCCATGGTGTATATGTGCCACATTTTCTTCATCCAGTCTATCATTGTTGGACATTTGGCTTGGTTCCAAGTCTTTGCTATTGTGAATAGTGCTGCAATAAATGTACATGTGCATGTGTCTTTATAGTAGCATGATTTATAATCCTTTGGGTATATACCCAGTAATGGGATCACTGGGTCAAATGGTATTTCTAGTTCTAGATCCTTGAGGAATCACCACACTATCTTCCACAATGGTTGAACTAATTTACACTCCCAACAACAGTGTAAAAGCATTCCTATTTCTCCACATCCTCTCCAGCATCTGTTGTTTCCTGATTTTTAATGATCAACCATTTTAACTGATGTGAGATGGTATCTCAATGTGGTTTTGATTTGCATTTCTCTGATGACCGGTGATGATGAGCATTTTTTCATGTGTCTATTGGCTGCATAAATTTCTTCTTTTGAGAAGTGTCTGTTCATATCCTTTGCCCACTTTTTGATGGGGTTATTTTTTTTTTCTTGTAAATTTCTTTAAGTTATTTGTAGATTCTGGATATTAGCCCTTTGTCAGTTGGATAGATTGCAAAAATTTTCTTCATTCTGTAGGTTGCCTGTTCACTCTGATGATAGTTTGTTTTATTGTGCAGAAATGCTTTATTTTAATTAGATTCCATTTGTCAATTTTGGCTTTTGTTGCCATTGCTTTTGGTGCTTTAGTCATGAAGTCTTTGCCCATGCCTATGTCCTGAATGGTATTGCCTAGGTTTTCTTCTAGGGTTTTTATGGTTTTAGGTCTAACATTTAAGTCTTTAATCCATCTCGAAAGTTTCAGCTTTCTACATATGGCTAGCCAGTTTTCTCATCATGATTTATTAAATGGGGAATCTTTTCCCCATTTCTTGTTTTTGTCAGGTGTGTCTCAGCACCACATCACACTTATTCTAAAATTCACCACATAATTGCAAGTAAAACACTTCTTAGCAAATGAAAAAGAAGAGAAATCACAACAAACTTTCTCTCAGACCACAATGCAATCAAATTAGAACTCAGGATTAAGAAACTCACTCAAAACCACACAACTACATGGAAACTGAACAACCTGCTCCTGAATGACTACTGGGTAAATAACGAAATGAAGGCAGAAATACAGATGTTCTTTGAAACCAATGAGAACAAAGATAAAACGTACCAGAATCTCTGGAACACATATAAAGCAGTGTGTAGAGGGAAATTTATAGGACTAAATGCCCACAAGAGAAAGCAGGAAAGATCTAAAATCAACACCCTAACATCACAATTAAAAGAACTAGAGAATCAAGAGCAAACAAATTCAAAACCTAGCAGAAGGCAAGAAATAACTAAGATCAGAGCAGAACCGAAGGAGATAGAGACACAAAAAACCCTTCAAAAATCATTGAATACAGGAGCTGTTTTTTTTGAAAAGATCAAAATTGATAGACCGCTAGCAAGACTAATAAAGAAGAAAAGAGAGAAGAATCAAATAGTCGCAATAAAAAATGATAAAGGGGATATCACCACCGATCCAACAGAAATACAAACTACCATCAGAGAATACTGTAAACACCTTTATGCAAATTAGAAAATCTAGAAGAAACGGATAAATTCCTGGACACATACAGCCCCCCAAGACTAAACCAGGAAGAAGTTGAATCTCTGAATAGACTAGTAACAAGCTCTGAAATTGAGGCAATAATAGCCTACTAACCAAAAAAATCCAGGACCAGACGGATTCACAGCTGAATTCTACCAGAGGTACAAAGAGGAGCTGGTACCATTCCTTCTGAAATTATTCCAATCAATAGAAAAAGAGGGAATCCTCCCTAACTCATTTTATGAGGCCAGCATCATCCTGATATCAAAGCCTG
This sequence comes from Homo sapiens, assembly GCF_000001405.40. Lineage (NCBI taxonomy): Eukaryota > Metazoa > Chordata > Mammalia > Primates > Hominidae > Homo > Homo sapiens. The sequence goes on along the minus strand of NC_000001.11, from coordinate 195,647,170 downwards.
GCAGAGACACACCAAAAAAAGAGACGTTTAGACCAATATCTCTGATGAACATTGATGCAAAAATCCTCAATAAAATACTGGCAAACCGAATCCTGCAGCACATCTAAAAGCTTATCCACCCCGATCAAGTTGGCTTCATCCCTGAGATGCAAGGCTGGTTCAACAAATGAAATTCTTGCAGGAAAACTGTATCACTGCTTATCAATAGTCATGTAATGAAAATTAAGATGTTTATATTTATAATAAAGAGAAAAAGATATTTAGGAACTTGTGGTACCATATATATGTTTACTTATATATAGTTAAGTGAAAATGGTAGGTGTAAAATAAGAGAAATTAATTTAACTAACATAAGAGTAATCATTTATTTTGAAAATTTAATAACCTTTACTTAAAAAAATTATTGGTAAATTACTTTTTGGTAATAATCATTTTAAAGCATGTAATTTTATTTCTGTGTATATAGTTTTATTTTTCCTTCTTTTTTCTTCGCTGTATTTGAAAATATGTAATTTTCTGATAAATATTCCATCTGCTGGTGTTACCTATTGCCCAAAGATAGGTATGAATCAGTCTTAGGATTTTGAAAAATCTTTATATTGGTAGCTAACTCATTTTTAATGTTGTGTAATTTTTTATATTTGTTCTCTTTTTTCTTAACTTTTGCACAATTCATTTGTCCTGGTGTATTTTATACTTATGTATTGATTTCAAACATTTTCAATCTATATTTTATAATTATTATGTTTCCTGTTGCTTTCTTCATTTTGTATAATGCTTATCTTGATTTACAAGTTTAACTTAACCAGTAAAATAAATATTTTAAAATTTGAGTTAAATGATTTTTATACTGTTTCATTATAAGAAGGATTTATATTTTAAAACTTTATTAACATTATTATACTCTGTTTTAATAATAAAATAAAGTTATAAATATTAATCTATTTTATTCCATTATTTTGCTCATTTTGAAATTTATATCTTTAATTTTCACCATTTTTAGGTAATCTGCAATCTTAATTTTGATTTTCCTTTTGATGCAAAATGAATTTTAAACATTTATCTTTACTCTCAAATTTTAGGGTATTACATAATCTTTCTTTCTCACCATCTGTTACTTTTACTTAAATACCATTGTATTCTGATAATTCAGCCTATACAACTGTGGTTTTTATTTATTGAGATTTAATTTTTATGATAATATGTGAAGGAAATTTGAAAGGTTTTATGGACATTATAAAAAAGATCCTTCTCTTGCAGAGAATTACAGGCTTTGAAAAATATATCAAGAAAAAGAAACAGAGAGATCTATGTGAATATATACACAAATATTATTAAAACTACTGATAGGTCGGCCGGGTGCGCTGGCTCATGCCTGTAATCCCAGCACTTTGGGAGGCTGAGATGGGTGGATCACAAGGTCAGGAGATCAAGACCATCCTGGCTAACACAGTGAAACCCTGTCTCTACTAAAAATACAAAAAATTAGCCAGGCGTGGTGGCTGGCGCCTGTAGTCCCAGCTACTCGGGTGGCTGAGGCAGGAGAACAACGTGAACCCAGGAGGCAGAGCTTGCAGTGAGCGGAGATGGCGCCACTGCACTCCAGCCTGGACGAGAGTGCTAGATGCCATCTCAAAAAAAAAAAAAAAAAGGAAAAAAAAGAAAACTATTGATAGACTTGTTTCCATTTAGCTTACCAGAACAAAAATGGAAAGAATGAAGTTTTCTGAGTACATTTTATAAAGTTTTTGCATTAGAGGGATTGTCACAGGTTCATCTGTATTGCAAATTTTAATGTTATCTGCATGAAACATCACTCTTATTACTGTGCTGAGTGCTTTTTTTTCCCCTTGCATTGTATATGGCTGATACATATGTGGCCATCTGCTTTCTTTGTGTTTTCATTTATTTGACCTTATCTTCATGCATTTAGTGTTGCAGAAGGTAGTAAGCGAATGTGCCTGGTTGGTGTATGCTTGCAAGGAAACATTTATTTATTTACTTAATTGATCCTGACCAGTTCAGTATTGTTAATCAAATAGGTATAACTCTGGGTCTGTTTTCATTAGTGTAGCTTGACACTCAAATAAAAAGATTAGTAATAAGAAGGATTATGTGTGGACACAATGTTTGGGTCTCCCAGAAATTCATATGGTAAAATTCCATCCCCCTCTATGATGGTATTAGAAGGTGGGGCATTTGGGAAGCATTATGTCAACAGCGCAGACCCCCTCATGTATTAAATTAGTGCCCTGATACCGGTTTGGGCTATGTCCTCACCCGAATCTCCTCTTGAATTGTAGCTCCCACAATTCCCACGTGTCACAAAAGCTACCTGGTGGGAGGTAATGGAATCATGAGGGCGAGTCTTTCCCATGGTATTCCCCTGATACTGAATAAGTCTCATGAGGTCCGATGGTTTTATAAAGTGGAGTTTTGATGCACGAGCTGTCTTCTCTTGTTTGCCGCTATATGATATGTGTCTTTTACCTTCTGCCATGATTGTTTGGCCTCCCAAGCAGTATGGAACTGTGAGTCCATTAAACCTCTTTCTTTTGTAAATTGCCCAGTCTTAGTATGTCTTTACCAGCCCTGTGAAAACGGACTAAAAAAGTAAATTGATACTGGGAGTGGGGTCTGTTGAAATGATACCCAAAAATGTGAAAGAGACATTGGAACTGGGTAACAGGTAGAGGTTGGAACGTTCGGAGGGCTCAGAAGGAGACAGGAAAATTTGGGAAAGTTTGGAACTCCCTAGAGATTTGTTGAATGTCTTTGACCAAAATGGTGATAATGATATAGACAGTGAAATCCAGGCTGAAGTGGTCTCAGATGGAGATGAGAAACTTGTTGGGAACTGGAGTAAAGGTGATTCTTGCTATGTTTTGTCAAAGAGACTGGCGGCATTTTGCCCCTGCCGTAGAGATCTGTGGAACTTTGAACTTGAGGGAGATGATTTAGGGTGTCTGGTGGAAGAAATTTCTAAATAGCAAAGCATTCAAGAGGTGACTTGGGTGCTGTTAAAAGTATTCAGTTTTAACAAGGAAACAGAGCATAAAAGTTTGGAAAATTTGCAGCCTGATGATGCAATACAAAAAAGAAAACATTTTCTAAGGAGAAATTCAAGCTGGCTGCAAAAATTTGCATAAGTAATGAGAAGCCAAAAGGTTAATTGCCAGGACAATGGGGAAAATGTCCCCACAGCATGTCAGAGACCTTTGAGGCAGCCCCTTCCATCACAGGCCCAGAGGCCTAGGAAGAAAAAAATGATTTCTTGGGCCAGACCCAGGGCCCTCCTGCTGTGTGCAACCTAGAGACTTCGTGCCCTACATCACAGTGCTCTAGCCAGGGCTAAAAGGAGCCAAGGTACAGCTTGGGCAGTGACTTCAAAGGGTTGCAAGCCCCAAGCCTTGGCAGATTCAATGTGGTGTTGAGCCTGCAGGTGCACTTAAGTCAAGAATTGAGGTTTGGGAACCTCCACCTAGATTTCAGAGGATGTGTGAAAATTCCTGGATGCCCAGAAATAAGTTTGCTGCAGGGGTGGGTCCCTTATGGAGAACCTCTGCCAGGGCTGTGCAGAAGGAAAATGGTAGTGTCAGAGCCCCCACACAGAGTCCCTACTGGGGCACTGCCTAGTGGGGCTGTGAGAAGAGGACCACTCTTCTCCAGACCCCAGAGTGGTAGCTCCATCAACAGCTTGCACTGTGTGCCTGGAAAAGCTACAGACACTCCACACCAGCCCATGAAAGCAGCCAGCTATACCCTGCAAAGATACAGGGGCGGAGCTGTCCAAGGCCATGGGAGCCTACCTCTTGCGTCAGCATGACTTGGATGTGAGACGTGGAGTCAAAGGACATCATTTTGGAGCTTTATGATTTGACAGCCCTGCTGGATTTTGGACTTGCATGGGGCCTGAAGTCCCTTTATTTTGGATAATTTCTCTCATTTGGAATGGCTGTACTTACCCAATGCCTATACCCAGTGCCCCCTGTGCCCCTCCCCCCCATTGTGGCTGGGAAGTAAGTAACTTGCTTTTGATTTTACAGGCTCATAGGTGGAAGGGACTTGCCTTGTCTCAGATGAGACTTTGGACTGTAGACTTTTGAGTTCATCCTTAAATAAGTTAAGACTTCGGGAAACTGTTGGGAAGACAAGATTGGTTTTGAAATGTAAGGACATGAAATTTGGAGGGGCCAGATTGTGGAATGATATGTTTTGGCTGTGTCACCACCCAAATCTCATCTTGAATTGTAACTCCCACAATTCCCATGTATCATGGGAGGAACCCTGTGGGACGTAATTGAATCATGTGGATGGGTATTTTCTGTGCTGTTCCAATGATTGTGAATAAGTCTCACAAGATCTGATGGCAATAAAAACAGGAGTTTCCCTGCAAAACCTCTCTCTCTCTTTGCCTGCTGCCATCCATGTAGATGTGACTTGCTCCTCCTTGCTTTCTGCCATGATTGTGTGGTCTCCCCAGCCATGTGGAACTGTAAGTCCATTAAACCTCTATTTCTTCCCAGTCTCGGGTATGTCTTTATCAGCATGTGAAAACTGACTAATACACAGATTTTTTAAAATTCAGATACACTAAGTTTGTTAAAAATATTATCTATTTGGCCTGGTGTGGTGGCTCACTCCTATAATCCCAGCACTTTGGGAGGCCGAGGTGGGCAGATCACCTGAGGTTGGGAGTTCAAGACCAGCTTGACCCACATGGAGAAACACCATCCCTACTAAAAATACAAAATTAGCCAGGCTTGGTGGTGCATGCCTATAATCCTAGCTACTTGGGAAGGCTGAGGCAGGAGAATCGCTTGAACCTGGGAGGCGGAGGTTGCGGTGAGCCAAGATCGCGCCATTGCACTCCAGCCTGGGCAACAAGAGCAAAACTCCATCTCAAAAAAAAAAAAAATTATCTATTTAATCCTGACAACAATCTCAATTTTCAGAAACAACACTCAGATTAAAAAGTAAGAATAAACATAACAAATGTTGTCAGAAATGTGAACTGTTACTTTTATACATTGTTAGCAGAGATAAAAAATGATATAGTCTATTTAGAAATAAGGTTGTCAGTTTCTTGAAAAGGTAAAACATGTAGCTACCCTATGAATCAATCATTCAACACCTAAGTATTTACAATAGGAAAAGAAAATAAAAATACTTTTACAAATGCTCATAACAGCTTTATTTATAATATCTTCAAACTGGAAGTGACACAAATGGTCCATCAAAAGTTGACTAGGTTAACAGTTGTATATCTCTAAAATGCAGTATTTCTTAGCAGTGCAAAGGAACAAATTATTTATTTAGGCAACTACAATAATCTCAAAGCATTTATGCTGATTGAAAGAAACAGAAAAAAATAGCTGCATACTGTATTATTCTACTTATATAAAATTCTTGAAAATGCAGATTGATCCATAGTGAGACAAATCATATCAGTGTCCTGGGGACCAGATGGGGAGGAATGGATAACAAAGGGACACAAGGACACAAGGAAATGAATGATGGATTTTTTTTTTTATCATCCAGAATATTGTGATTGTTTCATGAGTGTATACAAATGTCAAACTCACAAAAATATATATTTTAAGTATTTGGGATTTATTGTTTGCCAAACATACAATAAAGCTGTAAAAAATAATATGTGACACTTAGATAATAAACAGCCTAGAGAGGTTTTTTTTTTTTTTTTTTTGAAATGGTGTCTCACTCTGTCACCCAGGTTGGAGTGCAGTGGTGCGATCTCAGCTCACTGCAACCTCCGCCTCCTGTGTTCAAGCAATACTGCCTCAGCCTCCCGAGTAGCTGAGACTACAGGCACATGCTGCCACTCCTGGCTAATTTTTTTTTTATATTTTAGTAGAGGCGGGGTTTCACCATGTTGTCCAGGTTGATCTTGAACTCCTGAGCGCAGGCAATCTGCCCACCTCAGCCTCCCAAAGTGCTGGGATTACAGGTGTGAGCCACTGTGCCCAGCTGAGAGGATTTTTTAATTAAGTTATTTTCATGCAATGAAATTCACTCACTCTATGCAAACTTTGATGAATTTATATAACAGTTTACAGTTGTATAATCATAATAACGCCTTTTTTATCATAAATTTTTCTAATTTTTTATTGTACTTGAGCATTGCACCCCACCCCTGGCCCCAGGCATCCTCTGATCTGCCTTCAGTCACTATAATTTTGCTTTTGTAGAATTGCATCTGTTTGGAATTATACAGTACATAATCTTGTGTGTTTAACTCTTCACTTGAAATATTGTTATAAAATTCATCCATGTTGTTACATGTATTAATTTTTTTATTGTTGAGTATTATATCATAGAATGGAAATACTCAATTTGTTTATCACTTATGGGTACGTGTGCTACTTCAGATTTTGGCTATCTGGAAGCACATCTTTGTGTGTGTATATGATTTCATTTCTCTTGGGTAAATACCTAGAAGTGGAATATTTGGACCATACAGAAAGCATTGTTCACCTTTTGCCATGCTTATTCCAAAAGTGCCTGTACCCCTTTGCATTCACGTCAGTAATCTAGTAAATATCCAGTTGGGTCACTTTCTCATCCACATTTCTAATGTCAGTCTTTTTGTTTGTTTGTTTGTTTGTTTGTTTGTTTTAAGAGGGAGTTTCGCTCTTGTTGCCCAGGCTGGAGTCCAGTTGCACGATCTTGGCTCACTGCAACCTCCGCCTCCCAGGTTCAAGCAATTCTCCTGCCTCAGCCTCCCAAGTAGCTGGGATTACAGGCATGTGCCACCACGTCCAGCTAATTTTTTTTTTTTTTTTGTATTTTTACTAGAGATGGAGTTTAACCATGTTGATTCTAATGTCAGTCTTTAACATTGACTGTTCTAGTGGGTGTGTATTGATAACTCATTTTTGTCTTAATTTGCATTTATCTCATGAATGTCAATGTTGACTGTATTTTCTGTGCTTATTGGACTTTTATATGACATTTATTTTGAAAGTTTGTTGAAATAGAGTTGTTTATCTTCTTATTGTCAAGTTGTAAGACTTCTGTAAGTATTCCAGATATAAGCTCTTTGTCAAATATAAGTTTTCAAAAATTTTCTCTAAGTGTACTTGCCTTCTTATTATCTTAATAATTTTTTTGAAAATATTCCCCTTTTTTTGAATTCCCTTTTATCTTTTTAATTGTAACTTGTGTTTATATTGTTCTCTTTGAAAAATCTTGGCCTAACCTACTGTCACAAAGATTTTCTAACATATTCTTCAAAATAGGATTTTTTTTATTGCTTATAAACCTAGACTGATAATCTGCAAAAGGATCTATTTGTAGTTTGGGGACCTCATACTATGTCTCTATAAACCTAATTATAATAAAATGTGATTATGATATGTCTACTTCACTTGCCCTCCTAGTCAAGGAGGACCATGGGGCTACAGTCATAACTCTAGCAGCCAGGGTTTAAGCTGCCTTGACCCTAGTATGGACAAAATATGAGACTGAGATTTCAGGAAATGGCAGTTCCAGTTGAATGCAGGGAAGTACAAGAAAGATACTCAAGGGTCAAATGGTCAGCACCATTCTTGAGTAGTGACCTCCTGGCTGGATTACCAAATCATGGGTCAGTCTTCATTGATGGGTAAATAAAGAATCAAAGAAAAAGAAAAAAGAGGGAGGCTCCCCTCTGAATAGTCCCTCAGAGGGAAGCATGTCTATTTTTTCCAGTCTGTGTTCTATTGTATTACAAGGGTAATAGGGAAGAAATTATTTATTGATTTGGCACATATTGTTCATATTCAGCATGCTTAATTACTATTATTTTTAAATGTTAATTATGATAGCCTGTTAGTTTTAGCTAGATTACTAATGTACCTCTTGCTTTTTAGATCCAACTTAATTAGGATACTAATGCAATAGTGTCCACTCTGTTTACTGTCTAAACCATGTGAAGCCTGGGCCAAATGAACCATGTACAAGAGAGGAGTGTTTCAAAAGTTTCACTGATATTGGCATTAGCAACTTTCATGTTTACGTACTTTGTTTAGATTTGGTTTTCAGATACAGGGTCTTGCTCTGTTGCCCAGGCTGGAGTGCAGCGGTGCAATCACGGCTCACTGCAGCTTCAACCTCCTGGGATTAGCGATACTCTTACCTGCCACCTGAAGCTCCTGTGGTCTCAGCTTGGACCACAGGTGCACTACCAGCCCAGTTATTTTTTGTATTTTTTTTTTTTTTTGTAGAGATGCAGTTTCTCCATTTTGGCCAGGCTGATGTTGAACTCTAGCACTCAAGTGAGTTCTGACCTCCCAAATTGCTGGATTACAGTCGTGAGCCACTGCGCCCAGTTATGTTTATGTGTTTTAAAAATACCTACAACTCTTGAATTGTTTTCTTTTCATTTCTTCTAGGCTAAGATTATTACCTTACACTTTACCAAAATAGGAAAGTCAGGAAAAAAAGCTGATATATTCTGTGGTTTTTCAATTTTTTTTTTTTTAGTTAAGTGGAAAAATCTATTGGAGACGTTTTTAAGGTTTGTTTTTGTAGAGTCTATACTTTAAGATTATGGTGATATGTTCAATATACTGCTAATAGGTGGATTATCAACTTTGAGAGAAAATTCTGGGAGTGTCAATGAATAACCCTAGTAGTTGAAATCATGTCAGGGTGAATGAAACTGACAGGACATGTAAAAAAGAATAGAATATTTGGGGGAATTTATGTATTTTGGGAAGTGAAAATAAGTGCTGACACCAAAGAAAATATAAAAGACTAGGAGGAAAATCAGATATATGTACTGTAATGAAAGATAAATGAGAATAATTTGAGAGAGTAAAAGATTTTGTCAAAAGGATAAAGACAAAAAAAGTTGCATGTGAAATTTGGATTACTACTGATGACTTATAAAGAATAAATTTCAATGACATGGTAGTTATCAAATCTACATTATTAAGTATTATGGAATATCCTAAAATAGTTTAGAATATTATGTAAATATTAGTTAATATTTATGTACCCAGGTTTCCTCTGTAATAAAATATAAATAATTATTAGTTTTATGTTTCAGAAAATTTCAGTTTTAGAATATTACAGTGTAAATTGTTTTTCTGCTTCTGTCTAACAAAGGTTCAGCAGCTGTGTTAACTATAAACAATAGAGAACTATAAACAGTAGAGATGTGTTTATATGGTTGTCTTTGCTTTTTCTGGAGAATACTTTTATCCAACTTTTCATCCCCTTTTTACTCTCAACATATGTTAGCTCCTGACCACATTAAAGCTGATCACCTTGTCTTATTCATGGTTATGCTGGCTTTAAATCCTTTCCACAAATAAGCTTTAAGTTCTGCTCTTTCTGCTGACATTTTCGTACATTGCCATCCTACAGCAGATGGCTGAGGATTCTAATCAAGAGATTTTGTATGAATCAACAGAAATCTCTGGCCAGAATCTGTAGTTATTGAGAGAAAACAAACAAACAAAAAAAACGTCCAGAACCATATGTTCCGGTATCCTGCATGCTCCTCTGGTAGGAAGTTTGCATATCACTTAATCATACTGTTTCATATTACAGCGTAATCCTTCGCTATGTCAGCAGCTCTGTGCTTAATGCTGCTAAAGTCAGTCTCCTTTGCATTAAAGAACTTCATGGATTTTTAAATATGATATTATCATCTCTTCCTTTCCATTATGGCTCAATATACCATTATTGAAAGGACATAAGTATCTGCTTTTCAAGTTTCAATCCTTTCACAGATTTAAGATACATGAATTCTGACATGCATTGTTTTCCAGAGCACAAAATACAATATGATTTTTTAACAAACAGATTCATGATCTAGGTCAAACTCTAATATGAGTTTAATTCTAGACAATTATAATTTTTCTTATAATCAAGATTGGGATCTGAACATGTATGTAAAAAGTTAAGAGTAAAATAGTGAGTTTAAATAAATTTGACTTTCTGAGCAATAGACATAAGTGCAGCTAAAAGATGTATTAAATATATATGATCATAGCTTAATTTGCATGTAAAGTTTGTAACTGCTATATTGCAATTAGACAGGGTTATTATACAGTACATTATATGTGATATTTAATGTCTGCTTAAATAGCCCCAAGACTTTTTTTAAGAGACCTTAGAGATCAATTTCAAAACATTTATACACTAAGACTTGTATTTTAATCTGTTTTCCTTCTGAATATCTTAACAAAGAAACACCAGTTAACTACGTAGAATCAAAGGTATACATAAATTTTGATCTATATGCAATCTAAATTTATAACTCCAATGCATTCCTAGAAATTGCATCATAATTTACTTCTTGTAAAGTAGATGATTATTTCCCATAAGGACAACGATAAAATTGTAGGAGTTAGCATTTCTTACTAGTGTCTATATAAAATCATAGATAGGATCAATAACATGCTTTTAAAGCAAAGCTACAACAATTACAGCTTTACAAGAATCTGGAATAATACAATTTGGTGTGAGTACCATGAAATAAACATGCACATATTTTAAACTGTATTTATAAAGGGTTCACAGTGCATTTTATATATGCATAATAGAAAAGGTACTATATACTTCTATCATAAGTTTGATGCATCAAGATATATATGTTATGATGAATATTAAAATGCAATTAATACTTCATTTTTTCCCAGAGTACTTTATAGAATTATTTGATTGCTCAAGTAATAATAAATGCTGTTCAAGAAAGCTTGAGCTGTTTCTCATTTTTCTACCTGAAAGAAGCATTTGAAATCTTTTAGCCTACCTTAAACTTGCTTCAAGGTTCTCCAAGATAGTCAATAAATATTTTGTGATTGAACATAATGGCTCCAAAAAAAAATTCACAGGTAAATAAATTTTCAACACATTTTTGCTTCAAATTCACCTTCTTGATTTAGTTAAAAGTTTTCTTAAGGCTTCTATTAGAATAAGTAAAGGTCAGAACAATTTTATTAGTATAACTGTTGTTAAAAAGAATTGCGAATTTTATTATAAAGCCATTAAATATCACTAAATTATTGAGCACATTTCAAAACAGAGTCTCTCTCTCTCTCTCTCCTTCTCCATTCCTCCCTCTCTCAGAACCACCCAAAGACACAAAATAAATGAGACACACACACACAAAGTAAAAACGTTTAAATTATGTTTTACACCTTTTATCAGACATGGTTAAAAATAAATCTAGGGCAATTGAGCTATATGCTAATTAGGCATCAGTAAAGAAGGAAAGAAATGTGAATGAAAGAAATTGAATGTTACATACGTTATTTTCCTATGGGCTGAAATTCACAATTTTCTCTTTTTACAGTCACATGATTGGAGCTGCATAGGATTAAGAGAAAGTACCCTAGATTCAGACTACCTTTATTCAATTTTACTTCTGACACTTAAGAACAGACAATCTTTGGGTTTATCGCTTAAACCTGCTTTTCCAGAATTTTTTCAACTATAAAATGAAGATGACAATAGTAACACCCTCATAGAATTGTGATATATATATATGTGTGTATCTGTGTGTGTGTGTGTATACATGTGTGGTATATATGTATATATACTGCAAATATCACTGGATGTGTGAAATGGAATATTTGGCATATCGGAAGAGAAAAAATATTAAATTGAAAATAGGTAAAGTTGAAAAAATCTCTCATACATTTAAAATAGAGTCCCCAAAGAGGATAATATGAAAGCAAAAAAGGAAACTTTTTCAAGAGACAAAAATGAATTTTCCAAATTCATGTTTAAAAAACATTAACCCAAAGACCCAACATATATCAAAAAAGATAAATGATCAGAAATTAAAATTTAGGCACATTACAGTGTGTTTATGTAACTGTAGACAAAAATAATATATTTCAATCTACAAGGGAGGCAAACCAATTACAGATAAATGACAATTTAACTGACAGCAGACTGCTCCCTAATAACAGAAGCAAAAAGGTAATGGCATTATATCTTTAAAGAACTGAGAAAAAATAAGTATGTAACAAAATTTCATCCATAAGTAAATTGTGAAATAAATCATTTCAGAGCAAAAAAATCTTAGAAATTACCACCATTATAACTTCACTAAACAACTTTGTAATTGTTAAAGGTGGTGCATTAGTGAAACAAGCCTAAAAGGAAAGTCAAAGATTCAAGAAGGAAAAGTGAGTAAAGAAACTAATAAATAGGTAAATCTAATGTCTTTGTGTATAATGATATTACAATATTACCTATTTTTGTAATAATAATATTATATTGTGTAAGGACAAAAATATAACGCTAGAAAGAGACCCCCTAATGTGTGTATTTTAAAGTACTTAAGTTGTATCACAGTCTGGAGGGACAGTAATTCATTTTGATTTTTCAGGAAAAAGTAATGGTGAAATCTCAAGGGGAACCAAGATAACGATATAAAAAGTATGTTTAACTTTTAATCATGTAGAAGGAATAACATTATATGAGAACATAAAAAGGAGAAGGGGAATCTTTATCAGTATTGAGTAAGATAGAGAAATATAACAGCCATTCAGGTAGAAATAAATGAGATTGAACTATCTTAAAGCATACATTTTTTTATATATATAATATATAATATTCCAAGTGGAATATATACCAAGTGGAAAGCAACTTTATAATATTAGAATAAAATAGCAATAGAATTCAATACTGCTTAAGAGAATATTTTTATATTCTTGACACAGAGAAAGGTGTTTCTTTCCTAGCTGCCCCAACTTTAGTTAAAAAATATAATCCACAAATATCAAAAGATAATCACATAAAAGAGTAGAACTGTTATAGAAACCATTTGGCATTATCTATAACAGTAAAGTTGCAGCAGTACTCATTAACCCTTAATTCTATTTCCTAGTTAATGTCCTAAAGAACTGTTTACAAATATGTACTAGAAGATATCTACAGGTATGTTCATAATGTTTTCTTAAATAATAAAAACTTTAAAACTTCCCATATGCTTAGGAACAATATGATTAACACCATACAATGACATTATACTCATTTGTGAAAAATAATGAACTAAGGTGCATTCACTGGAAAATGAGTGGTGAATGCACACACACACTAAAGAATCAAGGTAATAACTGGCGTAAGAAAAACAAATAAGAAGGATATTGAAAGATAGAGATGAAATAAAGTTGATCAGATACTGTTGATCCTCAGCCATCTCAGTGTGACTATTTTAGAGGCATCCAAGTTTGTGGTCAGAGGTATTCCAGAAGTAAAGTAATTTTCAGTTAATGAGAAGTCTTAAGATAAACTCTTCATAGTAGTAACTGCTGCTGAAATTTCAAGATAGATGTCATTATACATGAAGTTGGCAAGCGATTATGAACCTAAGTTTTACTGGAATGATTTTTCATAGGTATTAAATTATCCAAGAAATGTAGACAACCATATCTTTCTTTCCAAGCTCCATGATTTCTTTATTTCCTATTGTCTCTTCCTTTTCTCTGATCTCACTCAATAACACCAAATCACTGTTTGCCATAATAAGGCAATTTGTAGAAAAATAGTGTGACATTCTGCCAGTTGTTAATTTTGCATGTTTGCACTGACTTGAAACGTCTCCTTCTCATTGCATTGCAGAGAATAGCTAGCCCAGAAGCTACGTTTACAAGATACTCCTTTCTAGGATTCTAGATTAGAGTTTGCCACTGAAAGTAACAAACAGTATATTTGGAAAGTGGGAGGGGGAGAAGCTATTTATTTTGAGAGGTGGCAATGGCCAACCCAGTGGCTTCTCAGACTTCTTTGTAAGCACTATTTTTCTTTCTTTTTGAAACTTATTTATAAATTGCCAAATTATGTTTTATATTTGTGAGGTACAAGGTAATATTATGATATATGAATACAATGTGGAATAATTAAATCAAAATAATGTATTTATTACCTCCCAATACTCATTTTTGTGGTGAGAACATTTGAAATTTACTCCTTTGGTAATTTAGAAAGGCACAATACACTATTATTGACTATATTCACCACATTGTGATTCTCAGAAAAAGAAAAAAAATTCCTTCTGTCTAACTGAGGTTTTGTGCCATTTGACCACCTTCTTCTCATTCCCCCTATCCCCCGGCCTCTGGTAACCACCATTCTACACTCTGCTTCTATGAGTTTGATGGTTTTAAATTTCATATGTAGTTAAGAACATGTGGTATTTTCTTTCTGTGCCGGGCTTATTACACATAGCTTAATGTTCTCCAATTCCATTGATGTAGCTGCAAATGACCAAAATTCTTTTTTAAGGCTGAAAAGTAGTATTCTATTGTGTATATATAACACATAGACATATTCATCTGTCTTTATTCTTATTCATTCATCTGTCGATGGACTCTTAGGTTGATTCCATAACTTTATTATTGTGAAAATGGCTGCAGTGAACATAAAGGGCAGACATCTCTTAGACATACAGATTTCAAATATTTTAGGTAAATACCCAGAAGCAAGATTTTGGAGTCATATAATATTTCTATTTTTAGCTTTTAGAAGAAACTCTGTACCATTTTCCATAATGGCTCTACTAATTTATATTTCCACCAACAGTATTACAAGGGTTACCATTTTCTCCAAATCCTAGCCAACCCTTGTTATCTTTCATCTTCTTCATAATTGCCCTTCTTATAGGTATGAGATGATATCTCATTATGGTTTTAACTTGCATTTTCCTAATGATTAGTGATGTTGAGCATTTTTTTCTTACATCTTTTGCCCATTTCTGTCATCGTTTGAGAAATGTCTGTTCTGGTCCCTTGCTATTTTATACAATTAGGTTATTTGTTTTCTTACTATAAAATTTTGTTTGAGTTCCTTATATATTTTGGATATTAACCCCATATTGGAGGTGTGGCTTACAAATATTTTCTCCCAATTTCTAGATTGGCTCGTCACTCTGTTAATTGCTTTCTTTGTTGTGCGGAAGATTCTTAAAGTGATGCAATCCCATTTGCTATTTCTGCTTTTGTTGTCTACATTTTGGGAGCCAAAAAAAAAAAAAAAAAAAAAAAGTCATTGCCCAGATCAATATTTTGTAGTTTTTTCCCCTGTTTTCTTATAGCAGTACTGCAGTCTTAGGTCTTACATTTAAGTCTTAAACCCATTTTGAATTGATTTTTATATATGGTGTAAGAAAAACATTTAATTTCATTCTTTTTCATGTGAATATGAAAAAAACTTTCCTTTCCCTGCTGTGTATTCTTGGCAACTTTGTAAAAAATCGGTTAAACATACATACATAGTTTCGTTTCTGGGCTCTCTATTCTGTCTCATTCGTAAATATGTCTGTTTTTATGTCAGTACCATGCTGTTTTATTATTGTTTTGTAGTATAGTTTGAAATCAGGTAGTGTGATGTCTCCAGCTTTGTTCTTTTTGCTCATTATTACTTTGGCTATTCAGATTTTTTTGTAATTTCATATAAATTTTAGGACTATTTTTCTATTTCTATGAAAAATAACAGGGGATTTTGATACAAAATGCATTGAATCTGTAGACCACTTTGGGGAGTATAGATATTTTAACAATATAATTTTCATTAACCCTGAACATACAATAATTTTCTATGTATTTGTGTCTTCGATTTCTTTCATTAAAGTTTTCAGTGTATAGATCTTTCATCTCCTTGGTTAAATTTACTAGAAACTATTTTATTTATTTTGGGAGGTTAGCTATTGTAAATGAGATTGTTCTCTTGATTTCTTTGGGTAGTTTGTTGTTAATAGAAAGGCTATTGGTTTTGTGTGTTGATTTTTTTATCCTTTAACTATGCTGTATTTGTTTATTAGTTCTAACAGTTTCTTGGTGGAATCTTTAGAATTTTCTATCTATAAAATCATGTCATCAGCAAACAGTAACAATTTTACCTCTTTCTTTCCTACTGGATGCCTTTTATTAATTTTTTCTATTACATAATTGCTCTGACAAGGACTCTGAAATTATGTTGAATAGAAATAGTAAGAGTGAGCATCCTTATCTTTTTATGAATCTTAGAGGACAATATTTCAATTTTACACCATGGAGTATAATGTTAGCTGTGGACTATTATATATGGCCTTTATTGTGTTAAGGTACGTTTCTTCTGTTCCTAATTGGTTGAGTTTTTATACTGAAAGGATTCTTAATTTTATCAAATGCTTTTTCTGCATCTAATGAGATGATCATATGATATTTATCTTTTATTCTATTAATGTAATGTACCATGTTTATTGATTTGTGAGTGTGTGTCCATCATCACATCTAAGAAGAACGATCTAAGCCCAAAGTTAGCAAAAGGAAAACCATAATAAAGAGCAGAGATAAATGAAATACAATCTTTCATTGGGATAAACCCTACTTGCTTATGTTGAATGATCCTTTTAATGTGTTTTTGAAGTCAGTTTGCTAGTATTTTTTATTTTAGGATTTTTGAATCTATGTTCATCAAAAATATTGGCCTTTAATTTTCTTTTCTTGTAATGTTCTTAACTGGCTTTAGTAACACAGTAATGCAGGCCTCATAACAAGAGTTTGAAGTATTCCCTCCTCTTTGATTTTTAAGTTTGTGAAGGGTTGGTATTCTTTAAATGTTTAGTAGAATTCAGCAGTAAAGTCATCAAATCTCGAGGTGGTTTTGTTTTGTTTTGTTTTTGGATGAGAGACTTTTTATTACTAATTCAGTCTTTTTACTTATCATTGATTTGTTCAGATTTTTTATTTCTTTATGATCCAGTCTTGGTAGATTGTATGTGTCTATGAATTTATTCATTTCTTCTAGATTATTCAATTTGTTGGCATACAACTGTTCATAATAGCCTCTTATAATCCTTTGTATTTCTGTGATATCAGTTATAATATAGACTCTTTCATTTCTTATTTTCTTTATGTGGGTCTTCTCTCTTTTATCTTAGTCCTCCTAAAGGTTGGTTGATTTTATCTTTTCAAAAATGAACACTTAATTTTGTTATTTTTTGTATCATTTTCTAGTTTCTATTTTATTTATTTCTGCTCTTGTTTATGTCTTTCCTTCTGCTAACCTTTCGCTTAGATTGTTCTTCTTTTTCCATTTCCTTGGGGAATATGTTAATTTTTTTTTATTTGAGAATTTTTTTTTTTTGAACTCCCACCCTCAAGTGATCCACCCTCCCTGGCCTCCCAAAGTTCTGGGATTTCAGGCATGAGCCACTGTGCCCAGCTCATAAGTTTTAATATTTATCTCTTCACTAATATATTTCAGCTACAGTTGTTACTAACCGTTTTGTCTTTTACCCTCATACTAGGTAGAAAATTGCTTTACACAACACCATTACAGTCCTTACAGTATTTCAAATAGGGTTCTGCCTTTGTGTTTTGTGCTTACTTGTGTAAATTTTATGTTATTAATTAGTGGCCTTTTAGCTTAACTGGCTCTGTTAGCAATTCTTCTGAGGCAATTCTCGTGGTTAGTAACTCTGTTAGCCTTTATCATTCCGGAAAAGTTTTTAATCTGTCTCATTTCTGTCTGACAACTTTGCTGGGTAAAATATATTTGGTTGGCAGCTTTTTTTTTCCTTTAGCACCTTGATTATATCACATCATTTTTCTTTTCTTTTCTTTCTTTTTTTTTTTTTTTATTTTGAGACAGAATCTTGCTCTGCCACCATGCTGGAATGCAGTAGCGCGATCTTGGCTCACTGCAACCTCTGCCTCCCAGGTTCAAGTGATTCTCTTTCCTCAGCCTCCTGAGTGGCTGGGACTGTGGGCGTGCACTACCACATGCAGCTAATCTTTATATTTTAAGTAGAGACAGGGTTTCACCATGTTGACCAGGATGGTCTCGATCTCTTGACCTCGTGATCCGCCCACCTCGGCCTCCCAAAGTGTTGGGATTACAGGCGTGAGCCACTGTGCCTGGCCTTCATCTCATTTTTCTTCTAGACCTGTAAGATTTCTGCTAATGAATCTGCTGATAGTCATATAGGCACTCCTTTCCATGTGATGAGTTTCTTATTGCTTCCTCCTGTCAGAATTTTTCTTAGTCTTTAATTTTTGAGTTAAATTATTGTGTGTCTTGGTGAACTCTTCTTTAGGCTGAGTTTGATTGGAGATTTCTACACTTCTAGAACCTGGATGTTGGCTTTTTTCCCTATATTAGGGATGTTTTCAACATTTATTTCTGTAAATATGTTCTCTGGTCCTTTTGCTGTATCATACCCTTCATAAATCCCTATTATGCAAAGGTTTGGTCTCTTGATGGTGTTCCATAATTTACATAGGCCTTCATTCCTTTTCATTGTTGTTTTCTTAATTTCCTCTTAGATCCTCTGGTTGGATACTTTCAAATGTTTTGTCTTTGAGCTCACAGATTCTTTCTTCAAATTGATCAAGCCTATTGTTAAACCTTTCTGTTGCATATTAAAGTTCAGTCTTTGTATTCATCTGTAGGATTTTGATGGGTTTTTTTGTTTGTTGTTTTTCTAATTTTTTTTCAAACTTCTAATTTTCTTCATGTATTTTCCAAAATTCACTTAATTTTTAAAAATCTATTCTTGTAGTTCACTGAAATTTCTTAACAGAATTATTTTGAACTTTTGTCTTTAATTTTATAGATCTCTATTTATTTGGAGTCCATTGTTGGTGTTTTTTTTGGTGTCTTTTGGAAGGGTAATGATTTTCCTGCATCTTTTCATTGTTGTGTCCTTGCATTGTTGTCTGCATTTGAGGAGACAGCTACATCTTCTAGCTTTTATAGGTGTTCTTTGGTGGGGATAGATCTTCATGAATTTAGTCTATCCTGTGGTTCTGAATGGGCCAGGTGGTAATGACCCTGAACAGATAGAGCTTGCTTTCACATTCTATAAATGGCTGGGCTGTTTTCTTTGCTCTTAGTTCAGGTGGAGCAGCTGGCTGAGCTCTGTTGTTTGATGAGACCACTGACTGAGCTTTGCAATTAGAATAAGTAGGTGAATGGACCCTACAGTAACCTGTAATCAGGCTTGGCCACAGGGTGTATTTTCTGGACAGATGGTACCACTATTTGAGTTCAACAGTTGGATAGGGATGTGGGAAGCAGCCCCAATGTTGGGTGGAGCCACTGCTCAGATATGCAAGACCAGCCATTGTGCTTAGTAGAAATACACGGTTGAGTTTTGACTGCCTGCCCAGGCAGGGCCTTGGGGTGGCCTTTAAGGCTTAGCTGAGTGCTTTTTATACTCCTGGGCATGTCACAATCAGCTCCTGCTCTTTGCTGAAATGTGCTGCAGGGTGGTCATCTCACTCCCTTGGTGGGACCCAAGGGTAGGCTTTGAGGCCACACTGAGTGCTGCTTACACTCATGGATGTGACAGAGTTAGTCCCTGTTGTCTGCCAAAATGTGCTAAGGTGGTTTTCTCTTGGTGGGGCCTAGGGGAGCATTTCTTTTCTGACACGTACACAGGTGGTAGCGGTATTTTTCCAATAACCTGTGGAAACCTGCTTCAGTGTTTCACAATGAGGTCCTCAGGAAATATTTCCCTTCTTGATCTTCTCTCACCCAGCTCTTTATATATTCATGTAAATCAAGCATTAAATGTATATCAACTCCTTTATTTATGTAATATTTAAAGTGGCTCTGTATTCCTGACCACTCCTAGATTGATTTAAGAGGTGTTTGCCTGTAGTATGCTGGCATCAAAAATATGTGTTCATATTAACTCAATTGTTGTTGTTGTTGTTGTTGTTTCAGATTGGTAGACTTGTTTTTTTGTTTCTTTTGTTTTTGTTTTTGTTTTTAAAGAGCAGGAATAATGGTTGCCAGAAAAAGCTAGGGCTATGTATCTAAACTCTACCATGTTTCTAATCAAAACAAGAAGAATAATTATTTTCTCCAGCTTGATCATGTGAAATACCTGGAAGCTCTGAAAAAAAGCCAAATTATGGTAGTGGGCATAAAATCCATTTTCCAAAAGAAGAGAATTCTCACCAACAGAAAGTAGACAAACAAACAAAAATGCATAGTAAGTTAAACAACTTATCACTTTATTCTTTAGTGGAAATATTGAGAGGCAAATATTAAGAGGGTGTTCTCTAGAACCAGTTAAACTAAGTTTGATTCTTGTTTTTGTACTTCACTAGCAGTTTTCTTAATCTTTGAACATTGGTTTCTTCATTAGTAAACTAGGGTGAATAATGGTACCTACATCATAAGGCTGTTGTAAAATAAAAAGCATTTGTAAGTGTAATACATTGAAAATACATATCATGATATAGTAAGAACCCAATTAATGTTAAGTAAAATTTACAATTTTAATCTGTTTTTCAATCAAAAGTCTAAAGTTTTATTTAATTTACTTGTGACATAGCAATTATGAAAACTATCAACATAACACGTGACTTGCTTTTGCATGTTGATACTGTTTATGTTCTTAACATTTAGAACAGATAGTAAAATTACAAATTCTATAGAGAATATTAAGGTTTCCTGTGAAACTTTTGCTTGGTTAAACTGGGTTTTCTTCCCCTTTTGGACTAGTGCATCATTGGAGGAAATTACATAACTTCTCAGAACACTGCCTAGAAATGTTTTGCAAATAGATTGTTGGCGTCCTACTAAAAAATCCTCCACAAGTGCATCTCAGCCACACAAATTTCTGACATTTTGAAAATCATTATCTAGTCTATATTTTGGCTACTTTCTCTTCCTTTACTTGCATTACCTGATGTTCAAATTGGAGAGAAAACATCAATACAAAAATTTAACTGAAGTGACATTCACATCCCTTCTAGACTTGGCTAATTTTAAATTGGCGTAGACAATGATAACTGCATCATAGCTTATCACTTTGGTGGTAACTGGCATATGTTCATGACTTTGATTTTAAAACATATTGTATTTTCAGAAATGTTAGCATGGAAAATGCGTATCTCAGAATAAAAAAGGATGACAATTTTACAATAATGCAGTTTGGCTTCAATTATTTTGCTTAAACTCTACAAGTATTGTTTGGCAGAGGGCGAGACAGTAAATTGCGAGGATGAACTTTAGATAGCAAGTCTAGAAAAAATAATTGATTATCTGAAGAAACATAAAAGTAGAAATTAAAACCACACAAATAAATATGATATATATATGACACACACATATATATGATATCTATATTATATATAACTATCATAGATAATATGTAAATGCCTCTAAGAAGAACTATATGGTAAAAGTATTGAATTAGAGTTTATATATTTATAATCTGACCTAAATGGTAGACCTCAAATAATAAAGAAAACATTAGAATCTTAAATCAAATACACAATATTAGTTATATAACATGAAAGAACTTATTTTTAAGACATTTTCTGGATACATTTCATAATACATTTTCAAAGAATTTTTTTGGAATCCTTTCCTAAAATAAGTTTCAAGGATTGGACTTTTTGTATTTTCCTAAAATGTAATCAACCAGAGACTTTTCTTCTTTTGTCATGAATCTTAAGTTTATACAATAGATTTTTTTTAAAGTACTAATTTTTGTTGAGTTCATTTATCCAAAATTATCTTAAAGAACTTATGTTGCCTTATCTATTTTTTCCTTTGGAAAAACCTTTTTCTCTAAATAAATAACTCATTTTGTAGGAACGCTATACAGAGCTTTTCAACTTTTGTAACTTGTAAAAAGAGGCTTATCATGAAAGCACATAGAATAAACAGTCTATTTCAAGACTTGACAAAAAGGAGGCCAATCGGTAACACGCTGCTCATTGATTATTTTAATATTCTTGGCTGTATCAGTACTTCTAGAGACTAAATTAACTTGTTCTTCAGAAATAATTTTGGTTTGATATTGAAAAAGACGTATCATTTACTTAGAATTGTGATTTTCTTTGGTGCTGGGTAGAATGCTTCTGGAATGCAAAATGAGAGTTCACAATAAGATATTTTTTGTTCTATTATTGTTTAATTATTGGGTATAATTTTGCAAAAAGGGAAAACACTATTCTGAGACTGATGATGGTGTTTAGGAGGAACAAGAATTTATCTTTTCAATGGATTTTTCTATAAGCCATTCTATTTGCAGAAGGTATATGTTGTGCCAGTTTGCCACATGGCACAAAGTTAGAAACCTTTACCATGGTCTGTTTTTCTTAATATTCATGAAAAAAATTATCATATTAAAGTCAAACATTTTTATCTTGTTAAAATAGTAAGCATACTCTCTTTCTTCATAAGATTAAATATTAAAAGAGTAGAGTAACTATTTCAGGGAAGTGTCCACTTCAAGTAACTTATAATAAAATATTTAAAAATGGTATGTATTTAAATGCCACAATTATTCAGACATGTATTCTTACACATATGCACATACACAAGTAGATATACACACATGTATGTAAATAATACGGAATTTTGTTAAGAAAACTGTATTAGTTTGTTTTCACGCTGCTAATAAAGACATACCCGAGACTGGGCAATTTACAAAGGAAAAAGGTTTATTGCACTTATAGTTCCATGTCTATAGGGAGGCTTCAAAATCGTGGCAGGTGAAAGCCATGTCTCACGTGGCAGCGGACAAGAGAAGAAGAGAGCTTGTGCATGGAAACTCCCATTTTTAAAACCATCAGATCTTGTGAGACTCATTCACTATCAAAAGAACAGCACAGGAAAGACCCACCTCCATAATTCAATCACAACCCACCAGGTTCCTCCCATGACATGATGTGGAAATTGTGGGAGTTGCAATTCAAGACAAGATTTGGGTGGGGGACACCCAACTTTTGCTTGGTTACAGACATATCATCCAACCCTGTCCCTTCCCAAATCTCATGTCCTCACATTTCAAAACCAATCATGCCTTCCCAATAGTGCCCCAAAGTTTCAACTCATTTTAGCATTAACTCAAAAGTCCACGGTGCAATATCTCATCTGAGACAGGGCAAGTCCCTTCTGCCTATGAGCCTGTAAAATCAAAAGCAAGTTAGATACTTGCTAGATACAATGGGGATACAGGCATTGGGTAAATACAGCTGTTCCAAATGAGAGAAATTGGCCAAAACAAAGAGGCTACAGTCCCCATACAAGTCCAAAATCCAGCAGGGCAGTCAAATCTTAAAGCTCCAAAATGATCTTCTTTGACTCCATGTCTCACATCAGGGTCACACTGATGCAAGAGGTGGGTCCCATGGTCTTGGGCAGCTCTGCCCCTGCAGCTCTGCAGGGTACAGCCTCACCCCCGGCTGCTTTCACGAGCTGGTGTTGAGCGTCTGTGGCTTGTCCAGGAACACAGTGCAACCTGCCAGTGGATCTACCATTCTGGGGTTCTGGAGGAGAGTGGCCCCCTTTTCACAGCTCCACTAGGTGGTGCCCCATTAGGGACTCTATGTGGGAGTCCAACCCCACATTTCTCTTCCATGCTGCCCTAGCAGAAGTTTTCCATGAAAAGCCCATCCCTCCTTGGGATCCAGGCATTTCCATACATCTTCTGAAAACTAGGTGGGGGTTCCCAAACCCCAATTCTTGACTCCTATGCACTTGCAGGCTCAAGACCATGTGGAAGCTGCAAAATACTGGGGCTTGCACCCTCTGAAGCCACGGTCTGAGCTCCACGTTGGCCTCTTTCAACCATGGTTGGAGCAACTGGGATGCAGGGCACCAAGTCCCTTGGCTGCACATAGCACGGGGACCCTGTAAGCCACTTTTTCCTTCTAGGTCTGTGACTTGCGATGGGAGGGGTTGACATGAAGACCTCTGACATTCCCTGGAGACATTTTTCCCATTGTCTTAGCGATTAATGTTTGGCTCCTTGTTACTTATGCAAATTTCTGCAGCTGGCTTGGATTTCACCTCAGAAAATGAGATTTTTCTTTTCATTTGTCAGGGTGCAAGTTTTCCAAACTTTTATGCTCTGTTTCTCTTTTAAAACTGAATGCCTTTAAGAGCACCCAAGTCATCTCTTGAATGATTAGCTTTGAATAGGATATCTTCTGCCAGATATCCTAAATCATCTCTCTCAAGTTCAAAGTTCCACAAATCTCTAGGGCAGGGGCAAAATACCACCAGTCTCTTTGCTGAAACAACAAGACTTTGCTTCAGTTCCCAACAAGTTCCTCTTCTCCATCAGAGACCACCTCAGCCTGGACATTATTGCTCATATCACTATCAACAATTTCTCAAAGTCATTCAACAAGTCTCTAGGAAGTACCAAACTTTCCCACATTTTCCTATCTTCTTCTGAGTCCTCCAAACTGTTTCAACTCCTGTCTGTTACCCAGTTCCAAAGTCACTTCCATATTTTTGGATGCTTTTTCATTAACACCTTTTCCTACTGGTACTAATTTACTGTAATAGCCTGTTTTTATGACGCTGATAAAGACATACCTGAGGCACGTCTCACGTGATGGCAGACAAGAAAAGAAGAGAGGTTGTGCAGGGAAACTCCACTTTTTAAAACCATCAGATCTGGTGAGACTCATTGGCTATCACAAGAACTGCACAGAAAAGATCCACTCCCAAAATTCAATCATCTCCCACCAGGTTCCTCCTACAACACATGGGAATTGTGGGAGTTGCAATTCAAGATGAGATTTGGGTGGGGACACAGCCAAACCACATCAAAAACCTTAAGAAGATAATATGACTGTTAACTTCTAATTATTTTAAGCTCTTTACCAACCACCCTTACTTCTGCCCTGTAACTGACATTTCTTCAGTGTTCATTAGTGTCTACCAGAAAATACACATACACTTTAATTTGCACAAGGTGTAGTGAATTAGTAAATGAGATAAAATAACCTGTTTTCTTTCATACATATCTAAATTGGTATACCTGTGTTAATTTAATTGTAAATACCCACCTTGTATCAAAATAAAAGACTCAAATTATTGTAAATGAGATCCTTTTATAGTGTGTGAATAAATAATAAAAAATATATTTAATATATAAAATATGGCTCTACATAAACCCTTATGAAAGTTAATAATCGTTTGCATCACCACCACAGTGAAATCTGCTCTGCTACTTTACAGAAATGGTACAAATGGTACAATGTAATGCATACTCAAAATAGACCTGTCCACTTCTAAGATCTTATCACTAATGTTTAGCTTAATAACTGAGATTAACACAAATATAGACTTGTTCATCTGTACTGCAGATGTACTCTTCATAAAATTCCTTTAAATAACTGAATAATTAAGCAAAGGTATCCATTTCCATTGTAAAATACAGCTGCTGGTTCTCATTGGATGCTGATTATTTATGGCCAATAGGCCACTCTTTAATATCTTGGCACACTTCCCAAAACTGATGATGTTTTGGGAAATACTCATTTGCATTTTTTCAACCTTATGTTAGTTGTATTTTATTGTTATTATAAGATTAATATTTATTAACCAATGAGATATTGGTCTGAAAAGAAGGAAATATGTTTTAGGGATACTTAAAAGTTGTAGAAATATCAAAAAGTATTATAAAGTAAAAAAATAACACATGTTGGTGAGATTGCAGAGAAAAAGGAATGGTTACACTGTTGATGGGAGTGTAAATTGGTTCAAACATTGTGGAAAACAGTGCAGAAATTCCTCAAAGACCTAAAAACAGGACTACTATTTGACCCAGCAATCCCCTTACTGGGTATATACCTAAAGGAATATAAATAGTTCTGTCATAAAGACACATGCATGTATATGTTCAGTGCAGCAGGATTCACAATAATGAAGACATGGAATCAAACTAAACGCCCATCAATGGTAGACTGGTAAATAAAACATTATATATATATATATATAAAATATATGTGTGATTTTATGTGTATATGTGATTTTATATATATATGTGATTTTATACATATATGTGTGTGTGTGTGTGTGTGTATATATATATATGCAAAGAACATGATCTCATTCTTTTATATGGCTGCATAATATTCCATGGCCATATTTGGTTTTCTGCCCTTGTATTGGATTGCTAAGTATAATGGCCTCTAGATCCATCCATGTCCCTGCAAAGAACAAGATCTCATTCTTTTATATGGCTGCATAGTATTCCATGGCATGCATATATATATATATGTATGTGTATGTGTATGTATATGTATATGTATTATGTACATAATACATATGTATATGTATATATATGTACATAATACATATGTATATGTGTATATATATGTGACTTGATAATGTTATAGAGAACTAAGAATACATGTTTAAAAAGTATTTGGAACATACCTGAGTCTTTTTTTTTTTAATTATACTTTAAGTTCTGGGGTATATGTGCAGAATGTGCAGGTTTGGTACATAGGTATATATGTGCCATGGTGGTTTGCTGCACCCATCAACCTATTATCTACATTAGGTATTTCCCCTAATGCTATTCACCCCCAGGCTCCCACCCCCTGAGAGGCCCCAGTGTGTGATGTTCCCCTCCCTGTGTCCATGTGTTCACATTGTTCAATTCCCACTTATGAGTGAGAACATTTGGTGTTTGGTTTTCCGTTCTTGTGTTAGTTTGCTGAGAATGATGGTTTCAAGCTTCATCCATGTCCCTGCGAAGGACATGAACTCATCCTTTTTTATGGCTGCATAGTATTCCATGGTGTATATGTGCCACATTTTCTTTATCCAGTCCATCACTGATGGGCATTTGGGTTGGTTCCAAGTCTTTGCTATTGTGAACAGTGCCACAATAAACATACGTGTGCATGTGTCTTTATGGTAGAATGATTTATAATCCTTTGGGTACATACCCAGTAATGGGATTGCTGGGTCAAATGGTATTTCTGGTTCTTGATCCTTGAGGAATCACCACACTGTCTTCCACAATGGCTGAACTAATTTACACTACCACCAACGGTGTAAAAGTGTTGCTACTTCTCCACATCCTCTCCAGCACCTGTTGTTTCCTGACTTTTTAATGATTACCATTCTAACTGGCATGAGACGGTATCTCATTGTGGTTTTGATTTGCATTTCTCTAATGACCAGTAATGATGAGCTTTTCTTCATATGTTTGTTGGCTGCATAACTGCCTCCTTTTGAGAAGTGTCTGTTCATATACTTCATCCACTTTTTGATGGGGTTGTTTTTTTCTTGTAAATTAGTTTAAGTTATTTGTAGATTCTGCATATTAGCCCTTTCTCAGATGGATAGATCGCAAAAATTTATCCAATTCTGTAGGTTGCCTATTCTCTCTGATGATAGTTTCTTTTGCTGTGCAGAAGCTCTTTAGTTTAATTAGATCCTATTTGTCTATTTTGGCTTTTGTTGCCATTGCTTTTGGTGTTTTAGTCATGAAGCCTTTGCCCATGCCTATGTCCTAAATGGTATTGCCTAGGTAGAGCAGGAGGTATTGAAGAGTAAAAGCACTGTTAGGTTCAGGAGTTTAGCCTTGTTTTTGTGTGTGTGTAATTTTTAACCTGGCAAATACTGGAATATCAGACCAGTGTTATATGGCTGTTGTGATTCCCTGATGAAATGCTAAATAAATTCAATTGTGAGCAAACAAAATGTATGTGACATGTTCAACTTCAATTAAAACTAGAAATTGCATCTCGACTGAAATCTAGTCTGGGTTACCATTTCCTCAAGACTTTCTATTGAATTTAAACCATCTCTTTTAGTATCTTAATTCAAATAATTTAGAATCAGTACATTCCTTGGCGAGTATTTTGCATTCAGGAAATTACACAGGAAAATCAATGAGCTTTCTCTTTATGGAGCTTGCATTCTGGTTGGGAAGACAGACAGTAGCTAACATAATTAAGTAAAATACCTGATATGTGGTACATAATGATAAGTATAAACGAGGAAACAAAACAGAAAAGGAATGTGTGGGATAGCACACTTTAAGAAAGGCACTTAGAAAAGGATTCAACGAGAAGTTGATATTTGAGTGGAAAAAGTGAGGATCTGCATGTTTAGTTTTCAGGGGGAAAAAAAAACTGTGCAAGTAGAAACATCAACAAAGGCAAAATCTTGAGGACAAACATGCCTACAAGTAGCACAGTTCGCAGATTGAACAAGGGGCAAAATTGTAGATGAGGCCAAAGAATTAAATATGTATGGACAGACAACTGGCTAGAGGGCTGTTCAAAAACTGATCCATATATCAGTTGCCAAGATAAATAGAGACACTGAAGGGATGTGTTTAAACACTTTTATAGCTATTTGATATTACCATAACATCCGAGCATGTGATCACTAAACTTAAATTTGCATGGCTTAAACTTTTCCATTAATATTTTATCTATCTATCTATCTATCTATCTATCTATCTATCTATTATCTATCTATCTATCATCTATCTATCTATCTTTACAATAGCATTGGTCTATGAAAGCTAGGGGGAAAATTATCTTTTGTCCCACAGATAGTTTAAGAAGCACTGATTTAGGACACATTGACTCTTTCTTTGAGTGTGATGGAGAGTAGTTGGTGTTTAAGGAGAGAAGAGATAGAGGATGAGTTACTTATTAAAAGCATCCCTCTGGCTTCTGTTGGAAAATAAAGGTAGAGCAGGAGATGAAACACAGACATGAGTCAGGTGGCTACTCAACAAACATGTGAGGGAGAATGGTGATCAAGGCACAGTGGAAGTGGAGGAAGAAGTGAGGTATGTTCTGGTTCTGGATATATATTTGGAACCAGAAAAAGAGGAAGTTTTGAAAGATTACATATGAAGTGAAAAGAGAGAGAGAAAAATCAAGGATGACTCAAAGGTCTGGCCTGAGCGAGTAGAAGAAATTGACATTTACTGATCTTGAATAGTTTGTGAGAGCAGCAATTTCGGCTGGTGGATGAGAAATAGTATGCAAATCAAGAGTTCAGCTTAGGAAATATTCATTTTGAAAGACGAGTTATACAGCCTACTGAAGAATGTCAAATAGAAACTGACTTTAAGCAAGAGAAAATGTGAAGAAAGTACTGAAATTAATGTTTAGCAATAAAAGCATTAAATGGTGAAAACTTAGTTAAATGATTATCATTTCAAACAAATACAAAGGTATCTTGGATTGGTTACTTAGCGTATCCTGAAGTACAGTGCTAAATTTCATACTACACATTTTCATATTTGGTTTGTATAATAGTCTTACAAGGCAAACATAATTTTTCCAACTTTTTTGAATTAGAGACTGATGCTCAGAAAATTAAGCATTTTGCCTATGAAAATATATAAAATCAATAATATGGCAAACAAAATATAGTATATATTAAGTTCTTACTAAATAGCCATTAAACACTAACATTATCACTTATTTACAGAGAATAGAAATTATAAACAAATTATTAAGTATCTTGCATAAGCTCTTAGAGTTTGTAATTGCTGGAGACACAATTTCAATGCAATTGATAGGCCACGATATTAAACAATTATCTTCCACTGCTTCCTCTGGAAGAGCAAGTATTCACAATTAGGTACTTCCTATTCTAGAACTCAGGTATTTCCTACTATCCCTGGCTATTTTTATTAAGCTTATTTCTTCACACTTGTGCATTAATCAGAATCACTTGGAGAGTTTATTATATACTGATTGCTGGATTCCATGCCCATAATTTCTAGTTTAGTTTGTCTGGGGTAGAACCCCGTAGTTTCAATTTCTAACAAGCCCCTGCTGCTGCTTATTTTGCTGGTCTGAGAAACACATTTGAGAACACTGACTTACTGTATGGAATATTTATATATAATATTATGAACTCTTCAGTTAGTGTTCTAAGGTATATAGTTTAAAATAATCATGCCAGGGCTCACATATTCAACGAGAGGCCAGAAATCTTTTAATTTCTTATCAAAGAGATTTTCTAGCTTCTTCCTCTTTAAGACAGGGCATCCTTCCTGAAGGAGACAGGTGAAACTGCAATGACAATTTTATAAGAAGTGAAATCATGCTGACAGCAGGCAGTTTCTTCCAAGCAGAAAAGGGGTGTCACACTCAATTAGCTCTTTGGAACTATGGTGAAAGGAGCCAGGAGAATAGCTATATTATGAACTCACTTTTTTCTTCTTTGTAGTTAAAAGATACATGAATGAAAAGACTATGCAAAGGATGTCTACAAAAAAACGGAGAATGCAAAGAATGTGAGGAATTGAAATACTAATGAAAAAGGTGGAGAATATTAGCTCCTCTATAAAAATACTTATCAATGCAATTTGCCTGTACATGTCATTTCATGATATATTAATTTCATAGTCATATTTTTCTCTGTAAATTGTACATATTATTCATCTTTTTTAAAAATTTGCTGAAAAAATTGTAGAGTAGAATTTTATAATTCATTTTACAACTATTGTAGGTAGTGCTAGGAATGAAATCTCTCTAACGTGCTTTAAGGCTTCCATCATTTGACATTCTGCTAAATTTCTCACATAATTCCTGTGGAATCTTTAATAGTGTTTCAAACGAAAGTATTCCTGAAGATGCTCTTTTTAATACCTTTAGATTTTCTTAAATAGCTATAACCACTCATTTTTAAAATTTCCTCCATTTTTGGGCTTCCAGGAAGCAAACGTATAGAATGTATTTTCGAAAAATTTTATTAAATTGCTCTACTGTCAAATACATAAAATGAATTAGTGACATGTCTAAAACTGAAGTTGATAGAATGTGTTTTAAAAATGCTCAGTTTAAAAGGCACGCATTAAAAATGTTCATATTAATTAACATCTCTGTGGATTATAATGTACTGTGATGGCATTAAATAATGTAGGCTGACAGCCATGTTTAAAGAGTAAATTTTCATTTCAGCTACTTATTTCTCTCATTTGATTTCTTTTTGACACTTTTTCTCACTGAAGTGTTAACATGTAACTTCTCAAAGTATAATTACAAGCAAATACCTTTTTTTCTCATTAATAAGTAATTTTGGGGTACGATGGTGCTTGCTTGCAGTCCCAGCTACTCTGGAGGCTAAGGTGAGAGGATAGTTTCAGATCAGGAGTTCAGGTCCAGCCAGGACAACATAGACAGACCTCATCTATAATAAGTAAAATAATAAGTAACCATAATAGTTACTATTTTTTTCTTTTTTAAAAATTAAAAATTATACTAATTTTGGCAATTTTACTTTTTATGTGAAAAACTACGCTTTATGAGCCACGTCCTGAGTCTCTCTTGTACTGAAAAGAATTATTCATCACATGACTCTGCATTTTAATAGTTATCTAAATATATAGTCTTATGTTACAGATCTTAAATTTTTTTAATTAGTGTTTGTTAAGAAATGGGGCCTCACCATGTTGCCCAGGTTGGCCTTGCACTCCTGGGCTCAGGCAATCTTGTCTCAGCCTCACAAGTATCTGGGACTTCAGGCCTGTTGTCATGACTGCCACACCCAGCCAAGAAAGACTTTTTTAAAATATGAAACCAAGGCTGAAGGAGGTGGCTCATGCCTGGGAGGTGGAGGCGGGTAGATAGCTTGACCCCAGGAGTTCGAGACCAGCCTGAGAAACATGGGGAGATCCCATCTCTAGTAATCAATAAAGATTAGCGAGGCCTGGTGGGGCGACGCCTGTAGTCCCAGCTACTCCAGAGGCTGAGGTTGGAGGATCACTTGAACTTGAGGGGAGACAGGGGGATTGCAGTGAAACCAGATTGTAGCACTGCACTTCAGCCTGGGTGACAGAACCAGACCCTGACTCAACAACAACAACAACAACAATAAAAAACACACTTTCTTGTTTAGCAGTTGAACATTAAATACATTTGATACACTATATTCAAACTCTGCATGTTCTATTTTTACTTTAAAATATTTTCCTAAGCCAAAAGAACAAAGCTGGAGGCATCACGCTACCTGACTTCAAACTATACTACAAGGCTACAGTAACCAAAACAGCATGGTACTGGTACCAAAACAGAGATATAGACCAATGGAACAGAACAGAGCCCTCAGAAATAATGTCGCATATCTACAACTATCTGATCTTTGACAAACCTGACAAAAACAAGCAATGGGGAAAGGATTCCCTATTTAATAAATGGTGCTGGGAAAACTGGCTAGCCATATGTAGAAAGCTGAAACTGGATCCCTTCCTTACGCCTTATACAAAAATTAATTCAAGATGGATTAAAGACTTACATGTTAGACCTAAAACCATAAAAATCCTAGAAGAAAACCTAGGCAATACCATTCAGGACATAGGCATGGGCAAGGACTTTATGTCTAAAACAGCAAAAGCAATGGCAACAAAAGCCAAAATTGACAAATGGGATCTAATTCAACTAAAGAGCTTCTGCACGGCAAAAGAAACTACCATCAGAGTGAATAGGCAACCTACAAAATTGGAGAAAATTTTCACAACCTACTCATCTGACAAAGGGCTAATATCCAGAATCTACAATGAACTCAAACACATTTACAAGAAAAAAACAAACAACCCCATCAAAAAGTGGGCAAAGGATATGAACAGACACTTCTCAAAAGAAGACATTTATGCAGCCAAAAAAACACATGAAAAAATGCTCATCATCACTGGCCATCAGAGAAATGCAATTCAAAACCACAATGAGATACCATCTCACACCAGTTAGAATGGCGATAATTAAAAAGTCAGGAAACAACAGGTGCTGGAGAGGATGTGGAGAAATTGGAACACTTTTACACTGTTGGTGGGACTGTAAACTAGTTCAACCATTGTGGAAGTCAGTGTGGCAATTCCTCAGGGATCTAGAACTAGAAATACCATTTGACCCAGCCATCTCATTACTGGCTATATACCCAAAGGATTATAAATCATGCTGCTGTGAAGACGCATGCACACGTATGTTTATAGCGTCACTATTCACAATAGCAAAGACTTGGAACCAACCTAAATGTCCAACAATGATAGACTGGATTAAGAAAATGTGGCATATATACACCATGGAATACTATGCAGCCATAAAAAATGATGAGTTCATGTCCTTTGTAGGGACATGGATGAAACTGGAAACCATCATTCTCAGCAAACTATCACAAGGACAAAAAACCAAACAGCGCATATTCTCACTTATAGGTGGGAATTGAACAATGAGAACACATGGGCACAGGAAGGGGAACATCACACACCGAGGACTGTTGTTGGGTGAGGGGAGGGGGGAAGGATAGCATTAGGAGATATACCTAATGCTAAATGACGAGTTAATGGGTGCAGCACACCAACATGGCACATGTATACATATGTAACAAACCTGCACGTTGTGCACATGTACCCTAAAACTTAAAGTATTATAATAATAAAATTAAAAAAAATAAAAATAAAAATAAAATATTTATGGGCATGGCACGATGGCGCAGGCCTGTAACTTTGGGAGGCCACAGAGGCAGGCAGATTGCTTGAGCCCAGGAGTTCCAGACCAGCCTGGGCAACATGGCAAAACCCTGTCTCTACAAAAAGTACAAAAATTAGCCTGGTGTGGTGGCGTGCTGTGTGGGTAGTCACAGCTATTTGGGAGGCTGAGGTGGGAGGTTGAGGCTGCAGTGAGATGAGATGGTGCCACCAAACTCCACTAAACTCCAGCCTGGTCTACAGAGTGAGACCCTGTCTCAAAAAAATAAAACCAAAAATATTTATTTAATACTAATAGATAATAATGCTCATGTTACAAAACTCAAAATTTATTTCCAAATATATTTATAATATAATATACTACCAAAATATATTTCTTTTGAAGTTTATCTCTAAATACTCTATTTCATTCTCAAGAGACAGCTGCTGATCTGACTTTGCCTCTATCCTTTGAACTCAATTTCATGCCTTACATGGTTATAGATATTAACACATATAATTGTTGTTTATTTTGTTTCGAACAAGTTGTACTAGAGTATACATATTGTTCTAAACTTTTTTGTTTTTAATGCTCTCTCTTGTAGATTTTTCTAAACTAGAACATATGTAGCTTCTTTATTATTCTATATGGCTATGGAAGTGTTCTTATGGATGTCATGTGATTCATGTAGCTAGTCATATTGCTTCTGATTTTTTTTAGAAAAGAAACTTTCTATAAATTTATGCATATATTATGCAGACATTCAATTATATCTGTAGGAAATAAGCAAACTATGGAATTTTTAGATAAAAAGCTATACTCTAGTTTCAGTAGGCCTTCTTAATTACCACTCATTAAATTTTCATTAATTTCAATCCTAGAAATGTGAAAATAACAAAAAAATTTTACTGTCTAAAATTTCTTTGGTTTCTCAGTTTTCAATTATTTTTCAAAGTACTTTTACCATCAAAATGTCTCTTACACCAGTCAGAATGGCGATTATTAAAAAGTCAAAAAACAAAAGATGTTGGAGAGGATGCAGAGAAAAGGAAAGCTTATAACACTGTTCATGAGAGTGTAAATTAGTAAACCTCTATGGAAAACATTATGAAGATTTTTCAAAGAACTAAAAATAGAACTACCTTTAGACACTGCAATTCCTCTACTGGCTATCTACCCAAATTAAAAGAAACCATTATTCTAGAAAGATACCTGCACTCATATGTTTGTTGCCGCACTATTCACAATAGCAAAGACATAGAATCAACCTAGGTGCCCATCAATGGATGACTGGATGAAGAAAATATTATATATATGTATATATATATATATATATATATCCCACAAAATACTACTCAGACATAAGAACGATGTAATGTTTTTACGGCAATGTGGATGAACCCAGAGGCCATTATTTAAGTAAAATAATTCATAAACAGAAAGTCAAGTACCGCTTGTTCTCACTGATAAGCAAGAGTTAAATAATATGTAGACATGAACAGAGATAGTGTAATAATAGATGCTGGAGGCCCAGGTATAGGAGAGGAGCGAGGAATGAGAAATCACTGGGCATGTAGACAATTCGGGCAATGGGAGCACTAAAAACAGCCCATACTTCACCATTATGCAATATATTGTGTAACAAAACTGCACTTGTACCCCTTACATCTATAAAAACAGAAAAAAATAGGAAAACAAAAGCAGTCCCTCTTCTTGTGTTCTCAAAAGTTAGTCCAATTTAATTTTCTACAGTGGATCTTTGATATGAATGAATTTGGTCAGATGTTTGGTAAAAATGAAATTTAATTCTTTACTCAATTTTTTAGTGAGACATAGCAATACGATCTGTTAAAAAATCTGTATTTCCCCAATCATTGAAAACATCAAGTTCGCTGTGTTTTTAAATTTGCCTTCCTTCTTTCCATTGTTTTATCTTTGTATTCATGCACTAGAATCACTCTATTCTAAATGTTATGATTTTGTTATATGTTTAAATATTAAGGAAGATTAGGAATTCTTCATTATCCTTTCTGAACTATCCTTTTATGCATGCTTATTTTAATGTAATTTTTATTTTTCTTTATTTTTCTTTTTTTATTTTACTTTAAGTTCTAGGGTACATGTGCACAATGTGCAAGTTTGTTATATATGTATACATGTGCCATGTTGGTGTGCTGCACCCATTAACTGGTCATTTACATTAGGTTTATCTCCTAATACTATCCCTCCCCACTCCCCCAACCCCACAACAGGCCCCGGTGTGTGATGTTCTCCTTCCTGTGTCCAAGTGTTCTCATTGTTCAATTCCCACCTATGAGTGAGAATGTGCGGTGTTTGGTTTTCTGTTCTTGTGATAGTTTGCTCAGAATGATGATTTCCAGTTTCATCCGTGTCCCTACAAAGGACATGAACTCATCCTTTTTTATGGCTGCATAGTATTCCATGGTGTATATGTGCCACATTTTCTTAATCTAGTCTATCATTGATGGACATTTGGGTTGGTTCCAAGTCTTTGCTATTGTGAATAGTGCCACAATAAACATATGGGTGCATGTGTCTTTATAGCAGCATGATTTATAATCCTTTGGGTATATACCCAGTAATGGGATGGCTGGGTCAGATGGTATCTCTAGATCCTTGAGGAATCGCCACACTGTCTTCCATAATTTTTAAACAGAACTTGGTTCGTTAAAAATTTCGTGTTAGTATATGTGTATGTATGAGTGTATGTGTATCTATATTATCTGTTACTACATAAAAATATACTAAACCTTGGCATCTTAAAAACAACAAACATTTATCATCTCACTCAGCGTTTTCTGTATATCTGGAAACCAGAGTCCTATATGTGGAGTCTTGTTGGGTGGCAGTTAGGCTGTCAGCCAGGGCTACAGACATCTGAAAAGTCAACTGGGGATGAAGAATTCCACTTCCAGGACCATTCACATGGTTGCTGGCAGGCCTCAGTTTCTTGCTGGCTGTTGGCCTGGGGCCTCAGTTCCCTGCCAGGTGGGCCTTTTCATAGGGTTGCTCAAAACATGGCAGCTCATACTGCCCAGAGTGAGTGACCTGAGGAATACAGAACACAAGATGGAAGTCACAGTTTTTAACAACTTAATCTTGGAAGTGACATAATATTAATTCAACATGCATGCATCTGGAGGCCATTATCCTAGTGAATTAATGCAGAAACAGAAACCAAATACTGTATGTTCTCACTTTTAATTGGGAGCTTAACATTGGATACACATGGACATATAGATGGGAACAATAGACACTGAGAACTACAGGAGAGAGGAGGCAGGGAGAGGATCAAGGGCTGAAAAACTACAAATTAGGTACTATGCTCACTACCTGAGTGATGGGTTCAATTTGTATCCCCAAACCTCAGCATCATCCAATATTCCTTTGTACCAAACCTGAACAGGTGCCCTCTGAATTTAAAATAGAAGTTGAAATTTTTTAAAAAATAAATTCTGTTACATATTATTGTTGTTCATGCAGAGCAACCTGGTACAATATGGGAGGTAAGCATGCAAGGGTGTGAAAACAGACAAGTGA
Source organism: Homo sapiens (assembly GCF_000001405.40). Lineage (NCBI taxonomy): Eukaryota > Metazoa > Chordata > Mammalia > Primates > Hominidae > Homo > Homo sapiens. The sequence goes on along the minus strand of NC_000001.11, from coordinate 195,610,442 downwards.
ACCCAGAGGTCATTATGGAGGCCAGCTACTACAGTTTGTCCATTGGCTCACGATGTGTCATGTTCTTCCCACATGCAAAATACACTCATCTCCTCCAAAGTTCCCAAATATCTTATCTGTAACAGTATCAATTTGAAGTCCAGAATCTTGTCCAGGTGAGTAGAGTCCTTAACTCCTTTGGTTAGATAATTAACTACTTACTGTAGGACTAATCTGTGTTAGGAGCTGGGAATATTGAAATTGACCAGAAAGAGAAACATCACAGTGCATGCATTTTAGAGCACCATCAAATATTTGTTTCTAAAATAGAAAACTTGTATCTTGAGTTAAGAACCAGAAGAACATCATTTAAGGTCTCCAAGCCATAGATCCCTCTTCTGAGAGGTGCATATAATAATGTCTAACCATCTATATCATTCTGATATAGTAAAGATTAGATGAAAATAATGGATCTCAATCTTTTTTGTTTCTTTTTCTTTCCATAATTTTTCCCTGTACAATTTACTTACATCAGTAATATTTTTATTTATACAGTGGTTATTATTTATAAAGTAATTATTAAGATTAGGAAAACAATGGCAAGACAATGAGTAGAGAATCCCTGGATTCAGTAAATTACTTGAGTGCTATTTGTAAGCCTTTTTTTTTTTTTTTTTTTTTTTGTTGGGACGGAGTCTCTGTCGCCCAGGCTGGAGTGCAGTGGCGCAATCTCGGCTCACTGCAAGCTCCGCCTCCCGAGTTCACGCCATTCTCCTGCCTCCGCCTCTTCGAGTAGCTGGGACTACAGGCGCCCGCCACCACACCCGGCTAATTTTTTTTTTTTTTTTTGTATTTTTAGTAGAGACGGGGTTTCACCGTGGTCTAGATCTCCTGACCTCGTGATCCGCCCGCCTCGGCCTCCCAAAGTGCTGGGATTACAAGCGTGAGCCACTGCGCCTGGCCTGTTTGTGAGTCTTAAAAGATAATAACAGAAACTATCACACTATTTTTTCTTCACAGTTCCAAATCTTTCTCTCTCTTTTTCTTCATACTTTCAAAATCCTATTTCAGACAATAGCCAATGCCCATCCCCTCTCCGCTCAAAAAAGAGATCCGTTTTAACCCCTGGAAGCTAGGAATGCTACCTCATTTGGAAAAGTTTTGCAGATATGATTAAGTTAAAGGTCTTCAGATAGGGAGATTATCCTTGATTATCCATGTGGGCCCTGACTTCTACCACATGTATCCTTTATAAGAAGGAATGCAGAGAGAGATTTTACATGCACATGAACATACACAGGAATAGGTAATGTGAAGACTAAGCAGAAAGATATTTGAAGATACTGACCTTGAAAATTGTAGTGATGTGACCTAGACCAATGTGTGCAGACAGCCATCAGCAGCTGAAAGAAGCAAGGAATGGATTCTCCTCTAGAGGGAGCAGAATTTGGAAAACCTTGATTTTGGCCCACTGATACTGATTTCAGACATTTTGCCTCCGGAACTGAGAAAATATATTTCTGTCTTTTTAAGCCACCAAATTTGTGGTAATTGGTTACTGCAGCCACAAGAGATTAATACATTCATTAACAGCTTTCTGTGGTCTACCAATCCAGGGATTGAAATTAGTATTCTTTGGATTGCCACTAAGGCACCCATAATTTTGGCTTGCTCCAAACTGTATATATTTTATTCTACTAGTTGGCAAACTGTTTCTGGCATGGATGAGATTTAAAAAAAAAAAAAATTAGACTTTGTCAACCATGTGGACTTTGTCAAAACTACTCAACTCTGCCATTGTTATATGAAAGCAGTCACAGAAAATACATACCTACGAGTATGGCTGTGATCAAATAAAACTTTATGAAAACGTGGTGGTTCAAATTTGGCCCACAGGGCATTTTTACTGACCCCTGTCCAATATTATATACTTGCTCGATTCCAATAATTTTCTTTCCTCCATTTCATACTATATAGCAACCAGGAAGCATTTTTTCTTTTTATTCTTTTTAACCATCCACAAGGATTATATATTGTGCATCTTCTCTTTTAAGCATAAATATTTGTTGAAAGAGTAAATGAATACATTCCTGATCTCCCGTCTTAGTCTTACTAATATGCTCATTTCCTTCAAAAAATAATTTACTCAAAAAATAGCAGAATATTTGTCCAAACACTCTGCCTATGGGTATTCTAATCGCTCATCCAGAATTAATTCCAGTACTACCTCTTCTATAAAAACAGCTTCAAATACTGTAACTTTTATTTCTCTGTTATTGTGTATATAATCAGTACACCAAAATAGCACATACTGCCTTTTTAATACACTTTGTACGTGTTTAATCTAGGTGATTTTCATAATTTTCTTCAGAGCCACTGTTTTGACAGCATACAACCATTGTAGATTTCTGATAACATGAATTAAGCTTGATATATTTAGGGTATTTTTTGCTTTTCAAAATTGATTTATTTATATATTGAGCAGCTTATGTACACTATACATCAAAAAATGCTGACCTCTATTTTCAGCTGTGCTTTATATGTGTAGAAATCCTGTTTCTCTTTTCTAAGTAAATATTCAACATTATTTTTGAGATCAATTTCTAGAAATTTGATTACTTGATATTGGCTGATGTTAAATTACATGCCTATAGAAAATATATTAAAGAACTCCCGCAGAAAACTCTTGGTCTATTTAGTTAAAAAATCCCATGGCAGATAAGCGCAATTACTTATTCATGACAAAGAGAACAGAATCCAGTCAGTTTCCTACATTAAATGAAAAAAGCAACATTTGGATTTGATAACTGAAAAGAAATGAGAGTATGTACAGAAAACTAAATTCTTTCCCATATGTTCTCCTTAAATTTAAAATGAATTCTGTTGCCATTGCAATATGTAAACTTTCTTCATTAAACAGATTATTTTAGCCTTGTTAATATCACCAAAAACATAACGTTTGTGAACACAGAAAGCCACTGTTTATTTTAGATATCTTATCAAAATTCTGTTTATGTAAAAAAAATCCCTGTTGGCATGTACATATTTTAATATTATTTTTCCTATATCTTCAATAATTACTTAATATGCTGCAGACTCCCTCTAAAATCACCTGAGGGTTTTAAAATTATATTTCTCTCCATTTTCATGTGTTACCACAAAGCCTTCAAGAGAAAGTCTGTAATATAATGCCCACAGATATGCAAACACAAACAGGAAAGTATTAAAATAATAGTATATATAGCTTTTTCTTTAATGATAATGCTTATACATGATTCTCAATAAACAACATTATTCTAAAACTCATTTTATAGAGCTTATTTTCTTATTACAATTGAAGTAAAAATTACTTTATACTTGAGATAGTGTGCACTGTAATATAAATAAGCAAAATATTATTGATTCATTTATTTAAGAAGTACTTACTGCTGGCCTATTATGGTATAATATTGAGATACATTTCCATTATTTTAATGCATTCCTTATAGAGAAAGAAATTAAAAAATATAAGTTTAATTAGTATAATGTACAGACCTAAGTGAATATTTCTGATATGTTAGAAGAAAAAATACTCTCCTCAGTTGTTCTTCATTGTGTTAAGGCCCTTTGCATAAGGAATAGGTGTCTGTCTTTATGTTGAGACAAACTGTAACTTTAAAGTTCATTTAAACAATGTTTGGCTTAAACTCTTCAAAAGTTTCCTTATTAAAATATTAAGATTGATATCTTTTTTTGCTTTGTCACATTAGTTTTACCCATTTTTAATCTATCAAAACAGTGTGACGTGACAGAATTGATGATGTAATCAAAACTGTGCTACTTTTCAGAATCAAATATATACTAGTATAATTTTAAAATTATTTTATAATTTTGATGTTTATTTTATAAACAAAAATTAAAAGCATTTATTAGAAAATATAAATTTAGATAAATCTAAATTTATTATAGAATTATTTTATGAAGTGCAAAATTTCTTGAATTTGAGTAACATCTATTTCTTCAGGTTAATTATGTTTACACTTAATTAAAAAGAAAACACAAATTAAAGTACAGGATGCATCTATGTCACAGTCTATTCACCTTCTTTGCTTTTTCTAGTAACGTTCAGGGTCTTCCTTACAAAACTTCTTCCCTTCACTTTAGAGCACCATTACATTTGTTTGAATATTGGCTGAAAGAAGTCATTAAGAGCAAATATTTTACCTTTGGCACCCATGATTGATCCACATAACCAAACTTACTACCCCCTCATATCCCTAAGGATTGGTCAGCCATAGTCCTGCTCTGGAAATCCCAGTATACACATTTCCTCTGAGAATTTCATATGGGACCTGTATGTAACAGCTGATGTCAGTTTACTATCAGGAGGGCAAAAGTGGGCATATAGCAAAGAGTGTAGTTAAATTATGTGTAGAAACTACCACAGAAATATTGATTAAAACATGTCTTACATGATAAATAAAATTTTGTTTAATTTAAAATAAATAAATAATTTTTTAAGAAAAGAGAAACATACCTGAACTATCATCCACTGGTAGCTCATGCCAGTTAAAATGTGTTGTCTGTTATATTTAAACCAAACATCCTATTTCACATAAAATTGTTAACAGGAGATAAAGTCCATATGATAAACAACAAATTCTGATGTGTAGAATGAGCTGATCCAAGGAAGCAGGCCAGAAGGCAATGATGGAAGTCAAGGGGAAAAGCGCCTCAGAAATACAAATGGAATCAATTGTGTCAGAGGCTAAAGAGAAAGATCACCAAAAAGAGAAGTATACTGGTTCAGAAAAGGTATCAACCCCAAGAGAGGCAACAATCTGCCAGTCAACCTGGATTATGCAGAATAATTAGTTCCTAACACATGCAAAATCCTCTGCAAGACAAGGAAATTCTTAAGGACATCTATACTGCATGCAGTGACTCAGTGAACTTGTTGGCCTTCATATTGCAGCTCCGTATTCTCTACAGAAGGCTTCTACCATTATGTTGACAAAAAGAACAGAGACTGGATAATTATGCGGGCATCTTCACTGCCTCAGCTCCAATATGTCACACATTACTTACCTTCATATCACAGTGGCCAGACCAATCACGACCTTCCATGTAGGCTCTGGAAGCAAAGGGAAACTGGGTATCTGTGAGACTGAGAAGAAAATTGTTAATGTATAAATTATTTATGTGTGACACTAGGAATAATATATTCTCCATAGTTGTTTAAATAAATGCAAAAAACTAATGAGTTGAGTCCTAAGGAAAATCATTGACTCTTTTGTAAATATTTTATTTGTTATTAAATTATCAATTTTCCTATTTTTATTATAAAATATTAATGCAAGATAGTTTGTATATATTTTATCTCTAGGAAAATTATAGTGGAATGAAGGAAAGAAAAAGTGACACCTAAAAAGAAACCCAAATTAGATAGGGGAGAGTAGTTTTCTCAGATTATATTGTTTGTTTGTATATATTTGTAAGCTGGGAAGGGGTTGAGCCAAGTGTATGCTAAAGAAAATAGTGAAGAGAGAAAATATAAAAATACAGAATTTGGAGAAAGGAAACATTTAATTACATAGATTCCCCCAAAATATAAAATGTAATAGGATCCAGACTAGAATAGATCAGATTAAAGTTAAACAGGAAAGAAACCTACTACTCTAATATAGGATTACAGGAAGGGAACATATGTACAAAGTATTTTCTTTTTATATTATGGAAACATAAGGGAGTTGCTATTTTATAATATTCATTTTCTCTGTGAAGTAAGAGGCCTGGGTTCTTAGGGAAGGAGATAAAGACAGATTGTGAGAGACAGAGACAAAGATTGAGAGAAGCTGAGACAAAGGTTAGTGTGCTTAGGGTTAAGATTGGTAATGATTATTTCAGTGAGATCCCATAGGAAGTATGAGATGACATTGACCATTGGCATTTTCAAGGGTTACAAAGAAAGATTGGTAGAAATTTTTCCCTGGGATGCAAGGATGATTCAACATACATAAATCATTAAATGTGACGCATCACATCAACAGAATGAAGGGTAAAACCATGAGATCATTTCCATTGATGCTGAAAAAGCATTTGATAAAATTCAACATTGCTTCATTATAAAACTGCCAAAAAACTGGAGATGGAAGGAACATACTTCAACATAATTAAAAGCCATATATGACAGACCCACAGCTAGAATCACACTGAATGTGGAAAAAACTGAAAGACTTTCCTCTAAGAACTAGAACATGATAAAGACACCCATTTTTACCCCTGTGTTATTCGACACAGTACTGGCAGTCCTAACTAGAGCAATCAGTCAAGAGAAAGAAATAAAGGACATCCAAACTGAAATGGAAGAAGTCAAAATATCCTTGTTTGTAGACATGATCTTACATTTGAAAAAACCTAAAGATACCCACAAAACCTATTAGAACTAATTTTAAAAAGTCAGTAAAGTTGCAGGATATAAAATCAAACGTCAGTAGCATTTTTAAATGCCAACAGTGAGCAATCTGAAAAAAATTTTTTTTAAATCCTACTTACAATAACCACAAATAAAATTAGATACCTAGGAATTAACTAACCAAAAAAGTGAAAGATCCCTATAAGGAAAACTATAAAGTACTGAGGAAAAAAAATTGAAGAGGACAACAAAAAATGGAAAGGTATTTCATGTTCATGGTTTGGAAGATTAAATATTGTTAAAATGTCTCTACTACCCAAAGCAATATATAGATTCAAAGCAATCCCTATCAAAAGATCAATGACATTCTGCACAGAAATAGAAAAAAAATCCTAATATATATATGGAACCATAAGAGACTCAGCATAACCAAAGATATCCTAAGTAAAAAGAACAAAACTGGACTAATCACATTACCTGACTTCAAATTATACTGCAGAGCTGTAGTAACCAAAACAGCATGGTACTGGAATGATAAAAAATAGTACATAAATAAATAAACAAACATAGACCAATGAAACAGAATAGAAAACCCAGAAATAAATCCACGTACTTACAGGGAGCTCATTTCAATAAAGTTTCCAAGAACATACATTGGGGAAAAGAAAGTCTCTTCAATAAATGATACTGGGAAAACTGGATCTCCATATGCAGAAGAATGAAACTAGACCTTTATCTCTCACCTTATACAAAAATCAAATCAAAATCAATTAAAGACTTAAATCTGAGACTTCAAACTGTGAAACTACTACAAGATAACATCGGGGAAATTCTCCAGGACATTAGTCTGGGCAAAGATTTCTTGAACAATACCCTGCAAGCACAGGCAACCAAAGCAAAAATGGACAAATGGGATCACATCAAGTTAAAAAGCTTTTGCCTAGCAAAGGAAATTATAATCAAAGTGAAAAGACAACTACCCCTCTGATGAGGGATTAATAACTAGAGTAAAGAGCTTAAACAACTCTATAGGAAAATATCTAATAATCCAATCAAAAAGTAGGCAAAATATTTGAATAGATATTTCTCAAAAGAAGACATACAAATGCAAACAGGCATCTGAAAAGGTGATCAACACCACTGATCTTCAGAGAAATGAAAATCCTAAGCATTTCTAAGAAATGTATCTAAGAATGGGATATCCTCTCACCCCTGGTAAAATGATTTACATCCAAAAGACAGGCGATAACAAGTACTGGTGAGGATGTGGAGAAAAGTCAACCCTTGTACACTGTTGGTGAGAAGGTAAATTAGCACAATCACTATGGAAACAGTTTGGAGCTTCCTCAGAAAACTAAAAATTGAGCTACCATATGATCTAGCATTTCCACTGCTGGGTACGTACTCAAAAGAAAGAAAATCAGTATATGAAAGAGATATTTGTACTCCCATGTTTGTTGTAGCACTGTTCACAATAACTGAGATTTGGAAGCAATATAAGTGTCTATCAGCAGATGAATGAATAAAGAAAATGTGGTACATATACACAATGGAGTACTACTCAAATGAGATTCTGTCATTTGCAACAACATGGAGGGAACTGGAGGTCACTATGCTAAGTGAAATAAGTCCAGCACAGAGACAAAGATCACATCTTCTCACTTAATTGTGGGATCTAAAAATCAAAACAAACTCATGGACATATAAAGTATAAGGATAGTTACTAGAGGCTGGGAAGGGTAGTGGGGTGCTGGCAGGGAGAGGTGTAGATGGCTAATATTTAGAAAGAATGAATAAGACATACGATTTGATAACATGACAGCATGACTATAGTCAATGATAATTTAATTGTACATTTAAAAATAACCAAAAGAGTACAATTAGATTGCTTTTTATACAAATGATAAATGCTTGATGGGATGAATGGATACTCCATTCTTCATGATGTGATTATTTCACATTGCATGCCTGTATCAGAATATCTCATCTACCCCATAAATGTATACACCTATTGTGTACCCAGAAACATTAAAAATCAGACTATTTAAAAAGAATAAATAGTACAAAGAAAGATTGATAAACAACTGGAGACTAGAAACCACAAATTTAAACTGTATCATGATTATCTAGGCTCCAAAAACACCAGGAAAAAAAAATGAATGTTAGGATTAGCAAAAGGCTAACTATTAATACGTATAATTCTACGAATATAGAAACAGTTTTAAAAAAATAAGGTGGTTAAATGGGTTAAGTGCAATTGTGGTTGAATAAAAAACATTTTGGTTAAAAAAAGGGACTGGCTGGGCGTGGTGGCTCACGCCTGTAATCCCAACACTTTGGGACGCCCAGGTGGGTGGATCATGAGGTCAAGAGATCAAGACCATCCTGGCCCACATGGTGAAACCCCATCTCTACTAAAAATACAAACATTAGTTTGGCATGGTGGTACTTGCCTGTAGTCCTAGCTACTTGGGAGGCTGAGGCAGGAGAATCTCTTCAACCCAGAAGGCGGAGGTTGTAGTGAGCGGAGATTGCGCCACTGCAATCCAGCCTGGAGACAGAGCGAGACTCTGTGAAAAAAAAAAAAAAAGAAAGAAAAAAAAGGAAAGAAAGAAAAAGGGACTAGAAGCTAAAAGTAAAAGGGTATCATAGGAAAGAAAGAGAATATTTAAAAGCTTAAGAAAGCCAAAGCACAACAGAGGTAGAAATAAGGGATTGAGAAAAGTAGAAGTTAATTTATTATGAAGATTAGGGGAGGTTTTTTAAATTATATAAAAAATTATTGATATGGTTTGCCTGTGTCCCCACCCAAATCTCAGCTTGAATTGTATCTTCCAGAATTCCCATGTGTTGTAGGAGGCACTCAGGCAGAGGTAATTGAATCATGGGAGCTGATCTTTCCTGTGCTATTCTCGTGCTAGTGAATAAGTCTTACGTGATTTGATGGTTTTATCATGGGTTTCTGCTTTTGCTTCTTCCTCATTTTCTCTTGCCACTGCCATGTAAGACATGCCTTTCACCTTGCACCGTGATTCAGAGGCCTCCCAGTCATGTGGAACTGTAAGTCCAATTAAAACCTCTTTTCCTTCCCAGTCTTGGTTATGCCTTTTTCAGCAGTGTGAAAACAGACTAATACAATTATGGTGCGACCAAATTCTAGGTTATGATATGACCAAATGAGCTGTCTAAGGTGGGAAAATTCTAGGAAGGTGAGGAAAACAGGCCATAGAAGTCAGTTTGGTATTGAGATTATGAAACAAATGTATTCACTTGATCATCTACGAAGATATAGAAGTCATCTAGGATGATGTCTAGAAAGTAAATTGTGACCCAGAGTCCAGATTTTCAGTCAATTTGGACTCATTTCTGTAGGTTTAGGAAATTCTGCTAATGAAAATCAATTGAAGATGTTATTGCCTAAAGATATAAACCTAGAAATGGGAACAAAGCATATGAATGATAGCACTATATCACCTTGGGACATTAGGGCCATGGGCTACAGGAAAATTAGCAACCTTCTATAGATGACATAGAAGAAAGAGTGATCTCAGAAGAGATCCAATATTTTAGTTCAGGCGAAGCGGAGAGACAAATTATTTGTAAAAAATGTTGCATATGATGAGGATGGGGGAGGTTCTTTACAATGTAACTAAAGTATCTGGGTATAAAATTCTATGAAAGACAGATTATAGGTAAGATTTGCATTTAGGAATATTCCAAAAAGTAGGAGGAATGAGAGATATCAGGCAGATTCAGGTTGGGGAACCAAATGTGAAAATTTAAAAAATGCATGGCTTGCTGTTAAGACCCTCTGAAGTGCAAGAATTCTTAGAGCTTTCAGCCAGATTGGTCCACTAACTGACTACGTGGCCTTAGATGAGACTTTTAAAATCTGAGCATGGATTTTCTTTGCATTTTGGTCCAACAAAAGTCAACCTTGTGCAGTCAGACAAGGGAGCTGCTATTCCTGCTCTGCTTGGCCATGTGGAATTTCTTCACAGTGGAGAAGGGAAGCAACAGGGAGAGTAGCCTGTGATTAACAGAGTACACACTACAATTGTTCTGACATTTAGCAGATATTTTGAAGATGTGTTGCTAAATTTGCCTTGTCACTTTGCAGTCTTTAAATTATGTTTTTGACAATATTGTTCATTTTTTCTTTTGCCTGTTCGAGAGAGGATCTGCTGGGCTCCTTACTCAGCTATCCTCAAAGTCCCAACCTGTAGCCATTTCCCTTTATTGCATCTCCATCAGGAAACTCTTTTGGTCAAAGACTTATTCCTGGACAAAAAGCTTGTGATTTTGGAAGAAAACAGACTTTGGGAATTAATTCCCAATGGTGAGTGGGTAAACCCCTGCCTGGTAGCATTCAGTCCTCACCTCAGCAGTGCTTTCACAATATCCTTATCTTGTCCCACAGTTCCTGATGGCTTGTGCTGTCGGTGTAAGTTGAGGCAATATTTGCCTTGGAGAGGAAAAATCCAGCTTACTTGTGTTCCCTAACTTGTCTTTTCAGCATTGCTTCACAACCACCTCTGCCCCATGTTGCAGTCCTCACTTTTACACACACAAACACCAATTCATGATTCTTACTACTTCCAGAGGCCTTTACCGATTTCTTTATTGATTTTTTTGAGCATTTTATAGTTCTTATTAAATCCTCATATTCCTGCTCCTATTTGGACTTTACATTTTTAAAATTTTATTATTTAATTTAATAACTTTTTTATAAAAATATTTTTTAAATTTGTTTATGATTTATGTAATGTATTTATTTTTTAGATTAGTGAACTGCAGGGTGGAAGAAGCAGTAGCCATGCTACTAAATGTGTTCACTCTTCATTATTTGTTGAGAATATACTGATTCAGATTGTCAAATTTGACCCAAAGAATTTGAGATGCTGCCCATTTTCAGACTGTTCTTAAAATCCAAAAAGAAAGAAATAAATGCATGTAAACATGTGTCACAGGTAAGTCATGCTAGAATCTGAGAAACATCAACACAGATTCCTGGGTTCTTTTTTGGTAAGCTCCCTGCTTCGTATTTAAAACAACAGAGCCCTCAGTGATGCATGTGAAAATTATTTTACAGAAAGGGAACAATACTGATCTTGAAGCATCTCCAATTATATACTCCAATAATTACACAGTGAAGCATCTCCATTATATACTTCAATAATTACATAGCTAAACCTGGCATTTTCTAGCAGGCCTCGTCCAGTGAGCATGGGCTATGTTAAAATTAGCAAATGCTCACGATACTATATGAGAAGCAGCGACCTAACAAAAGATGCATATTTTAGATCAGACAAAGAAAGGAGAGAAACTCTTTAAAGATGGAGCTTTTTGGCTGGGCATGGTGGTGGCTCATGCCTGTAATCCCAGCACTTTCGGAGGTCCAGGCAGGCAGATCACTTGAGGTCAGGAGTTGAAGACCAACTTGGCCAACATGGTGAAACACCATCTCTACAGAAAAAAAAAAAAAAAAAAAAAATTAGCTGTGTGTGGTGGCAAAAGCCTGTAATTGCAGCTACTTGGGAGGCTGAGGCAGGAGACTTGCTTGAACCCGGGTGGTAGAGGCTGCAGTGAGCTGAGATCATGCCACTGCACTCTAGCCTAGGCAACAGAGCAAGACTCTGTCAGGAAAGAAAAGAAAAAATAAAAGAAAGAAAAGAGAGGAGAGGGGAAGGTAGGGGAGAGGAGAGGAGAGGAGGGAAGAGAAGGGAAGAGAAAGAGGAGGAGAGGGGAGGGGAGGGGAAGAGAAGGGAAGGGAAGGGAGGGGCTTTTTGTTTATAATGAAAATAAATATAAGGGGGATGATGAAAATGATATGCTGTAAAATGCTTAACATTTTGCTCTCTGGTGGAGGAAGGGAGAGATGAAAGCCCTGATTTGATCTGTAAGCTACTTTTTGTCATGTCAGTGCCTTGTGGATGATTTTGAACAATTGATGTGATGTCATTGGACTCTAAATAGAAAAGAAATGCACACTATTCATGCTCAACAGCAAGTTTGCACCAAGTCAACTGTACAACTGGCCACACCCCATAAATACATACATTCTAGGTTCATTTACCATAAGCAGCCCAGACAGACCATGCTAAAAACATTTCACAGATTAAGAATCTCTATTATATTTTTCTGTTAGAGACCATCAGATGATTGATTAGCATATTTACAAATAATTTTGACAAAATCATGTTTTTATTTTTCTTTCTCCTCAAGCATCCTCAAAGGTAGAAGAATGAGCTGCAGATAAGATGTCTGCCTTTTTCTTCCCACTCATGAATTTGCCTTTTTCTTCAGTCTTGGATAGAGATAAATGTACATATAAACACTTATATAGATTTTACGTCTATATTTTTAATTCTACAATGAAGATATGCCTAGAGGGACTTTTTTTTAAATTGAGATATCTGTATTTCTACATCTGTATTATATTTAATTTTATTCCATTTTATTTTAATTCCAACGTTTTCTCATGATGTTCAACAGCTTTGAATAAACCAGAACTTTCAGTTTTTGACCATCTCTTTTTAGTTGTGTTTCTTTTAAATAGAATATTATTTTCTGATTTAGTAAAATTTTTTGGCAGAAAATAAAATAAATTTTAGTTTAAAAGACAAAGCATATAACTTTTGTTACAAAGGGAATTGCTAATGGACATGTAGAAATTATGGTTGTAACACAGAGTTTTGAAATTATCAAAACAGAAAAACAAAGTCGTTTTTAATTACTTTAAGAGAAGAAGAAAGCAGTAGTAAGCATACCAGCAGCTTTCCAAAAATGATATTAGATTAGACACTGTGTGAAAAACATAAGTGAAAGTGTAACCAATGGAAAAACAATAATATTATTTGTTATAATTTGCATGGTTCAAGTCATCTCTTTAAAATCATGAGCTCTTTTTGACAGCCATATTCTATAATTATTTTATTAAAATTATTTCAAATTATAATTTTGCTGGCTTATCAAAAATAATTTTATTAAAATAAATGTTTTTATTGTTAATAGCGTATTAGGTATAATCTCATTCCTCTCGTGCAAGAAAAGTGTCATTCTTAATTTTTCGGTAACTTAGTTGATTACTGTTTCAAAAAACCTTTTTATTAGGATGCTGAGATATATTTTATGCTACTTGTAATTCTTGCAATTTCCTCAGGTTTTGCTAATTTCCAGGTTGCTTATACACTATATATATTTTTTGTTAACATCTTGACTATGAACAGTGCATAATGTTAAGTCATGCCATTTATCTGCTGAGGACTGTTTATCAATGTCCAAAATACTTTGAACATAATGGTTTAAATATATTATACAAATCCAATTAATTTCACCTTTTTCTTTATACTGCATGAGTGTGTAAGTGACCTACTCTATACTTAGTGTAGTTGTATTGTATTACTATTAGATAGTGTTTGACTAGAATTTGACCAACCATGAGTGTGGAAAGCTTAAAAAAAAAAAAAGAAAAAAAGAAAAAGATGAAGGAAAAGAACTTAGCTCTAGAACTTAGAAAGGGCTGGAAAAATTACTGTGTTGAAAATGTGTTTATGCAATAAAATCAAAACGTCCACGAGTTTTGATGGACAAAAAGAGAGTAAACTAGATACTCAAGTTATAAATGTTGTTACTACACAACAGCTAAAAGCTGAGACAAATTGAGAGTGAAAAAATAAAAATAGGTTCTTTTAAAGAGTTGAGATTCTATAAAAATGAAGGGGTGGATATGGTGTAGAAGTAGAAATGAGGATGATAATATATGCTCATATAACAAATATAGTGTCCTTATTTTTGTGTCTTTCAATACTAACACTTTTTTTCTAAATAATAGCTATCAATAAAAAGTTTAAAAAATAACCTCAAATAAGGAGAAACTCCACACGTAGTTTAGATGATAAAGGGATTAAGCAATGATAAAGACCACGCCTAGCAAGCATCTTAATTTTACTGACAACATTATGGACACTGTTTTTAAAATCCTTTTTTGTCTATATGTGCCCATCATTATCAATATGAAAATTCTTTGTCCTTATAATGAAAAGTAAATACTTGGGCAAATACCAAAGCTACAGGATGTACCAGTCAAATTATATTCTATGTGAATAGTGCCTACCGGTTTTGGATTGTGCACCAATTACTACATATCATTTGCAAAGCTGAGAGGGTTGTTACGGTAAGTGGATTATAAGTATTATGTAGCAGGGCATGAATGCAAAAACACTTTTCATTCTTTTTCATTTTGAGAGAATTTTTAATTGTGTGTGTGTGTGTTTCAAAGACAGAGAATCATTTAGAATCAGACAAACATAGTATTTAATTGAAGGTTTATTGGTATTTAGCATGGGTCTACATGGACCGTTATTTTAAAATATGTAGTAAAATTAAGCCCATCACTTGAAATAATTCACATAATCAGTTTATGGAAAAAGAAAATTTAACTTTTTGTGACCTGTGTCCCCAAATGTTGCCACCATTTACTTAACAAAAGAACTTGTATATACTTTTTAAAATAATTGTTGGATATTTTTCTAATTTTATTTTTAATTGACATGTAATACTTGTACATATTTCTGGGGTACAGAATAATATTTCAGTGCATACCTGCAATATATAGTGATGAAATTAGAGTAATTAATAATTTTATTATCTCAAATATTTGCTGTTTATTTGAGTTGGGAACACTCAAAATTGTCCTTTAGGTATTTGACAATACACAATAAATTGTTAACTACAGTCACTCCACAGGGGTATGGAAGACTAGAACTGGTTCTTTCTATCTAGATGTAATTTTATGACTGTCAACAAACCCCTCTCTGTCCTCCACTTCCCCATTTCTATTACCCACTATTCTACTCTTTACATGTATAAGCTCAACATTTTAGCCCCCACATATGAGTAAGAACATACAGTATTTATCTTTCCATGCCTGAATTATTTTACTTAAAATAATATCCTCCAGGCTTATCCGTGTTGCCCTGAATAAAATGATTTCATTCTTTATTATGGCCGAATGGTATTCCATTGTGTGTGTGTGTATATATATATATCTCCATTATATCTTGGCTTAGGTCCATTCCATATCTTGGCTATTGTGAATAGTGCTGCAATAAATACGGGTGTGTGTGCATATATAACTTCAATACACTGGCACACCTAGTTTTATGGAACTTTATTATACCTCACATATATTTTCTGTCTTAGAAAATAAAGGTTTGTCACAACTCTACATTGAACAAATCTATTGGTGTCATTTGTCTAAAAGTATGTGCTCATTTCATGTCTCTGTGTCAAATTTTGCTAATTCTTGCAATATTTCAAATTATTACTGTTCTATATGTTATGGTGTTCTGTGATCAGGGATCTTTGATGCTACTTTCGTAATTGTTTTTGGATGCCACTTAGCACACCAATATAAGACAACAAACTTAATTGATAAATATTGTGTGTGTTCTAACTGCTCCACCAACTGGCAATTTCACTGTGTTTCTCCCTCTCCTTGAGGCTGTCTGGTCCCTAAGACACAGCAATATTGAAATTAGGCCATTTGATAACCATACAGTGGCCTCTACATGTTAAAGTGAAAGGAAAAGTGATCTGTCTCTACTTTAAATCAACAAATAGAAATAATTAAGCTTAATAAAGAAGGCACCTCAAAAGCTAAGATAAGTTAAAGATAGGCCTCTTGTGCCATGCAGTTTGCCAAATTGTGAACGCCAAGGACAATTCTTGAAGGAAATTAAAAGTGCTACTCCAGTGAACACACGAATGATAAGAAAGTGAAACAGCCTTATTGTGATATGGATAAAGTTTGTGTGGCCTGGATAGAAGATCAACCCAGCCAAAACATTTCCTTAAGCCAAAGCCTAATCCAGAGCAAGGCCCTAACCCTGTCCAATTCTGTGGAGGCTAAGAGAGGTAAGGAACTGTGAAAGGAAAGTGTGAAGCTAGCAGAGCTTAATTAATGAGCTTTAAGGAAAGAAGACATCTTCATAACCCAAAAGTGGAAGTCACAAGTTCTGAGGTTTAAAGCTGCAACAAGTTCTATCCAGAGGATTTAGCTAACATCATCGATGAAGGAGGCTACACTTAATGACATTTTTAATGTATTTTTTTTTAATGTAGACAGCCCTGTATTGGAGGAAGATGCCATCTAGGACTTTCACAGTTAAAATAAATGATGGCAATGTCTTCCTTCAAAGCTTCAAAGGCAGGTTAACACTCTTTTTCAAAATTAATGCACCTGGTGGCTTTAAGTTGAAGCTAATATTCATTTACCATTCCAAAAATCCTAGGGCTCTTAAGAATTACTCTAAATCAACTCTGCCTGTGCTCTACATTAAGAACAATAAAGCCTGGCTAACAGGACATCTGTCTGTAGTATGGTTTACTGAACACTTTCAGCCCACTTTTGATACCTATTGGTAAGAAAATGCGCATTGACAATGTATCTGGTCATGCAAGAGCTCCAGTGAAGATGTACAAGGAGATTTATGTTGTCTTCATGCCTGCTAACACAACACCTATTCTGCAATCTATGGATCAAAGAGTAATTTAGACTTTCAGGTCTTATCATTTGTAAGGCTAGACCTGCCGTAGATAGTGATTCCTCTGACAGATCTGGGCAAAGTAAGTAGAAAACCTTCTGCATAGGATTCACCATTCCAGATGCCATGAAGGAAATTCATGATACACGGGAGGAGGTAAAAATATCAATATTAACAGAAATTTCGAAGAAATTGATTCCAGCCCTCATGGATGACACTGAGGGTTCAAAACTCCAGTAAAGGAAGCAATTGCAGATGTGGTGGAAATGGCAAGATAACTTGAATTAGAAGTGATCCATGAGATGTGACTTAATTGCTACAAACTCATGATAAAATTGATGAGGAGTTGTTTCTTATGAATGAGGAAATAAAAGTGGTTTCTTGAGATGGAATCTACTCCTGATGAAGATGCTGTGAACTTTGTTAAAACGACAACGCATAATTTAGAATATTATATAAACTTAGTTGATAAAGCAGTGGCAAGGTTTGAGAAGACTGACTCTAATTTTGAAAGAAGTTCCACTGTGAGTAATGCTATCAAAGAACATCAGATGCTATAGAGAAATCTTTCATGAAAGAAAAAGTCAATTAATGTGCCCCCCAAAAAAATTGTTTAATGTTTTCATTATTTTTTCTCAAGTCAGATATTAAATTTTTGTCACAAACCTTTTTTAAGTAAAGTTTTTATTTGAAGTAATTACATATTTATTGTTGTCTTATTTTTTAAAAATTGCCACAGCCACCCCAACCTTCAGCAACTACCACTCTAATCAGTTAGCAGCCATTAACATTAAGACAAGACCTTCTATCAGTAAAAAGATTACTACTCACTTAAGGCTCAGATGACGGTTAGTATTTTTAAGCAATAAAATATGTTTTGAAATTAAAGCATGTACATTGTTTTTAGATATAATGTTTTTGTACACCTAAACTACACTATAGTGTAAATATAACTTTTGCACACACTGGAAAACCAAAGTATTTGTGTGACTCACTACATTGTGGGGATTAAGAACCAAAACAGCAGTCTCTGAGGCATGCCTGTACTGATTTATTTTCCTTTGAATAAATACCAGGTGTGGGATTTTTGGATCATATGATAGTTCTATTTTTAATTTTCTGACTAACTACCATAATGTGTTCCATAATGGCTATACTATTTTTAAGTGGTCAAATAAAGAAAATAGGCCTTTAGATATTGATCAATCCTCTTGTTACATAGAGAGTATTACAGAAAGGAAATTTTCCGTTCTTTGTAAGTTTTCACTTTGTTTTCCAACCACAGTTACCTACATTTATTATAACATCAATTGTTCAGATGAAGTTACTAACTTTCTATCCTCTCTGCTTTTTGAAGCTTAGGTTCTAAATGAAAAGGGTATGTGTTCTAATGGAATTCTCCCCTGGGGCACGTTGAGTCATTTTATACAATGACACACTAAGAAAGGCAATTTATGATGTGTGACTGAATCTAATGTGACTTTTTCATCATTTCATTTGTTTTCCATTAGTCAGAAAAAAAGACATAAGAACTACATACAAATCTTTTTGTTGCACTCCACAGGGATTTTCTAGTATATTAAATTCTGGTGGAATACGATATTTTATAAAGCTTAGAAAAAAATGTTGTTCAAAAACATTTTTTTTACCTTCAAATCTCTATCAAGAATTCCTATAATGTTTTTGAAGACACCTAAATTCTTTTTAAAAAATAAAGATCTTCCAAAATATATTTTTATGTAAGTGCTTAAAACTTTAATCAGTGCTTCTAAACAATTTTCAGCTATAATTCAGAGCTCTGAAACCATTGTCATTCAAATATAAATCAAATAAAATCAGAGTTGATTGCTCTGATTATATAATTTAAGTCTGTAAATCCTTATTTTTAGTTATCTAAGATGTTTTCCATTACAGTTTTTCTACAACTTGGGTTTCTAATAAATTGACAGCTGTAAACATGCAAATATCATTGTGATAAAAGTATCATAATATATAATGTATCAAGACTATTTACATAACATCTTTAGTCTAGTGAGGTTTTACTCCTTAAGTAATGTCCATCACTATATTCCCTTCCCACCCTATTTTCACACTAATTTCTTTGCTGCTATTTTCATTAGATATTTGTATTAGTTCGCTTGGTTTTCTCACCTTTTCTTGCCCTCCACTTACCCTCTTCATGTTTACTTTTTAGTATTATTTGAGATATACTGTAAATATTAGCACATTCATTCAATATAGTGGCTCATTTAATTATTTTTTAGATTAAAAAATGTGGGTACACAGTAGGTGTACCTATTTATGGGACTAAACAAAATGTTTTGTTATCGGCATGCAATGTGAAATAAGCACATCATGAGGAATGGGGTATCTCTCCCCTCAAGCATTTATTATTTGAGTTATAAACAATCCAATTATGCTCTTTAAGTTATTTTAAAATGTACGATTAAGTTGTTACCAATTATAGTCACCCTGTTGTGCGATCAAATAGTAGGTCTTATTCATTCTTTTCAAATATTTTCTTTCCTGTTAACCATCCTCTCCTCCCCCATCCTCCAGCCCTCCACTAACTTTCCCAGCCTCCGATAATCATCCTTCTATTTTCTAAGTCCATGAGTTCAACTGTTTTGATTTTGATAACCCACATATAAGTAAGAACATGTGATGTTTGTCTTTCTGTGCCTGGCTTACTTTACTTAACATAATAATCTCCAGTTTCATCCATGTTATTGCAGATTACTGGATCTCATTCATTTTTATGGCTGAATGATACTTCATTGTGTATATGTACTACATTTTCTTCATTCTGCTGATGAACGTTTAGTTGCTTCCAAATCTTAGCTATTATAAACAGTGCTGCAGCAAACATAGGAGTGCAGATATCTCTTTCATATACTGATTACCTTTCTTTTTTATATATACCCAGCAGTGGGATTGCTGGATCTTATGGTAACTAACTTTTTAGTTTTTTGAGAAACCTCCAAACTGTTTCTATAGTGGATGCACTAATTTACATTCCCACCAACAGTGTACAAGTGTTCTCTTTTCTCCGCATCCTCACCAGCATTCGTTATTGCCTGTTTTTTGGATATAAGCCATTTTAACTGAGGTGAGAAAATATCTCATTGCAGTTTTGATATGCATTTCTCTGATGATCAGTGATATTGAGCACTTTTTCATATGCCTGTTGCCATTTGTATGTATCCTTTTTAGAAATCTCTATTCAGATCTGTTGCCCATTTTTTTTTTCAGATTATTAGATTTTTTTCTGTAGAGGAGTCTGAGTTCCTTATATATTCTGGTTATTAGTCCCCTGTCAGATGCGTAGTTTGCAAATATTTTCTCCCTTTCTGTGAGCTGTCCTTTTAATTTACTGATTGTTTACTTTGCTGTGCAGAAGCTTTTTAACTTGATGTGATCTCATTTATCCATTTTTGCTTTGTTTGCCTGTGTTTGTGGGGTATTACTCAAGAAATTTTGGCCCAGACCAATGTCCTGAAGATTTCCCCAGTGCTTTTTTGTAGTAGTTTAATAGTTTCAGGTATTAGATTTAAGTCTTTAATCCACTTTGATTTTTTTTTGTATATGGCCATATACTAGTTTCGTTATTCTGCATATGGAAATGCAGTTTTCCCAGCACAATTTATTGAAGAGACTGTCTTTTCCCCAGTGTATGTTCTTGGAAACTTTGTTGAAAATCAGTTCACTGTAGGTGTGTGGATTTGTTTCTGAGTTCTCTATTCTGTTCCATTGGCCCATGTGTCTGTTTCTAAGCGAGGACCATGTTGTTTTGGTTGCTACAGCTCTGTATTTTAATTTGAAGTCAGGTAATGTGAATCCTCTTTTTTATCTCTTTATGTGAAGAATGTCATTGGTATTTTGATAGAAATTGCATTAACTCTGTAGATTGCTTTTGGTAGTATGGACATTTTAACAATACTTACTCTTCCAACCCATTAACATGGAACATTTTTCTTTGTTTTTAGTGTTCTCTTCAATTCTTTTGTCGGTATTTTATAGGTTTCATTATAGAGCTCTTTCACTTTTTTGGTTAATTTCTAAGTATTAAATTTTGTGTGTGTCGATTGTAAATGGGCTTACTTTTTTATTTCTTTTTGACATTGTTCACTGTTGGCATACAGTAATGCTACTGATTTTTGTATGTTGATTTTCTATCTTGCAACTTTACTGAATTTTTTTAGTTCTAATTGTCTTCTCATAGACTCTAGTTGTTTTTCAAATATAAAATCATATCATTTGCAAACAAGAATAATTTGACTTTTTCCTTTCCATTTTGGATACCTTTGTATCCTTATCTTGTCTGATGGATCTAGCTAGGACTTCCAGCACAAGGTTGAATAACGGTGGTGACAGTGGGCACACCTGTCATGTTCCAGATCTTAAAGAAAACGCTTTCTTTTTTTCCCCCATGTAATATGTCACTAGCTGTGGTTTTGTGGTATATGGCTTTTATTATGTTGATGTATGTGTCTTCTATCCCAGTTTTTGGAGAGTTTTTATCGGAAAGGATGTAGTATTTTATAAAGTGATTGTTCAGTACCAATTGTAATGATCATGTGGTTTTTATCCTTCATTCTGTTGATATGATGTATCACATTGATTGATTTGCATATGTTGAACTATCCTTGCATCCCAGAGATAAATTCCACTAGGTCATGAGGAATAATCATTCTAATATATTGTTGAATATGATTTGCTAGTATTTTATTGAGGATTTTCACATCAATATTTATCAGAGATGTTGGTCTGTAGTTTTCCTTCCTTCCTTTCTTCTTTCCTTCCTTCCTCCCTTCCTTTCTTCCTTTCTTTCTTTCTTTTTTTTTTTTATGTATCTTTGTCTGGTTCCAGTATCAGGGTAATACTGGCCTCATAGAATGAGTTTGGAAGCATTTCCTCCTCCTCCATTTTTCAGAATAGTATTAGTATGACTGGTGTTAGTTCTTTAAGTGTTTGGTAGAATTCAGCAGTAAAGACATCGGGTCCCAGGCTTTTCTTTAATGGGAGACTTTTTATTATCACTTAAATCTCATTTCTTGTAATTGGTCTGCTCAGGTTTTGAATTTCTTCCTGGTTTTATCTTGGTAGGTTGTATGTGCTAGGAATGTTTCCATTTTTCTAGATTTTCCAATTTACTGGCATATAGTTGCTCATAGTAACCACTATGATTATAGTTATCCTGATACTGAATTTCCACAGTATCAGTTGTAACATCTCCTTTTTAATTTCTGATTTTATTTATTTTTTCTTTCATATTTCTTTGGCTAAAGGTTTGTCAATTTTGTTTAACTTTGCAACTAAATAACTTTTTGTTTTATATCTTTTGTTTTTTATTTCAATTTCATATATTTCTGCTCTGATCTTTATTATTTCTTTTATTCTACTAATTTTGTGTTCAGTTTGCTATGGCTTTTTTAGTTCTTTAAAATGCATATTAGATTGTTTATTTAAATGATTCCTGTTTTTTTTATGCAGGCATGTATAGCTATAAATTTCCCTCTGAGTACTGCTTTTGCTGTATCTCATAGGTTTTGCTATGTTGTGTTTCCATTACCATTTGTTTCAAGAGTATTTTCTATTTTCTTCTTAACTTTTTCATTGACTCACTTGTCATTCAGGAGCATTTTGTTTTATTTTCATGTGTTTGTATAGTTTCCAAAGTTCCTGTTGTTATTAATTTTTAGTTTTATTCCATTGTGGTCAGAGAAGATGCTTGATATTATTCCAGTGTTTTTTAATGTTTTATGACTTGTTATGTGTCTTAACATATCGCCTATCAATGAGAATGATACACGAACTGAGGAAAAGAACGTACCCTGTAGCTGTTCAGTGAAATGTTCTGTAAATATCTATCAGATCCAGTTGGTCAATAGTGAAGATCAAGTCTAAGGTTTCTTTGTTGATTGTCTGTCTGAAAGTTCTGTCCAATGCTAAAAATAGGTGTTGAAGTCTCCAGCTATTATTGTATTGAGACCTCTCTCTTTAGCTCTAATAATATTTCCTTTATATAGTCCAGTGTTGGGTGCATATATACTTAAAACTGTTATTTTCTCTTGCTGAATCGACCCCTTTCTCATCATATTGTGACCTTATTTGTCTCTTCTTATAGCTTTTGTCTTGAAATTCATTTTTTTCTTATATAAGCATAGCACCTCCTGCTCTTTTCTGGTTTCCATTGTCCAAGATATTCCAAAAAGATAGAATAACTTTTCCATCCCTTTATTTTTAGTTTATATGTGTCTTTACAGGTGAAGTGTGTTTCTGGTAGGCAACAGAACAATGGGCCTCGTTATTTCATCTATTCAGGTACTCTATATCTTTTGATTAGAGAGTTTAGTTAATTTACACTTAATGTTATTATTGATGAGTAAGAACGTATTTCTGCTATTTTTTTTGGTTGTTTTGTGGTCTTCTTTCTTTCTTTCATTCTTGTCTTCCTTTAATGAAGGTGATTTTCTTGGTGATAAGGTTTAGTTTCTTACTTTGAATTTTTTATGTATCTATTGTATTTTTTTGTTTTAGGTTACCATGAGGTTGCATATACTATCATATAACCCATTATTTTAACTTGATGACAACTTAACACTGTTTGCATAAACAAACAAATAAGCAAAAATAATACTAATACAAACTATATACCTTAACTTCATCTCCTTGCTTTTTAACTTTTTGTTGTTTCTGTTTATATCTTACTGTATTAAATATGTCTTAAAAATTTTTATAGTTATTATTTTTGATTGGTGCATTGTTTAGTCTTTCTACTTAGTATATGAGTAGTTTACACACCACGGTTGCAGTGTTACAATATTCTGTGTTTTTCTGCGTGCTTACTATTACCAGTGAATATTGTACCTTCAGATCATTTATTATTGCTCATTAACATCCTTTCCTTTCTGATTGAAGTACTTCCTTTAGCATTTCTTCTGGGATAGGTCTGATGTTGATGACATCCCTTAGGTTTTGTTTGTCTGGGAAAGTCTTTATTTCTCCTTCGTGTTTGAAGGATATTTTCACTGGATATACTATTATAGGACATTTTCTTCAGCATTTTAAATATAGGACATTTTCTTCAGCATTTTAAATATGTTATGCCACTCTTTCCTGGCCTGTAAGGTTTCCACTGAAAATTTTGTTGCCAGATGGATTGGAGTGCCATTGTATGTTGTTTCTTTTCTCTTGCTTTTAAAATCCGTTCTCTATCCTTGACTTTGGGGAGTTTGATTATTAAATGCCTTAAGGTAGTATTTTTTGGGTTACATCTGCTTGGTGTTTGGATATTGGTATCTTTCCCTGTGTTTGGGAAGTTCTTTGTTATTATCTTTTTGAAGAAACTTTCTACCCCATCTCTTTCTCTACCTTCTTTTTAAGACTAATGACTCTTAGATTTCCCCTTTTGAGGCTATTTTCTAAAGCCTGTGGGCATGCTTCATTGTTTTTTGTTCTTTTTTCTTTAGTCTCCTCTGACTATGTGTTTTCAAGTAGCCTGTCTTCAAGCTAATTCTTTCTTCGGATTGATCTATTCTGCTACTAAAGTAGAATTCTGAACTCCTTCTGTGTGTTATCTTGAAATTTTCATTTTCCTCAACATAGTTATTTTGAATTATCTGTCTGAATGTTCATATATCTCTGTTTCTTCAGGATTGGTCCCTGGTACCTTATTTAATTCATTTGGTGAGGTCAATTTTCATGGATGGTGTTGATGCTAGGAAATGTTCTTCAGTGTCTAGGCATTGAAGAGTTAGGTATTTATTGTAGTCTTCACTGTCTGGTCTTACATGTACCTATCCTTCTTGGGAAGGCTTTCTAAATATTTGAAAGGACTTGGGTATTTTGAGCTAAACCGTATCTGTTTTAGGGGCACCCAAAGCCCACTAACACTGCTGTTCTTACAGACTCAGTGGTCCACATTGATGGTCTTGGACAAGATCTGAGAGAATTCTCTGGATCACGAGGCAGAGACTCTTGTTTTCTTCCCTTACTTTCTCCAAAAAAACCAGAGCCTTTCTCTCTCTCTGTTCTGAGTCACCTAAAGCTGGGGGTGTAGTGGCCCTTTGGTCACTGCCTTAATGGCTGTGCTGAGTCAGACCTGAAGCTAGCACAGCACTGGGTCCCCAAGGCCTGCTGTAACCACACCCTGGCTACTGCTTGTGTTTGCTCAAGGACCTGGGGCTCTACAGTCAGCCAATGTACAAAGTCAGCCAGGCCTGTGTCCTTCCTTTCAGGGCAGCAAGCTCCCCCTGGCCCCAGGTGGGTCCATAGGTATAATTTAGGATTCAGGGATTAGAGTCAAAAACCTTAGAAGTCTAACTGCTGTTCTTGTCTACTGTGGTTGAACTGGCACTCAAACCACAAGGTGCAGTTGTCCCACTCCTCTCTCCATTTTCCAAAGACAGATGAGCCTCAAACTGCAGCCACCGCCACCCCAGGCCATGAGGAGTACTGCCAGGCTACTGCTGATGCTCCCTCAAGGCCCAAGGTCTCTTGAGTCCACTTGTCATGAATATTGCCTAGCCTGGGACTCACCCTTCAGGGCAGTGGGCTGTCCTCTGTCCCAGAAAAGGTCCAAAAATGCCATCTAAGAGTCAAGTCCTGGAATCAGGGATCTCAAGAGTCTGCTTGGTTTTTTACCCTTTTGTGGCTGTGTTGGTACCTAAGGTAAGACAAAGTCCCCTTTACTTTGTGTTCTACTTTGCTCAAGCAGAAGGACTTTTGCTCTGTAGCAGCTACGTAGTGGCTCATTTAAATTCTTAGAATTCAGCTTAACCTTGCAGGGAGGAATGAATAACTCTAAATGAAGTAATGTATGTGTAAAACTAACATAATAACCTATTAAAAATAATAATGTGTTTGGGGGTATAGAGTTTATCTGGCATTAAAAGCCAGATAACAGTAGCAAAACAATGCAAGAGAAAGAGTAAATAGATTTAATTCATTGTAAATTGCTTCCTGTGCTTTGAAGTGGTGAAGCACCAGTATATCATGTATTTATAATGACTACTGTAATCTTAGGTATAATTATTAAAAGATGATATAATAAATAAGGTAGAGAGAAAGAAATGATATAAAAAGATGATTTAATTTATTCTAAAGAAGGCAAAAAATCCAATGGGAAGAACAAAAAAAAGGAATGAATAGAATAAATAATGTTATGATAATATTATTTCAAACATATCAGAAAAATGTAAATAGGACTAAATATTTCAGTTAAAAGTGAGAATTTAAAAACTGAATATTATTTTAAAAGTAGAAGAAAAAAGAAAGACATGACATAAATAAAATGTAGTCACTAAACAAATGAAAAAGTCATATACATCAAACTTCTGCATTACCAGACTGAATTTAAAATTTTTTAATCTAAAATTATTTTAGTTATGTCTGAAGAACTTTCTTTAATATATTTTTAGTGCAGGTTTTTGATAACACATTTTCTTAAATTTGGTTTCTCTGAAAATGTTTCATTATTTCCATTATTTTTTCCAAGTCAGATATTACATTTTTGTCACAAATAATCTTTAAGACAAGTTTTCATATAGATTTACATGCATTTGTAAGAAATAATACTGAGTGATTTCAAATATCCTTTATTAATTTTCTCCACTGAAACCATCTTGCAAAACTATAATATAATTGACCTTATTATATTGAAGATACAGAAAATTTTCATCACCACAAGGATTCCCACACCTATTTCCCTTTCACCTGTTCTTCTACAGTTTTACAATTTTAGTAATGTTATATTAAGACAGAAACATTTAATGATTTTTGTTTTGGCTTTTTGAATTGTTTAACTTTCTCATAGATTCTGGTTATTAGATCTTTGTCAGATGCATAGTTTGCAAATATTTTCTCCCATTCTGTGGGTGATCTTTTCACTTTGTTGATAGTTTGGTTTGCTATATAGAAGCTCTTTAGTTTAATTAGGTCCCTTGTCAAATTTTATTTTTGTTACAATTACTTTTGAAGACTCAGTCATAAGTTCTTTGCCAATGCCAATGTCCAGAATGGTTTTCCTAGGTTTTCTTTTAGGAATTTTATAGTTTCAAGTCATACATTTAAGTCTTTAATCCACCTTGACACACACACACACACACACACACACACACATATATAAAATATATATGTTATATTATAATATATAATAAAATAATATATAATGTTATAGTATAACATATATAAAATGCATAAGTAATAGTATAATATATAATTTTAAATTTAAAATATATGTTGATGTGTGTGTGTGTGTGTATATATATATAATTAATAAAACGTAAGAAGTTAGGGCTCTAGTTTCATCTGTATATGGCTAGTCAGTTTTCTCAGCACCATTTATTGAATAGGGAGTCATTTCCCCATTGCTTGTTTTTGTTGACTTTGTCAAAGATCAGATGGTTGTAGGTGTGCAGCTTTATTTCTGGGTTCTATATCCTGTTCCATTGGTCTTTGTGTTTATCGTGTCTATTTTTTATTTTATTTTTTTTTTGAGAGGGAGTCTCATTTTATCGCCCAGGCTGGAGTGCAGTGGCATGATCTCAGCTCACTGCAACCTCTGCCTCCCAGTGATTCTCCTGCCTCAGCCTCCCAGATAGCTGGGATTACAGGCGCCCGCCACATGCCCAGCTAATTATTGTATTTTTAGTAGAGATAGGATTTCACCATGTTGGCCAGACTGGTCTCGAACTCCTGACCTCAGGTGATCCGCCCACCTTGGCTTCCCAAAGTGCTGGGATTACAGGCATGAGCCATCATGCCCGGCCTATTGTGTCTCTTTTTATACCAGTACCATGCTGTTTTGGTTATTGTAGACTTGTACTATAGCTTGACGTCTGGTCATGTGATTCCTCTGGCTTTGCTCTTTTTGCATAGGATTGCTTTGGCAATTCGTGTTATTTGGGTCCTATATTAAAGGACATGAACAGACACTTCTTAAAAGAAGATATACATGCAGTAAATAAACACATGAAAAAATGCGCAGCATCACTAATCATTAGAGGAACACAAATCAAAACCACAATGAGATACCATGTCAAACCAGTCAGAATGGGCATTATTGAAAAGTCAAAAATAACAGATATTGGTGAGGATGCAGACAAAATGAGTGTTTATACACTGTTGGTGAGAATGTAAATTAGTTCAGTTTAAAACTCTTGTGAATTGCTGGTGGAAATGTAAATGTAAAATGGTGCAGCTACTCTGGAAAATAGTATGGTGGCTTCTCCAAAATTTAAATGTAGAATTATCATGTGATCCAGCAATTCCACTTCTGACATATCTACCCAAGAGTAAAAGCAGACTCAAACAGATATTTGCACACGAATGTTCATAGTAGTTTTAGTAACAATAGACAAAAAGTGGAAAGAGCCAAATGTGCGTCCATCCACAAATGAATGGATAAACAAGTTGTGGTGTTACATAATAATATTATTCAGCTTTCAAAAGAAATGAAATTTTGACATATGTCATGACATGGATAAACCTTGAAGAAGTTATGCTAAGTCAAATAAGCCAGTTGAAAAAGACAAATACTGTATGTTTCCATTAATATGAGATATCTAGTATCATCAGATTCATAGAAACAGAAAGTAGAATGGTGGACTTGAAAGAGGGGGAATGGGAAGTTATTATTTCGTAAGTATGTTGTGTCCGAAGAACTTTCTTTAATATATTATGTATTTTTTATGTATCTTTAATATATAATGTATTTTTTCAGTTTGTGAAGATAGAATAGTTCTGGAGATGGACAATGTTGATGGTTGCACAACATCATAAATGCAATTAATAGCACTGGACTGTACTCTTAAAATTGTTAAGATGGCATATTTTATTTTACGTACATTTTTACCGCAACTAAAAAATAACTGCAAGAATGAAGGGAAAATCTAAATAAGCTCAGATGATGGAAAACTAAGAGAATCTGTTGCCAGCAGCTCTACCTGGAAAGAAGAAAGTAGTATAGACGGAAAAGAAATTACAAGAAAAGGAATATTGGAACATCAGAAAGGGAGAAAGAACAAATTACAAAGTACAAATGTAGATAAATATAAACAACTAGCTTCTTGAGTTGTCTAAATTATGGTTAAAGGTTGATACAAAAACGACAGCACTGCTGGGATGTTAAGTGTATATTTTAAATAATTTTACATCAAGTATGTATTTTAAATAATTTTCAATAGTGAAAAGTAATAGGATACAAAGGGAGATCAGGTTTCTGCAATTCACTCAAAGTGGAAACATGACTACCAGTAGGCTGTGATAGGTTGTATATATGATGTAATACCCAAAGCCACCACTGACACATTAATACCAATATCAACGCTCAGAAACACCACATTTAAACCAAAATGAATTGAAATAATGCACAAAAAGGCAGAAAAAGGAAAACAAAATAAAAAAATACAAGATTAAATGTCAGATTTAAGAGCTGGCATATTAATAACTACAGTCTATGTAACTATTCTAAATACCTCAATTAAAAAATGGGAATTGGGAGCGAGGAATAAAAAAAAACATAAACCAACTGCATCTTTTGATGGACAAAAGTTTGAAATTAGAATGCAGTCCAGTTTATTTATTCTTTTGTTGTTTGTGCTTTTGGTTTCATATTTAAGAAATTATTGTGTCATGAAACACTTCCTAATATTCATTTCTACGATGGTTTACAGCTTTTTTTTTTTTTTTTTTTTTTTTTTTTTTTGAGACGGAGTCTTGCTCTGTCACCCAGGCTGGAGTGCAGTGGTGCGATCTCGGCTCGCTGCAACCTCCGCCTCCCGGGTTCAAGCGATTCTCCTGCCTCAGCCTCCTGAATAGCTGGGACTACAGGCGCCCGCCACCACACCCAGCTAATTTTTTATATTTTTAGTAGAGACAGGTTTTCACTGTCTTAGCCAGGATGGTCTCGATTTCCTGACCTTGTGATCCAACCGCCTCGGCCTCCCAAAGTGCTGGGATTACAGGTGTGAGCTACCACGCCCGGCCAGATGGTTTACAGTTTTATATACTACGTTTAAGTTTTTGATACCTTTTGAGTTAATGCTGGTATATAGTGTAAGATAAGGATCTAACTTCATCCTTTTGCATGTTGATCCTTTCCTCCATTGAATATGCTTACCCCACTGTTAAAAATAATTGACCAAATGTTCAAGTGTTCATTTCTGGGCTCTGTATTCTCTTCCATGAAGCATACTTTTTACTGCATGTAGAATTTTAACTTGATAAATCATTTCCTTCAATCTTTGAAAAATGATGTGTCATTTCCCCATGGTCTTTTTGGTTTTCAATAAGAAATTTGATGTCTTTAGGATAGTATTCCCTGTAGAGAGGGTGTCATGTCTCTCTGACTGCTTTCAAGGTTTTTCCTTTGTCTCTATCCTATAGAAGTTTGATTTTATTGTTTCTCCATTTAGATTTCTTTGAGTTTCTCATGTTTGGGCTTCACTCAATTTCTTGAATATGTAGGTTTATATCCTTTACAAAATATGGGTAGTTTTTGCCATTATTTCTTTGAATACTGCTGAGCCCTACCTGCTTTTTTCTCTCCTTCGATAACTCTAATACTTGGATATTTTGCTTATTGTACTTTTCAGTTTTAAAATACCATTTGGTTCTTTTTTACATCTTTAATTTTTGCTAAGACTATCTCTGTTTCAAGTTATTTTATGTGTTTAAAGTAGATTTTAACTGATGAGTGAATCATTTTCATCATGGTTTTTATAAATCATTGTCAAAGAATTCTAAAGCCTCTGACTTCTTGGTGCTGGCATCTACTGATTGTCTCTTTTTATTGAAAGTTATATTTTTCTGGATCTTGGTATGATGATTGATTTTCAAGTGAGTTCTATACATTTTAGGTATTATGTTTTTATGCTTTCAGTATTATTTAAATCTTTTGTTTAGCTAGCTGCTGCTTATATCACTTCAGCAGAAAGAGGGGGCCCTGAATAATTACTGTTAAGCGGAGTTGAAAGTCTAGTTTCTAAGTACTGCTGCAATTGACACAAGTGGGGTAGGTCTCCTCCACACAGCCTAGCTAAAATAAAAGTTCTGGCTTTTCCCCAGGCCTCTAGTGATACCTGCCTTTATTGAAGGAATAGTATTGCCTAATTACTATTCCCTACATAGGCTAGAGTGCTCTTGTTATCACCGGTCTATGGAAAATGTCTTAACTCTTCACCAGGTCTCCTGTGACTCCATCCCAGATAAGAGGGGCATTGGTGCTTTGGTACCAGCAGAGGGTATGGATAACTCCAGGATCTCCTGGTGGTCTCCA
This sequence comes from Homo sapiens, assembly GCF_000001405.40. Taxonomy (NCBI): domain Eukaryota; kingdom Metazoa; phylum Chordata; class Mammalia; order Primates; family Hominidae; genus Homo; species Homo sapiens. The sequence goes on along the minus strand of NC_000001.11, from coordinate 195,579,241 downwards.
TTGATACCACTGGGAGGAGGCCTTGTTATTGCCTGGCTGTATTCAGTCCTGGTTCACTACTTAGCCTTCTCTGACACCACCCTGGCATGTGGTGGACATAACATGCCTGGAAAGGTTTGAACTCTACACTTCCCACATGGCCTTTGCCGACATAGGTAGAAACTTGTACTCTTATGCTTATTTATTTTGTAAGGCCAGAAACCCACACTGGACTTCTCAGCCTAGTGAGATACAATGGGTTCCAGGCTACCTCTTTGTGCTAAACTTCTGTTTCACCTGTGAGGAACAGGCAAATGCCTTGAAGAAAAAATTTGTAGAGAAAAATAAAGCTTCTAGTTACTTTCCCACTCTTCAGAATATTGGACTTCAAATCCTGGATACCTTAGTTGCTTTCAAGAGCTTTCAAACAGTTGTTACTTCAGGTTAAAAAAAAATTCTTGGCTATTGTAGTTGATATTGATAAGAGTTTTACAGTGACACAAGTTATTCAGTCATGGTCAATATTGGAAGTGGATCACACAAGATATTTAATGTAGGTGTTTGGTTACATTCTTACAATGGAATTCAAGGGTCAAAAGTAGAAAGCCCAGTAGAGTTTAACAGGTACAGGAAAATAGTATTACAAGTGGATTTAGAGGCAAAGGAAATAAATGGATGTTTGAGTTTTATTGTTATTGTAGCATAATACCACAAATGATATGGCTTAAATCAACACAGGTTTATTAACTCACAATTGTAGAAGTCAAAAGTTCAAAATATGTCAGCAGAGATGGGTTCCTTTGGAGGTTCTAGGGAAGAAAAAATTTCTTTTCTTTGTCCAGCTTCTAGAGGCTCCCCATATTTCTTGATTCATGCCTGGCTCTGAATGTCTCCAATCTCTGTGGTTGCGGTCGCATCATTTTCTCTAACTCTGACTCTCCTATTATACTGAACCCACCCAAATAATCAAGGATAATCTCTCTATTTATACACTTTCAACGTAATCACATGTATAAAGTCCCTTTTGCTATGTAAGGTAACAAATTCTTAGGTTCCAGGGATTAAGGTGTGGACATTTTTGGTGGGGGGGCATTGTTCAGTGTACCACTATGGGTTATAAGATGCCAAGAGCAGGAATCACCAAATAGGATCTAGCAGCGTGGCCTGTAGAGCAGAGAAACTGGAGCCATGAAGAGTCAGAACTGCTGCCAGAAACATCACCTTATTTAAGAGGAGAAGGAAAAATGCTATAGCTTATTTCTCATTGTACACTCTAATCTCCTGTCAGCAATGCCTGTGGTGGACTGAGCTGGAAAGCAGATAACACTGGAGCCTGAAGACTGCGTCTTGGACATGTTGACCCTGTTTAGACAGCCAAACAAGTGAACATTGAGTAATGGAAGTGAGGTCAGGCAGGCCCAGGAAACATGGCAACAAACATACTATTTTCTCTGTGTTTGGTTTTAACAAGAACAACAAAATGCATGGCTTATTTTGGTGTGAAAATTAAAATTGCTACAATAAGGGAGCATGTGTATCTTAGTGGAATTTCACTGTCTGTGAGAAAATGAAAAATTCCCATATAACAATATACCACTTTATAATGTCAAATTAGCTCATGGAGGTACACAAAACAATAATGAATGGTGTTTTGTTTCTAGTTTTTAATGGGCTTACAGTGAAATAATTGTGATGCAAAAAGCACCTTGTAAAGGTAATATTTTCAGTCCTTTAAAAAGCAATGGGCAGGGCTCGGTGGCTCATGCCTGTAATCCCAGCACTTTGGGAGGTTGAGGCGGGTGGATGACCTGAGGTCAGGAGTTCGAGACTAGCCTGGGCAACATGGCTAAACCCTGTCTCTACTAAAAATAAAATAATTAGGCAGGCATGGACGAAGACTCCTGTAATCTCAGCTACTCAGGAAGCTGAGGCAGGAGAATCGCTGGAACCAGGGAGGCAGAAGTTGCAGTGAGCTGAGATCACGCCACTGCACTTGCACTTCAGCCTGGGTGACAGAGCGAGACTCAGTCAAAAAAAAAAAATGCAATGAAGCTTTTTATTGACTGTGTGTTCATTGATTGGAATTCAGTGCATTGATTCATCTTTTAAAGGGATGAATGAGTTTACGAATTTTTAGCTGTTTTATGAAAATAAGACTCTGCTCTAGCATCACTTTTTAAATCATTGTCCAGACGTTTATATGGCCTAAGAGATTGGAAGCCTGTTATTTAGTTTCTATTTTGCTTTGTGGAAATACCCAACCCAATTCAAGTTAGAATGGACCTTTATTTAATATTACATTGCTTTGTGTGTACTGTGGTAGCCCAGTTAAAAATATATGCAAGTCACAGATGACAGCTTGTTAGGGAATTAAACACTGCTTAGGCTGAGCTTCATCTGTAAGCAGTGAAGCAGAGCTGTAGCAGAGAATGGCACCTGGAGCACATGTAAAGTCAATTGAACTAAATACACTCAAACAGCTCTGTTCAGAGGGTGAAAGGGAAAATGAATGGCCACTACTTCAGAATGGAAATGAACCTGCAATAAGAATGGAAAATGGTTTACTTTAGACAGGCAAATCTGAAGCCTAGAATTAAAATTATTAGCCTCTCTAAAGAATAGCTCTAATGCTATGTAACAGCTACAGCTTTAATCTGTTGGTTTATTGACAGCTAAATACAGAAGCAGAACTAAAACACATGGAAAAAGATAGTCACTGTATATATGTAGAATAACTGAGCCTTAATATATCATTGTATTGAATGGCCTATATTTGGAATAGTGAATTGGAAAACCACCATATTTGATATGAATATGATTTTGAAATAAAATATTTTTCTTTGAGCATGTGTTCAATTACTTATTTTGCTTATTCCATTTACCCCAAAATGTATACATTAAAATATTATGGATGTATGTATGTATGCGTGTGTGTGTGTGTTGCAGTTTTCAAGGAGAGAGCATTATTTTGATTCAAATATTGATTACCACCTGTCTTAGGCACTATGCATATTTTATCAATAATTCCTATAATAGCTCTACTGTGTAGGTGTTATATAATATTACAAATATAGAAAGCAAGGATCTGAAATTAGGTAACAATAAATGTATACTAGGGTCATGAGAACCCATGTCTGTTTGCATAGAAGAATGATTTTTAAAAGATAAAACACTCAGTTAAATGATTGGTACAAACTGTTTATTTTTATGTGTTTGAAAACAGGGCATGTTTCGCAAGATCCAAGAGTTAGATTTCTTTCTGCAAAATAAATAGTTATTTGATAATTACTTTTACTTCATTTTAAAGAAGAAATCATAACAGTTAATTATACAATTTTTAATCACACCAAACCCTAATTTACATATGTTAAAGTAATAGTAAGGAAAAGAGTAGGTTTTCCTCAATAAGTGTGTGTAGTATTTGTTCTCATCAGGATAGTATATAATAAAATGGATTATTAGGTTGATGCAAAGGTAATTGCAATTTTTGCCAATAGAAACTGTTCTCTGAGCAGGTGGCTCAAATATTTCCTTTAATTAGAGACTTACCTTTGAGGAAGAATACTTTGGTAACTCTTCTAGTTATGAAGTTTCTAGATCCAAGGATAACTTGTACCAGATTTCCAAAGGAAACTCATTTGTATAACAGAGGGAAACAAGTTTGGGGAGGAAGATAGAGAAAAAATGAGAAGGAAAGTGGCAGAGCGCTGTTAAAATAGGTGAAATGACTTCATCCTGTTAGTACACAATTTTCAGGAAAATATGTGATAATTGAGGATTTTTTATATACATGGAGTTCTGATCAAAACCAGTGAAAGAATTATCGTTGTGGATAAATGAGCATACAATAAAAAATATGGATGGACAGAAGGGAAAACAAACTCTAGAAAACAGAATGTTGAAAATGGTTCACTCTAGACTTTATGAGATATTGTCAACTTATTAGCCATTGGCTTTATGGTTGTTCATAATCTCAGCTATATTTCAAGCTTTTTAAATTACTTTATTTTACATTACATACTAAACATTTTAAAACCTGTCCTTACGAAAATGTGCCTTACTCTTTTATGCATATTTCCTTTGTACAAGAAGCTTATTCTTTCTGAAAACTTTCTCTCATCCCATTCCTTGTGTCTCCACCAGAATAACTTTTAATTATCATTCTAATTTCAAATTTTCCAAAATGTCAAGTTATTGACAATTTCATATTGTGGGATACTGTTATGTTCAGCACATACTATCTAGTATATGATTATTTAAATATATTTATTTTTAAGTTGACAGATGAGACTGTATATATTAGTCACCTACAGCTAGATGTCTTAACATATATATGCATTGTGTAATGGTTCAATCTACCTAATTAACAAATATGATACTTCACATATTTGTCATTTTTATATTGAGAACATTTAACATTCACTCTCTTAGCATTTTTCTTTTTCTTTTTGTTTCAGAGACTGGTTCTCACTTTGCTGAGCTGTCTGGAGTGCAGTGGTGTTGATCACAGCTCACTGCCACCTCAAATTCCTGGGCTTAAGGGATTCTCCTACCTCAGCATTTTTCAAGAATACAGTATATCCTCATTAACTATACTCACTATGCTGTACAACAGATCTTTGAAAGTTATTCTTCCCATTTACAATAATACTATGTATTTTGATTAATATCTTACCAACCTACCCTTACCCATCTGCCCCAGCCTCTGGTAATTGCCATTCTACTCCATTTCTGAGATAACTTTATTAGATTCTACAGATGAATGAGATTATGTGGTGTTTGTCTGTTTCTGACTTATTTTAGTTAGCAGAATGTCCTCCAGGTTCATCCATTTGTCAAAAATGAAAAGATTTCCTTCTTTTCTATGGCTGTAAAGTATTCCATCATATATATACAGCACAATTTCTTTATCCATGCATCTTTTGATGGACACTTAGGTTGATGCTATATCTTGTGAATAATACTGTAATAAATGGTATCTTTGACATGGTGATTTCATTTTCTTTGGCTATATACCCAGGAGTGAGACTGCTAGATCATAAGATAGTTCAGTGTTTAATTTTGGGGGGAACCTCTATACTGTTTTCTATAATGGCTGTACTAATTTATATTCCTACCAACAGTATATAAGAGTTTCCTGTTGGGGCATGGTGGCTCACGCTTGTAATTCTGGCACTTGTGGGAGGCTGAGGCAGGTGGATCACGAGGTCAGGAGATCGAGACCATCCTGGCTAACATGGTGAAACCCCGTCTCTACTAAAAATACAAAAAATTAGCCAGGCGTGGTGGTGGGTGCCTGTAGTCCCAGCTACTCGGGAGGCTGAGGCAGGAGAATGGCGTGAACCCACAAGGCGGAGCTTGCAGTGAGCCGAGATCGCGCCACTGCGCCACTGCACTCCAGCCTGGGTGACAGAGCAAGACTCCGTCTCAAAAAAAAAAAAAAAAAAAAAGTTTCCTTTTTCTCTACATCCTTGACAACATTTATTATTTTTTTCTTTTTCTTTTCATTTTTTGGGTAACAGTCACTTCAACAGATGTGAGGTCATAGCTCATTATAGTTTATATTTCCCTGACAATTAGTGATATGTAGTCATTAGTCATTTGTATGTCTTCTTTTGAGAAATATCTACTCAGATCCTTTGCCCATTTTCCAATTGGGTTATTATTTTTTCTTTCTTTGCTATTGAGTGGTTCCTAGTTCTTTATATATTTGAGATACTAAAATATTAAATATATAGCTTCTAAGGATTTGTTTTCCATTTCTGTAGGTTGTCTCTTTACTCTGCTGATTGTTTCCTTTGCTATGCAGAGCTTTGAGTTTAATGTAATTCAATCTGTCTATTTTTGCTTTTGTTGCCTGTACTTTTGAGATCACATTGGAAAAATTACTGCCCAGACTAATGTCATGAAGTTTTTTTTTTTCCTGTGTTTTCTTCGGTAGTTTCATAGTTTCAAGTTTTACATTTAAATCTTTAATCCATTTGTGTATGTGATGAGAGGTAGAGTTCTGATATCATTCTTCTGCATGTGGATATCCAATTTACCCAGCACCATTTATTGAAGAGATTGTCCCTTCTACAATGTGTGTTCTGGTCACTTTTATTGAAAATCAGTTGACTTGTAGGTTTGTGGATCTATTTCTGAGCTCTCTATTCTGTTCTATCAGTCTATGTGTCTGTTTTTTTATGCCAGTATCATACTGTTTTAATTACTATAGCTTTGTGACATATTTTGAAGTCAGATAGTCTGGTAATTCCAGCTTTGCTTCTCTTGCTCAAGATTGGTTTAGCTATTCAGGATCTTTTGCATTTCCACAGAAATTTTAGGGTCACTTTTTCTATTTTGGTAAAGAATGTCGTTGGTATTTTGATAAGGAATGCGCTGACTTTGTAGATTGCTTTAGGTAGTATAGATGTTTAAATAATATTAACTATTGTAATTCATGAACAAGGCATATATTTCCATTTATTTGTATCTTCTACAATTTTTAAATCAATATTTTATAGTTTCCAGTGTAGAAGTCTTTTAGCACATTGGTTAAATTTATTCTTAAATAATTCTATCATTTTGTAGCTATTGTAAATGAGATTGTTTCTTTATTTCTTTTCAGGATAGTTTGATGTTAGTGTATGGAAGTATTGCTAGTTTCTGTATGGTAACTTTGTATCCTGTTACTGTATTAAGTATGTTTTATTAGTTCTGAATGTTTTTAATGATATCCTTAGGGTTTTGTATAGATAAGCTCATGTCATGTGTAAACAAGGACAATTTATCTTCTTTCTTTCCAGTTTAGATGTCTTTTATTTATTTCTCCTGCCCAATTGCTCTGGCTAGGAGGTCCAGTACTTTGTAGAATAGAAGGGGTGAGAGTGGGCATCCTTGTCTTATTTCACATCATAGTGAAAATCTTCCAATTTGTCCTCACTGAGTATGATGTTAACTGTGGGTTCATCCGTTAAGGTCTTTATTATGTTGATGTACGTTCCATCCATACCTAATTTGTTTAGAATTTTTACTTTGAAACAACACTGAATTTTGTCAGTCACTTTTTCTGCATCTACTGAAGTAATCATACGGTTTTTGGCTTTCATTCTATCAATTTGATGTATCATGTTTATTGATTTACATATATTGAAACATTATTGAATCCTTTGTATGAATTTCACTTTATCATGGTGAATTATATAAATCATATATTATATATGATATATATCATATATTATATATGATATAAATCATATATTATATATGATATAAATCATATATTATATATGATATAAATCACATATTATATATGATATAAATCACATATAATATATGATATGAATCACATATAATATATGATATGAATCACATATAATATATGATATGAATCACATATAATATATGATATGAATCACATATATAATATATGATATGAATCACATATATAATATATATGAATCACATATATAATATATGATATGAATCACATATATAATATATGATATGAATCACATATATAATATATGATATGAATCACATATATACGATATGAATCACATATATAATATATGATATGAATCACATATATAATATATGATATGAATCACATATAATATATGATATGAATCACATATATAATATATGATATGAATCACATATATAATATATGATATGAATCACATATATAATATATGATATGAATCACATATATATAATATATATAAATTTTGTTTTCTTTTTTTGAGATGGAGTCTTCCTGTGTCGCCCAGGCTGGAGTGCAGTGGTGCAATCTCGGCTCACTGCAACCTCCGCCTCCCAGATTCAAGTGATTCTTCTGTCTCAGCCTCTGGAATAGCAGGGATTACAGGTGCGTGCCACCATGCCCAGCTAATTTTTGTACTTTCAGTAGAGATGGGGTTTCACCATGTTGGTCAGGCTTGTCTTGAATTCCTGACCTCGTGATCTGCCTGCCTCAGCCTCCGAAAGTGCTGGGATTACAGGCATAAGCCACCGCACCTGGCCAGTGAATTAAATTTTTAATGTGCATTTGAATTCAGTGTTCTAGCACTTTGTTGAGGATTTTCGCATCTCTGTTCATCAAGGATATTAACCTGTAGCTTTATTTTCTTGTAAGGTTTTTGTCTGAGCTTGGTGTCAGGGTAATTCTGGCCCCATAAAATTAGTTTGAAAGTATTTCCTGTTTTTCAATTTATTTGGAAGAATTTGAGAAGTATTGGTATTAGTTTTTTAAGTTTTGGTAGAATTCTCGAAAATCATTGGATCTTCAGCTTTATATTGATGGGAGAATCTTTATTCGTAATTTCAAACTCTTATTAATTATTGAACTGTAAAGATTTTCTATTTCTTTATAATTTCATCTCAGATTGTGTATGTCAAGGAACATATTTTTTCTCTGTATTATTCAATTTGTTGATATAATTTTTCATAACAGTCTATTATGATGCTTTGTTTTTCTGTGGTATCAGCTGTAATGTCTCTTTTTTCATCTTAAAAATGTATTTGAGTCTTCTCTTTTTTTCAGTCTATTATATTTTTGTCAGTTTTATCTTTTCACGAAACAACTCTTCCTATTTTTATTTTTTCCAATATTTTTCTAGTTGCTAGTTTATTTAGGTTTACTCTGATCTTCCTTCTGCTAATGTTGGACTTAGTTTTTTTTTTTTTTCCTGTTTTTCTAGTTCATTGTGGTGAAACTTAAGAGCATTTTTTTTTTTTTAGATCTTTCATGTTTTTATGGTGTAGATGTTTATTGCTGTAAACTTTCCTCTTACAACTGCTTTTGCTGCATCCTATTAGTTTTCATATGTTGGGTTTTCAGTTTTATCTCAGTTTGTTAAAAGTATTTTCCTTTTAAATTCTTTCATCAATGTATTGGTTGTTTGGTCACATGTTGTCTAATTTATTTGTGTTTGTGAATTTTCCAGTTTCTCATATTATTGATTTTCGTTTTTATACTGTTGGGAACAGAAAGGATACTTTATATAATTTTTAAATTATTAAGACTTATTTTGTGACCTAAAAAATGACCTATCATAGAGAATGTTCCATGTGAGCTTGAGAAGAAAGTGTACCCTGTTGCTGTTGGATAGCATATTCCTTAAATGCCTGTTAGGTCTATATGGTCTAGCATGTAGTGTAATCCCAGTGTTTATTTTTTAATTTTCTGTGCAGATGATCTCTTCTTTTAGGAATGTGGCATGTTAAAATTTCCTATTAATGTTGTATTGCTGTTTTTCTTTTCCTTGAGACCTATTAATCTTTGCTCTATATATTTACCGTCTTCAATATTCAGTGCATATATATTTGAATTCGTCATATCCTTTTGCTGGTTTGACCCCTTTATAATTATATAATGCCATTTTTCTCTCTTTTTAATTTTTGACTTAAATTCTGTTTAATCTCATATACATATAACTACTCCTATTCTCCTTTGGTTTCCAATTTTGTGGGAAAAGATCTTTTCCCATCTTTTCACTTTCTTTCTATGTGTGTCCTTACAGGTAAAGTGAGTGTCTTATAAACAGCATATAGTTGAACTGTATTTCTTTTATCCATTCAGCTACTCTGTATTTTGATTGGATAATTTATTCCATATATATTCAAGGTAATTACTGATAGGAAAGAGCATACTGTTGCCATTTTAAAACATTGTTTTCTAGTTGTTCTGTAGATCTTTTGTTTCTTTCAACCTCTTTTATTGTCTTCCTTTGTGATTAAGTAATTTTCTCTCATGGTGTGTTTTGATTCCTTGCTTTTGTTTTTTGTGTGTCTTCTATAGTTTTTTTGCTTTGTGGTTATTATGAGGCTTACAAAAAATATTATAGTCCTAACAAATTATTTTACACTGATAACAACTGAACTTTGATCACACACAAATCTATATTTTTACTCCAGTTCCCCCCCACTTTTGGAATTGTTGATGTCACAATTTACATATTTTTATATAGAATATCCTTTAACTAATTATTATATTATGATGATTTTTAATATTTTGTCTTTTAATCTTCATAGTAATAAGTAATGGGAATCAGTGGTTTACACACCACCATAATATAGTATTTTCAAGTTGACTGTACTTTTAACCAGTAAGTTTTATATTTTCTTATGTTTTCATGGTATTCATTAGTGTTCTCTTTTTTTTCACCTTAAACAACTTTAGCATTCCATGTAAGATAGATCTGGTAATGATGAAATCTCAGCTTTGGTTTGTCTGGGCAAGTCTTTCTATCTCCTTAATTTCTTTTTTTTCTTTTTTTAAAAGGACTCTCGCTGTGTACTCCAGGCTGGAGTACAGTGGCACAATCTATGCTTATGGCAACCTCTACCTCCAGGGTTCAAGCGATTCTCCCGCCTCAGCTTCCCAAGTAGCTGGAATTACAGGTACGCACCTCTGTGCCTGGCTAATTTTTGTATTTTTAGTAGAGACCAGATTTCAACATGTTGGCCAGACTGGTCTCAAACTCCTGACTTCAAGTGGTCCACCTGCCTTGGCCTCTCAAAGTGCTGGGATTACAGGTGTGAGCCACCACACTTGGCCTCTCCCTAATTTCTAAAAGAGAGCTTTATTCAGGACAGTATTCTTGTTTGCCACTTTAAATGTATCATGTCATTCCATCTGGTCTGTAAAGTTTCTGGTGAGAAGTCTGCTGCTAAGCACATTGGAACTCTTTCATGTGTTATTTGCTTCTTTTTCTGTGGCTTCTTTCCAGGTTTTTTTTATCTTTGACTTTTGACAATTTAATTACACTATGTCTTGATGTAGTCTTATTTGGATTGAATCTGACCAGAGACATTCCTATATCTGGATTCTTTATATCTTTCTCCAGGTTTGGAAAGTTTTCACCTATTATTTCTTTAAACAAGCTTTCTATCTGTTTATTTTTCTCTTCTCTTTCTTAAACTCCTATGACTCAAATCTTTACTTATTTAATACTGTACTATAAATCCTATAAGCTTTCTTCTTTCTCTTTTGCTTCTGACTGCATATTTTTAAAGAACCTGTATTATAATTTTTTCTTCTGCTTAATCATTTCTGCTGTTGATGCTTTCTATATTGCATTTTCATGTTTTTCATTGTATTATTTAGCTCCAAATTTTTGTTTCATATTTTTAAAATGTCAATCTTTCTGTTAAGTTTCTTTTCCTGTTCACTTATAATTTTTCTTATTTCACTGAATTGTTTTTCAGTAATTTTTGGAAGTTTGCTAAGATTATTTGAAACAGTTACTTTAAATTATTTGTCAAATGCTTCTTATCTTCCTTTCTTTAAGATAAGTCACTGTTATTTTATTTTTTTCATTTGGTGGTACCGTGATTTTGATTATTCTTGATCCTTGTGGCCATACATCAATGTCTGCACATGTGGAGAAGTGGATACTTATTCTAGTCCTTACAGACTGACTTTTTTCTAGGTATGCCCTTCAACAGTAAGCCTGTCCAGAGTTTCTGAATAGACTATCTGGTGTGGTCCCTTAACCCAGGGCCACATTGATCATTGCAGCACTGAGGGGTTCCCTTAGACAAAGACTTCTGAGGCTGATGCTGTACTGGGCTGCAATCCCATGGATGTTCAGGCTAGTTTGGAGCTGGGGCATGCCTGGAGTCTTTTTGAGGTCTGTCTGCCACTGGGGTTGCCTAAGGCTGCTGTAGTTAGCTGGCAGTGATGCCGACTGGAGATTGAGTCTACTCCACCGGTGTTATGTATTTCCACCTGGGTCCAGGACATATCTGTAAGCCCATGGTTACCAGCGTGGAGTCAGGAGCTATATCTGCTTTGCTGAGTTTTACCGGTGTAGGCCCAGTACCTGTTTCCAAGGAAAAATCCTATGCTCACTTCCCTCTCTTTTCCCATTTGGGAAGTATCACTATCCTTGCTGTGCTACCCAAGGTTGAAGGAAGGAGAGACAGGTAATGTAAAACTACTTTTTCTACCCTTTTCTTATGATTGTGTTATAAACAGATACTGTGACCACTCGTCTGGTCTCCTTAGCTCTTATGAAGGTATTTTTACTTATGGATAGTTGTTCAGATTGATGTTTCTGTGTGGAGAATGATCACTGGTGAGTCCTGTTCCACCATCTGGCTCCTTGGGCAATTTTTAACCTACATTTTCATCATCTGCCTACTAATCTGTCTTTCCGACTTGACTGCAAAAACTTAAGGCAGAGGCTCTAAATTATTAGTTATGCAATCATAAATTGACATAGTAGGTACTTAAAATGTGGTAAGTAAAGAGTAACTTAAATAGATTTTCTTTTAAGAACTTAACAATGTAATTATTAATGTTATAGATCAAACATATATGATATTCTGTTACTCAACCTGACAAAAATGAAAAAGTAATATTCTTTATTGTGTAATTTCTTATTTTTGTTTAAATATTACAATGTATCACTTTATTATAATTTTTAATATCATAGTCTACTTATTTATGAAGTTTAGAAAATAACTTGTAGGACTTGTGACATATTAAGCTGCGACATTCACAAGGACAGTAAAATCAAATCAGTATAATTTGTTTAGGCATTATTTTATGAATAAATATATAGAAAAACTCCAGAGCAAAGAACTCTTTATTGCTAGCCGAAGGCCTTAAGGGGCACATAAAAATATGGTTGCATTGGCTTGTACTGACTTTAATGTGACCTACGGTTTTTCTATAACTGCTCTATATAAATGTGCTTATCATACCTAAGTTGTTTTGTCCTGTATTATAGGTAGCATTTCAAAAAGATAGGAATTTTTAAATTATATATTTATAGTGAGGTGTCCGCAATTTTGTTTTAAACAAGGACACATTTATAATATAATAAGATTTATTTAACACACATTTTTCTACTCTTTTTTAGCATCAAGCTTTCCATTCCTTCCAGTTCTTCCTCTTCTTTTAGTGGATTAGGGAGGAAATAATGGAATATTAGCAATAGGAAGCTTTGAAGGACTATAAAGAAGGGTTACACTGAAACAGAGAAAAGAACAAGCTGATGGTCACATCAAAGGTCATTTACCAATGTGTTTACAAATATTATAGGGACTTATTTTATTCTATCATATGTTGATCTCTAACTCTTTGGAATAACAATATAATCTTTCAAGCAAGATCACAGTTTATTTTGGGGTATGGTACAAATTTTCTCAGTCTTCTTCTATTTAACTCACAGTGTTTAGAGGTTTTCTCAAAATCTGATCCACTGAATACTCGCATCAGAATTCCCAGGGTATGAACGTAAACTTTTGAGTCCTCATAACAATTAAGTCATAATTTCTGGGTTTGAATTTCAGAGTGCATATTTTCAGCAAGTTTCTTAATAACTTTTATGTAAAATGAGACCCACTGATCTTGGCTTGAGCTTAATAAACACCTGTTTATTTGGCCATTATATTGCCATGAAGTATGATTCATGAAATTTGATGTATTAAAATATCTATGTATACACACACATACACACAGTGAAAACAGTATTTAAAAATTATTAACTAATTATTTAATAATATTAGTGTAATGTGGTCCAATTACTGCAAAACATTGTTATTAAAATTGTTTTTTCATAGTTCTGCTTCTTTTTATTAATATGTGTATCAAGAGATAGGTGAAACCAAGAACCAAACAAATACTGCAGAGACTTCTTTCTACTTCTGGCAAAAATGAACTAGCACGCATGAGAATTACTCTACTGCTTGAAATAAACAAAAAGTAGTAAAATATATGAAACACTTGTGTTTCAGATGGTGATAGTCAACCAAAGAATGTTGAGCTTGAGAAGAAATACTTATGAGATGGAATTATCTAGAATAGTGCCCAGTGTTTACAGAGGGCTAGCAGTAGTGCCTGTTCTGACCACCTATACTAGAAAAACACAACACAAGAGTATTTATAGACATCACCAGCTGTGCTATCCAAATGGCCTCAGAGGTCACACAGCATTTCTTCCACTGTATTCTGTGGGTTGAAGCAATTGTAAACTTGAATTATAATCAAGGGAATTGGAGACACCTGAATGGGTGGAGTGTCAAGGAATTTTAGTGCCATGTTTTTCAACTGCTGCAGTTACATCACGAACTCATTTTGGTGTTACTGCATGAATATTGGTAATTTACTTTAAATATTATAGAAACTACTTGATGATTTCATGAAATTGTCAGTATTGCAGATAAATCACATGATAAATGCCCCATAGCAAGAAATGTCTAAGAATGAAAAAGACAATACATATGCTTTGATCATTCTGAAAACATTTTTCTGCACGTTCCAATTTTAAAGATTTTACGTTCTTATCCTATACAGAGAGTTAAACTGTATTGAAAATTAAAATATGTTCATTTTGGTTTGAGTGAATTCATTTGCAAATTAATGTAGTGTAGTTTTAAATTTTCATGATTTTTAAATAAAAGGCCATAAAAATAACATTTTTAAGAAATGTTAGTTTATCATAACAATTAATAGCTAGAATTATTATCTTTTAGATTAATGGATAGGTTACATGGATAAATGGGCATGTGTTTGATTTTTAAAAATCTTTAAATGGTTTAACAAATTAATAGAGTAGCAGAAATGCTGTGAAATGACAGTGTGTTCCTCATTTATTTTCACTGAAAATAAACAACTTTCCATTAAAAATCCTAAATGTTTTTTATTATAAAAAACACGGTAATACACAGCCTTAAGGTAATATAGTCTTAACAATATAGAATATAGTTTCAAGTATTCATCAAAAACATTATACTGTTCACTTAAATAATTAAAATAAGACTTATTTCAAGTTATTTATGTTCATCTTTAATTTCATTTTTATCTTCCTAATATGGCAATTTGAACTCTATCAGTGACTATTGTTCTGTGAACACAAAGCTAGTCAGTATTTTTATGAACTTGATTGATTCATTCTATCCCACACAGTGAGTCTAAAGTGTGTCAAGATGGAAAAAGACAGAAAAAATACACAGAACTTTAAAGGGTACAGTGCTGAGGACTAATGGTATATTCATATAAGCAGGTTATATTTTTACCTAATTCTTTCTAGAAGGGCTGACAATCAAAACCAGAGAATCATTGTGCTCTTTGAAAGTAAAGTATTCAGATTGTGCTTGTGAATAGACTGTGTCATATTTCATTTGCTCTAAACACCAGAGGTATAGGATGTGTCATTATTTTATGTACACTACAAACTGAAACCTGTTGCCAATTAAACAATGTGAGATTGCTTTGTTACTATTTTTTTAAATTTGATACACATTGAATGTAATTTTTTTAGTTATTTAGAATTTTTTGCAAAAAGAAAAAAATTGAAGTAAATTTTTTGAAAATGCATGCACAAACTTGTCTTCTAGATAGTTTAATATTTTGTTATGTTTTAATTTATACATAAGAATTGTATGTACATATGAGGTATACTGTGATGTTTCAGTGTATATATATATATATATACACACACACACACACATATATGTACACATTGTGTAATGATTAACTTAAAGTGATTAGTATATTAACCACCTCAAATACGTTTTTTTGGTAAGAACATTCAAACTGCTTTCTTCTACCTATTTTGAATTATACAATACATATCGTTGACTTAGGTACCTTACTGTGTAACGGAACACCAGAACTTTTGCTTCTATCTAATTGTACTTTGTACCTGTTAATTGGCCTCTTTCCATCCCCCTTCCCCTACATTCCCCACCTATGATAACCACTATTCTACTCTGTAAGCCTATGACTTCAGTCATTTAAGATTTCACGTATGAATGAGATCATGTGCTATTTGTATTTCTGTCCCTAGCTTATTTCCCTTAATATAATGTCCTCTAGGTTCATCCATTTCATTGCAAATGACAGGATTTTGCTCTGTTTATGGCTGAATAATCTTCCATCTTGTATGCATACCACATTTTAAAAATCCATCGATTGATTTTATTTTTTTAAATACAGGCTCTTGCCCTATCCCCCAGGCTGGAGTGCAGTGGTGCTATCACGGCTCACTGCAACCTGGACCACAGTAGCTGGGACCACTGGAATACACCATTATGCCCAGCTAATTTGTTTTATTTTATTTTTTGTAGAGACAGGATCTCACTGTGTTGTCTGGTCTAGTTTCAAACTGCTGGGCTCAAGCACTCCTCCCTCCTCAGCCTCTGAAAATACTGGGATTGCAGGCATGAGACACCATGCTTAACCATTCATTTGTTGATGGACATTTAGGTTGATTCCATATCTTGGCTACTGTGAATAGTGCTATAATAAACATGGGAATGCAGAAATCTCTTTGACACACTAATTTCATTTCCCTTGAATATATACCCAGTAGTGGGATTGTTAGATGATATGGTAGTTATTTCTATAGATTCTGCACAGCAGAGGAAATAATCAACATAGTGAAAAGACAACCTACAGAATGAGAGAAAATATTTTCAGACAATGCAGCTGACAAAGTATTAATATATAGGATATATAAGGAACTCAAACAACTCAATAGCAAAAATAAAAGTACTTTATTTTTAAAATGGGCTAATGACCTGAATAGACATTTCTTAGAAGACATATCAACAGCCAACAGGTATATGAAAAAGTGGTCAACATCACTAATCATCAGGGAAATGCAAACTGAAACACACTGAGATATAACTTTATCCTGGTTAGAATACCTATTATGAAAAATACAAAAAAATAACAAACACTAGCAAGAATGAAGACAAATACTAGCAAGAATGAAACTCATACACTTTTTGTGGGAGCTATAAATTAGTACAGCTATAAATGTCACCAGTATGGTTGTTTCTTAAAAATTTTAAAAACTTGAATAATTTATGACTTAAAGCTAATTCTGATGCTTTCCACAGGTTATCATCTTCAGTGACTTCATCACCTTTCTTAAAAGGGTGGTATTTCTCTAATGTCTTTAGGATTTTCTTTAAAGCAGCAAGGAAGTAATTAGATCACTGGGGTGTATTTTAGCTTCAGAGTGTCAATCAAACTCACAGTAGCCTCACCCAAGAACAATTTCAAGACATGTTACAGACTCCAGAGCAGAGCAGTATACACAGCAACAGTATCATGGAGCTGTCATACAATAAATATGGGTCCTAATGTCATTGTCGCCAGTTGGGATATGCGCAGTTTTGAGACAAGAGCTGATGAAAGTGAGCATCACATTAACACAGGAAAACTGAAGGGTCTAGAGACTTCTGGCTTAAACAATTTTTTAGTCAAGTTGCACCTGAAGAGGTATGAGTCTAACTTCTGTTTTAGTTCTGCTGAAGTTCATAAATTATACATTATGTAAAAACAAATCTTATTTAAAAAATTTAAAATTTGTAAATGTTCTCAAATCAATAGTCAATACTTAGTAACCTCAGTAGGATGCTCATTTGTCTTCAACTGGATACACAATATCAATTAATATTTCAAGAATTTTAATTAAGGATAAATAATTCCTTAGTTGTTCTTAACACTGGAGTGCAGTGAAGTTGTTAAACCATTCCTCTGGTATCTTTGGCATCCTTTGACATTGTTTCTGCAGTTAGATTAGATCTGAAATTTATGTCTTCTTTTGTATTACTGTTATGTATTTAGTTTATTTTTATTTAGGTTTACCCACGTGTATTTCCGATAGTTTTTTATGTAAATATCTTTTTTTTTCACAGTATATTAACATTTAATCCTTGAAAAAAAAGGTCATATTCTCAATGAAAATTAGTGAAATAAGGAATCACAAGTGTGAAGTTGCATATTATATAATTTTTGTTCCAAAGGAAAACATATTAAGTAACTGCACTTTATTTTTTTATTTTTATTTTATTTTTTTTACTTTTATTATTATTATACTTTAAGTTTTAGGGTACATGTGCACAATGTGCAGGTTAGTTACATATGTATACATGTGCCATGCTGGTGTGCTGCACCCATTAACTCGTCATTTAGCATTAGGTATATCTCCTAAAGCTATCCATCCCCGCTACCCCCACCCCACAACAGTCCCCAGAGTGTGATGTTCCCCTTCCTGTGTCCATGTGTTCTCATTGTTCAATTCCACCTATGAGTGAGAATATGCTGTGTTTGGTTTTTTGTTCTTGTGATAGGTTACTGAGAATGATGATTTCCAATTTCATCCATGTCCCTACAAAGGACATGAACTCATCATTTTTTATGGCTGCATAGTATTCCATGGTGTATATGTGCCACATTTTCTTAATCCAGTCTATCATTGTTGGACATTTGGGTTGGTTCCAAGTCTTTGCTATTGTGAATAGTGCCCCAATAAACATACGTGTGCATGTGTCTTTATAGCAGCATGATTTTATAGTCCTTTGGGTATATACCCAGTAATGGGATGGCTGGGTCAAATGGTGTTTCTAGTTCTAGATCCCTGAGGAATCGCCACACTGACTTCCACAATGGTTGAACTAGTTTACAGACCCACCAACAGTGTAAAAGTGTTCCTATTTCTCCCCAACCTCTCCAGTACCTGTTGTTTCCTGACTTTTTAATGATTGCCATTCTAACTGGTGTGAGATGGTATCTCATTGTGGTTTTGATTTGCGTTTCTCTGATGGCCAGTGATGGTGAGCATTTTTTCATGTGTTTTTTTGGCTGCATAAATGTTTTCTTTTGAGAAGTGTCTGTTCATGTCCTTCGCCCACTTTTTGATGGGGTTGTTTGTTTTTTTCTTGTAAATTAGTTTGAGTTCATTGTAGATTCTGGATATTAGCCCTTTGTCAGATGAGTAGGTTGTAAAAATTTTCTCCCATTCTGTAGGTTGCCTGTTCACTCTGATGGTAGTTTCTTTTGCTGTGCAGAAGCTCTTTAGTTGAATTAGATCCCATTTGTCAATTTTGGCTTTTGTTGCCATTGCTTTGGTGTTTTAGACATAAAGTCCTTGCCCATGCCTGTGTCCTGAATGGTAATGCCTAGGTTTTCTTCTAGAGTTTTTATGGTTTTAGGTCTAACGTTTAAGTCTTTAAACCATCTTGAATTAATTTTTGTATAAGGTGTAAGGAAGGGATCCAGTTTCAGCTTTCTACATATGGCTAGCCAGTTTTCCCAGCACCATTTATTCAATAGGGAATCCTTTATCTTAAGATATTAATTATCTTTATTGTTTCTGCACACTCTTGCTCCGAGTAATCTGTAAACAAATTTGATAATATTCCATCAACTATTTTTAGGAATTTTAATTAGAGTGGAATGATGAAAGTATAAATCAGAGCACCATGTTACTAAAACTAGAAATGATTCATTTCTTTTTAACCCAATATCAAATCCTCATTAAATGTAATTTTTTATCTATCC
Organism: Homo sapiens; assembly: GCF_000001405.40. Taxonomy (NCBI): domain Eukaryota; kingdom Metazoa; phylum Chordata; class Mammalia; order Primates; family Hominidae; genus Homo; species Homo sapiens. The sequence continues at coordinate 195,559,971 of NC_000001.11, read as the reverse complement.
TTCACAGTTATCTAGTAAATTACTCACGTAAAATTACCAATCTTTTAGGCAGCTGTGACTTAATGGGTTTACCTCTGGCCCCATTCCTTATAAATGAAACTCTGTCCTCTCGGGTTAAAAAGATAGACCAACCCTGATTGGCTCTCTTTTGCTTCCAATTCTGGTGCAGAACTCAGAGAGTCCAAGAATTCTACACCCTAACATAGCCTTCCAGGTTGTTATAAATTATGGTTTTCAAGGTAGAAAAACAAAACCATTTAATGCTTTGTTTTATTGATCTATTTTAAGTGTTACACAAGGTATGTTGGCCTTTATTTGTACACTTTGTGTCCAGCCCTGAATAGGTTAAGGGATGTTCTTATTTCAGGATACAATAAAAGCAAATGCCTAAATACAACCATGAAGTTTTTAGGCTAGTTTTATGCAAATAAAATGGATGTTTCTATATTTTTGAATTATTTGAATAATACTTTTCCCAGATTTCTCTTCATTTTAATCCCATAACAACTGCCACCTTCTTTAGTTGTGAAAAAACGTGTAATAAAATTGGATAAATTGTATGTGAAAAATATTTTGAACATTTTCCCTTCAACCCACTGCATTGTCTTGGCAGTAAAACGTAACATGCTGATGTTTAAAAATGCAATTAGCACTATTTATTTATTTATTAAACTTGTCACAATTTTCACTCAGAAAACAAATGAAAATTTTGAGCTACTTTCATCCAATTTTCTTCCAGGGATGGACATATCAATTAGTGATATATATAATGCCTCTGATTATCGGGGAAATGATGCAGTCTTAAATTCACATGCCTTATGTCTTTTAAGCAATAATTTTTAAACGAGACAACTGTAATTTTGTTTAGTACACTTAAGTTTGGGATAGGCATGAAAATAAATTATTCACTGCCTTTCTGCAGTACACTAATTATTTCTTGCACTTAACATTTATCTAAAAAACTGATAATGTATTCCGCGGTTTTAACAATATACAAGTTGGGCATCCTTAATATGAAAACCCCAAATCCAAAATTAAACATTTTTGACTACCAACATAATGCCACAAACGGAAAGTTCTTCATCTGATCGCATGTTCCAGGTTACAGTCAAAACACAGTAAACAACACACACTTTATTTAGCATCCACAAAGGAAAAAAGTCCCTCCCAGCCTCCTTTAGCTATACTGTATTTTCCTTACATGCCCAGATTCGCCGACGTAAACCCGCTCAAAAAGGATAATAAAATAACACATGTGCAGATCAGGTAAGCCAACAGCAGGTTCCTCAGGTTCCTTCTTCAAGCTGCCCCACTTGAAGCCAAAACTTAAGTGCATTACTCACTGTATTTTTTTTTTTAATTCTCTGCTCCGGTGTAAATATATTATTGAAAATATTGGCTGGGTGCGGTAACTCAGGCCTGTAATCTCAGCAGTTTGGGAAGCTGAGATACGTGGATCACTTCACGTCAGGAGTTCCAGACCAGCTTAGCCAACATGGTGAAACCACGTCTCTACTAAAAATACAAAATTTAGCCAGGCGTGGTGGTGTGTGCCTGTTGTCCCAGCTACTTGGCAGGCTGAGGCACGAGAATCGCTTGAACCAGGAGGAAGAGGATGCAGTGAGCCAAGATTGCACCACTGCACTCCAGCCTAGGCGACAGAGCAAGACTCTGTTTCAAAAAAAAAAAAAAAAAAAAAGAAAGAAAGAAAGGAAAAAAAATATCAAAAAGGCCTGCAGAGATTTCTATGAGCAACAGTGATGAGAAAAATAGGAAGCATTTGTTTTTCTATGTTGCAGAAAGTAAGCTATTGGAGAAACTGGACAGCAGTGTAAGTGTGAAACATCTTACAGAGGAGTATGGTGTACAATGTTGAAAAGACCTCTATATATATTGTCTGAAGAAGCAGAATAATAAACTTTTGAAATTCTATGCTAACAGTTTATTAGAAGTTACTGAAAAATACAAAACCATTGTGTAAAGCTAAGATTCAAGATTGTGATTGTTTATTGAAACAGTGGGTACATCAGCATCACAGTGAAGACGTACTATTTAAAGGTTTGGTGGAATCAAGAAGCAAGTGAAAATTCATCATGAAAATTGAAGGGAACTGATTATTCAACAATGTAGCCACAGGAATATTAGACTATACATGGGATTAAGTTTTTTAAATATTTGTGGAATAAAGCATCTGCTAACTACAAAGCAGCAAATCCATTGACAAGTTTGCCAAGCTAATTGCTGATAGAACAAATCTATAAGGGTGAGGAAACATTACTGTTTTGGTGTTATTGCCCCAGAAAGATATGGATTATAATGGATAAGACAGCTCCTACAGGAATTAAAGATGGCAAGGACAGGCCAGCCGCAGTGGCTATGCCTGTAATCTCAGCACTTTGGGAGGCCAAGGCGGGCAGATCACAAGGTCAGGAGATCGAGACCATCCTGGCTAACACGGTGAAACCCCGTCTTTACTAAAAATACAAAAAATTAGCCAGGCATGGTGGTGGGTGCCTGTAGTCCCAGCTACTCGGGAGGCTGAGGCAGGAGAATGGTGTGAACCCAGGAGGCAGAGCTTGCAGTGAGCCCAGATCACGCCACTGCACTCCAGCCTGGGCGACAGAGCGAGACTCTGTCTCAAAAAAAAGATGCCAAGGACAGAATAACTGTGCTGCAGTATGCTAATGCAGCAGGCATGCATAAGTGTAAACTTGCTGTGACAGGAAAAGCTTTTGTCATCATTGTTATCAAGACATGAATTTACCAGTCTATTATGCTAACCAAATATTATGCTAGCCATGGATCAGTAGGAACATCTTTTCTGATTGGTTTCATATTTTGTACCAGCAGTTTATACTCACTGAAGGGAATCTGAACTACAAGAGCACTGCAAGATTTGGTTATTCCTTGACAACTGATCTGCTCCTCCTCCCGTTGAAATTCTCATCAAAATAATCTTTATGTTATGTACTTTCTCCCAAATGTGACATCATTAATTCAGTCATGTGATGAGATTATCCGAAAATCAATAAAGAGTAAATATGAAAGCATGCTTTCCTAAACAGCATGCTAGCAGCAGTGAACAGAATACAGAATAGTGGAAATGGGAGGTTTTCAAAGGGAGTTTAACGTGAAGGAAACTCTATTGGTGTTGCCAATCCTTGGAATACAGTGACTAAAGGCACAAGTTGTGCATGCCTGGCACAATCTCTGGCCTGCAAATATGTTCAGTGTTGATGATGAACAAGATGGTGACTTTGAAGAATTCTGTATGTCAATTGTGTACACAATTATATCTGACCTCCTTACATATGCAGACATAATATACCTTCAGAGTCTGTCAGTACGCTGACAAGTAAGAAGTAAATGCTGAAGATGTTTTTAACATCAATAATAAGGCTCCAGTTGTTAATTCTTTGAATGATGGTGAATTAGCTAAAACTATAATGAATTGAGACGATGATAATAATGATGATGAAGTTGATGTTATTAACACTGCACAAAAAAAGAAACTATAGATAATGTGGTGAAAAGGTGTGATGGGCTTATTAAAGGAGAAAAAAAATGTAGTTAATGAGCAAATGACCCTCGGGGAGACATTTAAAAAGCCATCCACCAGAAGCCCTCCTCATTTTTTGGAAGACCCACTTCCTGGTCCCTCAACTGGTTTGATGTTTCTACTGACTCCCCCAAAATAAAATAAGTTGTACAAAAACCTTCTAATCAAAATACAGCATCGTGGTGGAGACCGGAAACCTGCCATTGTTTGATGTTGCTGCTGTCTAACAACTGATGTAAGTATTCTGTTGATGTTACTATGCTGTTTTGTTACTCAGAACACATTATTTTTCACTGGAATAATGGTATGTCACATTTTTATGCTATGTACTTATGTGTGAATAAGCCAAAGAAAATGATTGCTTATCAGTACTGTGTAAATTTAGAGACAGGAATGATGGTGATGCCAAACAAACAGATTGTCCACATGGGTGGCTGAGATAGTGATAGTGACTGTGTTTTCTGATGGTTCAATGTATACAAACTGCATTTTGTGCACAAATTCATTAAAAATATTGTATAAAATTATCTGTAAGCTATGTATAGTAGGTGTATATAAAACATAAATGGATTTTTTGCTTACACTTAAGTCCCATCCCCAAGATATCTCATTGTTGTTATGCAAATATTCCAAAATATGAAAAAATCTGAAATCTAAAACATATCTGGTCCCAAGAATTTTTACATAAGGATTACTCAATCTGTATCATTCACCATGTTACATATTTCTAGTTAAGTGTCTCTTTATTCAAAACTGAGTTTCAAACATAAGATATAACACATTTATTATTGCATATGATTTGAAACTGTTTACTGTCAGTTTTCAAGCTTAAAGCTTTATGTCAAAATTTTGATTATCATTGTAAATGAGTTATATAGCCTATCCATTATCCCTATATTATTGAAATTTTAGTTGACTTGATCAGCATTAAAAAGAAGTAATTTTTAATAAATTAGAAGTTCTCAAATTGGAGTTATCACTTACTCAAGATTTGCTTAATACTTTTCTTAACCATAGGAGATAAAAATAGTCAATGTATATAATAAAAATTAAACTGTAAGGAAATCATGTATAATAAATATTCTAAAATGATTGCACTAAGTGTAGATGTAGAGTGTCCTTATATTTTTTTTTCAAGAAAAAAATAATCTTCTATGTTACGTATCTGTTTCACAATTTTGTGGGCCCCTGCCGAATGTCGTTTCATAATTTCTTATATGCTAAAATAAACACATTTGACAATTTTTAAAAGAAAAATCATGCTTTAAAATACATATTCAATGTAAAGCAATGCAAGGTAGGAGATTGTATTTAGAACTTCTGGTTTAAGAATGTCTATATTCCTCAAAATTAAAATTATGATACTTTCTGTTGAAAATTTGTCAATGTGAAAATGATAAATGATGTCACATTTTTTATTGTGTTTTCTCCTAAGGTTTTAATTAGGGTACAATGCACAACACTGAAGATTTCCAAATATTTTATTAAAATGATCAAATTGTATTTGCCTAGGGAAAATTCAAGGCACTAACCTGTATTTGTTGATTGAAATTATTTTTGTTATCATTCTGAAAACTTTAAGCAACTATATTTTTCCCAAGCACGTGGGGATATTTGTTCAATTTGGGAAAAAATATATCAATTGCAAATACACTCATATTAACTTTACAACTTTACCATATTTTGTAGATTTCAATGATAATATATTCAATATGTTTTATATCTTCCATATATCTAAAACAGTGAGCCAGGTTTTTAAACTATTGACATACCAGAGGTAATTTTTCCCCTGAATTTTTAACTTTGAAGTAAAATAGATAATTTTCTCCTTTCTAACCCACATGTCTGCTACTCTACCAACATGGAGAATTTAATTCTCCTTCATTTTAATTGGCAATGGAGCAAGTACAATCAATATTTGACGAAAAACATTTAATTTTCTTTTTCATCATGACTTTTCCAGTGTGAGAAACATAATGTTGCTCTGAACTTGAGAGTTCTTATAATAGAACTTTCACATAAAAATAACTTCATTTTTCTTTTGTATAACACATTATCACAATGTATAAAAGGATTATTTCTCTTTTAACAATCTTACAGGCTACTTACTCTGTTTCTTTTCACAGATGTGAAAAATGAGGTTTACATAGGATAGCGATTCATGGACTATGATTCCAATTATAGATATTGTCCTGCAGACGATAAAATACCTAGGCTACTACTACTAAATACCTAGGCTGTATATTATAGCCTATTGCTTCCAGGCCAGATACCCATACAGCATGTTACTTTACTGAACGCTGTAGGCAACTGTAACACAATGGTAAGTATTTGTGTATCTAAACATGTCTAAACATAGAATAGATACAGTAAAATACAATAAAAAATAAAAATTGGTCCACTGGTATAGGGCACTTATTATGAATTAAGCTTGCAGGACTAGAAGTTGCTCTGGGTGAGTCCGTGAGTGAGTTGAGTTTTGAGTAAATATGAAGGGCTAGGAAATTGCTGTACACTACTGTAGGTAGGCTTTATAAACAATGTACATGTAGGCTACACTAAATTTATTTAAAAAATTCTTCAATAATAAATTAACATTGGCTTACTGTAAAGTGTTCATGTCATAAATATTTTAATTTTTGTAATATTTTTATTTTTTAATAACACTTAGCTTAAAACACAAATACATTGTACAAATGTATAAAAATATGTTCTGTTGGCCGGGCGCCATGGCTCACACCTGTAATCCCAGCACTTTGGGAGGCCGAGGCGGGCAGATCACGAGGTCAGGAGATCGAGACCATGGTGGCTAACATGGTGAAACCCCATCTCTACTAAAAATACAAAAAATTTGCCGAGCATGGTGGCAGGCACCTGTAGTCCCAGCCACTAGGGAGGCTGAGGCAGGAGAATGGCGTGAACTCAGGAGCATAGGTTGCAGTGAGCCGAGATCTCACCACTGCACTCCATCCTGGATGACAGAGCGAGACTCCATCTCTCTCTCTCTCTCTCTATTCATCTATCTATTTATCTATCTATCTATCTATCTATCTATCTATCTATATCTATATCTATATGTCTGTGTGTGTTCTGTCTTTATATTGTTATTCTACAAGCATTTTTCAATTTTTCTATTTTTAAATTTTTTTGTTAAAATCTAAGACACGTGTTTTTTGGCTGCATAAATGTCTTCTTTTGAGAAGTGTCTGTTCATGTCCTTCACCCACTTTTTGATGGGGTTGTTTGTTTTTTTCTTGTAAATTTGTTTGAGTTCATCGTAGATTCTGGATATTAGCCCTTTGTCAGATGAGTAGGTTGCGAAAATTTTCTCCCATTTTGTAGGTTGCCTGTTCACTCTGATGGTAGTTTCTTTTGCTGTGCAGAAGCTCTTTAGTTGAATTAGATCCCATTTGTCAATTTTGGCTTTTGTTGCCATTGCTTTTGGTGTTTTGGACATGAAGTCCTTGCCCATGCCTATGTCCTGAATGGTAATGCCTAGGTTTTCTTCCAGGGTTTTTATGGTTTTAGGTCTAACATTTAAATCTTTAATCCATCTTGAATTGATTTTTGTATAAGGTGTAAGGAAGGGATCCAGTTTCAGCTTTCTACATATGGCTAGCCAGTTTTCCCAGCACCATTTATTAAATAGGGAATCCTTTCCCCATTGCTTACTTTTCTCAGGTTTGTCAAAGATCAGATAGTTGTAGGTATGCAGCGTTATTTCTGAGGGCTCTGTTCTGTTCCATTGATCTATATCTCTGTTTTGGAACCAGTACCATGCTGTTTTGGTTACTGTAGCCTTGTAGTATAGTTTGAAGTCAGGTAGTGTGATGCCTCCAGCTTTGTTCTTTTGACTTAGGATTGACTTGGCGATGCGGGCTCTTTTTTGGTTCCATATGAACTTTAAAGTAGTTTTTTCCAGTTCTGTGAAGAAAGTCATTGGTAGCTTGATGGGGATGGCATTGAATCTGTAAATTACCTTGGGCAGTATGGCCATTTTCACGATATTGATTCTTCCTACCCATGAGCATGGAATGTTCTTCCATTTGTTTGTATCCTCTTTTATTTCCTTGAGCAGTGGTTTGTAGTTCTCCTTGAAGAGGTCCTTCACATCCCTTGTAAGTTGGATTCCTCTGTATTTTATTCTCTTTGAAGCAATTGTGAATGGGAGTTCACTCATGATTTGGCTCTCTGTTTGTCTGTTGTTGGTGTATAAGAATGCTTGTGATTTTTGTACATTGATTTTGTATCCTGAGACTGCTGAAGTTGCTTAGCAGCTTAAGGAGATTTTGGGCTGAGACAATGGGGTTTTCTAGATATACAATCATGTCATCTGCAAACAGGGACAATTTGACTTCCTCTTTTCCTAATTGAATACCCTTTATTTCCTTCTCCTGCCTAATTGCCCTGGCCAGAACTTCCAACACTATGTTGAATAGGAGCAGTGAGAGAGGGCATCCCTGTCTTGTGCCAGTTTTCAAAGGGAATGCTTCCAGTTTTTGCCCATTCAGTATGACATTTATGCAGCCAAAAAACACATGAAAAAATGCTCATCATCACTAGCCATCAGAGAAATGCAAATCAAAACCACTATGAGATACCATCTCACACCAGTTAGAATGGCAATCATTAAAAAGTCAGGAAACAACAGGTGCTGGAGAGGATGTGGAGATTAGGAAGACTTTTACACTGTTGGTGAGACTGTAAACTAGTTCAACCATTGTGGAAGTCAGTGTGGCGATTCCTCAGGGATCTAGAACTAGAAATACCATTTGACCCAGCCATCCCATTACTGGGTATATACCCAAAGGACTATAAATCATGCTGCTATAAAGACACATGCACATGTATGTTTATTGTGGCATTATTCACAATAGCAAAGACTTGGAACCAACCCAAGTGTCCAACAATGATAGACTGGATTAAGAAAATGTGGCACATATACACCATGGAATACTATGCAGCCATAAAAAATGATGAGTTCATGTCCTTTGTAGGGACATGGATGAAATTGGAAATCATCATTCTCAGTAAACTATCGCAAGAACAAAAAACCAAACACCGCATATTCTCACTCATAGGTGGGAATTGAACAATGAGATCACATGGACACAGGAAGGGGAATATCACACTCTGGGGACTGTTGTGGGGTGGGGGGAGGGGGGAGGGATAGCACTGGGAGTTATACCTAATGCTAGATGACGAGTTAGTTGGTGCAGAGCACCAGCATGGCACATGTATACATATGTAACTAACCTGCACAATGTGCACATGTACCCTAAAACTTAAAGTATAATAAAAAAAAAAGAAAAAGGAAAAGAAAAAAAAAGATGAATCAATTGAAAAGTAAAAAAATAAATAAATAAATAAATAAAATCTAAGACACAAGCACACACTTAAATCTAGCCCTATACAGGGTCAGGATCATCAATATCACTGTCTTTTACATGTGTGACTTATCCCACTGAGAAGTCTTTGGGGGTAGTAACAGGCATGAAGCTGTCATCTCCTGTAAAACAATGCCTTCTAACATATCTCCTAAGGATCTGACTGAGGCTCTTTTACCCTTAACTTGGTTTTAATAAGGAGGAGGAGTACATTCTAAAATAATGCGAAAGAACATAGTGTAGCAAATACATAACCACTAACAGAATAGTTTAATATCATTACCAACTATTATATACAGTGCATAATAGTATGTGTCATACTATTACACAACTGGCAGCAAAGCACATTTGCTTACCTGAGGGATGCATTGCCCTATGACATTACAACAGCTGCGATGTCACTAGCCAATAGGAGTTTTTCAGCTCCTTTATAATTGTTGGGGCCACTGGCATGTATTCAGTCTGCCATTCATCAATGTGTCCGTGTGCAGTGCATGCCTATATTTCTTTGTGCAATAGATACCTTTGTAAAGTCTTAAAGCTGTCTTCAAATACTTCAGGTGGCTATTAAAAATAAATGGAATATGTATGTTGCTTAGGGTCATTACTGGAACAGAATAGAAGTTTACTGAAAGGAATCTAGGTAACTTCATGGAGAACCAGGTGCAATACACTCCAATTAGGAGCAAAGTCCCAGTACAATAACAACAGTAACAACACTAACAAATCTGCAGAACTGGTCTAGTGAGGAAACCACGCCTCACTAAATTCTGAGTGCTGTGGTTTGATACACTCCAAGCTGGGGCCTGGAACCCATCCTACACTATTTTCTGCTACCGTGGAAGTACTAAGAGCTCCACTGCATGGATTATTTTCATCAAAAGCTCCAGGACAGGGGTAACCCATATGAATCATATCTCCTAGAATTGTAAAAAGTGAGCTTCTGACTCCAAAATTAGTCTTTGGTCTGATTGTGAGAGTCTAGACACATGACTTGAACTCTTTAGCTGTAAGGGCTGAAGAGGCACATGTGACATTTTCATATCCTATAACGAGACATCTAAAACTGAGATGATAAAGGTATAGACTGAGTTGGGTCCATATATTATTTCTGGAGTTCTTTGAATTAAAAAAAAAAATATATATATAGCATATATATATATGAATACATTATTCTATATATAAATACATTATTTATATTATATATAAACATATATAAACATTATTTATATTATATATAAACATTTATATTATATGTAAACATTTATATGTAAACATTTATATTATATGTAAACATATTTATATGTAAACATATTTATATTATATGTAAACATTTATATATAAATATATATATTTAGGTTCAGACTTTTTTTAGGTCTAAATAGGAAAGTTTACAGATGATATCTTTGTCTAGACATGACTTATTCAAGAAAGACATTGTCTTTCAAAATTAAGTATAATATTAGCTGTAGGTTTTTGCAGTTTTCATATCTCAAGTTAAAGAAGTTTCCTTTTATTCAAAATTGGCCAGTAATTTTTAAAATCATGAATGGATGTTGAATTTTGTAACTTTTTCTTTACTTACTGCTATAATTATATTTTTTCTTATTTACTCTGCAAACATGATAGATTGCATTAACTGATTTTCAAATGTTGAACTAGCTTTGTATCTCTACTATAACACCTCTTGATTCTGAAGTGTTACAGTTTTTATATGTTATTACAATTGTCTAGTATTTTGTTAATGATGTTTACATTTATATGAGTGTTATGGGTCCTTTTAAAATCTCTGCCTTGTGTATCCGGATATGCTGATTTCATGGAGATGAAAAGTGTTGCTTTCTTTTAAATTTTCTGGAAGACATTGTTAAGAACTGGCTTTAATTCTTCTTTAAATCCTTGGCATAATTCACAATTAAGTCCATTTAGGTCTGATATTTTCATTTTTAAAAAGATCTTAGCTACAAATTTAATACTCATTACATTATCTATTTATTATTGAGAGAGTTTTGGTAGTGTCTTTCAAGTAACTGATCCATTTCATATAAGCTGTTAAATTTTGTCCATAGAGTTTTGTTGTAATATTCCCTCTTTATCCTTATAATATCTATGAGGTCAGTTGTGATAATATATCTTTTCTTCTAATAAAGTAATGTGTGCCTTCTCTTTTATTTCTTGTTCAAACTACCTGAAAGTGTAATCAATTTTGTTTGTTCATTTTGGATAACATAAGCAGCTTCTAGTTTCACAGATTTTCTGTGCTTTTGTATATTCTCAATTTCATTAATTTATAATTGTATCTTTTTCTTCCTTCTGTTGTTTACTTTGGGTTTGGTCTCCTATTCGTTTTTTTTTTTTCCCTAGTTTCTGGAGGTGGAAGCTTATATTATAAACTTGAGAACTTCATTCTTTTGTAACATGAGCAAATAATGCTGTAAATTTCCCTCTAATCTTGCTTTAAATATGTTTCTTATAATTTGACATGTTTAATTTTCATTTTCATTTAGCTTAAAATATTTTCTATTTTCCCTTGAAACTTCTGCTTTAATCTGTGGATTACTTAGTACAACATTGATTACTTTTTAAAGTATTTTTAGATTTATCAAACATCCTTCTATTTATTTTACGTTTAGTTTTATTTTGATCAGAGAACACAGTGTGAGTAATTTCCATTCTTAAATTTAATAAGATTCATCTTGTGACCTAGAATGTGATCTATCTTGGAAGATGAAAGCATTGCTAAATCATGCAGATCAATTCTTTGTTGTGTAATTGTTCTGTGCATTAGAGGATGTCTAGCATCTGGGTCTTCTGTCCCCTAAATGCCAGTAGTTTATCACATTATTTTGCAAGCAAATTTATGTCCGAAATTTTTACGTGTCTTTGGGGGCACTGATGCCTCTTTTGGAAAATGACTGGTTAAACATAAATATTAAACTTGTTTAATAAACTCGATATTTGAATATTAGATATTTTAGATTTCCTTGTTCTCAATACTATTTCAAACATTGTAAAATATGATAATTTATTTAGTTGAGTTTTGCCTCTTTGAATGAATGAATTTTTGAAAAGAAATTTAGAAGATAATTATTTATCAGTAAATTGGTGTTTTAATTTAGCTTTCTTCTCTCTCTTTCTCTGTCTCTTTCTCTCTGTGTGCGTGTGTGTATACACACAAGTACATGTTAACTATTAACAGAATTGGAGATTTTGAATTTCCTTATATCTTACTCATGTATATTTGCATAATAAATAACAACTGCACAAACATTAGAGCAAAATCTCTCTCCTCCATATTCGTAACTTTTATTGTGGTGAAATTAATGTGAGTTCATTAAAAAATTCCTTTCATTTTTGTCTAAAGGAATGTGGCTTGAGCGAGAGTCTCTTGATTGGTAATGGTGGGCAAACTGTGAGCCATTTGTTAATCACTTAATAATGACAGCTTTCGGGTAGTAATTTAGACCAGCTGCACTGGACTGTCTGGACCCATCATTATTTCTGCTCTGTGAAATAAGCTGTCATTATGTTTCACACAAACATATTTCTGTCTTTTCATAACTAGAATAGTTCACCTGGGAGAACCAATGAAAGAGAAAGCTACCATATAAAAATTCTGCTTTACAGAAAGGATAGCTTAATAGAAATAACATTATTAACGAATTTAGAAGAAAAATATTTCTCCTATTTTTCATTTCAACAAATAGTGTTGCTGTGTGCTTTACTGATGCTGATGACAATGACTTTAAAAGTCACAAACAGTTCATTCCTCAGTAGAGATAAATACAACTTCAGAAAGCAGTATATCAATCTTGCACTGATAGAAGTAATAAAAATTGATTTATAATAGCTAATGGAGTTTTTTTCTTTTTACTTTCCCATGTTTTAAACTATATGAAAGAGTGTGTGGACAGGGCTCTTGGTGAATATTTAAATTATTTTTTTAAAAAAGTTAAACTGAACTACATAATTTCCCTCAAGTTCTCCAGAAACTCAAACAACATAAGTCAACATGTAATACATTATTGTACTTCAATAAATATCATCACATTTCACAAAAACAATTAGTATGAATAGTTTTACTACTACTAGAAAATAGCTTATTGAGTAATTGCTTTGTGGTAGATACTATGCTACATTATCAAATAAAATATATTTTAACCCTCACAATAAAACATAGATTGGTCCTATATCCAGCACATGGAAGACCTAGAAATTGAAACTGAATCTGACTGCTCCAATAGCTTCCATTCTCAAACAATTCCATACTACCTTTAAAGAGTAGAAATTAGTCTAGCTTAGGAGACTGAGAATATGAAGAGAGTGTCTCATGAAGTAATAATAGAATGTGTAAAGGCATGAAGAGAGATAAGGGCATGGCTTCTTACTGATCCATAAGGAGATTTATATATGGTTAAAGGTTAAAATTCGAAGAGCACAGTTAGTAAGAATAAGGCTACAAAGATATTCAGGGACAAAATCAGGGAGGGATTTCTCAACAATTTTAAGCAGTTTGGGCTTTAACCCTGAGAGCATCACAGAATAACTGAAAGATTTTAAGCAGATAAATAATCTCCTTATTATGCTCATGGAAATTTCCTTAGTTTATATGCTCAGTGTACTGTAGGGATTTAAGAATAAAAACAGAATGATTATTTATAAGGTTGATTCTGTATTAAAATTGCTAGATACCAAGTCCTGGCTTTGGGTGGCAGGGGAATATACTTAGATCATAAAATAACAAACATCTTTTTTAAAGTAAAATTCAAGAATAACACCATCGTTTCTGGATAGGAGATTGGTTAATACTTTTTAAAATTGCTTGGTAAGGTCTTAAGTAATCTTAGAAAAAAAATTTAGGGCACAGATAGTTTAAAGATGTTAGAAAAGTTTATCTCTATTACATATTTTTCTCTTATTCTGCAGAATTTTATGCTGTACACCGTTTCTGTGCACAACCTTATTTTAAAACTTCTTTGCCCACCAGATCTAAACTCCTTGACAATCTAGTTTTCTTTTAGTTATAGTCTCCTATTCTTTAAAGAATAAAACTGTCCAGACTTTCCTCTGTCCAGTTACCGCTTGGAGAAGTTCCTGAGCAAACCCTAGGTCATTCAAGACCACTGATTTTGTGTTTCTCACTCTATAGCATAAGGGAATTCAAGTCATGTTTTTGCATTTGCCTGCACGTTGGCTGTTTGACCCCATAGCCTCAGCTGTGAAATCTTTTTGTTGGTGGAATTCTTACAAAGTGTTTCTCAACTATTTTACAGTAACAATATCCTATCTCAGGATGCCAAATTGTAAGTCAAACTTGGTATCATTCTTTAAGTTTATTTGATGTGAGCTACGCAAAAATGTGTAGTTTCAAGCATCAATGAGGAATTCTCCATACTTCACATTTGAATATGGTGAACCTTATCTCATTTCAATGAATATAAAAATAAGGGAGCTCTGACTACCACTTGAATCTAAGTCTTCATCTTACTCAGAATAATTTTCCTTATGCTTCAATGTCTTTTCCACTGTTTTCTTCTGTTTCAGTCGCAATATATTTAAGATTTATCCATCTAGAAATCTAACTTAGATTTGCATTGGCCTCTCAGGACTACTCTTGATCTTCATTATTCCATTACCTAGGTTTTTGAAAATATAGCATAAATTCCATATGCCCATTTCATGAGCTCATTTTCATTATTCTGCTCACTAATACCAGGTTTCTGACCCCATAAATTTACTGAACACTATCACCTAGGTAATCATGGTATACACTTCTTATTTTTGTTAAACTCAGTTTATCTGATAATGACTTACCAGGCCCTGGGGCTTCCACAAAAATTTCCGCATAACACATTTTGCCATTTAATAATGTCCTGTTGTTTTTACTTTATTAAGAAATTGCTAATCAAATTACCTAATCAGATGATAAGTTAGGCATTTGCAATAATGGAGCCTCTTCTTGTTCTATTCTACTTTATTGATGATGAAAGGGACCCATTTAATTTCAGAGGGGTTTGACAAATCGATGAGATGTTAGTGGATTCTAGTCTAAAATATCTCACGAATTCTCTTTACACAGAATTTCACTTTCAGATGCCTTAATCAACTATTGCCTATGGCTGGTCAGCAGATGCCTCAAAAAATGTTAAAATCATCCTCCTAAAGTCATTCTCTTGCTTGGCTTCTATGACAAAATATTCTGCCTTATCTCCTACTATCTCTCATTTTTATTTTCAGTCTCACTCACTGCATATTCTTCCTTTGCTTGCTTCTTATGTATTGCTACACCTTATATTCCTTCCTAATACCATTCTCTCCCTCTATTCTAATGCACTTTTGAACTTGTCCTCTGTCATCATTTTAAGCTCTATCTTTGTGGGTGATTTTAAAGATTATTTCTTCAGCCCATAGAATCTTCAAAAGTTTTGTCCTCTATATCATACTGCTTACTGGACAACCCCACTAAAAAGTTTCATAGGTATTTCTCTGCTATTCCTCTATTTCTTTTCCTAATTAAAGACATTTTCCTCTATTGAGTCAGCAGAAGATAAACTTGGGAGCTCTCTTTTAATCATTACTCTGTTTTTATATCTACTCTCAAGAGTTCCACATTTTGTGCTTTTCTTTCTTACCTTTGATTCACTTGTTCATTTTCAGCTCCACAGTTAACGCTTTCGTTCCAACTCCCATTTTTCTCTTTTCTCATCTAACATCACATTCTCCAAAATGCCTACTGACTTGCATTTGTTATACTATCTCTCCATGACTGCCAGAATAATCTTTCTAAGAAGCAAGATGGAGAATATCACTCTATTGCTTCAACCTCTTCAATAGATACAGCTTCTTAAGGATGAACTCTCAACTTCTTAATGTGTTATGCCCAGTCCTCCATGATCTGGATACTCCAAGCACCCAGGGCTTTTCTTGCTTTGCCTCTAACAACTCTAATTCAATCTTTTTGAAATATTTATAGTTCTTCAAGGCACAAATATCTCATAACTTACATGTCTTTTTGGAGTTATTCTTAATTTCCAAAAATGTCTTTATTTACTGGCCAGCAACTACTCATCCGTCAATATTCAGCTCTTCTGTTACCTCTCCTGAATGCTTTAAGTAAAATGATTACTTTCTCCTTTTGACTTCGCTATAACTTAAAATTCTCCTATAACATCTTACTAAAGGTAGGTGCTTTCAAATTAATTTCACCTTCCTTAGTAAAGTGAGTGCAGGCAGTAAGTCAGCAAATCCCCAATGACGATTATCTCTGATGAAATTGGAGTATAGGAAGATGGACAAGACAATCCCCTGCCCTGCAGGAATCACAATCTTCATGTCTTTATCTCCAGAATCAGAGTTTACCACAATTTTAGCAAACTGTGGAAGCACATTTTAGTACTGATTCAGTAATATTATGATTAAATTAATAAATGATTAGATAACTTATTGGTAAGTTATTACATTATTTAATAAAATAATATGCTCATATATATTTTTTTTTCAAGGAGCAAGTCCTTGTAATACAATTACCTGATTTGCCATACTACTACTCATCTTTTAGCCATGCCATAATTATTTTCTAAAATGTCATATTTTCAAACTAAAAATGCTTAGTTTCTAGTCAGTCTCTTACTTTAAATTTTTGACCCAATGAGTCTATATACATATATATATATATATATATATATATATATATATACACACACACACACACACACACACACACACACACACACACACACACACCTTAATCCTGTCCTGTTTAAGGTTAAACGAATTACTTTCGTGAAACTTTCTACACTATTTCATAAGACTTTCTACATTACTTCATAAGACTTAGAATCATAATGTTTGTGCTGTTATTAGCTGTTATTTCCTAGGTAGCCATTAACCTTCTAGGTTTATGAGTAGTGATCTCAATTTAGCAAGCTTATTGTGTGGACTCAGGCAGATAACTATATTTAATACTAGTACATTTGGGGTGCATGATGAATTTTTGTTGATTCAGGCCCCAAATCTCACTAATAAATTGCTTGTTTGACCCATATGGCCTATAGTATTTTTCAGTTATTTTCACTTATGTGGGTATTTAATCCTATTAATAGCATATTCACTCTTAGGATGAACGAATATATCTTTTATTTTGTTTTAACTTTGCCTTTATCTATTACAATATTTCAAGTTGCTAGAAATAATTATTTATAGAATAAATACATTTCTTTTTATGCTTTCCATTTTATAAGTCCCTTCACCTTAGAAAATATAAATACTCCCTTTTTGCATGCAAACAGGCAAAACTTACACATGCAAGATTCTTAAATAAAGGATCCTTCCACTGGATTGCAAAAATATATTATGAGCATTTAATACAAAATTAACATTTATTTTTGTTACGTAATTTTGTTTTCTAAAAACATAACTAAATTGTGCTATGATGTAAAGTAGTGTACTTTAAAAATCATAAAACATCGGTTAAGTAACAAATCCCTGGACATGCAGTAGAAAAGAAACTAGAAATAGAGGTGAATTGGACTACATAACTCACAATATTTCTCTCAAAGGGAATTGATGCCATGATTTTATCAGGACTCAAAGATTGTTTTATGAACCAATACAGTTGTGATCTAAACTTGTATTCTCTTGCTAAAGTGTATAACAGTTATAGCTTAGTTTAAATTCCTCAAAGGCAACTTTGTAGAATGAAAGAACATTCACTTTGCAAAAGAATGCCCTTTTCCCCTTTAATTTTTAAACTTTTGGAGAAAATTTAAATTTAAATTATTTTGTTATAATTATTTAAATATGGAATCTCATTCTGTCACCCAGGCTGTAGTGCAGTGGGACAGTCATGGCTCACTGAAGCCTTGAACTCCTGGGCTCATGCCGTCTGGCCTCAGCTTCCAGAGTGTCTGGGTCTACAGTCATGCACCACCACACCCAGCTAATTTTTATTTATTTATTTTGTAGAGACAGGGTCCCATTATATTGCCCTGGCTGATCTTCAACACTTGGCCTCAAGTGATCCTCCCACTGTCCCCAAGAGTGCTGGTGTTTCAGGCATGAGCCACCACACCTGCCTCCCCTTTATTTATTTTTTGTACATAATAATAGTGCAGTTTCAAGGAGCAAGTCCTTGTAATACTATTAACCTGATTTGCCATAATACTACTCATCTTTTAGCCACGCCATAATTATTTTCTAAAATGTCATATTTTCAAACTAAAAATGCTTATTCTCTAGTCAGTCTCTTACTTTAAATTTTTGACCCAATGAGTCTTGTTTAAAAAGAGAAACTAAAGCATATTTCACACATATAATTAGTTTGAACTATGATATTATAGCAATGTTTCCAGCTTAGAAAAAATATCAGAATGTGCAACAATATTATTAATCTCAAATAATATTAAAACGGTATTTCTCCTTAGGATGATGTAATTTTTTTTTGGCTCAAAATAAGCAGATTGTTTAATCTGTGCCGTTTTGTTTCACTTCTCTGGGAAGCTGAGTAGTCGCTTCACACAGGTGCTTTGAAAGAAGTCCGCCACCAGAGACCCTGAGTTCAAATGCAGCACTTTAATAGCTCCTTGAAAGTCTAATGAACCTGTAGAATATTCACAAAAGTTCAAAGGAAGTCCCATGAATCCACTTCACATTAATTAAGAAACACAGTTTTTAAAATAAGACATTTTTAGCATGTGGAACTAGGTGAAGAGCGGCCTTCTCTTCCTCCAACTCCATGCTCCATGATGATGCAAAGCCACAAAAATTATTTTTAAATGTTTTAACTGCATTTTCATAAGTCTTAAATGTAAAGTGTTCTTTTTTTGTTTCTCATTGCTAAAGTAATGCTGCTCTTGCTACTACTGCTGCTAGTGTTGCTGCTGCTACTACTTCCACTACTATTGCTAGTAGTAATTTGTTTGAACCCATTGGACATAACATCAAAGTCATCATTTTAAAGATAGGTAAGCTGAGACAGAATGATTAAGTCTGACAAGTAAAAAAAAGATTACATAAAATTATTATACAGTATCTCTTTAAATCAGGAGATAATCAGAAAACATGATAGAGAAATTTGCCTTTTCAGTTTTTCATTCAAGTTGCTTATTATTATTATAAATACCTATGAAAAATCAACTTGTCTCCTGGCTTGAGAATGAATTCTCTTCTCTGATAGGTGGTTTGTCATACTGCTGTCCTAAAAATGCCACCAGTGTACCTATGCTATATAAAATCTTTGTCCCACTTAAGTCAAGGTGAGCTTTTTTTTAAGAAAAATGAAGAAATATGATAAATTTTCTTAGTAAAAAGAAAATCATATTATATACTTTTGTCACAATAGTAATTATGTACCTTAATACTTATCAATACTGCACATATGTAAACCAATTGAATGTATCTTCTTAGGATTTAGAAACCACTAAACTGTTACACATTTTTGTTTTGATGACGTAGATATTTATTCTTTGATTAAAAACATTGTAACAAAAATCAACACCAACAGACCTACAGATTATAGGAATTTTTTATATTAAAAATTATAATGCAGTCTTAGCAGTAATATTTATTTTATAGCTATTGATGAGTATATAAAAATTTGAAATATATTGCTTCAAAAGTATTTAGTTTTAGAAGCACTTTCAGAAATGTTGCAGTGATGTGATGAAGGTTGTTAATTTGAAGTAACATGAAATTGAATTTAACTTACAGGTGTAAATGCAAAAATTTGCCTAAATACCATACCAATTTAAAATGGGGATAGAATACAAACTGGATCATAATATTACTTTAAATATTATATGAAAGAATTTACATAAAACAAATACTTTTACTTTAGACAACAATAACTTGGTTACTTTTAATTTATAACTATTAATACCGTTTTATCATATGGTGATTTTTAAAAGTATAATATGTATTTAAATGAAACAGCCAAATGAAATAAAAATTTATCTTTAACATTTTCAAGGAAGACTAAAAGAATAATTTGAAATTTCCAGAAATATTATTTCTTTGCAGATTTTCTCACAAACAGTAGTATAGTTGTGCTAGATAAAAGAATAACTTGGAATATCCAGAAATATTATTTCTTTGCAGATTTTCTCACAAACAGTAGTATAGTTGTGCTAGGTTCATCAACACTTTCAACAGATATTTTACAACTGCTGTTTTCCCAGGCAGTGGGATAGAGATCTGATAAATATTGTGAATAGAAAAAAAAATTAACTCTCTGCCTCATGGTAACTATAGTCTATTGTCTGGTCCAATTTTATAATGAAACTCAAGTCCAATTTGTAAGTGATGCTGATATTCAGCACTTAAATACGACTACCACCTCACCACCATTGCCACCATAATAATAAAGCACTAAACCAAAACAATTAAAAGTCATGACTATTTTAAATAAATATCTATAAATTATATTTAGAAATAGAACAAATGATCCAGAATTTAACAATTATTTTATTCAGAGTAGAGCAATTTGAGTGTATTATCATCCAGTCAAGGAAGCCCTGGTCACCATCATTATAGTCCTTGTTGCTAGTTATTCTATCTTTTGTTTTGTTTTGTTTTTGAGACGGAGTCTCGCTCTATCGCCTAGGCTGAAGTGCAGTGGCGCGATCTCGGCTCACTGCAAGCTCCGCCTCCTGGGTTCACGCTATTCTCCTGCCTCAGCCTCCCAAGGAGCTGGGACTACAGGCGCCCGCCACCACGCCCGGCTAATTTTTTGTATTTTTAGTAAAGCCGGGCTTTCACCATGTTAGCCAGGATGGTCTCTATCTCGTGACCTTGTGATCTGCCCGCCTCGGCCTCCCAAAGTGCTGGGATTACAGGTGTGAGCCACCACGCCCGGCCTAGTTATTCTGTTTGTTAGATTCCACATATAAGTAAGATCATTCAGAATTTATGTTTCTGTGTCTGGTTTAGTTTACTTAGTATAATGTCCTTCAGGTTTACCTATGTTGTTGCAAATGGCAGGGCCTCCTTCTTTTCTAAGGCTGATATTTCATTTTGTATAACACACACACATACACATGATTTTATTTATCTGTTTATTGTCAATGGACACTTGTTTCCATATCTTGGCTATGGGGGATAATGCTTGCAATAAACATGGGAATGCAGATATCTCTTTAAGATACTGATTTCAGTTCCCTTGGGTATATCACTGGCAGAGGAATTGCTCTTTCATATGGCAGTTGTGTTTTGATTTTTTAAAGAAAGCTCCATCCTGTTTTCCATAATGGCCATACCAATTTACATTCCATCATCAGTGTACAAAACGTACAGTGTATGTTTTTCATATGCCTGTTGGCCATTTTATGTCTTATTTGAAAAAATATCTATTCAGGCCTTTTACCCATTTTTTAATTGGATGATTTGGGTTTTGGCTATCAGTTGAGGGTTTTTACTGGAAATCACACCATGCCAAATGAATTTCATATAATATCAGAGTTAATTCCATGCCATATTATCTTTGATGAAACACAGACTCAGAGAAGTTAACTTTTTTTAAAGTTCTAGAATTAGTGTGAGCTGAAGAAGGATTCTGAATTCACATCTTTCTGATTCTCAAGCCTGTACTGTGTGGCACACCTCCAACTCTGAACTGGGTCTATCTGGTCATGCAAATTTTTTTCAAGTGTGGTTCTCTGCTTGCTTCCTTCATGAAGCAAAATAACATAAGCAAGGAAGCATATTGTGCCACGTTCCCAAATAATCACACTATTTCTCTTGTAGATTCCTTCCTTAAAAACATTCCAAAGCTGCATTGGTACACTTCCTGAGAAAGAGAGGGGTCCGGATGGTTTCACTGTGTAACTATGATACATGAGGTGATATATTCATCACACATCAAACCTGTTTATATTTTCTAATTTCATTCAGGCTACAATCTCCTCTTCTTAAACTTGCCATAAATTTGCCTCAATTCACTAAAATTGCCTTGAGTATGTTAATGTTTTCCTTGACTAAGAATTCCTTGAGAGAGAAAGGGGAAGCTGCTTCTGAGAATCTTTAGCAGACATCATTGAATTTATTATGGAAACTGAGATCACTTCTCTTGGAATTTCAAGTCTTTCTCAGATGAAAGTTATTTAATTTTGGCATAAACATTGCTGATAAAAAAGATTAGTTTATATGAGTATAAATCTTATATAAAAAGTACTCAAATGTACACAATAAATTTTAAAACATTTTCTTTGGAATATTAATAAACACGTGTTTAAAATGCAATTGACTGTGGACAGAGTAGGTTTATCATTGAGAGTGTTTACAAAATAAATTTAAAAAAGATAATTAGTTGCAAATGTCTTCTTACTTCTCTCATCTTGCCTTAAATGGTAACATTTTAGTCATGATGAGTTCTTTGCATTATTGCAGAAAAAATTTTAAAAATACACTTTTGTGTTTATGCGTGTCCTTATTTTGTATTTTCTACACAGTTGTAGAAACTTTATTGTTAAAAATCATTAGATGCTGCATGACCTTTGCATAATTTTTAATTCTTAAAATAAAAATTCACTAATTTGTATTAAGAATTAGTGCAATAATTACAAATGGATATTTGCTATTTCTGGTTGTTCAATGTCCTTTGAATATCCCCTCCAATATCTTCATAAATTCTCACTCTAGGAATCACGACTTTTGGAAGTAAAAGTAAAAACGCAAAACAAACAAAAAACTCACTACCTTTCCCAGTATTTTGTATTTTGCTGTATCTGTATTTTGCTGTATCTATTGCTGCTGAGTAGCAGGCATAATCTATGACCCAATCCCATAATGAAGCAATAAAAATGAATAGTCTTCAGCCATGTGCAACATACTAGATGCAACTTAAAAACAATGTTGAGTGGGAGAAAAAAAAGCCAGAAGAAAACAGTGAATCGTGAATGTTTCCATTTAGATAAAGTTCAAAACCAATCAAAAATAAACTATGGAGTTCGGAGTTAAGGCAGTAGTCAAATTGGGGTAAGAGAAATATAGTAGGGAGACGGTAGAATGAGGCTTTAGGGATGATGGAGATATTATATTCCTTGATTAGGTGATGTTTAGGTGGTTATATTCACTTTGTAAGATGTCTTCAAGCTGTAAAAATATAAGTTATATACTTTTTTCTATGCATACTATACATTAACAATAATATTATTGAAACATTAATAAAATACTTCTGAATCTTCGGGAAAACAAAAAGGTAGACATTTTTTCAAACTTAGTAAAGCTATGTTCAGCTAGTCAGATATGCCATTGGTAAGGTAAGTTGATGCTGGGGACTTTGACAATGCAGTAGTGAAGGCAACTGGTTCTTTGGGGACAGCTCTGGTGGAGGGTTGGACATGCATTCACTACTGTGACAATGAAGTTTTGTTTTTATTATTCCTGGCTGTGTAGTACGCATGCTTGGTTTTGAGGTCTTCTCAGAGATTTTGTGACACACCTAATATCCTTTATTAAATTTCTTTCTGTTCAAGCTTGTTGATGTTTAACCTGATGTTTGCAACTAGGCAAACTGATCATTTAAAAAAAATTCTTATTTAAAAGATTACATAAGATTTGTATTTATATATTAACCTTATATCGAACAACTTTGATGAACTCATTTAATTCTTTTATTATAAAATAGTACAAGAAACTACTTAGAAAATTACTCTGATAATCTTGTGAAAGTTCTAGTTTCAAAAATGTTTAAATTTGCACATTCCTGATCTGCCTTTTCTTGCAATTCAATCACTAAAATAACTGGGATTTTTTGTTAACAGTTGGAAGAAAATTGAGATGCATCTGATACCTAGAATTCTTATAAAGAAGGAACTATTTTGAGTAGACAATGTCTAGTGCCAATGGAAGATCTGGAAGAGAGTTGCTAAGAAAAAGGCTTTTCTTTTCCTGCAGAGGCTGAGCAAAGGCTGCAGATTTATTGTTAGGCATGAAGAGCAAGGATTCAGAACAGAATGATAGCAAATAACTAACCTAATTATAAATATATTTGCCAATCCAAAGTTTTAAAATTGGAAAAAAATCACATTAATTGTGAGTTTGGAACAGAGAACACTAAAGGTGTAGTGAAAAAGGGGTGGGGGAGAGATTTAACTCTTAATTTAATCTGCCATAATGAATATAAACTTAACTATCAACCTAATTATAACTTCATTTTAAATGAATTATTGCTAGAATTACAGGATTAACTTTGATTCTGGGGTTTACTTATGCTCATTTGATTTATTTATATATTGTTAAACGATAAAATTATTATATTGTATAATCGAAGAATCATGTTCAGGTCAATATTAAAAGTTATTTGTCAGGTGTGATCCTATTTTAGTTTTCTACCTTCTGGGATGTTTGTTTATTTAAAATTCTTGTGGGTGTTTTTAAAGATTTATAGATGTGTCTATAAATCGGTTTCAGGATGTAGTATTATGCTTCATTAAGTAGTATTATATTTCATGATGTAATATTTTATAACTAGAATTTGTAGAATATAATTTTAGGAATTCACTCAAATCATAATATTGGAAATTAGAATGGATGAATCCAAATGACTGTTTTTGAATAATGGCACAAACTGCTACGTATATTACATAAAATTGCTATTCTACTCATAAATTTTATGCTTCTTATTAACATAAGTCCTATCTCTAAAACAATTCTGATTCAACCCTGTAGAGTAAGAACTTAACACACTGAAATTAACACACAGTTGGAAAAACAGATCAGAGAATGGGAGTTTGAGTTGTCTCTGATGAAGCAAAGATTTCAATGAGTTTTGTGAGGGGAAAAAAATCAAAAGGGTGGGACACAAAATAGGCAGAGAATTGCCAGTGTATTTTTGGCAAGGTATCTGATTGTAATGATAGCAAATATTAATTTCCTTAAGTCAATCAGATACTAAATGTCTTATGCTGTGCAGGATATTTCTATATAATAAAATATTTTCTTACGCAAATGTTTTTATTACCTCCATTGAGAAAACTGCTAAAGTGCTTGGAGATAAGAATATTCGTTGTGTGTAACTCTGCTAGCATTTGTCTGCTGAGATAAGCACATTAGTAAATTATTTATCTATTTACATTTGTTCTCAGTGAAAGTTTTTGTTTTCTAGTAAATAATGCCCTCAAAATGTCTATTGGATATTAAAATTATGTCTTTTGAGACTGGTAAAGTGATTGTTTACAATTAAAGAATAAATTTTCCCTCATATTTAAGGGCTTTTTAACAACATTGTTTTGGTATTCTGATAGTTGTACAGGTTTCTACTCAGTTTGATACTAGCTATCTTGTTATTATTATAATATTATTTAAATCAAATGAGTAGTTTAATTAACTGATATACTTCCTAGAAACAATTTATTTCCCTTCAACATAATCTCTTTTCTCAGCAGGTTATGGATTCAAATGTTTCTTCAGAATAGAAAACGTAAAATTCAGAAATACTCAACTACATAAGAATATTGTGTTATTATTTTTAACCAATTTCTTACCTCAATTTAGACATAAAATCTCCTGTCTGTCCTCTCTCTAATTAACTGAGACATTAGGAAAGTATTTTTTTTAAAAAAACGCACATATATAAAATGAATACATATATATATGTACCCTCCTATATACATATATATGTATTTATGTTATTTTAAAATAATATAAGAAATAAAAGTTAATTTATTAAACTTTCTGGCAATTAAATATATATTATATATTTACACATATAAATGTATTATATATGTATAAATGTATATATTATATATTTATATATATACACACATAGATAGAGAGAAGGGTAACATTAGCCTTGCTCAGCGGAAAGTGAGAATAGAGTTTGTTAGATGACCGTGAAGTACAAACTGGAATGATAGAAAAAAAATTTCAAGGCTCTCTCCAACATGTTAAGCAAATTCAGCGGTACTGAAAAAAGGAGAAAGGTAATCATGGCAGAAATTATTTCTAGAAACAGATTGTACGAATGAATGGATCTTACTTTGTACAGAATCTTATTACCAAATATGGAGCGAGATCACACAAAAGGGTAAAGTGGTAACCCAAAGAAGCAATAAAGTTAGACCCTCCCTAAAACTCACCATAGGCAGGAAAAACAGAAAAAGAAGGTGGAGAAGTTGTAATTGCTGTTAGCTAATATATAGGGATTTAAGAGAGCAGAGCTCAAAAGAGAAAATGAATCAGAAATAAGTAAAACATGTACCAAGACAGTTATAGCAAAGGAATAGATATTTCCTGAGGATTCTAGTTGAAGCTAATCTAGCCCTAATACCTAAATCAAGTTTCTTGCAATACTATGTCCATGTTACCATTATTTTTGACATTGTTATGTAACTAGCAGAAAGTGAAGTTAAAGAGTAGATATAATTGAGGATTTTAATTTTAAAAATATTGTACAAGTTATCATTGATATATCATTAGTTGTTAGACACTGAAAATAAAAATTTATTAAACTTTCTGGCTACTAAATATAGAACATAAGTAGCATTTCTCTGTTTAAAGAACAATTTCGAACACATATTAGAAGACAAGATTCCATTTAATATGATTAGAAAAATTATAAAATGCCCATGAATAAACAAGTAGAGGAACCAAATCAAAAACAGATAACTCGTCTGAGGATTTTTTAAATGAATAAATAAAAAGTCACTAAGTGTTCAGGCATATAAACAATATAATCAAAATATGAATTATCCCTAAACAAATAAAATCATATAAAACAAATAGAAATGGCAGGTTAATATTTTGAAATATATGTAATACTGCTAAAATTCATTCAGATAATTAAACATTACTTCTTTATTTTCTGGAGAAGAAAAAACACAAAAAAGGAACCAGTAGAAAAAGTGTAGAAATATCCCCAAATAAATATACAGCAACAGTTTTTTTTTTTCAAATTATGAGTGTCACATCTATTTATGGTAATGATGTACTTCTATTTTCCTAACAGGTTGATCCAAAAAAATTAAGCTTACCGAGGGTGCAACTTTACTCATATATGCCTTTTTTTTTTTTTTTGCCAGTTCTTTAAAAGCCACGTATAAAAAGAATCGCCTCACCTATAAAGCCACCTATAAAGAGAATTGCATACTACCTCAGGCTAATAATTACACTGCAAAACAATATCTATCCCAGTCTGGGGTGTTTGAGGAGTTCACATTGAACTGGTTCCCTACTTTTTTTACATTTAATTTTTATGAATACATAATAGTTGTAGACAATTATGAAATACATCTGAAATTTTGATAGAAGCATACCATGAGTAATGATTAAATTAGGGTAATGGGATATCTATCACCTCAAACATTTATCATTTCTTTGTTTTGGAAACATTTAATTCCATTCTTCTAGTTACTTTGAAATAAACGATAAATTATTGTTAGCTGTAGTTGCCATATTGTGGTACCGAACACTGAATCTTACTCCTATTTAACTGTACTTTTGTACCCATTTACCTCTTTGTATCTCTCCCTCCCCAGTACCCTTCCCATCCTCTGGTAACTATTATTCTACTATCTCCATGAGATCAAAATTGTTTAGGTCCCACATATGAGTGAGGGCAGGCGATATTTGTCTTTCTGTGCCTGGCTAATTTCACTTAATATAATGTCTCCAAGTTCTATCATATTGTTACAAATGATAGGATTCCATTCTTTTATATGGCTGTATTAGTCAGTTCTCATGCTGCTATGAAGAAATGCCCCAAACTGGGTAATTTATAAAGAAAGAGGTTTAACTGATTCACAGTTCCGCGTGGGTGGAGAGCCCTTAGAAAACTTGATTCAATTCAATGCCTGAATAATATTCCATTGTAGATTTATACTACTCTTTTAACCCATGTATATGCTGATGGACACTTGGGGTGATTCCATATCTTGGCTATTGTTGATAGTGCTGCAAGAAACATGACAGTGCAGATACCTCTTTGACACAATGATTCCTTTACTTGGATATATACCCAGTAGTAAAATTTCTGGATCATATCATAGCTCTATTTTTAGTTTTTTGTGGAACCTCCATACTGATCACCATAGTGTCTTCACTCAGTTACATTCCCACCAGCAGTGTGCGGGAGGTTTCCTTTCTCCACATTCTCCACAGCATCAGTTATTGCCTTTTTTCTTTGCTTTTTTGATTAAAGCCACAGATTAATGATGCTGAGCATTTTATCCTATATCTGTTGGCCATTTGTATATCTTCTTTTGAGAAATGTCTATTCAGAACTTTTGCCCATCTTTTAAATTGAATTATTTGGTTTTTTTTTTTTTTGCTATTGAGTTGTTAGAGATCCTTAGATATTTTGTTTATTAACCCCTTGCTAGATAGGTAGTTTGCAAATATTTTCCTGTTATGTACGTGGGCTCTTAACTTTGTTGACTTTTTCCTTTGCTCTGCAGAAGTTTTTTAGCTTGATGTTACCCTTTTGTCAATTTTTGCTGTGATTATCTGTGCTTTCGAGGTCTTATTCAAGAAATCTTTGCCCAGCCCAATGTCCTGGAGTGTTTCCTCAACGTTTTTTTCCAGTAGTTTCATATTTTCAGGTCTTCCATTGAAGTGTTTAAGCCATTTTGTTTTGATTTTTGTATAAGGTAAGAGGTAGGGACTTACTTTCATTCTTCTGCATATGAATATCCAGTTTCCTAGCAACATTTATTGAAGAGATTTTCCTTTCTCTAATGTATGTTCTTGGTTACTTTGTTAAAAATGAGTTGACTGGAAATTCATTGATTTATTTCTGGATTCTTGAATCTTTTTCATTGGTCTATGTATCTGTTTTTATGCCACTACCATGCTATTTTGGTTACTGTTGCTTTGTAACTTGAAGTCAGGTATTGTAAGGCCTCCAGCTTTGCTCTTTTGTGCTCAGGATTGCTTTGGCTGTTATAGGTCGTTTGTGGTTTGATACAAATTTTAGGATTGTTTTTCTATGTCTGTGAAGAATGTCTTTGGTATTTTGGCAGCAATTGCATTAAATCTCTAGACTGATTTGGGTAATGTGAACATTTTAACAACAGTGATTCTTCCAGTCCATGAACATGGAATATCTTTCCATTTTTTGTGTCGTTTTCAATTTCTTGCATAAATGTTATATAGTTATCATTGTAGAGATATTTTACTTTTTGTTAAAGTTTATCCCTAGATATTTAGTTTTATTTTTATGTATTGTAAATGGGGTTACTTTCTTGATTTCTTTTTCAGATTGTTCACTGTTGGCATTTAGAAATGCTACTGGTTTTTGCATGTTGATTTTGTATCCTGAAACTTTACTGAATTTGTTAGTTCTAAATTTTTTAAGTCTTTACAATTTTCTAAATATAAGATCATATCACATACAAACAAGGATAATTTGACTTCCTAATTTTCAACCTGAATGTGCTTTCTTTATGTTTTCTAATTGCTCTGTCTAGGACTTCCAGTACCATGTTGTATAACATTGGCTAAAGTACACAACTGCACATTTCTAATCTGCCTTTTCCTCCCATTCAATCACTAAATTGAATTGTCTTGTCCTAGATCTTGAGAAAAGGCTTTCAGTTTTTTTTTTCCTGTTCAGTATAATATTATCTGTGGGGTTGTTGTAATGACCTTTAATGTGCTGAGGTATGTTTCTTTAACCCAGTTTGTTGAGTTTTTATCAGGAAGAGATGTTGAATTTTAAGAAACGCTTTTTCAGCATTTGTTAAAATGACCCTATCATTCCTGTCCTTCATTCTGTTCATGGGATGTATTATGTTTATTGATTTCTATATGTTGATTTGATGTTGATTTCTGTATGTTCTATATACCTTACACTCTTGGCATGAATCCCACTTGATCATAAGACACTATCTTTTTAATGTAGGGTTGAATTCAGTTTGCAAGTATTTAGTTGAGGATTTTTGCATTTATGTTTGTCAGAGATATTGGCCTGTTGGTGGTGGTGGTTTTGTTGGTGTGTCTTTCTCTAGTTTCAGTATTAGAGTAATACTGACCTTTGTAGAATTAGTTTGAAAGTAGTTTCTCCTCATTTTTTTTTAGAGTAGTTTGAGTAGAATTGGTATTAGTTCTTCTGTAAATGTTTGGTAGAATTCAGAATGAAGGCCTGAGATCCTGAGCTTTCCTTCGATGGGAGACTATTTTATTACTGCTTCTATCTCTATACTTGTTATTGGTGTATTCAGGTTTTGTATTTCTTCATGGTTCAATATTAGTAGGCTGTATGTGTCTAGGAATTAACTTGTTCCTTCAAAGCTTTCAAATTGGTTGGCATACAGTTGCTCATAATAGTCGCTTTGATTTTTTAAATTTCTGCAGTACCAGCTGTAATGTCTAATATTTCATCTCTAATTTCATTTATTTGAGGTTTTTTACTTCATTCATCTGGCTAAAATTTGTCAATTTGGTTTTTTTCAAAAACCTAATTTTTCATTGTGTTGACTTTAATATTTTTGTTTCAATTTCATTTATTTCTTCTCTAATTTTTGTCTTCTGCTAATGTGGGGTTTGGTTAGCTCTTGCTTTTCTATTTCTTTAGTATGCATCATTAGGTTATTTGAAGTTTTTATACTTTATTGATTTAGTCATATATTGCTCTACACTTCCCTGTTAGTACTGTTTTTGCTGTATTACATAGGTTTTGGTATGTTGTGTTTTTATTTGTATTTGTTTCAGGAAGCTTCTTAATTTCATCATTGACCCAGTGGTAGTGCAAGAGTATATTTTTAAATTATATGTATTTGTATATTTTCCTAACGTTTTTTGGTATTCATTTCTAGTTTTATTCCATGTGGTCAGAAAAGATACTTGATATAATTTTAATTTTTTAAAAAATTTTTGAGACTCATTTTGTGTTCTAACATATGGTGTCTCCTTGAGAATGTTCCATGAGCTAAAGAAAACAATGTGTGTTCCATAGCTGTTGAATGAAATGTTCTATCAATGTCTATTAAGTCCATTCAGTCTATATGTAGATTAAGCCATATGTTTCTTTTTATATTTTGGGACTAGATGATCTGTCTAATGCCAAATGTGAGGAGTTGAAATTCCCAAGTGTTACTGTACTGGTCTCTCTCTCTTTCTCCTCCATTACCTCTAATAATATTTGCTTTTTGCTTTATATATGTTAGTGCTGCACTATTGTATATATAAATAGACTACTGTTATATCTTCTTGCTGAATTGACTCATTTATCATTACATAATGAACTTCTTTGTATTTTTAAATAGTTTTTAAATGTAGTTTATCTGATGTAAGTATAATAACAATCCCTGTTTTTTTGGTTTTTTTGTTTGTTTGTTTGTTTTTTGTTTTTTGTTTTTTTTGAGACAGAGTTTCACTATTGTTGCCCAGGCTGGAGTACAATGGCGCGATCTTGGCTCACTGCAACCTTCGCCTCCTGGGTTCAAGAGATTCTCCTGCCTCAGCCTCCCAAGTAGCTGGGATTACAGGTGCCTGGCACCACGCCCAGTTAACTTTTTGTACTTTTAGTAGAGACAGGGTTTCACCATGTTGGCCAGGCTGGTCTCGAACTCCTGACTTCAAGTGATCCACCCACCTTGGCCTCCCAAAGTGCTGGGATTACAGGCGTGAGCCACTGCACCCAGCCAATCCCTGGTCTTTTTTGAGGGCTTCCATTTGCGTAGAGTATCCCTTTTCTTTCCTTCATTTTAAGTCAGTGTGTATCTTTTTAGGTGAAGTAAGTTTCTTGTAAGGCATCATATAGTTGGGTCTTTTTCATATTTTATTGTGTCTATTTATATTTTTTATATTGTGTATATCTCAACAAATTGTTGTAATTATTATTTTTGCTAGGTTTGTTTTTACGTCTTCATACCAAAAATATTATATGTGGTTTACCACCACAGTTACAATGTTAGAATATTCCATATTTGAATGTGTACTTACTTTTGCCAGTGGGTCTTATTGAGATAATTTCTTTTTGCTTGTTACTGTCTTATTTTGAATTGAGGATCTCCTTTTAATATTTCTGGTAAGACAGGTCTGATATTGATGGAATTTCTCAGTTTTTTCTTTTTTCTTTTAGTTTTTGTCTTGGGAAATCTTTATTTCTTCTTCATATTTGAAGAATAACTTTGCTAGATACAAAATTTTAGATTGCATTTTTTTCTTTAGTACTTTAAAAATTTCATCACATTCCCTCCTACACTATAGGGTTTCCGCTGAGAACTCTGTTGCCATACACATCAAGCTCCTTTATATGTTATTTATTTCTTTTTACCTTGCTGCTTCTAGTATCCTTTCTTTGTCCTTTAACTTAGAGAGTTTGATTATTACATGTCTTGAAGTAGTCTTACTTTGGTTGAGTCTGCTTGTTGTACTTTGACATTTTTCCATCTGGATAATCATATCTTTCTTGCTATGTTTCAGATGTTCTCTGTTATCATTTTTCTGAGTAAACTTTCTACACCAATCTCTTTTTCTACATCCTCTTTAAGGCCAGTAACTCTTGTTTTTTCCCTTTTGAGGCTATTTTCTAGATTTTGTAGGTGTTCTTCATTCTTTTTTACCCTTTTCTTCTTTTTTCTCTTCTGCCTGTGTATTTTCATATAGCCTGCCTTCGAGTTCACTAATTTTTTTCTTCTACTTGATCAATTCTGCTGTTGACTTTGTTCCATTTTCAATTTGCCAATTGAATTTTTAAGCCCCTAAATTTCTGTTTGATATATTTTTATTATTTCAATTTCTTTGTTAAATTTAGCTGATAGAATTTTAAATTCCTTTTCTGTATTATCTTGCAGTTCATTGAGCTTTCTCAAGACAAAAAATTACTTTGAATTCCTTGTCTGAGAGGTCACACGTCTCCATTACTCCTGGAATGGTCACTGCTGCCTTATTTAGTCCATTTGCTGAGATCATGTTTTCCTGAATACTCTTTATTCTTGTGGATGTTTTTTGATGTCTGGGCATTGAAGAGTTTGTTATTTATTTTAATCTTTGCAGTCTGGTTTTGTTTTTACCTGTCCTTCTTGAGAGAACTTTTCAAGAATCCAAAGGGGACTGAATGCTCTTACCTAACTCTGATCTTTGCAGCTGTTGTAATACTAAGAGATATCTGAAGCTTGAGAACACTACAATGCTTGTGAACTCCTAGAAACACAGCCTCAGTGGTAAGAAAAGATTCCCTAAGTTCCCAGGTGAAGTCTTCTGCTCTCTTCTCTCACTTTCCCAGACATAGATGAGTCTGCCTTTGTGCTAGGCTGTTTGGAGTTGGCAGAGGGGTGATTCTTTCACTTCCATGGCTACTATAGCTGGCAACATGCTAGGTTGCACCTGAAGCTTATAGTCTCCCGGACCAGTACAGTACTGGGGCTCACTAAAGACCCATGGCCACTACTGCTTGGCTGCTGCTAATTCAAGCCCCAAGGCCACTTTAGTCAGCAGATACTGAATCTTGCTAGGACTTAGGTCCAGCCCCCAAGGGTAGTAGATTCCCTTCTGGCCTGGAGTGTGTCTAAAAATGTCATCAATGAGCAAAAGCCTGGAATTTGGGAACTCAGGAATCTTCCAGGTCCTTTATTTCACTGTGCCTGAGCTGGTACCCAAGTTATAAGACAAAGTCTTTGCTCTTTCCTTTCCTTCCCCTGAGCAAAAAATGTCTCTCCCTGAGCTTTGCTGCTTGGAGTTGGGGCAGAGTCAATGCAGGCACTCCCATGGTTGCCACAGCCAGTGTCACACTGAGTTGCACCCCAAGTCCACTGTATCTAGGGCCAGTGACAAAACAGGGCTTGCCCTAGGACTGCAGTCATTGTGGCCTGACTGCCAATCAAATTTACGTGGGGATCCAGGCCACTTTATTCAGCTGGTAGTGAAGCCAACCAGGACTTGGTTTCCTCCCACTTAGGACAGAAGATTTCCATTTTACCCAGGGCTGATCTAAATTCTTCCATGGGCACTGGCAGAATTCTTCCTTGTGTTGTATTTCAGTGTAACAAATCAGCACTGAGTTCCAAAGCAATATACCATACTCACTTTGCTCTCCCTCTCCCAGGCATACAGATTCTCTTTCTGCGCTCTGCTGCCTGAGATTGGGGAAGGGTGGTATAGGCAATGCAACACTGTCTTTCCTACCCTCCTCAATGCCCCTTTTCTTGTTAATATGTTAAAACCAGGTACTGCAACCAGTCATTTGATTTTTTTGTTTGTTTGTTTCTCATGTAGGTGCTTTCTTATATGGATAATTGTTCAATTTATAGTCCTTGTTGGAGGGTTCTATTTGGCCACCCTCTCCACCTTCTAAATTTACCTTTGATCTTGCTCCTTATATTTGATCTAGAGTTGTACCTCTGTCTGAATAATGATTGATATTCTCAAAACCCACTTAACTACTTCTTTTTAAATGCCTGCTGACATTTTGTCAGCTTTGCAACATGGTGTAGTATGTCTGATTATTAAGATAAGAATGCTAATTCACCATTGTGCCTAACTTAATTTCACCCACTCAAAGTCTCCTATTTGGTCTGACATATGTCTCCGTGTAAATATCTATTCTCTGGTTTGGAAATCATTTTGAATATATATTATATGTATAATGTAAATTATTTATTCTTAATATACAACCTATATCACATTTTAAAGCACAAAAAAGAATAATTTTAAATAAGAGGCAAATAAAAATGAAATAAATATTTGATAGAATTTAAAAGTAATAGAAGCAGTATCACAGCAGTTATGACATGCTTAACTTATTTTCTGTCTACAGAAAATATTGTTTTTACCTATATTTAGCCGTAAAGCTGGATTAAGCATAAACATATAAATGATTCTACAATAACTGAAAAATACATTATTGGAAGTTACACATACCAGTTATTAACTTTAGTATAAAAGTTGAGATACCGCTTCTTTCATCATTTTAGTTTTCATTGTATTATATTTGTAAATGCTGCGTTCATTTGCGTTAATCAGAATACTTAGTTAGCTATTTATATCACCATCAAAAAACAAAAACAAAAAAAGTGAAATAACTTGTTATCACATAAAATTAAAAAAGCAATATCAATTTTAGCTCATTATAAAGTTTGTATTTTCAATATTTTCTTTCAATAACAGCTATTTCTGTTTCTCATATTTATGATTTTTTATATAAAATATAACTACAATTTTTAAAATTGTTGTATAAAAATACTTCTCTATCAGAAAATAACAATAGGCAAAATAATAAGAACACCAGAATATTATCTTCATAAGTCCAGAAACCAGAAACATTTTCTGGACTCAGACTGGTATTTCATTCATTGCATCTCTAACTCAATAGTAAATAAAAATAATGATAATAAAAATAATAATAGAATCTTGGACACTACAATAGATTGTTCTTAAATTTGTAAAATCTTGGTCAGATAAAAAATAATACTCTGAATCTTTTAAAAAGTTGTGAGGATAACTATAGCTGTATTAAACTTTCATAAATAATCATAAAAGGACAAAGTTGTATAAAATTTTGCAAAAAATCAGTCACGAACAGAAGAAATATATATATACAAAACTGTTGTTTTTATAAGAATTTTTTTGTATTTAGCTTAGCACTAAAAATGCCAAGTGATTATATGTAAAGATAACTTAAGTCATAGAGTTTTTTTCAAATTTACTCATTTATCAAAAACAAGTTTATTGAATAGCTGTTATGTAGCCTAACTTCCAGAAACTTTGTATTTGTGTGTGTGTGCATGTTCATGCATGTGTGCACAAATGTGTGTTTTACAGCAGGACCTGACTTAGGCACTGAAGATATAATACACAATAAAATATTATTTTTGATGAGCTCACAATCTAGTTGTACAAGTCACAACAAAAAACATTTAGACCCGAGAAGTAACTTGGAATAATAAAGAAGCAGATTTTACAGCAAGGCTAATAATAGTTTTATATATCTGAGCTTATTTGGTTTTCTGTTGGTGCATTAATTCACTTTGGATAGTGGCCTCCACTGCATCTATGTTGGTGCAAAGGATGCTATTTTTTCTTTTTTATGGCTGCATAGTGTTCCATGGTATATATATTGCATATTTTCTTTATCCAATCTACCAGCACCTAGGTTGATTTGATGTCTTTGCTATTGTGAATAGTGTTGCAATAAACATATGAGTGCAGGTGACATTTTGTGGAATGATTTATTTTCCTTCAAGTATATACCCAGTAATGGAATTGTAGAGTTGAATGGTAATTCTAATTTTACTTCTTTAAGAAATCTCCAATTGCTCTCCACAAGGGCTGAACTACTTTACATTCCCACTAAGAGTGTATAAGCATTCCCTTTTCTAGGCAATCTCACCAAATTTTTTTGCTTTTTCACTTTCTGATAATAGCCATTTGGGCTGGCATGAGATGATATCTCACTGTGGTTTTTATTTACATATCTCTGATGATTAGTGATGTTGAGCATTATTTAGTATGTTTATTGCCTACTTGTATGTCTTGAGAAGTGTCTTCATGTCCCTTGCCCATTTTGTTTTTGCTTGTTGATTTGTTTAGGTTCCTTATATATTCTGAATACTAGTCCTTTGTTGGGTGCACTGTTTGTGAATATTTTTTCCCATTCTGTACGTTGTCTGTTTACTCTGTTGATGGTTTCTTTTACAGTGTAGAATCTCTCCAGTTTAATTAGTTCCCAATTGTCAATTTTTGCTTTTGTTGCATTTGCTATTGAGGACTTAGTTATAAATTCTCTGCATAGGGCAATGTCAAAAAAAAGTATTCCCTAAGTTTTCTTATAGGATTGTTGTAGTTTGAAGTCTTGCATTTAAATCTTTAACTCGTCATGAGTTATTTTTTGTATAACGTGAGAGGTAGGGGCTCAGTTTCTTTATTCTGCACACAGTTAGCCAGCTTTCTCAGCAGAATCTGTTAAATAGAGTGTCTTTTCCCCATTGTTTACCATCAACTTTTTCAATAATCAGTTGTGAGTGTGTGGTCTTATTTCTGGGTTCTTTATTTTGTTCCATTGGTCTGAATGTCTATTTTTGCACCAGTAACATTTTTGTTTACAGTAGCTTTGTAGTATAGTCTGAAGTTGGGTAATGTGATGCCTCCAGCTTTGTTCTTTTTACTTAGGATTGTTGTGGTTATTTGGGGTCTTTTTGGTCGAACTTCACAATCATTTTTTCTAATTCTGTGAAAAATGATGGTAGTAATTTGATAGGATTCGCATGAAATCCGTACATTTCTTTGGGCAGTATGAACATTTAAATAATATTTATTCTTCTAATCCATGAGCATGGGATGTTTTTCCATTTGTTTGTGTCATCTATGTTTTATTCAGTAGTGATTTGTAGTTGTGTTTGTAGAAACCTTTCATTTTCTTGACTGGATATATTTGTGGGTATTTTCTTTTTTTGTGGCTATTGCAAATGGTGTGTTCTTAACTTGGCTCTCAGCTTAGACATTATTGGTGTATAGAAATGCTACTGATTTTTGCACATTGATTTGTGTCCACAAACTTTATTGAAGTCATTTATCAGGTCTAGGAATTTTTTGACTAAATCTTTAGGGTTTTCAATCTATAGAATCATACTGTCAGTGAAGAGATATGGTTTAGCTTCTTCTTTTCTTATTTAGATGCCTTTTATTTCTTTTTCCTTCTTTATTGTTCTGGCTAGGACTTCCAGTACTATGTTGAATAAGAGTGGACATCCTTGTCTTGTGCCAGTGAATTTTGCCAACCTCTGTCCATTCAATATGATGTTGGCTGCAGTACCATGTTGAATAGGAGTGATGAGTGGACATCCCTGTCTTGTGCCAGTTCTTAGGGTGAATTTTGCCAACCTTTGTCCATTCAATATGATGTTGGCTGTGGATTTGTCATAAATGTATTATTTTGAGGTATGTTTCCCCAATGCCTAGTTTGTTGAGGGTTTTTATTATGAAGGGATATTGGATTGTATCATTTTTTCTGCATGGATTAAGATAATCATGTGATTATTCTTTTTAAGTTCTGTTTATGTGGTGAATCACATTTATTGATTTGTGTATATGGAACCAACCTCATACCCCAGGAATAAAGTAAAGGTAATTGTGGTGAGTTTAATTTTTTATATGCTACTGGATTTGGATTGCTGACATTTTGTTGAGGATTTTTGCATGTTTGTTCTTTAGGGATTTTGGCCTGTAGTATTCTTTTCTTGTTGAGTCTTTGCCAAGTTTTTGTATCAGAATGACTCTGGTCTTTTTAGAATAAGTTAGAGAGGAATATCTCCTTCTTGATAAAAAATAATAATAATTCCTGTAGGATTGGTACCAGCTTTTCTGTGTATGACTGGCAGAATTTGGCTGTGAATTCCATCTGGTCCAGGGCTTTTCTTGGTTGGTAGAATTTTATTATAGATTCAATTTTATAACTTGTTATTTTCTGTTCATGGTTTCAGTTTCTTCCTGGTTTAATCATGGGAGGTTTTGTGTGTTTCCAGAAATTTATCCATTTCCTCTAATTTTTTTAGTTTGTATGCATAATATGCATAAAGGTGTTCATAGTAGTCTCTGAGGATATTTTGTATTTCTGTGGGATTGATTGTAATGTCCCGTTTGTCATTTCTGATCATCTTTACATAGCTCTCCACTCTTTTTTCTTTGTTAATCTAGCTAGCAGTCTATTTATCTTGTCTAATCTTTGAAAGTACTTTTTGTTTAGTTGACGCTTTGTATTTTTTTCATTCAATTTTATTTAGTTCTTCCCTTATTTGGTAATTTATTTTCTTCTGCTGCCTTTGTAGTTAATTTTTTCTTGTTTTTCTAGTTCCTTCAGGTGCTAGGTTATTTTGTTAATTTTTTTGTTAAATTGAGATCTTTCTATCTCCTTGGTGTAGGTGCTTAGTGCTATAAACTCTCCTCTTAACACTGCATTTGCCACATCTCAGAGGTTATGGTATGTTCTGTCTCTGTTTTCATTTCTTTCAAAGGTTTTTTTTTTTTTTTTTCATTTCTGCCTCAATTTTGTTGTTTACTCAAAAGTCATTCAGGAGGAAGTTTAGTTTCTATGTATTTTTGTGGTTTTGAAAGTTTCTCTTATTGATTTTCATTTTTATTCCACTGTGGTCTGAGAAGATGCTTGGTATGACTTCAATTTTTAAAAATGTATTGAAACTTACCCTATGGCAGAGCATGTGGTCAGTGGTAGATTACGTTACATTTGCAGATTAGAAGAATATATATTGTGTGGTTGTTGGGATATTTTACGGATGTCTATTAGGTCCAATTGGTTGTGTTAAGTTCTGAATTTGTTAGTTTTGTACCTTGATGTTCTGTCTAACGCTATCAATGGGATGCAAACATCCTCCACCACTATTGTGTGGCTGTCAAAAACTTTTCTTAGGTCTAGAAGTGATTGTTTGATAAATCTGAGTGCTCCAATATTGGGCATGTATATATTTAGAACAGTTAAACCTTTGTGTTGAATTGAACCCTTTATCATTATGTCATGCCCTCCTTTATCCCTTTTACTGTTGTTGGTTTAAAGTCTGTTTTATCTGATACCAGAATAGTGAACCCTGCTCTTTTTTTGTTTTCCATTTTCATGCGAGAACTTCCTCCATGCCTTTAATTTGAGGATTTATGTGTCTATGCATGTCAGATGGGTCTCCTGAAGACAGCAGAAGGATGTGCGTGTTTTTAAATCCAGTTTTCCACTCTATGTCTTTTAATTCTATCATTTGGCTGCTTACATTCAAGATTAATATTAATGTGTGAGGTTTTCTTTCTGTCCTAATATTGCTGCCTAGTTGCTATGTTGTCTCAGTTGTGTAGATGCTTTATAGGGACTGTGGGGTATTGCTTATATGTGCTTTTTTGGTGGTGAGTATTGTTCTTTTGTTTTTATATTTAGAACTCTCTTAACCATCTATTTTAGGTCCCCAGTCTCTTCTGGTTTGTAAGGTTTCTGCTGAAATGTCTGGTGTTTGTTTGATGTGATTCTCTGTATTGGTAGTATGAGTCTTTTCTCTAGCTGTCTGTAAGATTTTCTATTTTAATTTCACATTTAACTAGAATAATCCAAGGCTCATGTGCCTTGGAAAGTGTCATTTTGTATAGTATCTTGCAGGAATTCTCTGGACGGCTTGTATCTGCGTGTCAACTTCTAGCAACATTGTGGAAATATTCTTGAATTATATTCTTAAATATGTTTTTCAAGTTACTTACTTTCTCTTCTTCTCTTGCAGAAATGACAGTCACAGATTTGGTTGGTTCATGTAATTCGATATTCTTAAAGGATTAAAGGATTAATATTTTAAATTCTTTTTCTTTAAATTTACCTGACTGGGTTGATTTGAAGGACTAGTTTTTGAGCTCTAAAATTCTTCTGATTGGTCTAGTCGATTTTTAAGGCTTATAACTGTATTGTGAAATTCCTGTAGTGAAATGTTCAATTTCAGAAGTTTTGGTTGGTTCTTTCTTTGTACATCTATATCATCTTTCAAAAGCTAGATCATTTTCCTATTTCCTTTGTATAGGATTTCAACATTCTCTTGAATTTCAATGAGTTTTTTTTTTGCCATCCATAATCTGAATTCTATATCTGTCATTTCATTCTGGTTAGGATCTATTGCTATGGGAGCTAGTGTTATCCTTTAGAGGTAACAAAGCACTGCCTTTTTGTATTGCCAGAGTTCTCACACTGGTTCGTTCTCATCGGAGGTGGTGAATGCTTTTTTGTTGTTGTTGTCATTATTATTTGGATGGGGCTTTTTGATTTTTTAAATTATTTTCTCCCTTGAAGTTGTTACTGTGTTGTGTATGTTGTATATGACTGACTGGCTTCATTTCTGAGTGCTTTCAGAGGGCCAAGGTTTTTTATGGTTTCCTTGGTTGCAGATAGGTTCGGATAGTGGCTTTCTCAGATGTCGCTTGTTATACTGATGTTATTTTTGTTTGGTGTTGTAATTCAGGCTCCATTTGAGGAGATGGCAGATAAGAGTAAGAGTTCGCAGATAATCTCTGGGCTCATACTTTCCTTCAGCGGGGGTGGGGCGCAAAGAATCATGGAAAAACCCTCCCCTTCTGTGGGGATGGGGCCACTGGAGATGTCTGAGAAGCAGCTTCTTTCAGAATGCTTTCCCCAGGCCCCAAAGGGAAGAGCTGCTATGGTGTTTGCAGGCGTTCCCAGGGAAGGGAGCAGGAGGTGACATATGATCTCCTACTCCAAGCTCTTTCTCAGATTTTGGTGATGCCTCCCTTCAGCTTCTGGTGCCTTGCTCATGTTTCCCTTAACCCAAGGGGGGCTTTGATGGGCTGTGCTCTTCTCTCTCAGGGGTGCTTTGTGCCAGCAGTTAGATCTGCAGGGGAGTGGGGTTCACCTCCCTCCCACTCCTTGGAGCTGGTAAGGCACTCTCCCCCAGCTGAACAAGGGAGAAGTCTGGAGCATCTAACAATGACAGATGCAGACTCCAAATCACAAAGCTGTCCCTGTCTGCAAGCTTTACTACCCAGTAGAAACCTTAGCTTCAGTAACTCTACTATGGCAGGAGAGCTCCTAATACCAGTGCCAATAGCTTGGGCGCTCTCCATATTTTCCACTCAATTCTGGCTGTGGGAGCACTTCCCCCACTCCAGAAAAAGCGCTCCAATCTCTGACTTCACCATAAAATATCGGTAGTGGCCGAGGTTGCCAGATCACAAAACAATGAGTGAATTTATATGAGCCCAAATTTAAAATGTCATCCTTTTCTGAGTCTTGCCTCTAGGAGAATGCCTGGAGCTTTTCCAAGTGTCTTTCTTCCTTTCTTCCTTTCTTTGTTTTTCTGAGACGGAGTTTTGCTCTTTCTCCTGGGCTGGAGTGCAGTGGCGCAATCTTGACTCACTGCAACCTCCACCTCCAGGGTTCAAGTGATTTTCCTGCCTCAGCCTCCCTAGTAGCTGGGACTACAGGCATGTGCCACCATGCCCGGCTAATTTTTGTATTTTTAGTAGAGGCGGGCTTTCAACATGTTGGCCAGGCTGGTCTTGACTCCTGACCTTAGGTGATCCACCTGCCTTGGACTCCCAAAAGTGCTGGGATTATAGGCATGAGCCACCGTGCCTGGCTCCAAGTTTCTTGCTTTTAGGCCATTCTTGTATTGACATAAGGAAATACCTGAGACTGGGCAATGTATAAAGAAACAAGGTTTAATTGGCTCATCATTCTGCAGGCTATACAGAAAGCATGGCTCTGGCAGCTGCTTGGCTTCTGGGGAGGCCTCAGAAAGCTTTTACTCGGGGCAGAAGGGAAAGCTGCAGCAGGAACCTTACCTGGTGAAAGCGAGCAAGAGAGAGAGTGGAGGGAGGTGCCGCACACTTTTAGACAACCAGCTCTCATAAGAACTCATTCACTATAGTGAGAACAGTACCAAGGGGATGGGCGCTATATCATTCATGAGAAATACCCCCCCATGATCCAGTCACCTGCTACCAGGCCCCACCTCCAACACTAGGGATAACAATACAACATGAGATTTAGGGGGACAAATAACGATACCACTTTCCCTCTCTGTGTCTCAGCCTCTCCTCAACTTAGCTCTGGGTCTTGGGATAACAGTATGTGCTCTCTCTTAGCCTGGGTTGCCCAGATCCCAAGTGGGAAGGTGAGTCACAGAGGGAGGCTTACCATCCCTCTCACACACAGGGGCTTCACTCACTTTTATCAACCAAATGCCATCACAGGGGCTGCTTGCCCAGATTCTTCTCCCCATGGTCTGGGCTGTCCTTGGCTATTCTGGTAAATTGCTGTTTTCTTTCTTGAATTAAAGCTCAGAGAATTGACCTGTATGCACTATTTTGCTATTTCCAAGTGACTGAGACCTGCTGAAATCCTCTAATCTGCCATCTTGGGAAAAAACAGCAAATTAGCTTTTAGAGATATACATTTATATGTGTGGAAGAGCTACCGCTAGTGCTATTTTCTATGTTCTCTTCATCCTGTGCATATATCTGGCTTACAATTTCCATCTTCCTGTACGGTTGGTTGTAGCTTTGTGCCTGAATTCGGGACAGTCAAAGTGCTGCTACAGCAATTTAATGAGTTTGTGCTTTCTCAGCC
This sequence comes from Homo sapiens, assembly GCF_000001405.40. Classification (NCBI taxonomy): domain Eukaryota; kingdom Metazoa; phylum Chordata; class Mammalia; order Primates; family Hominidae; genus Homo; species Homo sapiens. Next base: position 195,517,034 of record NC_000001.11, on the reverse strand, counting down.
TGAGTGATCGTTTTTCCCTCAAGTAATTAAGATGTTTAGGAACTTAGGAATTCAGAGCAAAAGTACAACTCTTTAGGAGACCACTTGACCACAGATATCTATATTGAACTGCTGCATGATGAGAAATAAACTTTTATTTTTTGAGGCTCCTCCTTTTATTAACATTAGGTCACGTACTTTGGTAATATAATCATTGTATCATATTATCCTTTAATCATATATACAAACAAGTATTAAGCAGCTGCCCTACAAAATATTGATTTCAAAAGTGACTTTTACAGATTCTTATATTTGCTTTTGAGACACATTAGCCACGTGTCAAATGAAAGTATGCAAAATATGCAAGGTAAATTTTTACTAAGCTTATAGTGCATATTTAATTTTGAATACTCTCGTTAGATTTAAGTAATACAATATTATTAAAAGTTAAAATATTTTTTGAAAATTTCACTATTTTTAGTAACACCATTTTTTACATAAAATATTTTACATAATTTTTACTGTGGTAATAGTAAAAATACTATTGAAATTTTAAAATATTAATTATATTAAATGCTAATAATTAAAATATTTGAGTTAAAACATTTGTTTTGCTTTTATTTTCTAACATATGATTCCTCCTGACACTTATTGCCAAACCTGGAAGGACAATGAAATTCTTTTGCAAACATCTACAATATATGGTATCAAGTTAACTTTAAAGACACCTTTAACTCTTAGAAACAACCTCATAGTTTTAAAATTTAACCAAGCCATAAGAGGTTAAGCATTACTAAGATGACTACAGAGTGAATCTCATAAATGACTAAACTTGGAATCTCACAGAATTGAAGTGATTAGCCATAATCTAAGGTCTAGTCTGTAATCAAACCCAGTTTCCTTCTCAAGCACCATACCTTCAATGTTACTACACAGAAAACAACTCTGACCTTAGGAAGAGATGGAAAAAGTTTGAGAGAAACTTTGTGTGAAGAGGAGAGAAATTTATCTCCCTGAAGTATTTACAAGAGCCATTTATTGAGATTTGCTGTGAAGGTAAAGAAATTGAAACTAGTAAAGACAAACATTTCATAGAACAATTATTAAATGCTTAAGGAAAAAAGAGAGGTGGTAGCATTTGTTTATTATCTACTATGTACTGATTTCTAATGAATAGTAAAGAATGAATTTATTTTTGTATATCAGTTAATATTACCTCAGTTTGCAGAGGAAACGTTGAGAAATTCAAACTAATAATGCTAATAAATGGTGGAGCTGAAACTAAAATGCAGTTTCTGTGATCTTGCTTATTGGGGGTAATGAAAGAGAATCCAGGAAGACATAGACTAAGGAGAAAGAAGTGTCCAACTGATTTGCATAAAATTTCAAAATTTGTGGTTTCAAATTATATAATAATATATCCTAAATTTTGACATGTTATGAAATTCTGTAAGCCTCCTAGTATAGTTATTTCTGCTTTGGTAACAAGCCCACTGATATAATGACATTTGAAAGTTTAGATTCAAAACCATTTTTTTAGACATAGGGTCTCACTATGATGTCCGGGTTGGCCTTGAGCTCCTGGGCTCAAGCAATCATCCTGCCTCAGCTTCCCAAGTGGCACAGGCTTGTGCCACTGTTTTCAGTTTGCTATTTTTTTAATAGATTCCCACATAATATAGTATAGTACAGTATATTTGCTGAGGGTCTGGGATATTCAAGTTCTAAGTGATAAACACATACCAGAGGAAGGGTTGATACTATATAAATAAGACATATTGGATTTAAATTTTATTTTCTATAAAAATAGAATCTGATAAGTCAAAAAATAGAATCTGATAAGTCAAAGCAAAAAGAAAAAAAATTTAATCTAGATATAAATGAAAGCTAGAAATCTCTATCAACAGTTTAGCTAAGATAAATGATGAGTCTCTGCTTAATAAAGTTTTTGAAGTCAAGCTGAAATCCTTTAATCTCAGGAAATTTCCAGCTAATAAGTTAGCTCCTTAGCTCCTCATTCATTAAAGTCAATTTACTTCAGTGCGTGGTGACCTAGAGAGATGTGAATATGACAGATCAAACCATGATAGAGAATATTCTGCATCTTCATGAATTGTTTTAGTTCATATGATGAACATGAATGCATTTGAACAACTCTAATGGTTAAAAAAATAGATTGTAATGTTACATGCACTTTATAAAAGAGTGGCTACTTTATATCTGCTTGGATAGTACAAATTGAAATCAAATATGTATAAATATAATACTTAAGCATATTTTATTTTTTATTCTTCTCTGCTTTGGGAGTGTTCTATATGAGGAGTATGAGAAAAGTTATTCTCTGAAGGTCCCAGGCTGTGAATTTTGCCAACAAATGTTCAAAGTTGGACATATCTATGACAGTGTTTTACAGTTTTAAGCATAGGGTGTTATTCAGAAGTTTAATTCCTAGATAACCTGATTTTCACACAACATGTTGCATGTGAAGCCTGGATATTGAGGGCCATTTTCAGTTAGCAACTTGCTTTACTCACCATGTTTAATGACCCAGCAAATCATGGTTTTTCCCTTGATTCTGCCATCAGACCTTGATCTTCTAACATTTTCCATATCTGCACATTCCTGTTTTGCCAGCAGTGAGTTCCTATGAACATACCAGTTTTACAGTATTAATCCTCTTCAAGAGATACACTGATGCATATTCCTCTGGTTGTATTTTACACTCAAGTTGCTAAGGTTCATCCTTTCATCTTGAATATTGTAGTATATTTGTTCTTTCTGTTACTCCAGTTGGAATATTCCTTTCCCAGATTTCTGCATAACATACTTTCTCTGTCTGCTCTTAGGCCTCCTATCAATAGTCACTTATGAAAAAACTTGGTTTCAGCACATGATATAAAATTGTAATTTTCTTCTCTGGCACTCATTATCATCTTACCCTGCTTTATTTCATTTAATTTCATTTTGGACCTGATATTTATATGTATATTTTTATATTTCACTTCTTCCCCATTAAATTGTAAACTCCAAGAGCTCAAAAGTTAAACTGTTTTCTTCATTGCCTTGTATGCACGTTCAATAACAGTGCTTACCATGTAGTCATATTCATATTCAACAAATATTTGTCAGGGAAAGGAAAGAAGTACTACACTTTTGGAAGTAATTGAAACCTAGCCTTCTGGAGTTTCTATGAGATATCCCCTTTGTGTTAATTACCAACAGTTTACAATTGCAGATTACCAGCAAAATATTTAAACATTGCTAGAAATATTCTATGCGTTTACTTAATTCCACTTTGTACCTTATACGTTTCAGAAAAAAATAACACAAAGCAAAACAAAACAAAAGCCAATATCTTACATTGATATTTTGTAGCAAGTTTTATCTGTATGTTAAAATAATATGCAGATTATATTTATTCAAATTTATACTCCAAATAACAAAGTGGAAGGATCTGTTTTCAAAACATGACTAGACAACAGCTTTATGGAAAATAATTTTTGTACTCATAATAAAAGAAAATAATAGTTTTAAATTCTCTTTAACCAGTTAAAACATCAACTTTTAATATTGTAGTTTGAACCTCTATAAATCTGAATTTAAATATATAATTGTTAAGAAAATAGAATTAAAACATTTGAAACGTCATTTCTCTATATAAGAGCAACTTTCTCAAGAGTATGGATAAATATATCCACTTTTATCCTTAACAATTTTACATGGTAGATCAATCAACAATAAAAATATTGTTTTTTTTCTTGGAACAACAACAAACCATTTACTAATTCCAACGTGTATAGTATTTTATAGTTTGTAATCTTTACATATGACATTATGTAGAATATGAATTTAAATTTTCATATTTTTTCTTTTACTACAGGTACATGTAACTCTAGATGTGTATAGACTACATTCAAAATTGTTTTCTGTTGTTTATAAAGATAGATTATGTGATTTAGGAGAAACATACCTTCAGAGTATAGACTACCTATCTACAGATCTTAAAACTATTTTTGTCTATTTCTAATAATAGCATTTATTAAGGCATTATGCTCATTTTAAAGAGCAATTATGCTAATTATATCATCATCCAGAAATTAATATTTATTTATTTTATTGAGTAATATTAGTCAACGCTTAATGGCAGTTTTGGAACATTCAGTGAAACATATATTAAATATTTACAAAGTCAAACACTTGTCTTATGGAAGGCAGCTTGATACTGTACAACCATTTGTACTTTGAGGTTTAAACTTCCTGAAAATTGCATTGTATAATACACATGCAAAGCGCCTTTTAAAAAATTATGTGGTTAAGGAGCTAAGTTTTATATTTCCTGAAAAGCACAGTATGTCATATTATGTTTTACATAGAGAATATTTTGTATGGTCTTATCTTTAGTGATTAAATAATGTTTTAAAAAATGACCCAATGGAAGCAGCATGAATTTTGGAGTGACAAGACCTGGGTTATTGTGGCATCTTAATTGTATTATTTCTATGGCCTTTTTTTTTTTTTTACATATAACTCAGGTTCATTTACTTTACCTAATCAAGCCAATAATATCTAACAAACTTAAATGTTGTGAATATCAAATAAAACAGATTTGAAAGTGCCTTACAAACTAAAACACTGTTCCTGAAACACTAGGGTTTCGGTTTAGGTCCTGCTGCTCGCCGCACTGAAAGCTAATCACTGAGGCAATAATTATTGCCAAGGAAAAAGGCTTAATCGGGTCCTGCAGCTGAGGAAATGGGAGCTCAGTCTCATATCCATCTCTCTCACCCAATAAAACCAGGGGTTTATATAGCAGGGAAGAAATGTAACAATGTGTAAGGAAACAGCAACTAGGAGGAGCAAGGAAGCAATCATGATAAATGAGGGGTCCAGCATTTCATTGTTAGGATGTGGTGATCGGGTGAGTTTCAGTTCTTTTATAATTATTTGAGAGGCTGGAAGTTTCTTTCCTGAGGAAGGAACTCAGATAAATATACATTTCAAGGTTTAAGACCATAAGGGTCAATTTGTATGTTTATATATATTCTAAAAAACCTGTCTATGAGACTATTGCATCTGTTTCAACACTTTTAAAAGTGAGGTATTATTCAAAAATAACAATAGGCCAATGAGAGGATATCAGTATGTACTAACTGAAAAGATTTGCTATGCTTTTGCTTACCCATGAGAATATCAAAGAAATACAGTACTCAGCAAAGAATGATCCTTCCATGCAGGCTGGTAGGCTTTAGAAATAATAAAATAATAATAACTAATAATGGTGAGAGCCCACCAGGCACACTTTTATAATCACAGAACACAATTCACCTCATTAATCTTCACATCAGCCCCAGGAGTCAGGCTTCAATATGAACTCCATTTCACAAATGAAAAATGCAGACTTAGAGAAGGATTAATTAACTTGCTGAATATTACTCTGTTAGTAATGCGATGGAATAAAGACTTAGATAGAAGGAGTCCTACTCCAGAGACAACCCTCTTACTCTTTATCCTTTTCTTTTCATATCAGTAATTTTACTCCAACAATGTTGAAAGCAACAATTATTCATAGTCAATGACTAATTTCCTAATGTATACTCATATAATAGTGTCTGTTCAAATGCAGCTGAAAAAAATCAGAAGAAAATTTATGTGTTCAGATAACATGCTAGTTTTCTCCCTTTATATTTTAGAAGAATGCTCACTAAAAGTAAGGAAAAAATACAGAATTTTAATATTATTACAAATAATAATTCTCCATATGGTAATGCAACCTTGAATAAAAATGGACAGGCATTGGCCGGGCACAGTGGCTCACGCCTGAAATCCCAGCACTTTAGGAGGCTGAGGCAGGTGGATCACGAGGTCTGGAGTTTGAGATCACCCTGACCAAGATGGTGAAAAACCAGTCTCTACTAAAAATACAAAAATTAGCTGGGAGCGGGGGCGGGTGCCTGTAATCCCATCTACTCAGGAGGCTGAGGCAGGGGAATCGCTTGAACCTGGGGGTGGAGGTTGCAGTGAGTGGAGATTGCACCACTGCACTCTAGCCTGGGTGACCAAACAAGACTCTGTCTCAAAAAAAAAAAAAAAAAAGGAAAGGTATTAAAACAGTATATGCTGAAATATCAAGTTGGAAATAGTTAAGGGAAAAATAAGTTTTGTGGGAATTTTACACAGCAGGAGTTGTTATTTTGCATTTGCTCTTGCACAGAAGATATGCATCACTATACAAAATACATTCAGAATACATTTTTAGCTGTACTTTTCAGTTTATGCAGAGTAATTCCAGTTAATCATTACATCCTTAAAAAATGAAGATCTTTGCAGAACCACCACTAATATAATGTTCAGAAAGAAAAAAATTTATTAGCATAGCAGTAGACTATGACATCAATTGAAGAAAAAAAATTACCATGTTAAATGTGAAAGCTGACCTTGAATAGAGATGTTCTATTTCAAAATTGAGTTAAAAATTAAAACAAAGTTTGTTGAAGCCAATAATGGATTCCAAGATAGAAGAGAAAGAAAACACTCAAAATGAAGTGGATATGTATTGCCAAGACCAGCTCGGTTTGGGAGATCCTAACCCAGTGGCACTAGAGGAATTAAAGACACACACACAGAAATATAGAGGTGTGAAGTGGGAAATCAGGGGTCTCACAGCCTTCAGAGCTGAGAGCCCTGAACAGAGATTTACCCACGTATTTATTAACAGCAAACCAGTCGTTAGGATTGTTTCTATAGATGTTAAATTAACTAAAAGCATTCCTTATAGGAAACGAAGGGATGGGCCAAATTAAAGGAATAGGTTGGGCTAGTTAACTGCAGCAGGAGCATGTCCTTAAGGCACAGATCGCTCATGCTATTGTTTGTGGCTTAAGAATGCCTTTAAGCAGTTTTCTGCCCTGGGCAGGCCAGGTGTTCCTTGCCCTCATTCTGGTAAACCCACAACCTTCCAGCGTGGGCATTAGGGCCTTTATGAACATGTTACAGTGCTGCAGAGATTTTGTTTATGGCTAGTTTTGGGGCCAGTTTACAGCCAGATTTTGGAGGGCTTGTTCCCAACGTGTATAGTGTTAAGATAAAATTTATTACCAGAATTAAGAAAAAAAGTAACACAAGTTGTGCCCTCATTAAAATTTATATTTATTTAATGAAAATAGACTACAGAAACAAAAATAATACATTGAGGTATATGCCTAGATAATATTTGCAGCCATAATTACATCAAAAATTTTTTGGCCACAGGTGATCCTTCCTTCCAGTTATTCTACTGTATGTATGTGGAAATACATATTTATGTGGAGATGGTGAAAGGGTCTTTAATCATGAAAAACAAACAGGAAAAACCAAAACAGAAGTAAAATCCATAACCCAGTATTTTTGTTGGTCTTTCAATAAATCAGATAAAAAATTATGACTTCTTGAGAAAAATAAAACAAAACAGAGACATATTTCTGAAATTTGATGAAAAACATCCACTTACACATCCAAGCATTTTATTGCATACCAAGTACGATAAACACACAAAAAACCAAACATACATATAATGTCAAAAGAAATGGTTATTTCACAGTCAAAACACACAAGGAAAATAGCCTGAAGATAAACAAAAACCTAAAAGAGAAAATAGAAGTAGAGCTACATGCAAAGATGTCAGCTATTAGAAACATGATAGACAGTCTATTAAAAAAGTAATAGTAAAAAAGTAATAGTCTCTTGGGTATGGTGTCTCACACCTGTAATCCCAGCACTTTGGGAAGCCGAGGCAGGTGGAACACCTGAGGTTAGGAGTTCAAGACTGGCCTGCCCAACTTAATGACACCCCATCTCTACTAAAAATACAAAAATTAGCTGTGTGTGGTGATGCGCACCTGTATTCCCAGGTACTCGGGAGGCTGAGGCAGGAGAATTGCTTGAACCCAGGAGGTTGAGGTTGCAGTGAGCCAAGATCATGCCACTGCACTCCAGCCTGGGCTACAGAATGAGACTGAGACTCCATCTCAGAAAAAAAAAAAAAAAAAGCAAGAAATGAAACAAAGAAAAAAAAAGTAATAGCCTGGCTAGCTGATGAGTCAATGACACATAATACTTGTCCATGTCTGTTCTTGCATGTAATTCCTGAATTTTAGAGAAAATTGGCAATTGCTTGCCATAACAAGAGCATGCTGGGACCCAGAAAAATGAATTATAGAGAAAATTGTAGTAGGATTGACTAGCTACTTCTACTCTTGACTCTGATGTTTTTATCCATGAAAATACTTTCAGGTGACAAAAGACATAAACAGAAATAGCTTAAACAGTATGCCAAGTGTGCTATATGAGAGATATAGAGTTATTTTATAATTTTTGCATATTTTTCTCTGCTTTTCCAGTTAACCTTGCTATAATCAGTCCACGCTGCCACAATAAAATATCAAAAACTGGGTAGCTTAGACAACAGACATTTATTTCTCAGAGTTCTGAAGGCTGGAAAGTCTAAGATTATGGTTTCAGCCAATTCAGTTCTTGTCGAGGGCCAACTTCTTGGTTTGCAAGTGGCCACCTTCTCACTGCAGCCTCACATGGCCTTTCCTGATATCAGCAAGTGGGAGGGAGTAGAAGGGAGAAGGATCTCCAATTTCTTCTCCTTTTATAAGACACTAATTCATAAAGGCCACCCACACACCCTTCATCTAAACCTAATTACTTCCCAAAGTCTCCACCTTCAAAACCAACACACTGGGGTTAGAGCTTAAACATATCAATGTTGAGAGGATACAAACATTAAGTCTATAACATGCCTACTACTTCTCTTGTCCCCAAGATGGATCCAATAATTTCAGGTATTAGATGCAGATATGATAATGCCAAGCAGAAGTAAATAAATAAATAAACATTAAAAATATATTTTGCATCCAACATCTCTTATAATTGGAAAAGAACTTACTTGATGCGCTTCAATAATGTTCCCTTGGTGGCCAGTGTTTTGCTATACACTGTTCTCTAAAATATCAGCCAGTTGTTACTGAAACACCAGGGGTTTGGTCTAGGTCCTGCTGCTTGCCACACAGAAAGCCAATCACTGGGCCAATGATTATTGCCAAAGAAGAAGGCTTTAACTGGATGTTGCAGCTATAAAGAGATGAGAGATCAGGCTCAAATCTATATCCCTAACCAACTAAAATTAGGGATTTATATAGCAGGGAAGTAATCTAACTATGTGTGGGAAAACAAGAACTAAGGAAGGGAAGACAGCAATCGTGATGAATAAGGGGCCTGAGGTCTCCTATTGTCTAGATGTGATGACCTGGAGAGTCTCAGTTCTTTGATACTTTTTCAGAGGTCTGGTGGTCTTTCCTGAGGAAGGAATAGTGATAAAACAAATGTAAGCTTCAAGCTTTAAGATCAGAAAGATCAATTTCTATATTATCCAAAGAAACATCCATGGGACTGTTGGGTTGGTTTCACAATTAATGTCAAGAAAATTGAATTACCATGACTGATATCGAACAACAAAGATTCTTTACCTGGGATTAGTGAAAGGTTCATTCTTCACTGAAGGATAACTTAATTGGGTTTATATTAATAAGCGATATGTTGGCGGATAAACATTTTTAGGCAAGCAAGAGTGTGTAGCATAGTCATTAGCTGCCTGAGTAGCTTTACGAAGTCACGTACTCCTTTGTCTCAGTCTCTTTATAAATTCATTATAGACTGCATTAGTTATCTACTGGTACATAAAAGAGATCACAAAATTCAAGAGCTTAAAACAATCATTTACAATCTTAGTTTCTGAGTGTCAGGAATAAGGGAATAGCTTAGGTCACTCATGTGGTTGTCCAAGGGCTTTTGTCTTCTCCGGTTTTAGGTAGAGACCAGTTTTCGGCATGAAATCTTCTTCCAAGGGCTGCTCAAAAATGTCAGCGTGCTTTCCCCAGAGGGACTGATCCAAGGGATAGGCTGAAAATATACCCATGATAGAGGCTATACAATTTTACAATTAAATGAGATAAGAATGACAACATTTATTAATAGTAAAACTTTTTGTAATTCTAAGGATGATATATGTTCATTCATTAAAGCTTTACCAATTTCTCTCAAACAATGTCATGTAAATGCACATTTTGCCTGGGGCTGATGATAACATTTTTCTTAAGGGAAAGTATTCATAAAATAAATTTTCACAAATTATGTCTGTGAAGAATTGAAAAACCTGATTCTTGAAAAAGAATTCAGGCTTGAGAACATCTTTTAATGTTATTTTTAACCTTGGAGTCATTTTTGCCCTGCTGTCCCCCCACCTTCCCACTCAGGACTTCCAAAATAATTTTACCAGTTTTATTTTAAGAAGGCTGAAAGCACAATTATCTGTCTTTAATGAATATATTTACAATTCACTTGAAAATAAATATTTTTATGAGTACAAAAAAGAGAACAGACAAGAAAAAATATATTCATCACTAAGATTTATAATCAGAATAACTTATTTCTTTTTCTTGTTCATATGACTATTTAGGTTTATAGCAGCACTATATATTTAACAAATGTTTAGACATTGCCAAAGCATTAGGAGCCTTTACACATAGTAAAAAGTAACTCAAATGGTTTGGGCATTAATGATTAAACATAGTAGTCCTGTGTTTCTTTAACAACAAAAGGATAGATCAGTTGGCTCTAATTTAAGTCCAATGGCTAGAAAACCATCGGACTTTTTAAATCCTAATGAGTTAAGTTGTTTATTCCTTTATTTTGATTCATATGCAGTCATAATGAGAATTGAGAGGTAAAGAAAGATTCAAACAAATTTTAGGATTGTTTTCCCTCTGTGAATGATTTTCTTATTAGTATATATGGAAGAATGCTTCTCATAGACCATTATTCTTTTCTGTCTGCACTCCTAATTTCTAGATTTATAAAGAATTATTTTTGTTTGTTTTTAATGATAGGGTCTTGCTATCTTGCCCAGTCTGGACTCGAACTCCTGGACTGAAGCAGTTCTCCCATCTCAGTCTCCTAAGTAGTTGGGACTACAGGCCAATATACCTATTATGAATAATTTTTATACACTCTTTTTTATTTATTTAGATAAATTTAGATAGATTTACTAAACTGTTTATTTTTATACGATTATTTTATTGGTGAGGTTATTACCTTTGTCAAATTCTATAATAATTATAAGCAATATAATAGGGAAATGTAAAACTTAGTTTTTGTTTTAATAACAAAATTTTATCTGCCAATAGTATCACATCAGTAGTTATTTTGCCTGCATTTATCAAATAAGAGAAATACCTTATATAATGAGATATTTTGTAAAGGTTTGTTTAAAATTAGTATTTATTTTATTCATAATGGAAATTATTATAATAAATATTAGCTGTTAAAACAACTTTATATTACATAGTATGGTTTGTATAAAAACATAATAGGTTTTTTTTTAGTGTCATTGTATATCATTTTCTGTTCTTTCTGGGAAAGAGACACACTCAGGACTCATTAATATGATGCATTTTATAACATAAATTAGCATATATGTAACCCTAGAACACTACATTTCTTTAGTTTCTAATCTAGACTTTTATGAAATAATTATACTGAATTTTAAACATATTAAGACTTTTGATAACAATTAGAGATTTATAATCTCTATTTGTTTCTGTTTTGGCTCTTTGAAACTCATATTCTCTAGGTAAACAAGAGGAAAGACAAAAAAAGGAAACTAATTTATATACAAGAATTTGTGCTTCTGGTGACAACGTAGTAACAAAGACTAAAATTTGGGTTTTTTTCTTCAAATAGGCAATCAATAAAATATATGATATAAAGTTCTCAAATACTGGAAAACAAACAACACAAAAAATCCTTGAGAAAAGGAAAATGAATTGAGGTAAGCTCTCAATTGACCCAGCTTATTGCTTGGAGAAAGTTTCCAAGTTGAAAAACAGATAAGGGAGCTCAAACACAAGCTGTGTTGAGGATCCAGAGTTTAGAGATCCAGAGGTTAGTACAATTTAGAGGGTGAAATAATGGAGAGGAAAACACTGTAATGATAGAAGAAGCCAGGAGTTCTGTAAAAGTGCCCTCTTGAAGCTTTGTCTGAGTGCCTGAACTATGTATGAATGTGATACAATACGGCAGCCAGGCAATAAACCACTGTAAATGAATGTGTAGAACAATCCCTGGAGCTCATACAAATTGGCCAATAGGTCATACTTTAACCAGCCAGGGTAAAAAGCCTCCCCAAATGTGGGACACCACATAGAATCTTTAGAATAGTCTGTTTTACAAGTGGTGCAAAATTAGTCCTAAACTAAAGACTGCTCTGGATATACCATGATAAGGTTTAAACACAAGTCTCTAAAACTTCAGAGGATTCTATGTAAACTAACTGTATCTAAATAAAGTTCAATGATATTCCTAGAGACATAACAAAATTTAACACCAATCAGAGTAAAATTCACAATGTGTAGCATCCAATCAAAAATCACCAGGCATTCTAAAATAATATAAAATACATTTATCACCAAGAGAAATAATCAGTCAATTGAAACAGGCACAGATATAACCCAAATGATAGAAAAGGTAAACACAGATATTAAAATGCCTATGCAAGTATCTTCCATGTGTTTGGGAAAGTAGAAGAAAACACAGCTGTGATAAGGAGAGAAATAAAACTGCTAGTGGAGAAAAACATATCAAAAATGAGAAATACATTTTATAAGGCTAAGAGTATCTTAAACACTTTAGGAAACAAGATTACTGCATTTAAAGGACATAATAAAATAAATTAGCCTAATAGCATAAATACAAGACTGCAAAACAGAAAAATAAAAACTAAATAGAGCACCAATAAGTTGTGAGTTATTCTCAATTTGTCTAACATCATATGCAGACATACCTTTTGCACTGTACTTTGCTTTATCACTCTTCGCAGATATTATGTTTTCGACAAAAGGATGAAATGTGGTAACCCTGAGTTGCTCAAGTCTATTGGTATCATTTTTCCAACACCATGTGCTCACTTCATGTCTCTGTGTGACATTTGAATAATTCTTCCAATATTTCAAACGTTTTCATTATTTTGTGTGTTATGGCTCTGCTGATTAGCAATTCTCTTGTCATTCTTTCTCTCCTCAGGCCTCCCTATTTCTCAGCCACAACAATATTGAAAGTAGGCCAATTAATAACCCTACAATGGCTTCTAAGTATTCAAGGGAAAGGAAGGGTTGCACCTCTTTCACTTTAAATCAAAAGGTAGAAATGATTTAATGCCTAAAACTGAGATAGGCCAAAAATTTGGGCCTCTTGCATGAAATAGTTAGCCAAGTTGTGAATGCCAGAAGTTCTTGAAGAAAATTAAAAGTGCTACTCCCACACACACACAAACGATAAGAAAGCAAAACAGCCTTATTGCTTATATGGAGAAAATGTGAGTGGTCTGAATAGAAGATCAAACCAGTAACAGCATTCTCTTAAGCCAAAGCCTAATTCAGAGCAAGGTCCTAACTCTGTCTAATTCTAAAAAGGCTGACAGGTGAGGAAGCTGCAAAAGTAAAGTGGGAAGCTAGCAGATGTTGGCTCATGAGCTTTAAAGAAAGAAACCATCTCTGTAACATAAAAGTGCAAGGTGAAGCAGCAAGTACCAAGTCAGAAGCTGCAGCAAGTACCAAGTCAGAAGCTGCAGCAAGTCATCCAGAGGATTTAGCTAAGATCATTGATAAAATGGCTACACTAAACAACAGATTTTTAACACATACAAAATAGCCTTCTATTAGAAGAAGATGCCATATAACAGTGGTCCCCAACCTTTTTTTGGCACCAGGGACCAGTTTCATGGAAGACAATTTTTACGCACAGACAGGGGTGAGGGGGATGATTCTGGAATGTTTCAAGCACATTAAATTTATTGTGCACTTTATTTCTCATATTACTTCATTGTAATATATAATGAAATAATTATACAACTCTCCATAATGTATAATCAGTGGGAGTCCTGAGCTTGTTTTCCTGCAACTAGACATTCTCATCAGAAGGCGATAGAAGATAGTGACAGATCTTCAGGCATTAGATTCTCACAAGGAGCATGTGACCTAGATCCTTTGCATGCACAGTTCACAGTAGGGTTTGCATTACTATGAGAATCTAATGCTACCACTGATCTGACAAGAGATGGAACTCAGGCAGTAATGTGAGTGATGGGGAGCGGCTGTAAAAACAGATGAAGCTTTGTGGGCCACTTACCTCCTGCTGTGCAGCCCAGTTCCTAACAGGCCATGGACCAGTATTGGTCCGTGGGTATCCAGCCCCCGTTGGTTGGGGGCTAGATAGGAGAAGTCAGCGTCTGTCTTCAAAGCTTCAAAAGATAGATGGACTCTCATGTTAGTGTTTAATGTACCTGATGACTTTAAGTTGAAGCCAGTGTTTGCTTGCCATTCTGAAAATCCTAGGGCCTTTAAGAATTATGCTAAGTCTACTCTGCCTGTCCTCTATAAATGGAGCAACAAACCCTGGATGACAGCACATTTGTTTATAGCATGGTTTGCTGAATATTTTAAGCCCACTGTTGAGACCTATTGCTCAGGAAAAAGAAAGAAAAATATAATCTGCTTATTGACAAGGTAAATGGTCACCCAAGAGCTCTGATGAAGAAGTACAAGATTAATATTTTTATGTTTGCTAACACCACATCTGAAGTCCATGGATTAAGGAGTAATTTTGACTTTCTAGTCTTATAAATATATTAGAAATACCTTGTGTAAGGTTGGAGATGCCATAGATAGTGATTCCTTTGGTGGATCTCGGCCTAGTGAATTTAAAAACTCTCTGAAAAAAATTCCTTATTGTAAATGCCATTAAGAACATTTGTGATTCATGAGAGAAGATAAAAATATCAGCATTAACAGGAGTTTGGAAGAGGCTGACTCCACACTCATAAATGACTTTGAGGGTTCAAGTCTTCAGTGGAGGAAATAACTACAGATGTGTGGAAATAGCAAAACTAGAATTATAAATGAAGCCTGAAGATGTGACTTAACTGCAACAAGCATATGATAAGAATTGAATGGATAAAGGGTTGTTTCTTATGGACAAGCAAAGAAAGTGGTTTCTTCAGATGGAATCTACTCCTTGTGAAGATGCTCTTTGTTGAAATGCAAATAAAGGATTTAGACTGTTTCATAAACTTACTTTAGAAAGCAGCAAGGTTTGAGAGGATAGACTCCAATTTTGAAAGAGGTTCCACTGTGGGCAAAATGCTATTAAACAGCATTGCCAGCTACAGAGAAATTTTTTGTGAATGGGAGAGTCAAGCAAGGCAGCAAATGTCATTGATGTCTTATTTAGAGGAATTGTCACAGCCATGCCAACCTTCAGCAACCACCACCCTGTTCAGTCAGTAGCTATCAACAAGGCAAGATCCTCCAGCAAAAATACTCCAAATTGCTGAAGAGTCAGATGATCATTAGCATTTTTAGCAATAAATTATTTTGTAATTAAAATATGTACTTTGTTTAGACATAACGCTGTTGTACATTTAGTAGGCTATGGTACAGTGCAAGAAAAACATTTATATGCACTGGGAAACCAACTATTTGTGTGACTTGCTTTATTGCAATATTTATTACAGTAGTCCGGAACCTAACTTTCAATATCTCTGAGATGCCTGTAAGTTGAATCTCAGAAGAAGAGGAGAAAGTGGTAGGAGGAGAGGGCAAAATATACTTGAATTAATAATGAATATTTATTATTTGAATATTATTGCTTATTTAAATTATTGAATAATTATTTTTTAAAATGTAGAATTTGAATTATTTGAGAAAGAATTGATACATTTTTGACAAAATTATAAACCCACTCTATTAGTTTCACTCTACTACAGTAACCAATTACCAGAAGTTAGTGGCTTAAAATGACACAAACGTGTTATATTAAAGTTCTTGAGGTCAGAAGTCTGTAATGGGTCTCATCAGACTAAAGCCAAAGTATCAGCAGTACCACATTTATTTTTGGATGTTCCGGGTATAATCTGTTTTCTTGTCTTACGCAGCTTCTAAAGGCTGCCTGCATTTCTTTGCATGTGCCTCCCTTTCATCTTCAAACCGATAATGGGCCTTTTAAGGCTTTTTTACATAGCATAACTCTGATGCTGACTCTTCTGCCCCCAGCTTTCATTTTTAAGGATGCTTGTAATTGCATTGTGCCTTATGGAATGATCTATGATAACCTGTTATATTAAGGTTGGTTTATTACCAATCTTAATTTCATTTGCAATCTTACTTCTCCTTTTCCATGTACCATAAGACATTAACAGATTCTGCGGATTTGGACTTGGACATCTTTGGGAGCCCATTATTTTGCCTCCTACACCTATAAATCCAAGAAGTTCAACATATTTTAAGCAGAAGAAACATGAAGAAAGACACACCATAATCCAGTTGCTAAAATCAAAGAGAAAGCATAAAAATAGAAGGTAACCAGTCATTTAAGTTGTAGAACAATGCAAATAATACTGCTTCCAACATAACCATGAGGAAAAAATCATCTCCAAAATCATAAAATATCTTGAGCATATCAGAGAGTTGAGCTCACACAACAGATAACTATCCAGACTTTCAAAGAGAGAAATGCTCTTGGAATAATGATAGTGTAAATGAATTGTTTCAGTTTTGCCAAAGCGAAGAAGAAACTGATAGACTCTTAAAAACAAATTAGAAAAAAAATCAGTAAAACCCTAAAAAAATAATGTCAAAGCTAAAGGTTGGGCTGCTATATAAGTTTGGAAAAACTGAGGGTCTCAAATGTAAGATGAGGGTCCCAAACACTCACAAGATCTTCTATATTGTTTTCCATCGGGTGTTCTCACAAAACAATGTGGCTGGGGCAGTCGTCCATAGAGAGCTTCCCTCTGTAAGACAAATGTTCACAAAATGATTGACAGTTGCTACAAATGAGCACAGACCTCTGCTGATATACCTGTGACCTTTTCTTCTAAGAAGTGAAAATAAACTGTGGAGGAAGAAGCAGCAAATATTTGTCCTTCAGAACCCAAAAGAAAAAAAAGTCAGTTGATTCAGTTGATTCTACAAGAGGAGCAAAAACAAAACTGGTCTATGGGAGAGATAAAATATAATAATAATAATAACTCTGTGATACCCAAGATGAAGTCAAACTTCCTTTGAAGCTCAAAGGGAGAAAGGGAATGAAATCCCTATCTTGGGTAAGAGACAACAGAGATCTTGAACAAAAAAACTCTAAATCTAAACCAAGTAGATTTCTATCCCTGTAGAGGAGCAGAAAACTCATTCTCAAGATTAAAAAAAAATTAAAAATAAAATAAGAATTTGGACTGGGATGGGGTGTATGAAGGGAAATCTGAAAATAGCCTCAGTTTCAAGGCCATAAAGACTTGAATTCATCTAAGATTGTAGTTGTCCTATGACAACAGAGAATACCCCTGTTCCTGCAATAAAGTTTTGCACTGAGTAATAAACACTTACCTACCCCTGGAGGAGGAGCAAAAGCATGAAGACAGACCCTATCTGTATTATAAGTGAGCAATAAATAGTGAAAGTTAGTGAGCAGCAGGTAAACTGAGAGGAAACCTTCAGGACCCCCCACCCTGAACTCAAGGCAAGAGGAGATAACTATTAGAGGATATGGAATTATGGGCTGCACTGGAGATAATTATAGCAATGACGAATTACAAACTCAGCTTAACTTCAACTTTCAACTTCCAACTACGTTGACTCCAACTTTCACATTAACAACCTGACAGAAACTGCCATATCCAGATGTAAAGGTCATTTATTTACCCAATATTGAGGTATAATATTAAGTATGATAAATTAAAGAAATGTATTAAAACACTAGTATGGCTACTAAAATGATATACCTGTTAAGCATTAAAACATAAGTAGGCATTTATAATATGTGCTTACAAATAAGCAAGTGGCATAGGACTTAATCTCTTTGTGTTGAAAAAATACTTCACAACTCATACATTTTATGAAATTGTTCTGTATGTGGAAAGTCCTGAATTAGAATTTTAAAGTTTTTCTCTAAATTAGTGTTTAATTAATATAGAACAGCACTCAACTCCCTGGCCTCTATTGGTAAATTCAACATATGTTTATTAAAAATATTACATTTATTACATGTATCATATATACAATATTAATAACATACTATATATTTATTTACATAATATATAACAATAACTATACATGTAAACAGTCATGTTCATTATTATTAAATTATATTTTGTTTTATTAAGTAATTCGGTTAATGTTATGAGCTCAGGTTTGAAAATGACTAATAACATGTTTTTCGTAATTCAATAAATAAAACTAACAAAGATTAACAAAAAAGAGAAATCATATAACACACATATATATGTAAAAATAATCTTCATATTTGCTGAACAATCAACCATTCTAAGTCTTAGAAACCCAGTTAGTTGAAAAACCACAGATCACAGTTATATTCAGTTTTTGCCCTTAAGATAATTTAGTTAAACTTTAAAAGCACATTCTTTTTATTAATGGTAATGAGGCAGACAACCTTTTGGTTAGACAGCTTGAGAAAGGTCAAAAAGGCTAGCCTTTATGGAAATCGAATTTTGAAATTTAATTCAGACTACACAAAGAAAGAGAAGTTGTCTTGCACCTATATTAGTATATATGGATAGCCAGGTGAGTTTTAAAAAATATTTAAAATGGTCTTACTTAAATTATTTGCCTTAAAATATAGCTGCTGTTTTCAAATAGCCCATGATGTAAGCATTTCAGCAGCTGAAAATCCATGTATTTATGTATATTACCAGACAAACATTGCACAAATTATTCAGTCTGGCTGTCTACTTTGATTTAATTGGAGAGAGAAATTGTAAACAGTTCTATTGATATTCCGTGGACATGGTACCTCTAAAGACAAAACTGAATACATTTTATCATTGTTAAATAAAAAATTTGTTTATAAAGTCAGTTTCATAGATAAATAAAGATAAACACCAATTATTTTTAATTTTTGTGAAAAGTGAAAACAGTAAAGGGAAATATTAACTATCATTACATGTAAACTTCTATTATGGATTACACGATTATACAGTTTTCCATTAAAAACATCTCTATTTTAATTCATGGAGCCTGCTTTTATTTAAGACAATGGCAAATTCCATATATATGTGTATATATATATGTATGTATATATATGTATGTGTGTGTATATATATATATATATATATATATATATATATATATATATATATATACACACACACACTACATTTTCTGTGTCTATCTATTGATGGACATTTGTTTCCACATCTTGGCTATTATGCCCAGTGCTTCAATCAACATAGGATTGATAACATCTCTTCAAAATACTGATTTTGATTCTTTTAGATAAGTACCCCAAAGTGGGATTTCTGGATTGTAAAAACGTTATATATTTATTATTTTGAAGAGCTTCTGTACTGTTTTCCATAGTTACTGTACTACTTAGCATTCACACAGTATGCAAAGGGTTCCAATTTCTTCAACATTTTCAGCAACACTTCTCTCTCTCACTCTTTTTTGATAGAAGCTATCAGAACATGTGTGAGCTGATATCAGGCTTTAAAAAAAGAAGGCAAATCTACAATACTCTGCAGTACGGATGAACCTTGAGGAGGGGGAGCTAAGTGCAATAAGCCAGCCACAGGAAAATAAATACTACATGATTTCATTTACATGAGGTATCTAAAATAGTCAAATTCATGGTATGAAATTGTGGAATTGTGTTTGCCATGGACTGACAGGAGAGGAAAGTAGGAGTTACTAATCAGTAGGCATAAAGTCTCAGTCAAGCAAGATAAATAAGCTCTAGAGATCTGCTGTATGACATTGTACCTATAGTCAATAATAATGTAAGCAAATATTTTCAATCCTTTTTGGCTAATATTTATATTTTAAATTTAAGATGACTTATTTTCCAGCTTTTACCTTTATTTATATGTGTTAAATTACTTGTGCTTAAAATGTTAAGATTCTCATTCTCTCAAGGAAACTGTTACTTAAAATTGTTTGATTCCAGGTTTCAATTTTAGCATTAAGCAAGTCTGAATTAAAAATTAAGTTTTCATAATGTATAGTTCCGCTCCCCAGAATTCTAACCTTTCTCAGTTATACCACGTGGGATCTCAAAATACACACATTCACATTCATTTACGCTATTTAAAACTTCCCACAGAAAGATTTATGTTATGAACTATATATATATGTATCCAGTCAGCATATGTACATATATATGAAATAAGAACAAACTATATTATGCTTATATTTTTCTTGTCCCAGTCTACATCATCTTTATGATTTTAAAGGCCTGGAGTTGTGAAAACACTTACTGGAAATTTCAGAAATAATTTTACTTGGGAAACAGAAGAAATTTTAAAACCATCAGTAAGAATTTTCTAGATGAATAAAAGAGTGATTTTCTTTCTTTGTATTTTATTCCAATAACTTGTGGTGAACAGGTGGTTTTTGGAGCTGGGTGAGGCCTTTCACTATGGGATATCCCCCACTTCCCTGGTGAACTGTATGGCACAGCAGACGCAGCCATAATCACCACTGAAACATAACCTCATTGGCCTGAGAACCACCCCTCCATCCACCACAGTGACCACAGCAAGCCCCACCCAAGAAGATTCTGAGCTGAGACCCATATATCCCTGCCCCCACCTGATGGTATTTTTCCACCCATCCTGGTAGCCAAACACAAAAGTCATAAAGTCTTGGGGGCTTTATGGCTCCACCCATTGCCTGAGAAACCAGAACACCTACCCTGGCCAACACAGGGCAAGCTTATATCCCCCTACTACTACTGCAGCTGGTACACTCTTGAAAGCGCCACCTCCTGGCTTGAGGCCAACGAACTCAGACCTTACAGCAACTCATGACAGAAAAAACCTGCTTCTAGGAAGAAGAAAACACAGCTAATATCACTGCCAGCAACATCCTGGCTAACCAAAGATCCTGAGTCTGTCCATGTGACAACTTCACTGCTAGCATAACCAGCATTCGAGAAAGCCAGCACACCAAACATATCTACAACCAAGGATTCTCACAAGCTACTTCACTCTCCTGCCACCTCCACCAGAGCAGGTGCTGGTTTCTATGGCTGAGAGACCTGAAAACACATCACATCACGGGACTCTTTGCAGAAATTCCCTAGCACCAGCCCAGAACCTAGTAGCCTTGCTGGGTGGTCAGACACCCAATAACAGTCACTGCAGTATGGCTGTCAGGAAGCCCCATCCCTAGGGGAAGAGGGAGAGCACCACATCAAGGGATTACCTTGTGGGGCAAAATAGTCTGAACAGCATACTCTGAGTTCCAAATATTTCCATGGAAAAAGTCTACCCAAATAAGAAGGAACCAGAAAAGTAAATCTGGTAATATAGCAAAACGTGGTCTTATAACACTCCCATAATCACACTGGCTCCCCAGCAATGGATCCAAACCAAGAATAAATCTCTGAATTGCCAGATAAATAATTCATAAGGTTGATTATTAAGCTACTAATTGACATACAGAGAAAGATGAAAGCCAAGGGCGAAGGATATGAACAGACACTTCTCAAAAGAAGACATTTATGCATCCAAAAGACCCATGAAAAAATGCTCATCATCACTGGCCATCAGAGAAATGCAAATCAGAACCACAATGAGATACCATCTCGCACCAGTTAGAATGGCCATCATTAAAAAGTCAGGAAACAACAGATGCTGGAGAGGATGTGGAGAAATAGGAACACTTTTACACTGTTGGTGGGACTGTAAACTAGTTCAACCATTGTGGAAGTCAGTGTGGCGATTCCTCAGGGATCTAGAACTAGAAATACCATTTGACCCAGCAATCCCATTACTGGGTATATACCCAAAGGATTATAAATCATGCTGCTATGAAGACACATGTGCACGTATGTTTATTGCAGCACTATTCACAATACCAAAGACTGGGAACCAAGCCAAATGTCCAACAATGATAGACTGGATTAAGAAAATGTGGCACATATACACCATGGAATATACTATGCAGCCATAAAAAATGATGAGTTCATGTCCTTTATAGGGACATGGATGAAGCTGGAAACCATCATTCTCAGCAAACTATCGCAAGGACAAAAAATTAACACCACATGTTCTCACTCATAGGTGGGAATTGAACAATGAGAACACATGGACACAGGAAGGGGAACATCACACACCAGGGCCTGTTGTGGAGTGGGGGAAGGGGGAGGGATAGCATTTGGAGATATACCTAATGCTAAATGACGAGTTACCAGGTTCAGCACACCAACATGGCACATGTATACATACGTAACTAACCTGCATGTTTTGCACATGTACCCTAAAACTTAAAGTATAATAAAAAAATTCAAAAAAAAAGAAATTTAAAAAAACAATAACAGGATATGAATAGAAAATTCTCCAGTGAAATAGGTATCATAAAGGAAAACAAATCATAACTTCTGGAAATGGAAGACACACTTAGAGAAATACAAAATGCACTGAAAAATTTTAACAATAGACTAGAACAAATAAAACAAATAACTTCGGAGCTTGAAGAAAAGGCTTTTGAATTAACCCAATCAGAAAAAGACAAAGAAAAAAAGTAAAAATAAACAAAGCCTCCAAGAAATTTGGGATTATGTTAAACAGCCAAACCTAAGAATAATTGGTGTTCCTGAGGAAGAAGATAAATCCAAGTTTGGAAACTTATTCGAGGGAATAATTGAGGAAAGCTTCCCTGGCCTTGCTAGAGATATAGACATCCAAATACAGGAAGTTCAAAGAACACCTGGTAAATTCATCACAAAAAGATAATCACCTAAGCACGTTATCATCAGATTATCTAAAGTGAAGATGAAGGAAAGACTAAGAGCTGTGAGACAAAAACAACAGGTAACCTATAAAGGAAGACCTATCAGATTAACAGCTAACTTTTCAGCAGAAATCTTACAAGCCAGAACAGATTAGGGTTGTATCATTAGGCTCCTTAAACAAAATAATTGTCAGCCAAGTGTTTTGTATCCAGCAAAACTAAGCTTCGTAAATGAAGGAGAGGTAAAGTCTTCTTCAGACAAACAAATACCAACAAAATTCACCACTACCAAGCCAGCACTGCAAGAAATACTAAAAGGAGTTCTAAATTTGAAACAAAACCACAAAATACACCAAAACAGAACCTCCTTAAGGCATAAATATCACAAGGCCTATAAAACAATAACACAATGAAAAAAAAGGTATTAGTGAACAACTAGCATGATAATAGAACAGTAACTCACGTCTCAATACTAATATTGAATTTAAATGGCCTAGATCCTCCACTTAAAAGATACAGAATGTCAGAATGGAGAAAAATCCACCAACCAAGCTTCTTCAAGAAACTCACCTAACACATAAGGACTCACATAAACTTAAGGTTATAGGGGTGGAAAAAGATATTCTATGCAAATGAAAACCAAAAGTGAGCAGGAGGAACTATTCTTATATCAGACAAAACAGACTTCAAAACAACAACAATAAAAAGACAAACAGGGAGATTATATGCTGATAAAAAAATTAGTCCAACAGGAAAATATCACAGTTCCAAATATATATTCACCTAACACTGAAGCTCCCAAATTTATAAAACAATTACTTCTAGATGTAAGAAATGAGATAGACAGCAGCACAATAATAGCGGGGGACCTCAATACTCCACTGACAGCATTAGACAGGTCATTAAAACAGAAAGTCAACAAAGAAACAATGGATTTAAATTATACCTTGAAACAAATTGACTTAAAAGATATATACAGAACATTCCATCTAACAATCGCAGAATACACCTTCTATTGAACAGCACATGAAACTTCCTCCAAGATAGATAATATCATAGGCCACAAAACAAGTCTCAATAAATGTAAAGCAATCAAAATTACATTAAGAATTGTCTCAGACCACAGTGGAACAAAACTGCAAATTAATTCCAAAAGGAACCTTCAAAACTATGCAAATACATAGAAATTAAATAATATGCTCCTGAGTGATCTTTGGGTCAACAATAAAATCAAGATGGAAATTTAAAAATTCTTTGAATTGGATAATAAAAGTGACACAATTTAGCAAAACCTCAGGGATACAACAAAAGCAGTGTTAAGAGGAAAGTTCATAGCATAAATGCCTACATCAAAAAATCTGAAAGAGCACAAATAGACAACCTAAGGTCACACCTTGAGGAAGTAGAGAAACACGAAGAAACCAAACCCAAACCAGGCAGAAGAAAATAAATAACAAAGATCAGAGCAGGACTAAATGAAATTGAAAGAAACAAACCAAAAAACAATACAAAAGATAAATGAAACAAAAAGCTGATTATTTGAAATGATAAAATTGATAGACCATTGGTAAGATTAACCAAGGAAAGAAGAGAGAAGATCCAAATAAGCTCAATTAGAAATGAAATGGGAGATATTACAAACAATACCACAGAAATACAAAATATCATTCAAGGCTACTACAGACACCTTTATGTGCATAAACTAGGAATTCTAGAGGATATGGACAAATTCCTGGAAACATTCAACTCTCCTAAATTAGTTCAGGAAGAAATAGAAACTGAACAGACCAATAACAAGTAGTGATTGAAATAGTAATTAAAAAAATGCCAACCAAAAAAGCCCGGGACCAAATAAATTCACAGCTTCTACCAGGCATTCAAAGATGAATTAGTACCAATCTTACTGAACTATTTCAAAAGATAGAGAAGGAGGGAATCCTCCCTAAATCATTCTATGAATCTAGTATCACTGTAATACCAAAACCAGGAAAAGACATAACAACAAAAAAAAGAAAACTACAGACCAATATCTTTGATGAACATAGATGCAAAATATCATCAAAAAATACTAGTTAACTGAATCCAACAGTGTATTAAAAAGATAATACTCCATGATCAAGTGGGTTTCATACCAGGGATGCAGACATGGTTTAATATATGCAAGTCAATAAATGTGATACAGCACATAAACAAAATTAAAAATCATACGATCATCTCAATAGAAGCAGAAAAAGCATTTGACAAAATCCAGCATCACTTTATGATTAAAACTGTCAGCAAAATTGGCATAGAAGGGAAATACTTCATGGTAATAAAAACCATCTAAAAGAGTGATTTCTATAGTATATTTTGTTTCAAAGCTGCTCATTATACTGCTTTGGCCCCATCCTCTTTAAAGTCAAGCTATCGAAATAATAAGTTTGGAGCATTTGAGTTTTTATGAAACTTTCTGTTGTACTTTAGTGTCTTTTAATACGATAAGTGCTACTGACAGTTCCTTTTGGGCTAGTCATAGATCTATGGATTCATTTTCATACTGAAGCTAGAGGGAGAATCTAAGACTAGAAAGACAAAGAGGCAGGCAAAGAAGAAATGTGTTAGAGTTGAGTAGCATAACCAAGAGAGGCTGTAGAGATTGTTCTGTGCTTTTAACTATTTATTTACTCCCTGAAATAGATTAATATTTTAATGAAAATGATATCATTTTGTTATATATTTCTATTGTGATTGTTTTGGGAATGTATCATATATAATTAATATCCAGGACACCATCATTTTGTTAAATGAGAAATATAAATGCACACACAAATCACGTTAAGCCCCACACTATTCTTTCAATTCAAATGACACATTATGTTAGAGACGTTCACTGATTTTTGGTGGTTTAGCACCACATAATGAAAATGCAAGATTTTCAAAACTGCTTTTCAATAATAGCCACAGGGAGCATGTCACACTTCATTTATATATCCTTAAAAAATATTCCTAGCTAATGAAAGCTGAAGTTTATAAATATCAACAGATGTCAAATTATTTGAGTAGCTGTCTCTTGTTGATGTTTTTTAAAGAATTTCTTTAGGGTCTATACACATCATGAGAAATGAAAAAAATGCTATTTACTATTTGGTTGGAAATTGCAGAACAACGCCTCTGAAAAATATTATTTCATGTTAATGTCCAGAGACTGCTCTTCTATGGCTGGGTATAGCAGTTCCACAAAGATGTAGACAACCAAGACTTTCTATGTTTCTTCTATGTAATAACTAATCTGTCATGGTTATTTTGCTTCAAATGAGTGTGGCAGTGCCCAACATCATAGCCACATTCCAGCCACCATGAAGGCATAAAGGGAAGACAAATGCATTTCCTCTTGTTTTAAGAACACTTCCTAGAATTTCCATCAATTTTGCTCACGTGTGATTTGCCAGATTTTTGTCACATGATGACACCCTGTTGCTAAGGTCAAAGAATATACTCTTATTTGGCACAGCCATAAGATTCTAGTGTTTTGATGCAGAAAAAAAGAACAGATAATGTGAAACAATTAGCAATTTCTGCCACAGCCAGTTTAATTAGATACCCACAAATTTCTGCCGTCACCTTTTTACACACATAGAATGCATTCATCATTTCCCCAGGGAAGACTACCCAAAGTCTTCAGCTCATGTTTTGAAGAACCAAAGTCTTCAAGTTCATGATATAAGGATAATATTTAACCTCCTTCCTTATAAAATGTTAAGTCCTTATGGTCTTGTAATCTATAAAATAAAGGGCAGGTCATTTGTTCCAAACAAAGAGAAAAAAAAATAACAGCATCTAGAAATACCTGTTTGGAAGAGGGTAATTGGAAAACATAGCAACTAGTGGTCTGTAGCACTTATGAAATACAATTCAAGTGAATTAGTAAAGGCCCTTTTTGATTATGGCAGAGGAATTTCCTTGTTTAGCCCATTTGGGCTGTCTACTTCTGCTTCCTGAAAAGAAATCTTTTCACCAATATCCTCCCCGAATCATGACTGTCTTTTGGGAGGGTCTGTCTCTCTCTTTCCCTTTTTAAAAATAATTTTTAAATGGCAAATAAAAATTACATACATTTATGGTGTATAACATATTTTGATATATGTATATATTGTGATATGACTAAATCAAGCTAATTAACATATTCATTACCTGTTATACTTGCTCAGTAAGCTTCGTGGCTGTATCTAAGGTGGGCACTGAGAAGTATGACTGTCTTGATGGTTACATAACCCGTATAACCTATGTCCTGCTAATACATTTTTGAGGGCTGGTGTATATTTTTCAGGATATATAAATTATAGGAAATTTCATGTCAAATTTGCAGTCTCTGTGGCAATAAATTTTTCATCAAATTTATAGGTTTCTTATTTGTTTCTCAGTTCTGTAAGCAAGCTCCTATAAGCAAATAATGGTGTAGACAGTTAAAGTCTGAACACTCTGGTCCTTTACTTACTGGGCTCAGTGTTATGCCCACCATCACCACCACCTGACCGATGACTGTTTTGAGACCACCTGAAGCAAAAACACTCTTAATCTGATCTTTACTAGTATGCTGGCTGCTGATCTGGTGTAGAATTTTTGTGAAAGTGCTTAAAAAGATTCTGCAGCACAATTATGCTAATGATGTCAATACAAGCCACTGATTATTATTGTTTTGATTACTGATATAGGCTGGTTTAAAATAGCAAAACTCAGATTGTAGAACTGTGTACAAAGTTCTTAGTGTAGAAAGGTGACCTGTAGATAGAGGTCACCAGAGCAGACATGTTCTATCTCTGTTTGCAAACTGACCAGTTGTAGGATTTTGCAAATATAGGGTAAAGATAGGGTAAAAGCCAACATGCATCTACATTCTACATATTTCTATCACTTTCCTTTACGATAAGATATGTGCGTCTGCTTTCCATGGTAGTGCTGATTATAGTTTTTATCAAATATTTTTTCTGTAATGCAATAAGGTTATTATTATTTCAGCTTGCAATATTTAAATCCTTGATAGCTGATTTGCAACTACTAATTTAATGTCACATATTCTTATGTAAGTGTAGATTAATATGTAGAATACAGAATAATTATGTAAAATATAGTCATTTATTATAACCTGTGTCCACTTATGGAATTCCATATTAATCATATTAATTAGGGTTAAGTTTGTCTATGAGTGGGGGAAATAGAAGGCCAGATAACATGAATGAATCAAATATGGTTTAAATTTCTTCATTAAAAGTCCAGAAGTTGACTGTCTAAAACTGGTATGGCATAAGTCAACAGAGACTTCAATTATTTTCAGCTTGCCATTCTGCCATTCCTAAAATATAACTGCCATTTTTTCATGTTTCAGTCTTGATTTTTTGTGCCTACATTTTCTTTAAATAATTTTTACTTTCAAGGACATAAAGTAATATCATGACATTTTTCTTTTAGTTTTTAAAATTGCTAAGTGGAATAGATATGATTTCCTCAAAATCATTAGGTCAGTCTTACCAGATTCCAGAGGGTGGAAAACCCAGGTGTTGCTAGCAGTACTCATCCTGCTATGAACAATGACACCTTAAGATCTCAGGGTAATATAGAGTAGACAGACATTATTTGGCTCAAAGAATGTCAGGATATATTATTGCCTGCATTCCAGCCACTAAACCATGGATATCAAGCAATGTCCGGTACAAATTAGTCTCAGAGAGTCTAACTTGCACATGCTTTGCAAATCTTAAAGTATCTTCTCTAGTTTTATTTCCATAGCAACCCCAAATAAGAAATGCCTGAGAAAAATATCTAATGTTTAGCTTATCCATAAGCCTTTTCTTGCCTTTTTGTTTTCCAGTCTACCTGGATCACTAGTCACCATATTATATTCATCAAAAATCCTAAATCACCTAGATTTTATTTAACCACTAGGATGGTGGTTCTCCACAACGATGGTGACATCACCTGAACCATGTTGAAAAGCTTAGAGAGACTTTGTGTTTAACAGTAGGGATCCACAAATAATGAGGATGATTATTGGCATTGAGTTGGCAAGGGCTATATGTTCTGATTTCCATGTGCTCCAAAGAATCATTCATTAATATATGTATATGAATATGTACACACATACGTGTGTATATATACCAAAATGGTAAAATATTGTTTATAAGTTTTTCATACTAGATCCTAATTTTATTTAACCTATAAAAACAACACGTTTTTGTAGAGCTTTGATATACACTGAGTTTTTCAGGAATTCAATGATTATTTGCAATAAAAGACATTTGCACGCTGTTTGATTTGAATCTTTACTGAAAGCTTCTTGCAATTTAAAAAAGCATATCACACCAAGAATGATACTATCACTCATTACAGAATGCTAAATAAATCAGTCTCTGTTTTTTATTGTATCATATATTGTGATTCTATGCTGAGGTTCAAATATATAATTTTGTTGTTTTTTTTCCAGCATAGCTGTGCCCAGTTGGATATATACAGACCTGCAAATTTGAATGCAAATTGTTTTCTTTTATCCTATAACATATTAACATACATACGAACAATATTTTCACAGTTATTACTCTAATAAATAACTCTTCATTGTTGGGACTGCCAAAATAGCTTCCCAACTTGTCTCTTTGCCTCTAGTTCTCCCTGTTCTCCACACTCAACATCAAAATTTAGATTAAATTAGATACACTCTTTTCCTTAAAAATATTTTAATGAATACACTTGTTTGTAAACATGTATTCAAATTTATTTAATTATGCAAACTTGTATATCTTTTCACAGTCTATATGTGATTATATAGGCTATAATCCTGGCTTATAACACGTAGAGCCAAAGTAATCATTAACTACATATGAAAATTCCACTTTCAAATAGCCTCTATGATGATTTATAAACAACTGGGCATATTTTCTGACAATGATATTACTTCTTGACTGTTTTTCACCTGGGATGTACCAGGATAAAAGTGATGTCATCTGATGTCTTGATGTCAAGTATTCTTCTTGCCAACTCATTCGTATTTCCTTTAAAAGACAGGGGTTTTTGAGGGTATTTTTATGCTCTTGTTTTTTTTTATGAAATACAGCATGCATACTAAGGAGAGTGCACAATATCTGGACAATTTAAGGAATAACAATATAATGAACATGCATATATATGCTTGTTAGGTTTTAAACTTAAAAGAAGTACATTTTAAAAGTCTTCTGTAGGTCCCTTCTAGTCCCAAAAGTATTCCCTGTGCTATATTTCAATTTTTACTTACTATTTATAGACTTTCTAATTATGTGTGTATCCTTAAAAAAACTCACAATGTTCTTTTTTGTTTTAGAATAGTTTTTTAAAATAATGTAGTGTTTACATTTTTCTATCCTATTTCTTTTGTATAGTATTTCAGCATATAAATATGAATCTCACCCAATTGTCCCATAAAATGATGTTTATGTTTTAATTTGATTGAATGTAGAAATTGACCCTCACAGTCTTGAAACTTGAGAAAATTACATGTGTTTTATCTGAATTCCTTTCTCAAGAAGCCAACCATCAGGACTCCCAGATAGTATCAAGGAACTGAGACTTACTAGATCACCACATCTGGACAATGAGACACGATTTCTCACCCATCATGAGGGTCTAAGCAACCACCTGCCTCCTGTTGACAAACTCCTCTTCCTTACCCCTCCCTAATTCCTGTTTTCCTGCATGTAGTTACATTTCTTCCCTGTTATATAAAACCATAATTTTAATTGGTCAGGGAGATGGATTTGAGACTGATCTCCCATCTCCTCTACTATAGCACCCAATTAAAGCCTTCTTCCTTGTCAATACTCATTGTCTCAGAGATTACTTTTCTGTTTGGTGAGCAGCAGAAACTAGACTGAACATCTGGCATTTTGGTTAGAGATATGCAACTGAGACAGCCAGGTGGGAGGGGGCTCCACAGAAAAACTCCAACGGGCCTGCGCACTGGGAATGAGCACTGTGGAGAAGCCTTGAGAAGTATGTGGCATTTGCAGTGGGGAGGAACCTGGCCCCTCCCCTTCCTATGTGAAACCTGGAATTTCAGCTGCAGCGGGGAAGCATTCTAGCCAGGACTCTGGCCTTGTGGAGGATCCCTGTTTCGCTCCCTCCTTTTTTTTTTTCTTTTTGAGATGAAGTTTCACTCTTGTTGCCCAGGCTGGAGCGCAATGGCGCTACCTTGGCTCACTGCAACCTCCACCTCCTAGGTTCAAGCGATTCTCCTGCCTCAGCCTCCCAGGTAGCTGGGATTACAGGCGCCCACTACCACACCTGAACTCAGGTGATCCACCTGCCTCGGCCTCCTAAAGTGCTAGGATTACAGGTGTGAGCCACCACGCCGTGCCCCGTTTCCCCCTTTTTTACCCTTTCCACCGAATAAAACCCTGTCTTACTCACCCTTCAGTCTAGGAGCCTAAAATTTTGTGACCATGGGACGGACAAGGACTTTGTCTTTAGCTAAACTGAGGAAGAGTCCTGTAACATTTTTGGCATGCAACGTGGGGGCTCGAGAAGCAGTGAGTGAAATAGAGACTCAAAACCTATCACTGCGGCTTCTAAGCCTTCCATCCTGGTATTTCACAGGGTAGAGAAAACATGCCCCCCAACCCTGTCACCCCCAGATTCGGGGGAAATACCCTTTCCTTACTTTTTCAGGACAGACAGGCTAGTGGGGCTCCTTGCTGCCCCTCCCCTCTGTGCCAGGGCTGGGACGCATGGCCCAAGGGTCCCACACAGCCGGCTGGCTGGTTCCCAGCCACAAGCCTTCACCTGCTTCCTTTTCCCCTGAGAAATAAAAACAGCCCTAAAGATTATTGGTAAAATGCAGGTCAGATGCAAGGTTTGCTAAGTGTTTTGAGGTTATAAACTGCTTTGTGGCTTTTGAGACCTGAGGACATATGGAACTAACCATGCCCTTAACTAAGAAGGTAAACCTTGGCTGCAGGTAGCACACAATTACAGCAACTTACCAGGTTTTACCTTAAAATTTAAAATTGCTAGGAGTTAATTGAAACTACTAGAAATTGATTTACATGTCAGGTGTGTAAGAACAGTAAATTATGTTTTTTAGTAAAAGGTTATAATAAGTCATGGAAATGTAAACTTTGGCCTAGGGTTAAAGGATTATTTTGAATTAAAGTAGGAAAAAGCTGAAGGTTCAAAGAAGTGATGGAAGAATTGTGGAAATTAATCTTGCAGAAGAGGTTCTCTGTGTGGACATATTGGCTAAATTCCAAAAAGGGTATTATATGGTTTTTCTGTAAGTTGAGCATTGAAATAAAAGCATAACAAGGTTTTCCTAAGGCGCTAATCTGCTCTTTGGCAAAATTTGTAATGGGTTATGAAGCTTTTTGCTCCTTTAAGATTTCTGAGTAATCATTTTGGCAAAATAAATAACTTATGGTAATCTGGAATTCTATTTAATAATACCAAGTGTTTTAAACCTGGAGCATTTAACAGCCTTCTGAAAATCAAACTTCAGTTTCAAAATTGTCTTCCCTGGCACCTGGCTTTTGGAGTACTTCAGAGGGCCCTGGCAGTTTCCAGAAAAGAGGTAAACAGGATTATTTGACATGTTTAGGCACATGGGATTGTCACAGTGATGCTCAGTCTTCTTTATGTTACATTATTGTAAATAATGCAAACATATTCTCCAAAGTTGTGTGGGATTTCTAAAATTCTAATGTCTGAGTATATGCTATCAATCACAATTAAGGTTTTTATGGTAAGACATTGTAAACCACGGAGAGAACTGAACTTCTATGTCAATCATCTTTCTAACTATAACTATACTGGACATTTTGCTATTCACAGACAATTGTCTTGTTTTAATCCTTTTGAAAAATGGTTTTTAATTAACTATAGAACTTTAACTGGTGCTCTTCAATACAGGCTTCTGATAACTTTAGAGATCGTAACATTGGAATAAAGGAAAATATACAGGACTCATAAAGAGCTGAAATGTTTACAAATGCCAAGCAAAACAAGGGCTAACTAGATAGACTGAACTCAGAAAGCTGAAGAAAATCTTTTTGACCTTTACTTGGAATATTGCTGATCCTTGTTTTGTTTTTCAGAGTCAAGAAAACTTATTTTGAACTATTTACAGCCTTTAATAATTGAGTAAGTTATTCTCCCGTGAACAAAATTTGGAGCATGTTTGTTTCTCTCTGCCTGGTTCCTTTAGAATTTGGAAACTTTGTGAGTATTCTTATGGCAATATTGTTGTTTGCATCAGTGCAATAAGAATCCATTTTTCTTTTGCAACAGGACCCAATTGCAGAAAGTGGTTATTTTACCAAGGCCTTGACTGGAAATGTATGCTTCCCTTTAAGGAGTCAAATTCGACTTGCAGAGCTGATTAAAAAAAAAAAAAAAAACCATGGGAGAAACTGGCATTATAACCTTGCCTACGGAGTGCCTGGAAAGGGTTCCTGACCTATGGTTAGTAAAGAATGTTACTTTCTAACAGGTCCAGGAGCTCCAAATTTATCTTGAGATCTTAAGAGGAGAGAATCACCCAACTCACAGGTATTTTAGGATAAACCTATGGCTGGGGTTGGCTTTAAAAGGTCTTATCTGAGATTCCTTGGGAAACAGAGTTCCATCAGAGCCAATCCAAAAGGCCTA
This sequence comes from Homo sapiens, assembly GCF_000001405.40. Lineage (NCBI taxonomy): Eukaryota > Metazoa > Chordata > Mammalia > Primates > Hominidae > Homo > Homo sapiens. The sequence continues at coordinate 195,483,570 of NC_000001.11, read as the reverse complement.
TGTAGAAATAATTATTCTTGCTGCACTTTATGCAAATAATCAAGCCAAATATAAGACTAAAGTCTATTTTTGCAAACAACCTGGTCCTATCATGATTTGTTTTTGTTTGTTTGTTTGTTTGTTTGTTTGAGACGGAGTCTCGCTCTGTCACCCAGGCTGGAATGCAGTGGCACGATATCGGCTCACTGCAAGCTCTGCCTCCCAGGTTCAAGCGATTCTCCTGCCTCAGCCTCCCGAGTAGCTGGGACTACAGGCGCCTGCCACCACGCCCAGCTAATTTTTTGTATTTTTAGTAGAGACGAGGTTTCACCATGTTAGCCAGGATAGTTTCGATCTCCTGGCCTCGTGATCCACCCACCTCGGCCCCCAAAGTGCTGGGATTACATGCGTGAGCCACCGCGCCCTGCCCCATGATTTGTTTTTAAACAAATCTGAGGACTGGAAAGAGAGAAACTATGTTCCAAAACTTATCATACATTTATCATTACATTCTAAACTCACTAGTTGTTTTTAAGTTTTAGCCTACATTTTAGACTAACCCTGCTTGTTCCTGTGAACCAACCAGCAACCTCCAGCTGCAGCTCAGAAAGAACATCAGGGATGGGTAATTAAGAAATCCTGATCAGTATTCTACTGATTAATTATCCTGCAAATCCTGCCAGGTGATGGGAAAAAAATAGGATGCCTATCACTCAGAGGTTTCCTTTTGGGAAAGTAAAACCAATGGAACTAACTAAAGCCAAGCACCAAGCACCCAAATCCTAGCAAGCATACCTATAGCCACCAGTTATCTGGGTGTGTCACAAGACATCCTTTCTTCTCCCTTGTGGAGGAGGATTCAGTTCTACAGTTGCACCTTAGCATTTGGCTTATCATAAGGAATCCATGCAATCCCCCCACCGACACATTTTTGTCCCAGATTCCATTCCAAACTTGGGGTCAAAGCCCTAGGAAAGAAAACTGGATCTAAGGGATCCAGAGGCAGATGACAACAGAGATTAAAAGGCACAGTGCAGGTGAGTGTGGCTGATTTATGCTGAATAAGCTAACCCCAAGCTTCATGTTTCATGGATAAAGGCCACGTTAATATCCATGGCATAAATGAGGTCTAGAGAAATCCAAGGCTACTGATAGCAGGGGAGATAGGTCATACGTGGGTAAAAGCAGATGATTCCCACTGCCAACACGCCCCTCCCCGCCATGGGTGCAAGCCACTTTTACACCCAAGGTGGCACCTGCCAAGGTCGCTGGGACTCAGGGATGCCAGGACAGAAGAGGAAAGAGGACACTCTTCCATCTCTCCCTCATGTACCTTAGGTATCTGGTAGGAAGGGAACCAGGGACACCTTCTCGCCTCTTTCTAGATGGGTAGCCATTCATCTTCAGTCTATACACCTTTCAAATGCATCCTGAACCCCTGAATGAAAATAGCTTCTTTTTTCCTTTCTCCTCCCCACTTCTCTCTTCACAGATAGGTAATTGTGTCTCCATACTATGGGACACTCCCCTCAGGTGCATCCTCCAAACTGGAAAGAGTTAATTATTCAAACCTTAAACTGGTTGGCTTAGGATTGGGCTCAGGGGAAGGGAACCCAGAAGCCCAACATGCTGGCAAAAGGGTAAAGTTTCTTTCCCATTCAGGCTTTTGGCTCCCTCTCCTGTGTAAACTACTAGAAGGCCCCAGAATGTTTGAGCTGTCCCTACTTCCCCCTTGTTTTGTTTTGGTATACGTTTTCTAATAACCTGGTTTGTCTGTTCCTGCCTTCAGGCCATCAGACTCCAAACGGTCATGCAACCGGAGCCTCTGACAATGGCCATTTCTGCTGGGAGCCCTTAAATAGGCCTCTGAGGGAGCTCTAACTGCTATTTCCCCAAAACAGCACCCCTTGTCAGCAGGAAGCAGTTAAGATCGGTCTTGTCCTTATCCTTATTCTAACAGTTAGATGTACATCTTTAGAGGGGGGAATGGGACAGACAGGTGGGAGGGAGTACCTGGAAAATTCCAACCAGCTTGTGTGCTGGGAATGCACCCTGTGGTGGAGCCTCTGGAAGTTCTTGCCCTTTGCAGTGGGAAAGAGCCTGGCCCCTCCTCTTCCTGTGTGAAACCTGGAATTCAAGCTGTGGGCAGGAAGCATTCTAGCAGGGACTCTGGCCTTGCAAAAGATCCCTGTTTCCCCTTTTTTTCCCCTTTACACTCAGTAAAACCCTGCCTTACCCTACAAACTGTCTGCGAGCCCAAACTTCTGTGGCTGTGGGACAAAGATCCCGTCTTTAGCTAAACTAAGGAAAAGTCCTTCAACACAACGACTTAATTTTATATCATCTTAGACAATCCTTTTGTTTCCAATGCTTGCTATTATAAAAAAAAAAAAAGACCCTGTTGTAAATAATTTGGGAATGTCTACTTTAGACAAGTTCAAGACTTTCTTAAATATTCAACTGGGAATGGACAAACTATGTTGTGAAATTTTAAAAGGAATGATATTCAAAATATTTAGCCAAAGTAAGGTCAAGGGCAATGCCCTAATAGAATAGAAGCCAACAACTTACTACACTGTTCAAGTGTGGAAACAGACTTGTTCATGGATACAAATGTGTTAATAATTATTAAATAATTCCAGATGGCTTCTACATATTTATATTACCACCAGCAGAAAATGAGGGTTATCTTTGTTCCACTTAGTTAACAGACTTGGATATTTTTGTGAGAAAGTAACACATCATAATGTTTTTTTCTCTGTATTTTCTAAATAGTTAATGAGTAATGAAATGTTTTCATGAATTAATGCTCACTTTGTTTCATCTTTTTAAAATTCCTGTTCTTTTTCTCTTATTTTCCAGTGGGTTATTTGTATTTTTCCTATTCATCTGGAGGAGTTCCACATATTCTTTACGTTTAACTCTCTGTTGGTTGTTAGTGTTCCAAATGGTTTCTCCCAGTGTGTAGCTTGTCATAATTGTGTCTTTGATCATTATGAATTATTACTTATAGTGTACTTTATATTTATGATGTAAATATGTTATCATGTTTTCTGCTCTCTGACCCTGAAATCATATTCTCTCCTAAGATTATTATGTGTTGTGAATGATCGTAGTTCCTTTTTTCTTTATATAAAAAGCCAGTTGCTCGAGAAAATCTAGTGAAATTTCACCTACTCTTTCCACTTTTATCTGAAATATCATCTATGTCATAAAACAAGTTCACACATCAGAGTAGATATGGTTCTTAGGCTCTATTTTCTGTTCTGTTAATTAACTTTTCTATTTTGTGCAAATACGTAACTGTCTTAATTATGTACTATAATTTTCACTACATTTTTCTAATTTGATAAGGCAAGTCCCTTCCACCACCCCTAACTTTGTTCTCTTAAATTATCATTTTGACTATTTTTAATCTCTCATCTTCTTATATTCACTTTAGAATGACAAAAATTTCAACATAATCCATTTAATTGAAAATCATTACATGTATATATTAATATGGAAAGACAATATGTCAATTATATTGAGCACACTAATCCATAATCAATTACCTATGATTTCTATAATTCATTTAGGTTAATATTTAAACTTTTCTCAAAACTGTAGTGAGATTTAATTTCACTAAAAATTAATTATTTAAATATGAATCCACTTAATCCAGCATAGGTAAACCAAGGAAATGTGTGGGACATTAATAAATAAGGGAAAGGTCAAATTTTCTACCCTCTGCATATAGTGGAATATTCTGTCTCCTCTCAAATACTATATGTAATGCAAGACAAATTGACATGTGGCCAGAGTGTGCAGCTATAAAATCATAAATTTCTTATTAATAATATTTAAATTTGAACAAAATAAATACAAATATTCTTCCTCAGCCATAATTGATAATTTTGAGCACTTTATTATGCTGCAACCCATTTTGAACATCTCTAGAATACAGAGATGTAGACAACTATCTTAGTTCTTTCATTTAAGTCGTGGAACATATAATCTAGTCCGGTGAAGAACTTAGATTACTTTTTACACGTGAAATGCTCCTTCACACTAAATGTGTCTGCTTAAATGTTTCCTTGACCTGGACTGTCTTCTGGTTTTCTGCTAATATCATTCTACTCTTCTTTTGTAAACACTTTGAAATGTCTTTTCCTATGTTATGTTATGTTTTATCTGACTCTCAGAAGTAGATTCAGATTCATTTTTTATTATATTATCCTACTGTACTAACACATGTGACTTCATAATAGGTATTGCTGTTTGTCAATGCGTCTATTTCCTACATTATTTTTCTGTATGGCCTCAGCAGTTAGATAATATTAATACTAGATTACAAATATTTAACACAGTGGCTTAGAATCTATTAAGAATAATACATTATCTTAAATGGATTCATTAATTCTTTTCAAGTTTTACATTTATTTGAAATTATAATTTCATAAGAAACCATAATTTTGTGTATATTAATATTTAAATTGTATTATATTTACATGTAATAAACTTTAAATGGCTATTCATTCAGAGAAATCTTATTTATGAAATTTTATTTAGATACATAGTACCCTTAAGAATTACATGTGATTAGTGTCTTCTTAGTGTTTAAAATGTTTGTTTATGCCAATTAACCAATGCTTAAAATGTAAATCCAATTATTCTTTAAGATATATTCTACAGCTCTGAACAGAATAAAATATTCATGCTAGAAGAGAACTTGAAGATTACCTTGTTTTATATCTTCATTGTGTAGATAAGATTTTATTTTCTGTAGGAAGCAAATTCTTATTTTCTATACTGAGCATTTAAATTTTGAGTATGTAGATTATAAATGTTCTAGGCATAATTTTAAAGTACAGTCATCCTGTTAATGCTCAGTCATCCTGAATAAAAATCGCTTGTTGTGAGAGAATATACAATTAATTCCAAAATGAAACAATCTCTATGACAATTTTGAATGACTGTTCAAAAGATTGGTTAATTTTTAAATTAATATTGTGGATTTTATTTTTTAAGATGTGTTATGGCTGGGTACGGTGGCTCATGCCTGTAATCACAATACTTTGGGAGGCTGAGGCAGGCAGATCAGGAGGTCAAGAGATCGATACCATCCTGGCTGACACAGTGAAACCCCATCTCTACTAAAAATACAAAAATTAGCTGGGCATGGTGGCGTGTGCCTGTAGTCCCAGCTACTCGGGAGGCTGAGGCAGGAGATTCACTTGAACCCGGGAGGCGGAGGTTGCAGTGTGCTGCTATCACGCCACTGCACTTCAGCCTGGCGACACAGCGAGACTCTGTCTCAAAAAAAAGATGTGTTATAAATGACTTACAGACACTATACTTGATAGTTTTTAACAGTGACTAAAGAAGTTCACTGTAATTTTCAATCATCAAAATTGTACAAAGATGCATATTTTGAACTTATTGATTTTACAAATTACAGATTAGAATTTAAAGTAATGAATGTTGCTTTGTTCTAATTTTCTGCGGTTTGCCAAAAACTCATCTTGTTTTAGTTCTCATTTGGGGTGCTTTTATTAAATACTATGTTTCATAATATATTTTTCAATCTAGAATATAATTTCAGGACATATTTAGAAAAGAGAGGTAGAGAATATTATGATTGATACAAACTCCATGATAATACAAACGTGAGCAATTTCAATATTACCTCATGCAAGGTATATAATATATAATAGGATATAGAGATAATACCTGGACTTAAAATTGCTAGGAACTAGTATTTACTTTGTACAAATCTAAAATATAAGTTTAATCATTTTTAATTTGACTCCATGTATTTTAATTACTTTTATTTTAGATAATGTAGATTCATAATTAGTTGTAAGAAATTAGTTGTAAGAAATAACAGAAAGAGATTATGTGTATTATTTACTCAGGTTTCCTCAATAATAACTTCTTGAGACACTTTAGTAGTGTAGTACAAACCAGACAACCACAAGGATCCCTCATGTTGCTTCTTTATTTATTATTTGCATAGAGTATAGGTATAAGTGCAATTGTATTACATGGATATATTTCCTAGAGGTGAAATCTGTGCTTTTAGTTTAACCATCACTTGATTAGTATACATTGCACACAAAAAGTAATTTCTCATTCCTCACCCTCCCACCTTTCTGAGCCTCCAATGACTATTATTTCATACTCTATGTCCACATGTGCACATTATTTAGCTCCCACGTATAAGTGAGAACCTGGTATTTGACTTTCTGCTTCTGAGTTGTTTCATTTAAGATAAGGGCCTCCAATTCCATTCACGTTGTTGCAAAAGACATGTTTTTGTTCTTTTTTTATGGCTGTGCAGTATTACATGGTGCATATATACCACATTTTATTTATTCAATCATCTGTTGAGGGACACTTGGATTGATTCCAAGACTTTGATATTGTAGATAGTGCTGCGATAAACATGAGTGTAGGTATCATTTTGATTTAATAATTTCTTTTCCATTGGATATACATCCAGTAGTGGAACTGCTGAATTGAAAGGTAGTTCTATTTTGAGTTCTTTGAGATACTTACATACTATTGTCCATGGATGTTGCATTAAATTACATTCCCACCAAAAGTGCATATGAATTCCCTTTTCTCTGCATCCTGACATGCTAATTTTTGGCTTTTATTTTTCTCTTTTTTTCATTTCAATAGCTCTTGGGGTACAAGTGTTTTTTTATTATACGAATGAATTGTATAGTGGTGAAGTCTGAGATTTTAGTGTACCCATCACCTAAGTAGTATACATTGTATCCAATATGTAGTTTTTTATCCCTCACCCACCTCCCACTGTTCCCCTACCGGGTCTCCAAAGTTCATTATATCTCTTTGCGTTCCTTTGTATACCCATCGCTTAGCTATCACTAATAAATGAGAACATACGGTACTTGGTTTTCTATTCCTGAGTTACTTCACTTAGAATAATAGCCTCCAGCTCTATCTAGGTTGCTGCAAAAAAAAATATTTAATTATTTTTATGCAGAGTAGTATTCCATGGTGTATATATACCATATTTTTTATCCATTCATCAATTGATGGGCACTTAGGTTGGTTCTTATATTTGCAATTGTGAATTTTCTTGCTTAATAATAGTCACTGGTGTAAGATGGTATCTCATTGCAGTTTTGATTTGCATTTCTTTTATTATTAGGATGTTGAGTGTTTTCTTTTTTATATCCTTGTTAACCATGTGTATGTCTTCTTTTTTAAAATGTCTATTCAGGTCCTTTGCCCACTTTTTAATGGAGTTTTTTTGTGTATTATTGTTGGTGGCTTGTTTGAGTTTCCTGTAAACTCTCAATTATCAGTCCCCTGTCAGATTCAGAGTTTGCATACATTTTCTACCATTCTGCAGGTTTTCTCTTCACTCTGTTGATTATTTTTTATTTCTGTGTAGAATATTTATATTTTAAGTCCCATTTGTTAATTTTTTTTTTTGCTTGTGCTTTGGAGGTCTTATTCATGAATTATTTGCCTAGACTGAGAGAGGAGGCAGTTAGGGTCTGGTTAGGCAGACAGAGAGGGAGGGTCTCAGAAGAAGGACAGAGAAGAGCAAAGGAAAAACCACAGGACAGCACCTACACTGCCTCTGCTGGTAATAGGATGGAATATGGTTAAGAAATTCTCCTTGTGCTAGGATGTTGCTCAGAAGGGATGGTCCCAACTTTGGTATAGGTACAATGAATCAACCTAAATTTCCTTATCTTAATCCAGCTCATTATAATATCACTAACATGACATTAGCATTGTGTTTTTGTCTTTACCTGAGTTCCCCCACCCCATGGATTTTGCTTAGTGCTCATGGGTAATAAACAAGATGGAGTCACTCTGGCCAACCCTAGGCATATGCAGGTGTGGCACCCCTAGGAGGGAACTTTACCCTTCCTATTTGGGCAAAACCCGCAGAAGACTTCCTGGCTTCTGTCACATAAAGTTCTAGAACTCTGTCCCATTTCTGGAAACCTGCTTTCAGCACCCCCTTCTTTGTTTAGAGCTTTCCTTTTCCTTAATAAATCCTACTCTACTCACTCTCTGATGGTCACATGCCTTATTCTTCTTGGTGATGAGACAAGAATTCAAAACTACCTGAACTAGAGACTAAGCAGACTGCAAGAAGACCAATGTTCAGAAAAGTTTTTCTAGGTTCTCTTCCAGGATTTTTATACTTTCAGGTCTTACATTTAAGTCTTCGATGCATCTTGAGTTGATGTTTTTATACGGTGAGTGATAGGGGTCCAGCTTCATTTTCTGCATATGACAATCCAATTTTCTCTGCACCATTTTTTGAAAAAGTTGTTCTTTCTCCAGTGTATGTTTTTGTTGACTTTCTCAAAGATGAGATGTCTATAGATCTGTGGCTCTATTTCTGGGTCCTCTATTTGGTTCTATTGATAAGAATGGAACTGAATGGTATTGATATCTATTTGTATACCAGTACTATCCTGTTTTAGTTTGGACTTGTAGTATAATTTGGGGTCAGGTAATGTGATGCTTTCAGGTTTGTTCTTGTTGCTTACAATGGCATTGGCTATTGCAGCTCTTTTTCAGTTCCATATGAACTTTAGATTTTTTTTTTTTTTCTAATTCTGTGAAAAATGATGTATTTAGATAGAGATTGGGTTGAATCCTCAGAGATTGCTTTGGGCAGTATGGTAATTTTAATGATGTTAATTCTTTCAATCCATGAACCTGGGGTGTTTTTCTATTTATTTGTGTCATCTATGATTTCTTTTGTCAATGTTTTGTAGTTTTCCTGTAGAGACCTTTTACATCCTTGGTTAAATATACTCCTACTATCGTATATTATTTTATCCTATTTTTTTATTTTATTTTTATTTACTATAAATAGGATTGCCTTCTTGGTGTGCTTCTCATTTTGGTGTATACAAATGTCATTGATTTTTGTATGTTAATTTTGTATTCTGAAACATTACTAAATTTGTTTATCAAATCTAAGAGTTTTAGGGAGGAGTCTTTAGGTTTTTCTAGGTATAAAATTATATCAACAGCAAACTGAGATAACTTGACTTTATCTTTTTCAATTTGAATGCCTTTTATTTCTTTCTCTTGCCTGATTGCTCTGGCTATGACTTCCAGTACTATGATGAATAAGAGTATTGAAAGTTGGCTTTTATATTTCCTAGACTTCCTCCCTGACCTCCATCTTCTTAAACTCTGCCAATCACTTGTATGTTTTATATTTCTATAATTTTGCCATTTTAAAGATGCTAGGTAGTGGAAAATACATGCTCTTTATATTTTATGTAATATATAGTAAGGACTTTTCTCAGCAATTCAAATTTTGATATGAATTTTAATTGGGTAGTTACTAGATTGTATGTTAGTTGCATATGTAACTATTTTTCTGAAACTGCTAAATTGTTTTCAGAGGAGTTATACATTTTATGATCCTACCAGCAATATATGCATAACCCAATTTCTGTGCATGCTCACCCACATTTGGTGTTGTCATTATTTTTGAAAGCCATTTGATAGTTGTGTTAGTGATTTCTCATTGTGGGTTTATTTGCATTTCCCAAAAGCTAATGAGGCTAAATGCTTTTTAATGTATTTATTCATTATCTCTATATCCACTTAGAAGAAATGCCTTTTTATATTTATTGCCAATTGTCTAATTGTATTGTTTTTTACTCTTGAGTTTTGAGAACTGGGACCAGGACTAGAACTTGATGCCAGCTTTTTGTTGCATACGTGGTTTGCAAATATTTTCTCCCTGTTGCAGTTTTTATTTTCATCCTCTTAAGTGGTCTTTTCATAGAAAAATCTTGTAATTTTGAGGTACAATATATCACTATTTCCTTTTATAAATTATACTTTTGGTGTCATATCTAAGAATTCAATGCCAACCTCTACTTCCCAAATATAATCTCCTATGTATTTTTTTCTAAAATGCAATACTGCAAAATAAATTGATGTCACATTTCCAAAGGGAATATAAGAAGAAAATAAAAGTTCAAATATTTTTTAAGTTAAATAAGTTAATGTTACGCATTCTACACCAAATAAAACCACACAAAGAGCATACCACAATTTATTTTTTAATCAATGGTTAGGTAATAATGGAGGGTTTGAGCTTCTTCTCAGACAAAGCAAGGAACAAGCAATTAATCAACACAGATTTATTGTCTGTGAATTTGACTATACTTATAGTCAAATTCAAAAATATTAAAAATTCAAAAAATATTATAATTCAATGTTTTTCTTAAAGTGGAAGAAAATTTAAAAATTTTTACTGTGAGTACAATTTACATATATATGTATATATGAATATACACATATATATGAATATAAATATGTGATTTAAATATGTATATAATCAATTATCCCATTTTAGTGATACATATTGAAGTATTGCATTCTTTAATTTGTTTAATGTGACAAGAATATAAATCCTATAGTCAGATTTATTAAGTTTCATAGCCTGATTTTGGCAGTTGCTAGCTGGACAATTTTGTATCTACCCCAGTTTTCTCAAACTAAAACAACAATGTTCAAATTGAGTAAAATAATATATTTAAAATTCTTAGTAGAGAGCTTAGCAAAAAAAGATGATAATCAATATTTTATATGCTGGGAATCAAAATGTTAATCCTTTATACTACTTTTGTATTTTCCTGATTAATTTTCTGAAATCTGAGAGTTGCAAAGATGGTTAAGGGTTATGGAGGAAAAAGAAGATCTGAAGTAAAATTAAGAAAAAAAGCGAATACTATTCAAGAGTACCTAAAGGGTGGTTCTCAGCTTGGTGTATACACATGTCATTGACTAAATTTGTTTACAGCCTTATAAAAAATAAATGAATTATAAAATGAAGATCATAATAGCCTTACCATAAAAAGTGCCTGTCTAACTTTATGTATATACAATGATGTGGTGTACTTGAGGGGACAATGTATTAAGAAATGATCACTTTGGGTTATGTCTCAGATTTTTTTGTTCACTTTAATAAATAGACCCTGACTACTCCAGTCCTCGCAGGCTTTCCTCAGGGTAACACACTTAGAGCTCTTGTATTCTGCTGCAATTATAGAATTCCTAGGAGTCTGTCTTCTGAACTGCCACAAACTGTTCCTAAAGGCATTCAACCGATGATCAGAGGAGGGCCACCTACCGTTAAGCAGTACATCAAAAGATAGCACAGTGAAGGCAATTTATTTTCTTACTATTGTGTTTGCTACCCCACGAGAGAAGTGCAATACTTGTTGCTACTTGCTTTTCCTTCATTTGTAGAGATAATACAGAGCAAGTAAAATTATGTAAGAAACAATCTGAAAAAAGATGACTAAAGAATGAGAGTCTCTCCAAAATGCCCTGACTACTCACTGTTTAGGGAATTTGACATTAAATCTTCTGCAGAACTGCATACAAATAGATCATAAGATTTCTTTCCTCTATTAGTGCAGAAAATGTCTGTTCTGTGGAGATCCAGATCAAAGTCTCATTTTCTTATTTTACACATGCCAATGATATGTTATTTATGTTTTATATAATTTGTAGTCACTTTTCTCAGTGACTTCTTTTTCTTTACATTTTAATTGTGTAAATAGAATGATGTTTAATTATAATATAATGCATATACATATGTTGACCCAGGTTTATCACTTCTGAGAAAAACTAATATTTTAATTTCAAGAGAAAAGCACTTTGTGTGAAGTATTACTCACATTTTTTTCTCAATTAAAATTAAAGATATTTAATGATATGCAAAGCTATTCCAAGCACGATGTTTTGCAGAGATATCTCCTGACATATGATTGAGCTTATTTACAAATATACCAACACATTAAAATATACATTATTCATAGTTTGGGTTACTGCTACTGGTACCTCTTATTTTGTAACAAAACACACCAGGAAGAAAATTTTATTATACTGCATTTAACTGCTTTTTATTATATGAAACATTTTTTGTGTATGTGGCTGTCCTAAATGCATAATGTATGGAACATATTTAATTAAATCCAGGATGGCTAACTATGCACATGTTTGTAATTCTCATGGATCTTGATAAATTGATAATAATTTTGAAGTAGAAATTATGGCCTAATTTTATTGCAGAATGTGCAATTTCTATAGTGTATACTGTATCATGATGCATGTTTCTTGCCTCCTCAAATTTAAACAAAATATAATTTCATTAGTTATTTCATTCTGTAGAATATATTTTATAAATAATCAGTGACAGAGAAACTTTTGCAATATTATATTATAAATTTGAGTTACTTTTTGTCCAGAATTATTTTATAGCTTCTGTTTTGTAACTAATTTAACAGGTTCATTATTATTTGTTGCTTTTATACATTTTTTTCCTTTTAAGTTTTGGAGAACATAAGTCATATGTAAAGTTATATATAAAGTGCAAGTCAAATATATCATTAGGTTGAATGTTTTATTGGAAATATATCCATATATTGTTTTTGTTATATTTTACTGTTATTTTTAATTATTTTAATTTTTTTATTTCCTTTAGGTTTTGTTATGACTGATTTGATTAGAAGTAACAGATTGAGTCTGGTTGAGAAGAAAGAGAAATTTAATATTGCCATGCAAGATTGTTGTATCCTTGGATCACATACAAAAAAGTAAGATAGAGCTCAAAACTGGAATGTCACGAGTATCATAGAGACCCATTTGTGTAGTCCCTAGAAAAGAGACTCTATCTCTGCATATGGACCCTATCTTTGTATTTCTTATAAATCTTGTATTTTCATGGCTCAGTTTTTCTCATCAACTGTGAAATTGAAATCTGCAAGTTTATCTGATTGAGAGCTTCATGGTATTATGTATTTCCTTCTGCTCATTTGAACATCTTCAAGTGGAGAGAAATCTTCAAGAATTCTTGAGAAAAACCTTTCTCCAGTTTCAAAAATGCCTCAAGTTGAGAAAAATCCTCAAGCTGAGTGGGTTGTACCTGGTCCCCTGGCCTCCTAGCTCAAAATCAGGTATTGGAGTGCAGGCTCAAGTTGCTTCTTCGTAGAGATGTTACAGAGTCACTTTATGACCCAGAAGGAAGATCCATTCAATTCTTACCATTTAGCCCTGGCAACAGCTTCATGGCGGCCACATCCCTGGTATTGGTAGTAGAAGTTTTAGCATGTACTCACAAAGGCAGCAGTATCTTTTTGAGCTTGCTTTTATTAAAGAAATTTTAGTTTTTAATTGATGAGAAATGAACTTCCAGCCACTTCTGTCAGCTTTTGGTTCTAGAAACTTCAAAGTGCCCCCTTCATCCTCTAGTTACAGTTACCATAGAATATTTTGGGTCTATTGCACTTCCAAGGAGCTATGTGTCTATATTTTAACAAACTGAGATTTCTATTCTTATAATAAATATTGGAAACTAAATGATGCTGATGCAGGGCAGGTAAGCACCAAAGTGGGTCTCAGCCTTTGAGGGTTCTTGGCTTTGCCCAGGAAAAGAATTTGAGGGCATTCCAGAGGTAGAAAGCAGCATTAGTGAAGTGGCTACTGCAGAGAAGGGCCACCCCGTAGGCAGACAGTAGCAGCTTAGGACAGTTTTGCAGTCATATTTATACTCATTTTTAATAACATGCAGGTTAAAGGGCTATTTATGAGAAATGTCTGGGGAAGGGTGGGGTGGTAACTTCTGCATCATGTTTCTCTCAAAACAGATACAATTGTGATAATTTTTGAATATTTATATTATTAGTATAATGGTATAATATATAATATTTATATTATACTATTAAATACTGAAATACAGATATATCATTTTGATATAGTATATTTATAATATTTATATTATTAGTATAAATATATAATTTCATAAATCCTGAAGTCTTATCCCTCCTAATTTTTATTAAACACTTAATGAGCAAAATTCCAGAAAAAAGAGACTATGCGATAATTCAAAGCCAGTTGAACCAACATATATAAATTATAAGCATATGTAAGTTTAGTGTGCTTTGTAACTGGACCCAGTATATTAAACATTTGTTCTTAATGCAGCCTGCAATTGCAAGTGATCACTATATACTGTGAGCTGGTTACTGTAGTTTTAATCAGAAAATAACAAAAAATGATGGATTACTTTGGTAAAGTCTGTGATAATTAAAACATTTATTCTAATAAGTTTATAATATTAAAGGAGGGCTATTTCTATGAACTTTATGAAATTTGGTCAGAGTCTTGAGCTAATAAACAGGAAGCACCAGGAGAGATCTTTCTAGGTTAAAAATAAATAGAAATTATAGATTATGAGATAAAATTAGCCATGTAGAAAAGTTATGATGAAAGTTATATATAGGTATAATGTACATATTTATTCCAGATAGCACAAAATCATGTATACAAAAACCCCAAGCAATTAGGCTTAGTGTCTGCTTAGATGACAATATTTATGTATTTATAATAATAAACAGGTACAATATAACTACATTAGAGGTAGAATGAAGAGTTCTAATGACATACAAACTTATCTACCATACACATTAAGTCTAGAATTCATATATGTACAACTGGCAGTGTACACATTTGTGTGTGTGTGTGTGTGTGTGTGTGTGTGTGTGTTTAGGCCTCCTAGGTCACAGACTATGAGATAAATTTAGGAGTGCAGAAGATTTATTGAAGAGTAACACTTGTATAGTTAAAAGAGGGAGGAAGAGGATTGGAAAGGAAAAGCTTCCAAACAATAATGCAGACATAATAAACTCCTGGTCAATTCTGGGAGCTCTGGAACAAAGATCAACTACTAGAGATGACTTACATGGGGGCAGAAATGGTAAGAGACCATTAAATTATTAAATAATTGCCTTCAGATTATTGCATAGTCTCTGTTATCTGGAATTATCCTCTTTAAACAATTAATAATTAGGAGAGATGAACCTTTGGTTATTGTAAAATTACATATTTGTGCAAACAATATAAATATTCAAAAATTATCACAAGGTTATTAGTTTAGAGAGAAACATGCCACTATGCTAAGACATTATCTGGGACTTTATAGAAATATTCAAGAATATGACCTTAGCTCAAGGAAGGATAACTCTGAAGACTCTAATATATAGAAGCTGTAGCTAAATGTTCTCTTTGAAGTTTTATAACAAGTTGTTTCTTGAAGAGAGATCTAAGTGAAATACCTCAAGAGCCACTACAGAGAAAGTTTGTGGGGTAGGGAAAACAAGAAAAAGAGATAGGAGTTTTCCTTCTAAAGAATGGGCAGGTTGTGGGTTCATCTGAGGTAGAGACTTGCTGATTTTTAAAAATCACTGTTGAAAATACTGAAATACAGATATATCATTTTGATATAGTATTTATTTGATTTAATAAATTGGTGAACTATATATTTATAAAATACTGATTACAATGATATTGATAAAAACATTTTGTAAAGCATAAGAAAACAGGTAAAACATAAGAAAGGAATCTGTAAATTCAAAGAACCAAAAATGTCCAACTGATAATAAGAAAGAACTGTTTTTTGGAAACAAAACTAAAAAATGCACAATAAACACATGTAGCCAAGCAAACACAATCTTTAAAATTAAATAGAAACAGAAACAAATTAATCTAATTGAATATTAAGTTGATAACATGACCATGGAAATTACAGTATGATTGACCTGTATCCGTGGGTTTTGCATCAGTGCATTCAACTAACTGAAGACTGAAAACATTCAGGAAAAAAAAAAATATGATTGTGGGGCAGGCGTGGTGGCTCATGCCTGCAATCCCAGCACTTTGGGAGACCGACATGGAAGGATCACTGAAGGTTGGCAGTTTGAGAGCCTGGCCAACATGGTGAAAACCCATCTCTATAAAAATACAAAAATTAGTTGGGTGTGGTGGCTGGCACCTGTAATCTCAGCTACTTGGGAGACTGAGGCAAAAGAATTTCTTGAACCTGGGATGCAGAGGTTACAGTGAGCCGACATCACACCACTGCACTCCAGCCTTGGTGACAGAGCAACACTCTGTCGCAAAATAACAATAACAATAATACATACATAATTAATTAATAATAGTTGTGTCTGTACTGAACATGAACAGGCTTTTTTCTTTTCACTATTCCCCAACTAATACATTATAAAAACTATTTACATCCCATTTACATTATATTAGGTATTATAAATAATATAGAGGTAACTTTAAATGTATGGCAGGGAGTGGATAGATTATGTGCAAAGTCTATGCCATCTTATATCAGGGACTTGAGCATATATGGATTTTAGGGGTCCTGAAACCAATGGATACTGAAGGTTGACTATTCTGAACAGTGTACACTGTGTACCTTTAGTAAGATACATTAATATGCCACTATTATTATCCTGTTATTATTAATATTATTAATGTGTGAGGTATTACAAGGAAAAAACGACTGAAGAAAATCTTAAATTGTATGTTGGTAAGTTATTGTTGTCCTATCAGTATGCAGTTGTTAAGTATCTATTTTTTATCATCTAATGTGTGACAGAAAAATAGATAAAATGAATAAATATACTGTTTTAGCAGAGAATAAGGTCTCTTACTAAGGGAAAAAATACAAAATAAAGTGTTGGAATATAAGAAAAACTAAAAAAATATTGGATTTGGTTTGTACATACCAATATTTACTAATGTTACCTGTTAAATGCATGTCATGACTCTGTCCACTGAAAAGATCTACATTCAGTGACATCCTCCTATAATTAGATACTCTATTACATAAATCTTCATTTCTAAATGTCATTCTCCATCAAAAACAATTAGGGACCTTTGAGAAATGGCCAATTATTGCTCTGTGGAAAGAAAGTGAAAGTGAAAAGTGAGTCTGGGACATTTCATGTCAGAAAGTAAGGAAGTATTCAAAGCCTTACGATGGCACTTCAGGAAGACCAAAGAGTCAGCTTGGTCAAAAGTGGAAAATTCTGACCATCTAAAAACAACAATTAAATCAGTATTTTATATCACATTAAATTGAAAAACATTTCATAAATTCTTAACGCTACTCAAGAACAACAAAATTAGCTGGGCACAGTGGCTACTGCCTGTCATCCCAGTGATTAGGGAGACTAAGGAGGGAGAATCACTTGAGGCCAGGAGTTCGAGGCCAGCCTGGGCAATATAGTGAGAGCCCATTAATCAAACTTTTTATAAGTTAGCTAAGCATGGTGGCACTCACGTATTCCCAGCTACTTGGGAGGCTAAAGCTGGGGGATTGCTTGAGCCCAGGAATTGGAGGGTACAGTGAACTGATTGGGCCCCTGCATTTCAGCCTGAGTGACAGAGCAAGATACTATGTCTTAAAAAATAAAATAATAAAAGATAGAAAAATAAAATAAAATAAAAGATGTTTTTAAATAGAAGAATGCCAGCTTATTATTATGGGAGGTCAATGCTAGATTTTTTTAATAAAGGTTTCATGAGTTCTGATGTAATAATAAGTTAATAAAATGATCATCAATGGATACTTAAACCCTTGGAGGAAAAGTTGTTTTGTAAAAGGATGATCCCAAGTTTTCAACATCTCATATTACTACTTAATTTCAAAAGAACAAGGGATATTTATAATGATATGACCTACCTAACCTTGAACAAGTGATCAAATTTAGCCTCCCCCAAATTATGAGCAACTGATATTATGTGCCCCTGATTTTGTGCCATAAGAGGTACACAATATTAATTCCATTGTGTTCTCATAAAATACATGTAACTCAAACATAATCATAAGGAAACAATAGATACCATGCCTGGGCCCTTTGAAAGGTCATAAGCAAAACTAAACAAAACAAACAGAAGGTATTAGAAATTGTTGTTGATTAAGAGATTTACCTGCATTATAAAATAGACAAGATGTTATGAAGACATGTTTTCAGCAACTTAGGACATTTTATTAAGGATGGTATATTATAACTGAATCAATATTAGCAGTTAGGTAGAAGAAAATCCTTGTTCTTAGGAGATAAATATTGAAGTGGTGAGAGAGCAGTCAGCATGTCTGCAACTCATTTTTAAATGACTTAGTAAAAAGAATGTTGGCAATATACACACATGCAAAGAAGACAATTTATATGTGTGTGCATGTATACATATGTATATATGTTAGTTGTTGAGCCAAATTGAACAGCATATATAACTTCTATGTAGTTTTTAAATTATTATTGCTGCTGATTTGTCATTTTTCAGAATAAAATATATTGAGGGAGAGAGAGTTCTACTCATAATCAGATAGATAAACATGTCAGTGACAAAGCCATGATGAAAAATTATGTCCCCTGATTTTTATCCCAGAGATTTTGCCTCTATCCTGAAAAATTTTCCCTCCAGTTCTATATAATTTGGCTATTTGTGACTATCACAGAAGTTCTCACTATTATAAAATAATTAAAACAAAATTTGAACTAATCCTTTTGAATTAGCAATGTTTAGCTTTCAAATTCTCTAAGGTAAATATTTCACTTTAGTCATTTTTTTCCTGCTTCTTAATTAAATTTACTACTTATTCTAATACCTAATAGTCTATACCTGAAGTATAAATTATTGTTACTAATATTTGGGGGGGGCTGATAATCATCATAGCTTTATTAGATTCATTACACAAATCTCCTATGAGATTATACTAAATGCTGTATTGTTATCAGCAATAAAAATGAAATAGATGTCTAGATACCACTATTATAATTTCATCATGATTACATAAAGGATTACAAGCCAATAATATGATAGATATGTAGCCTGGAGTCCTTGGTATTCTTCCTTGTTCCAGTGATGACTTGATATATTTTTTGTTATTTAAAGAAACTCTGTGTTTCCTATCTTTTCTGAGGATCACCTACAGAGACACCGATGCTTGCAGTTTGGACAGGTCATAAATTATGCTCTTCACAATCCCCTCTACAGGGGTAGATATGCAATACAAGAAAAGACAATTCAAATCTTTCTTGGAATGAATGGATAGATAGACATTGCAAATGATAAATTCTGTTTTAGGTTTGAAATTCTGTATTGAGAGGAATGCAAAGGTGATGGCAGCCACGTTTCCATCCAATTTGAGAGAATCTATAATCAAATTCAGGGCAAGGAGTGACAAGGGCAAACATAAAATAGAGAGTTAAACCTCTAATAAAATTACTTGAACTCTGAATCTAGTCGCACATGAGTAGACATCCTCATCAGATGCTGTTACAAGACCTACATTTCATTATTCAGAAAACTATCTTTGATTGTTGTTTATACTATGTATGGTACACAGAGTACTTAATAACTCAGAATTTGGATCTCAAAATTGGGTCACTATAAATGACAATTAACTACATTAAAGTAGAACAGAGGATGGTGAGGATTCTCTTGTTCTGTCAATTTAGTTTTATACTCTGCCAATTCTGCTATAACCTAGCTCTCAGTTTAAAATGTTAAGAGCTTTTGTTCTCAGACTGGACTAGCAAACGAATTTACTCACTGCTTATGGTAAAATGGGCATGTCTGTTGATAACGGTGAAGCATTTTTTAAAAGTCTATATTCAAAATACAAATGGATAGCTCCTATCATTGCATTTACTAGTTCTAAATTATTTGAAATAAAATTTACTAGTAGCTAATGAATATTTATTATTATTATTATTATTATACTTTAAGTTTTAGGGTACATGTGCACAATGTGCAGGTTAGTTACATATGTATACATGTGCCATGCTGGTGTGCTGCACCCATTAACTCGTCATTTAGCATTAGGTATATCTCCTAATGCTATCCCTCCCCCCTCCCCCCACCCCACAACAGTCCCCAGAGTGTGATGTTCCCCTTCCTGTGTCCATGTGTTCTCATTGTTCAATTCCCATCTATGAGTGAGAAGATGTGGTGTTTGGTTTTTTGTCCTTGCAATAGTTTACTGAGAATGATGCTTTCCAATTTCATCCATGTCCCTACAAAGGAGATGAACTCATCATTTTTTATGGCTGCATAGTATTCCATGGTGTATATGTGCCACATTTTCTTAATCCAGTCTATCATTGTTGGACATTTGGGTTGGTTCCAAGTCTTTGCTATTGTGAATAGTGCCGCAATAAACATACGTGTGCATGTGTCTTTAAAAATTATTGACACAGTAAGCTGGCAAGCAGGAATCTATGATTTTTCTATCTCTGAATATAACCCAGTTCTTGTGACTGTGGAAAAAATAAAAGGCTTACTCTTAATTACAGAGCTCTGAAAAGCAAAGTCCTCCTTTATGTTCTTTTTGGACATAAACTTGAAGGAAAATGACAAAAAATATTCAGTCAGAGAGAATTACAAAGGCTAGGCAGATTTCTGATGATGGCATTCACTTTGCATTGTAGATTAAAGACCCTGCTGTTTCCACTCTAGTACAATATACTACATGCTATGGAATTGTGCCCACTCTCTGTTCTTTTCTGTTTATCCTTTTCTTAAATGGAAATTTATAACATAATGGCTTTGTTATCCCTTTTTAGTGTAGTGTCTATTAGGATGTGTTAAATGTACCACTTAGTTTAAGGACTATAGAATGTCTATATTGGGATTATGATGACACTAAAGAAAAAAATGTCATCTGGAGAATTATAAACTCAAAGAAAAAGACTATTAGATAATCATCTGTAGATATAGTAACTGGACATGTTTTTAAGATTGCTTTTCTTGGGAAAAAGAGAAACACATTTGTAATTTAATGTGTAAATTACACATAAGCAACTGTTTCAGCTGGATTTTCATCTGGTTGTAAGTAAAAGTGTGACTTAAACACATTGGTATTTATATGTCTCATTTAACTAAAAGTCTCTGAGATGAGTAGGCAGGTCTGGACTAGTACTGAGTGAGATATATTGTCTATGTCCCCATCCAAATCTCATCTTGAATTCCCAAGTGTTGTGGGAGGGACCTGGTGAGAGGTAATTGAATAATGGGGGTAAGTCTTTCCTGTGCTGTTCTCCTAATAATGAATAAATCTCACTAGATCTGATGGTTTTAAAAAAAGGAGTTCCCCCACACAAGCTCTCTCTCTCTTTGTCTGCAGCCATCCATGTAAGACATGACTTGCTGTTCCTTGCCTTCTGCCATGATTGTGAGGCTTCCCCAGCCACGTGGAACCGTAAGTCCAATTAAATGTCTTTCTTTCATAAATTGCCCAGTCTCAGGTATGTCTTTATCAGCAGCATGAAAATGCACTAATACATTGAGGTTAAACTTTTTCTTTCTTGGAATAGGTTTCCACTATAATTTTATTGCATAGAATTATAGGCAATATAATTACTTCATTCTCAAAGTACCAAAGTCCTTTATCCTCTCCAGGTTCTGTATACACATTGCAGGGAGGAATATAATGAAATTTTCAAAATACTAGAGTCTATGCAAAATATATACTTGTTTGGGTGTTTTCATCAAGTTTCTTCTAGTAACTTACATCATTTTGTCCAGAATTGTGTCAGAGACCCAAGTTAAATCTTTGTTGAATGTAGGGTCTGGAAAGATATTGCTAACTGCAAAAATTGCAACCATGAAATACTGAAGTTCATTTAGTAGAGGCAAAGTGGAGATTTAAAATTTAATGAAATACTATTCATAATTGCAATAATTGCCCACTTAGGAAATAAAATCATGGAGCTCCAATTAATGACAAGATAATCTTATAAATGATCATTATGTGTCATAATAAAAAACTTCTAAATTACTAAAAACCATTGCAAAATTACTCTTTGATGAATTTATCCAATGGTGAAGTATTTGCTTTAGGATCTGCCTACTTGGGATTCAGAATTTCAGTTGTACTTACATGACTACTGTGAATGCTTCAGCGTTTTTTTGTAGATCCACATATCTGGGCACAGAGAGCTGTTCTGTGCGTGTTTTGAAGGGAGACGGACTTTAAGTGTGTCTGTCGTCCAGAGTACTCCATCCTCAATAACACAATTGAGTAGTCCAGAGTTATACAGCTGATCCAATCCAGAGTCTTTCTGAGGAGTTTTTAAAACTAAATATGTTAAAGCAAGCCAGTATCTCCCCAGGCTTGGAAATCATAACGCTTACAGGTAATACATGTACAGATGAAGGAAAACCAAATTGATGTACAATGAGAAGCAAGAATGAGCCAGTTGTTCCTGAGATTCAGCTACAGAGCCTAATCTGGTTGTTTTGAGTGGTTGGAACACTTTTTTTTCCATGTAACATTACACTGTCTTTTCTGGATTCGCTCAATTTATTTCAGTTTCTCTATTTTTGAACAGTAGATCAAGAAAAGAATCTGGACATTTACCCTAGTTAACACTGATGAATAATTTGTGGTATTTTTTCCAATAAAAAATAAGCAGCCTTCTTATCTGATAGAAGTATCAAATTATAAAATCTAGAATGTGATTTGGCACCAGGTATAAAAATACTATATGCTAAAAAGTGAAGTAATATAGTAGTTATGAGCTGTATCGGTTGAGATATGCTCAATTATCTTGTAGTAACCAACAATAAACCATCCTAGTTGTGCATGACCATGAACGTTTTATTTTATGAGTTCCTCTCAGGTTGGTGCAAATTCTGCTCTAAATGTCATGGGGGAATGCAGACTGGCTGAAGACCTGCATCTAGAATATTATCAGTGTCATGGAAATGGGATGATGCATGGCTATCTATGGGCTAGATTTTATAGCTTTTAATTAGAAGTGTCATGTGCCGCTTATACACAAATTCATTAACCAAGTTACAGGACTACGCTCAAATTCAAAACAGTGAGGAATTGGTCAGTATTTTGTGTGATAATAGATATTCAATAAGGAGAGACTCTGGAGATGCCGTAGGTTTAAATTCTGGTTTGTCTATTTAATAAAAAATGTTACTTTAGGCAAGTTAAATAATCTCTCTGTGCATCATGTTCTTCACCAAAAACAAAAAAAAAAACATGTAATTTTAGGAACAACTGCATAAAACTGATATGAGGATGCAGTAACATAATGACTAAAATATACATATCATATTATATGGCTCAAAAATGTCAGCTTTTTGATAATAAAAATTGGCATTATTGGATTCAAATTTTGATTTAAAACATAAAAACTTGAGTTAGATAAGAATGAGAAATGTGCTGTAGTTCTAATCCATCTAATATTAATGAAGCTGCTACTGAAAGATTATATGACTAAATGCCTTTGTCAATAGTAGATTATTTACCTGGGGCTTTCATTGTCCATGTTTGTTGTCTCAGTAGGCTTCAATCTTTTTACTTGTTTTTATAAAAGACACTTTAATTAAAATTAAGACTCATCAGCTGCAGCTGATCTTAAGATATAACATAAAACTGGACCTCACAGCATGTTAAAATAAAAATACAAGCTGTTACCAAGGAGGCAGTCTAGCCGAATGTTAAACAATTGCAGTGATTAGTTTGGTAATTGTACCCTCTGCAATATAGAAAGTCCATAGCAGTGGAATCTATTACTTAGGAGGTCACCTTTATGTTATCCTCTGAAAGCACTCATACTTTCTCATAATTAATACTTGTTTAAATTCATTTATCCTTTTCTTTACATAGAGAATGTCTTAGATGAATTTTGTATTTATCATTCAGAAAGTCAAACATTTTCTTATTTATTGGACTTGATATTTTTTATAGCATTGTTTAGCTTCCACACCATAGCAAACTAAGCCAAGCTATGCCTAAGAGGAACTTCATAACATATTGTTTCTCAAGGCAAAAATAATCATTTTTTGCTATTGTTACTTGCTGGTCTTTTAGGCTCTTATTGACTAAATTAATCTATCTGCTTTGGGTTTTGGCACTCACTATTTCTACCCCTGTTGCTTCTGCAACAACAGGGACAACATTTTCTCCTGTTTTGTCAAAAGAGATGAGTTTTTGCCTCATTCTTTGCCATGGATCACTTGCTAAGATTGACTTGACCAAAAGTATCTTTCTTTTGCAATTGCTTTTCTCTGACCTGATTGCAGTATACAATAATTGTCTAATGAGCCAGTTGTTTGCATTTTACAACAACTTTCTAAATATCAATATCACTATTTTCTCAAAATCTTAACTAAAAATAAGAAAATATTTTTAGCCATCACATTTTATTTGAATGTAAAAGCAATATTCACAGTGAGCAATGCGTTGCTATTTTATATTTTGTATAATTGTAAATGTTTACATATTTATTAATTTGTATATATCTCCATAAATTAATGAAATTACATTCATAACTTAAAATTTGCTTTCAAAAATCTATGTTACAGTAAACTGCTTATGGTCATATTTGATTGAATAAGAAATTTCAAGACCTAATAATAAGTTCATGTTTATAACATATTTGAGAGATACTTAATATATGCCTTTATTTTATGAATCATGGCTAAGTCTTTATATATTTCTACTACGAAATATACATGTAATCAAAATAGCTAGAATATCAAATGAAATGAACTGTAATCAACAAAAAGACATGCAAATAATTCACATCATTAGAACAACTATAATTTTGAGGTTTTTTTTAATACTTTGTGAGAATTAGAGTGGAATTGTGCAGTTTACACATTTAATCCATTATTTTTCTATAATTGCTATGTATTCAACCCATGGGCAATGGATTATGTGCATAAAGTAGACTAGAATTATATTGAGATTTTTATTTTCTTATTTTTTTAATCCCATGAGAAGACCTGCAAATTTCTTGCTCCTAAATTTTCTTCATGGATGTCTTAGATAACAGGATTTAACTTTTATGAGGCCTGAAGTTAGGACATTCAACAAGATGGCAAAAATTTAAAATAAGTCTAGCCAGAAGAATTGATTGAAAGATATATTAGAAAGATGAAAAGAAAAATAAGTTAAAGTACCATTTAATCAATTTTTTAAACAAATAATATTTCTCCTGTCAAGTCTATATGAATAAAAATTTTTTAAAACATGAAAATGACAAACACTAACTAGAACAGCCAACATTATCTAATTTTCCAATAAAACTATTAGAGAGATAATGGCCACTGCAGATTGCCTTTTAGAAATTTCACCAACTGAAATCAGGATATTTTGTCAGTATGCACTGAATCCTTGGCTCAAGATAAAGCATTTTAAAGTTCATGCTGGCATGTTAGATAAGGTTCTTAGTGGTAGAGAAGATAAAGTATAAATGAAGCCAAATGATGTAGTTGCTTAATTTTCAGTAGATACAGCATGTTGAATCCCAACAGATAATTTGGTTGCTGGTAATAAAATGGGATATAATAATATATTTGTACATAGGAATATTTTTATTTGAATGCAAAGATAATCATATATAAAGACATTTCTGATTAAATGAATAAAGTTTATTTTAATAACCATAATACTGAATGATTTAATTTATAATCATTAAACCACATAAGTAAAATAAATCAATCTATATATATATATACATATACAGGTACATAAATAAGAGATTAGCTATGCCTAGATCAAACCATGCATTTGTGAGTAAAATAAATATTTATTATTGTATGCCACTGAGATTTTGTGATTGTTCACAACAAAATGTTATTTAGGCAATAAAATATGCTAGGTTAAAAGTAGGGGCATGTGGAATGCTAAATGTCATTATCATGATTTAACACATACGTAAAATTAAATACTGAATTTATTCAAATCTGGTTGGACCACAAGGAATAGCTTCAAAATAGAAACAAATTTTCAACAGTCCAAATTATAGTCGGAAATGAGTTTGATATATGGATTAGAATATGCATTTAGATAACACTGACTATGGATATTTGAATATAGCTTAGAGTAAGAGTATGGCATTTAAGTAAAGACAAATGAGCATTGTCTTCTAATTTATGTAGAGGAAAACAAATTAGATTATTTTGAAGCTGAAAACTATGGATCTTGGCAATTCACTGGATCTGAGTGATACCTACCAAATATGGGAGAAATAAAATTATTTCAAAACTTATGGGACTTAGAAAGTGATATCAATAAAAATAATTGAGCATAAGAAAACTGATGGAGTTAAAGAAAATGTCATTTATAGCATTTTGAATATGATATATATATATTCATCAAATTGCCTTAAGTTATAGAAGTTTACCTTTAAAAGAATTCTATATTCTCTTAGATATGAATTTTTTGGAAAATATGGAGTTAATAGAAAGTAAGCAATATGCAGTGTTAAATATGGATAGGCTATGTTTCTTAAATGCAAAAAGTCATTCAACAAGTTTGTATTTATTTATTATACACCAAATGAATTATTTTCTATAACAGTGAAAATAAGATAAATGGAAGGTAGGTCCATTAGTTACAATTTGATAGCATAGATAAGACTTAAATTAGCCATTTAAAAACTTAAAGAAGTATATAATTACCAAAAGCTTCGTAAGGATGAAAAATGTAATCTAAGGTCAGCTATAAGGAGATTATATAGATTAATATTATAAAATTGGGGGGGCAAATTAAAGTGAAATTCAAATAATATCTTGAAGGTTGTGTTTAGTTAGATAAAGAGCCACAAATAGACACCAAAGATAAAGCAACCAGAAAGACTTACATTCAATTATGTCTTGATTCTGGAGTAACTTGATAGAATTGAAAAGCAGATTTAGAGATTGGTTAAAAAGAGTGGATTAGGTTTAGGAGAGATTGAAATTGATGAGCTAAATAGTTTGACCTCTACCTTCTTTGTAACAGATAGACATTGACACTTTTTAAACAAGTATATGATAAGATGCAATGGATGTATTAGAATGATTTGTTGGGCGAGAGACCATAGAGGAAAATTTAAACATTTGCTTTAAACACCCATATGATTGTCCAAGAATTTGTGAACATGTCTGCTCTAGCAACTGCCACTGGTTCCTGAGCATGCTTTCCAGGAGCCTGAGCATCCACCTGCCCTATCCACCACCACAGGCACCCACACACATCATCTGGGAGCCTGAGGATAGGACATAATCAAAGCCAAAGCACCCTACCTAACCAGCACTATAAATACCTAGAAAAATGTATTTTCCTCTGAAAACCCATCTATGAAAGTGGAAAAAGTGACTGTTACACCAGATGCACAGATATCAATGTAAGGACATAAGAACCATGAAAAAGCAAAGAAATATGACACCTCCAAATGAACACAATAATTTCTCCAGAAAAGAAAATGTCTGTAATGCCTGAAAAAGTATTCAAAATAATGATGTTAGAGAAGCTCAGTGAGATACAAGATAACACAGAAAAACAACACAGGTAAAATATCAGAAAAGGGATTCATGATCTGAGTGAGAAATTTAACAAAGAGAATATATATCATTAAAAAAAGCAGAAATTCTGGAACTGTGGATTTCAACAAAGAGGAAAAAACCAATTTAGAGTTTCAACAATGGATTAGATCAAGAAGAAGAAAGAATTTCTGAACTTAAAAACAAGCCTTTTAAAATAATGTAGTCAGTAAATAAAAAGAACGAATAAAGCCTACATGACATATGAACACCATAAAGCAACCAAATATTTAAATTTGGGAGTTCCAGAAGAAGAGATGAGAAAGGGCATAAAAATATGTTTAATGAAATAATAGCTGACAACTTTCCAAGTCTTGAAAGTGATATGGACATCCAGATACAGGAAGTCTAAAGATTTCCAAATAGATTCAATCTAAAGAGGTCTTATTAAGGCAAATTATACTCAAACTGTCAAAAGTAAACAGAGAATTCTATAAAAAGGTAGCAAAGACTTCAAGTCACATATAAGGAAATCCCAACTGGTCTAACAGCTGATATCTCAGCTGAAACCTTACAGGCCAGGAGAGAATTAGATAATATATTAAAAGTCCTAAAAAGAAAAAAAAAGTGAACCAAAGACACTATGTTCAGCAAAGGTTTTCTTTGAAAATGAAGGAGAAATAAAGTCTTTTCCAGACCAAAAAAAAAGAGGATATTCATCACCACTAAACTGATCCTATAAAAAATGCTTGTTAGTTCTACATCTGGAAGTAAAGGGATAATATCTACTATCATGAAAACACAGCAAAGTATAAAACCCATAGGCACAACAGATACACAAATGAGAAAGAGAGGGGATTCAAGTGTTACCATTATGTTAAACCACCAAACCTCATGATACATAATAAGAGAGAAAGTAAAGAACAAAGGATATACAAAGCAACCAGAAAACAATTAGCAAAATGATAGAAATTATTCCTCACCTATCAATAATAATCTTGAATGTAAATCAATTAAATTCCCCACTTAAAATATGTAGACTCCATGAATAGATTAAAAAATATGACCCATCTATATGCTGCCTACAAGAAACTCCCTTCACCAGTAAAGACACATATAGACTGAAAGTGAAGGGGTGGAAAAGCAAACCAAAAGTTAGCAGGTATAGCTATACCTATATCAAATAAAAGAGGCCTTAAGTCATAAATAGTAAAAAGAGACTAAGAAGGTCATTATATAATAATAAAGTTGTCAATTCAACAAGAGGATATAACAATTCTGAATATAAGTGTACTGAAGACCAGAGTACCAAGATATGTAAAGCAAATATTACTAGATCAAAGGTAGAGCTGGAGTCCAAAAGAATAATAATTGGGGTCAACAATCCACTCTCGTCATAGGACCTAGCAATCCCACTTATTATGTATGTATATGCAGGAAGGACATTAAATCAGTATGTCAAAAATATCTGCACTTCTATCTTTACTGCAGCATTATTCACAGTAGCAAAAACTTGGAATCAACCTACATGTCCATTAAAAGATGAATGGATTTAAAAAATGAAGTATATATACTGCTGTGTATTTAGGGTGCTATTCAGTATTTCTCCTATTCAGCAATAAAAAAAAGAATGAAATTCTGTCATTTGCAGCAACATAGATAGAACTGGAGGTCATTCTGTTAAGTGAATTAAGTTAGAAAGACGAATATTGCATGGTCTCACTCAGATGTGAGAACTAAAAAAGTTGGTCTCATTGTGGTATAGGGTAGAATGATAGTTACCAGTGTTTCTTCTACAAGCAACATATACTTATTTTTATAAATTTACCCTTTTAAATCTCTACAAAAAAGAGACTACAAAAGACTTATTTTCTTACTAATGTCTTTAAGTTGTTCAGCTTTGTTTAATTTTTAAAGTGGTTCATGTCCTAATCTTGTGTTTATGAAATGTGTTAATATCTCTGTAATAAATAAAATATTTTCAAAAGCATCTAGTACACTGATCGATATTTAATATTGGCCAAACTATTAGTTAAATTCTACAATAATTTCAACATACTTTTAATTTGACTTTTCAGATTCATGCAGAATATGCCTGATCTATTTTACTTATAGTAACGATTCATTGTCCTCTATCAGGCCAAACATTGTTCATTCTTTCAATTGTGCCTGTGTCACAGTTCAGTAGTAGATTGAAACATGAAACTTATTTAATCATGACAAAACAAGAAAGAATAGTCAAAAGTGAGGGAGTGAGCTTATATTTTGGCTAGAATAGCCATGGTTGTCGAAGAGAAGGCCAGATGAGCTTATACAGCTGAATTAGCAGTTTGGGAAGTTTTGAATGCACAGCAGAGTGAATGCCAATTTGAAGAAAAATGAAATTGATCATGGGTTTCTATGATATAAATAAGAACTCTAACTCTAAAGTGTCATATTATTCATTTAATGATTAGTCATCTCTTAAATTTATTATCTACCTTAAACTCAGTGAATTATTTGGTTGGTAAGAACTCAGCAATAAACCACAGCAATCTGCTCGCATCTCCATGACACCCCTTTTCATTGTTCGTAAATACCTTATGGCCTGTCTTTCCAATCCACTAGAGAATGAGCATTTTGGAATAGAGAACTACAATTTTGCTATTATGCCCTCTAAACCTACCATAATGCCTCATGCAAAAATGTTGAGTGGGTTAACTTATACATAAAAAAAATTTAAAATATAGAGGATATTTCTATGTAATCGCCTTAAAACTGAAGATATTTTCCCTCTCAGTAGAATTCTCTCTACTTTTTCAATAAAAGCAATTAACATAATCTACATTATTGCTTAATTAAATTATCTGCAGACATTTAAATTGTTTTATGTGTGTAATGTATGAGAACTAGAGCGAGCTCTTTATTTCTCTGAATTAAGAAAAAAAATCTTTCAGTCCTTCTTACATTGGTTTAACAATCTCAAGCAAGTCTATTATTTCTTATTTTTTTCTGAACAATTTTAGTCTACTTACAATGTTTTTTGTTGATAATTTCTAGTCAAGCAGGTTATAAATTTTTTTCCCACAGGAGTTAGCTAAAAGCAAAATCAATATTCTAGATGAGTATTAACCATGTGTGTATCTTATCAATATATAAATGCTTTGCTTCATCATTGCTCATTGAAGATTTTCACAAGTTTATTGAATAGTAAACCTGGATCTGTAAAGAAATAGAAATTGTAAGGCTAGAAGAAAAATGAAATAGATTGCTTCAAAAGAGAGAAAGAAGAGTAATGGCAAGTTATTCAATAAGACTTTAAGAGGGAGGATACAGGAAAAGAAAAAATAGAAAAAGCTATATAAAACACAAAAATACGTGTTTTTAAAATAATTTTTAAATAAATAAAACCAAACTGCTTATATTGCATCATTTTAAATTCTTAAAAATTGTGAAGTTCCCATGCACATTCAAAAACTAAACAAGTCCTCTACACTGTAATGAAAGTGCAAACCACTTTGAAACCAAAATCTGCTTCATGTCTTCCTGTATCGTATAAGCTACCCCTAGAAGCTGCAAATTCCTTTCTTAAATAAATTATGCATTCTTTGCAAATGTATTATTAAGACACCTATTAAGGGAAGCAAACCATATAAAACATATAGCAAGCTGTTTAATACATAGTAATTTGTTCAATAACTAATATTCATTACAATAAAAAGTGCATTTTAACTACACTGCATAATTAACCATTACAAAAAGGAAAATTCTGATTACCATTTAGCAATGATATATTGTCTTTTCTTTTCCAATGTTTCATACAATGTAATCTGAAAATGGAGATAACCGCCAGAATTTTTAGATATAAATAAAATGCTATTACCACAATGAAGGTATGAACATTTCCCTCTTCCTCAAAATCTTCCTAGTGCTCCTTTTAATCTTTCCCTCTGCCTTTCCCTTAATCCCCTTTTACTATCTAAAGTCGAACAATGATCTGCCTCCCGTCATTATAAATTGTCTGCATTTTCTAGAAATTTTTATGAATGAAATCATATAGTATGCACTCATTTTTGTATGCTTTTTGTTACCTCTATTTTTTTGTTCCCAGTTTTCCCGTTTTCTGTATTATGTAGAATATAGTATTTTTTGTGATTCTTTTTTTGTATGTATTAGCTATCAGTTTTTGCTTGTTATTTTAGTGATTGCAATAAGGTTTATAATTACATATTTAACATAAGTGTTTGCCTTCAACTGATATCATATCTCTTCATGTATGATAAAAGGCTTGCCGTAATGTATTAGGTTGGTGCAAAAGTAATTGGGGTTTTTGCCATCGAAAATAGTGGCAAAACCCCAACTTCTTTTGCATCAATCTGCTTCCTTCCAGGGCTTTCTTCCTGGCCCTCCTGCTACTGCTGAAACACATTTTACTTCTACCTTTGCTATAATCATCATGTTTCATTGTTATATTGTTTTTATTTAAACTATGATGTCAATTATTGAAAAATTAATTATTTTTCAAAGATGTTTTAATATTTAGTAATGTTATGTTTATTTCTTCTCATGTTTCTTAATTTTTATCTACTTAGTGCTAAAGGCATATTTTGGTATTAATAATTAGATAATCCTTGGATAAAAGAGGAATATATTTAGGTGATATGAACCCAAATACTACATTTGTTGAATTTAGATTAGTTTTGCCTACTAAAAAACAAGGTAAATAAAAACAAGAAAAAGCAAAATAAGAGTGACTCACACACCTAAATAATCCTGTTTTCCTGTTAGTGTTAGCTAGTGCATTATAATGCTAGGTAATGCATTATAATGTTAGTGTTCTGCATTACCTAGTAGGAGAAAAGTTCTACTTTTAGTTCTTTAAGGAATCTCCACACTGTTTTCCATGCCACCTTGGTTGCACTTGATAGTGTCTTTTTACATTTTGTCATTTTGATTGTTGTGCAGTGACATTCTTCTGCATTTAATTTGTTTTTATCTGAAAACTGCTGAGATTGAGTATGTTTTCATTTGCTTATTGGCCCCTTGGATGTCTTCTTTTCTAAAGTGCTGGTTTAAACTTTTGCCCTCCTTTTCCTCCTTTTTTTTAGGATTGTAAATTTGTTAGGCAGGATTCTTCAGGGGAACAGAATGTGTGTGTGCGTGCGCGCACGTGCGCACACACACACACACACACATATATATTAGGAGATTTATGTTAAGGAATTGGCTCAGGTGATTGTGAGGACTGATGAATCTGAAATGTGTAGGACAGGCTGGCAAGCTGGAAACTTATGCAGGATTTATATACATCAATTTCTAGGCAGAATTCATTCTTTTCTAGGAAACCTTAGTTTATACTCTAAAGGCTTTTGACTGATTACATGAGGCCCACTCATATTATCAAAGGTTATCTCCTTTCCTTAAAATCAACTAATTGTACAATTCACCACTGTTATCTGTAGTGCTGCAGGTGTCCACTGTTAAGTAGTGGCTGCATATCATACAGAAGCATCTGGAAACCAGGTTTGTGTTTTCCTTTCCTTAGTAAACTAATCGTAGAGAACTCCCAATGATGGTATAGGTACAGGCTGAGAGAAAGAAGGTAATATAGCAAGACTGGGGGCTACGGTCATTTGGGCCACTTCCTTAGGTAACTTATTTGTGCCTTCAGGGGCTGTTGGAGCCTGATCTTGTATATACTGCTTTGATTCAATGATGGAGTGCTTCTGCACATGCTGAATTGTACATCTTCATGAGTAAAACAATACCTAGTTCATAACAGGCAACTTGCGTGGTAACTTGGTATTCCTTGATTAAATATTCAGAGTCTCTACTATAATAACTTCTTAGATAGTTCTCTCCAGAGAAATATGTTTCTTCAGAGAAAATGTATTATATAATTGCAGGGGCTGAAAAGTCTGAAATTTATAGGGCAGTTTGGCAGGATGAAAAACTCAGGCAAATAATGATTCTGTAGTGTTGAGGCAGAATTATTTTTTCAGAACAAACTCAGTTTTTACATTTTTTTTTCTTTTTACATTGTTGCACTTAGAATCACAGTTTATTTATTTATTTTTATAGGTTATTGGGGTAGAGGTGGTGTTTGGTTACATGAGTTTTTTAGTGGTGACCTGCGAGATTTTGGTGCAAGCATCACCCAAGCAGTATACGCTACACACTATTTGTAGTCTTTTATCTCTCATCCACCTCACAGCCTATCCCACAAGTCCCGAAAGTCCATTGTATGATTCTTATGCCTTTGTGTCCTCATATCTTAGCAGCCACATATCAGTGAGAACATACAATGTTTGCTTTTCCATTCCTGAGTTACTTTACTTATAATAATAGTCTCCAATCTCATCCAGGTTGCTGCGAATACTGTTAATATGTGTGTGTGTGTATATATATATATATATACATACCACAGTTTATTTAACAACTCTTTGGTTGATGGGCATTTGGGTTGGTTCTACAATTTTGCAATTGTGAATTATGCTGCTGTAAACATGCATGTCTAAGTATCTTTTTTGAATAATGACTTATATTCCTCTGGGTAGATACCCAGTAGTGAGATTGCTGGATCAAATGGTAGTTCTACTTTTCATTCTTTAAGGAATCTCCACACTGTTTTCCATAGTGGTTGTACTAGTTTACATTCCCACCAGCAGTGTTGAAGTGTTTCCTGATCACCACATCCATGCCAACATCTACTGTTTTTTTAAATTTTTTGATTATGGCCATTCTTGCAGGAGTAACGTGGTATTGCATTGCGGTTTCAATTTGCATTTCCCTGATCATTAGTGATGTTGAGCATTTTTTAATACATTTGTTGGTCATTTGTACATCCTGTTTTGAGAATTGTCTATTCATGTTCTTAGCACACTTTTTGATGGGACTGTTTGTTTTTTTCCTTGTTTATTTGAGTTCATTGTAGATTGTGGATATTAGTCTTTTGTCAGATGTGTAGATTGTGAAGATTTTCTCCCACTCTGTGGGTTGTCTTTTTACTCTGCTGACTGTTCCTTTTGCCATGCAAAAGCTTTTTAGTTTAATAAAGTCCTAGCTATTTATCTTTGTTTTTATTGCATTTGCTTTTTGGTTCTTGGTCGTGAAATCCTTGCCTAAGCCAATGTCTACAAAGGTTTTTCTGATGTCATCTTCTATATTTTTTATAGTTTCATGTCTTTGATTTAAGTACTTAATCCATCTTGAGTTGATTTTTGTTTAATGTGAGACATGAGGATCCAGTTTCATCCTCCTACATGTGGCTAGCCAATTATCTCAGGATCAATTGTTGAGAAGGGTGTCCTTCCTCACTTCATGATTTTGTTTGCTTTGTCGAAAATCAGGTGGCTATAAGTATTTGGGTTTATTGCTGGGTTCTCTATTCTGTTTCTTTGGTCTATGTGCCTATTTTTATACCAGTGCCATGCTGTTTTGGTGACTATGGCCTTATAATATAGTTTGAAATCAGGTAATGTGGTGCCTCCAGATTTGTTCTTTTTGCCTAGTCTTTCTTTGGCTATGCGGGCTCTTTTCTAGTTCCATATGAATTTTAGAATTTTTTTTTTAATTCTGTGAAGAATGACAGTGGTATTTTGATAGGAATTGCATTGAATTTGTAGATTGCTTTTGGCAGTATGGTCATTTTCACAATATTGATTCTACCCATCCATAAGCATGGGATGTCTTTCCATTTTTTATATGTCATCTATTACTTATTCCAACAGTGTTTTGTAGTTTTCCTTGTAGACGTCTTTCACCTCCTTGGCTAGGTATATTCCTAAGTATTTTTTTTTTTTTTTGCAACTACTGTAAAAGTTCTTTATTTTATTCTCCACTTGGTTGCTGTTGGTGTATAGAAGAGCTACTAATTTTTGTACATTAACTTTGTATCCAGGAACTTTGCTGAATTCTTTTATCAGTTCTAGGAGCTTTCTGGAGGAATCTTTAGCGTTTTCGAGGTAAACGATCATATCATCAACAAACAGTGACAGTTTGAGTTTTTCTTTACTGATTTGGATGCTCTTTATTTCTTTTTCTTGTCTGATAGCTCTAGGACTTCTAGTACTATGTAGAAGAGGAGTGGTAAAAGTGGGTATCCTTGTCTTTTTCCAGTTCTCAGAGGGAATACTTTCAACTTTTCCCCATTCAATATTATGTTGGCTGTGGGTTTGTCTTAGATAGCTTTTATTACATTGAAGTATGTCCCTTGTATGCCAATTTTGCTGAGAGTTTTAATTATAAAGGGATGCTGGATTTTGTCGAATGCTTTTTCTGCATCTATCGAGATGATCATGTGATTTTTGTTTTTAATTCTGGTTTATGTGGTGTATCACATTTATTGACTTGTGTATGTTAAACCATCCCTACATGCCTGGTATGAAACCCACTTGATCATGGTGGATTATCTTTTTGATATGTTGGTGGATTCAGTTACCTAGTATTTTGTTAAGAATTTTAGCATCTATGTTCATCAGGGATACCTATCTGTAGTGTTCTTTTTTGTTATGTCTTTTCCTGGTTTTGGTATTAGTGTGATGCTGGCTTCATCAAATAAATTAGGGAGGGTTCCCTCTTTCTCTGTCTTGTGGAATAGTGTCAATAGGATTGGTACTAATTCTTCTTTAAATGTCTGGTAGAATTCCGCTGTGAATCTGTCTGGTCCTTGACTTCTTTTTGTTGGTAATTTTTAAATTACCATTTCAATCTCTCTACTTGTTTTTGGTCTGTTTAGAGTATCTAATTCTTCCTTATTTAAGCTAGGAGGGTTATATCTTTCCAGGAAATTAACCATCTCTTTAAGGTTTTCTAGTTTATGTGTGTGAAGGTGTTCATAGTAGCCTTGAATCATCTTTTGTATGTCTATGGTGTCAGTTGTAGTATCTCCCATTTCATGTATTATTCAGGCTATTTGGATTTTCTCTCTTCTTTTCTCAGTTAATCTTGCTAACGGTCTATCAATTTTATTTATCTTTTCAAAGAACCAGCTTTTTGTTTCATGTATCTTCTGTATTTTTTTGTTTGTTCGTTTGTTTCAACTTTATTTAGTTCTGCTCTGATCTTGGTAATTTCCTTTATTCTGCTGAGTTTGAGTTTGTTTTTTTCTTGTTTCTCTAGTTCCTTGAGATGTTACCTTAGATTGTTAGTTTGTGCATTTTCAATCTTTCTGATGTAGGCATTTAGGGCTATGAACTTTCATCTTAGCACCGCCTTTGGTTTTGATGGTCGTGTCACAATTGTCATTCAGTTCAAAAAATGTTTTAATTTCCATCTTGATTTTGTTTCTGACCCAGTGATCATTCAGGAGAAGGTTATTTAATTTCCATGTATTTGCATGGTTTTGAAAGTCCCTTCTGGGGTTGAATTTCAGTTTTATTTCACTGTGGTCTGAGAGAATGCTTGATATAATTTCATTTTTTTTTCAAATGTATTGAGGCTCATTTTGTGATCTATCACATGTTCTATCTTGGAGAAAGTTCCACATGCTGTTCAATACAATGTGTATCCTGCAGTTGTTAGATGGAATGTTCTGTATATATCTGTTAAGTTCATTTGTACTAAGGTATAGTTTAAATCCATTGTTTCTTTGTTGACGTCCTGTCTTGATTACCTGTCTGGTGCTGTCAGTGGAGTATTGAAGTCCTCCACTATTATTGTGCTGCTATCTCATTTCTTAAGTCCATTTGTAATTGTTTTATAAATTGGTGACCTCCAGTGTTAGGTGCATATATATGTTTAAGATTGTGATATTTTCCTGTTGGACAAGGCCTTTTACCATTATATAATGTCCCCCTTAGTCTTTTTTAACTGCTGTTAGTTTAAAGTTTGTTTTTTTTCTGACATATGAATAGCTACTCCTTCTTGCTTCTAGCGTCCATTTGTATGAAATGCCTTTTTCCACCCGTTTGATTTTACGTGAGTCCTTACATGCTAGGTGAGTCTCTTGAAGGAAGCAAATAGTTGGTTGGTAAATTCTTCTCCATTACACAGTTCTGTATCTTTTAAGTGGAGCATTTAGGCCATTTATGTTCAATGTTAGTATTGAGATGTGACATTTCATTCATTGTGCTATTTGTTGCCTGTGTGCCTTGGATTTTTGTTTTTGTTTTTAAATTGTATTTTTGTTTTATAGGTCCTGTGAGATTTACTCTTTAAAAGAGTTCTGTTTTGATGTGTTTCCAGGATTTGTTTCAAGATTTAGAGCTCCTTTTAGCAGTTCTTGTAGTGGTGGCTTTGTATTGGCAAATTCTGTCAGCATTTGTTTGTCTGAAAAAGACTGTTATCTTTCTTTCATATATGATGGATGCTTAGTTTCACTGGATACAAAACTCTTGCCTGATAATTGTTTAGTTTGAGGAGGCTGAAGATAGGGCCCCCATCTCTTCTAGCTTGTAGAGTTTCTGCTGTGAAATCTGCTGTTAATCTGATAGGTTTTCTTTTATAGATTACCTGATACTTCTGTCTCACAGCTCTTGAGATTCTTTCCTTTGTCTTAACTTTAGATAACCTGATGACAATGTGCCTAGGTGATGATCTTTTTGCAATGAATTTCCCAGATGCTCTTTGTGCTTCTTATATTTGGATGTCTAGGTCTCTAGCAAGGTCAGGGAAGTTTATCTCTATTATTCCCCCAAATACGTTTTCCAGACTTTTAGATTTCTTTTCTTTCTCAGGAATGCTGAATATTCTTAGGTTTGGTCGTTTAACATAATTCCAGGCTTCTTGGAGGCTTTGTTCATATTTTCTTATTCTTTTTCCTTTGTTTAACTAACCTCCTGAATTCTTTTTCAGGTAAATCAGGGATTTCTTCTCAGTTTGGGTCCATTGCTGGTGAGCTAGTGTGATTTTTGGGGGGTGTTAAAGAGCCTTGTTTTGTCATGTTACCAGAGTTGGTTTTCTGGTTCCTTCTCATTTAGGTAGGCTCTGTCAGAGGGAAGGTCTAGGGCCGAAGACTGTTGTTCTGATTCTTTTGTCCCACGAGGTGTTCCCTTGATGTAGTACTCTCCACCTTTTCCTAAGGATGTGGCTTCCTAAGAGCCCAGCTGCAGTGATTGTTATCTCTCTTCTGGGTCTAGCCATCCAGCAAGTCTACCAGGCTCTGGGCTGGTACTAGGGGTTATCTTCAGAGAGTCCTGTGATGTGAACCATCTCTGGGTCTCTCAGCTGTGGATACCAGCACCTGTTCCAGTGGAGGTGGCAGTGGGGTGAAATGGACTCTGTGAGGGTTGTGAGCTTTGTTGGTTTCATGCTCTATTTTTGTGCTGGTTGGCCTCCTGCTGGGAAGTGACACTTTCCAGAGAGCATCAGCTGTGGCAGTATGGAGAGGAACTGGCAGTGCGTGGGCCCTAGAACTCCCAAGAGTATATGCCCTTTGTGTTCAGTTACCAGAGTGGGTAGAGAAGGACCATCAAGTGGGGGCAGGGCTAGGCATGTCTGAGCTCAGACACTCCTTGGGTGGGTCTTGCTGCAGCTGCTGTGGGGGTAAGTATGAGATTCCCAGGTCAATAGAATTATGCACCTAGAAGAATTGTGGCTGCCTCTGCTAAGTCATGCCGGTTGTCAGGGAAGTGGGGGGAAAGCCAGCAGTCACAGACCTCACCCAGCTCCCATGCAATCTGAAGGGCTGGTCTCACTCCCTTGCCCCTGCTAACAGCACCAAGTCTGTTTCCAGGCAGTGGGCAAGCAGGGATGAGAACTTGCTCCAGGCTACCCACCTCCCAGCGTATTTGGGGTGTCTCCCAGGTCCTGCGGGAGCAATATACTTTCTTCAGAGTCTGTAGGTCTTCTCAGGTTTCCTGATTTATTCCTGCGGTTATTCTGTAGCTAAAATTCACCATGCAAGCCTCCGCACACTGCTCTGTCCACCGGAGTAGAAGCTGCAATCTAGTCCTGCCTCCCATCGCCATGATGCCTAGAGTCACAGTTCCTACTGTTAAAGACTGATTAGAAGAAGCTTGCTCACATTATTGAGGGTAACTTATTTTACTTCAACTGATTGTAGAAATTAACAGTTCTACAAAACCTACAAAACACCTAGATTTGTGTTTGATTAAGTAATTGGGTACTATGTTCTAGCCATGTTGACACATAAAACTAACCACCACAGTCAGACATTTGGGTTTTGATTTGTAGGAGTTCTTTATAAACATATAAGCCAGTTTATTTTCTCCTGATTTATGCATTCCAACTATGTTCTACCAATGCCAAACTTATTTTTTAATTTCATATGGTGCTTTATATTACATATTCAAAATATTTTCCTACATAAAGTCATGATATTTTCCAATGCCTTTTTATGGAAGCTTTATTTTTAACCTTTCACATTTAAGTCTGTGATTCCTCTTAATTGTTTGTGTGAGGAAATAAGAAGGGGTCAGGTCTTATTTTCGTCTATAAGATATCACTTTTTCTCAGCAGAATTTATTATAAAGGCCATTCTTACTGAATTTCAGTGGCTCCTTGTCATAAAGCAGATGACTGTATATATCTTGTTCAATGTCTTGACTCTTTTTTGTGGGTCTGCTTTTCTATACTTGGGCCAATCCCACATTGTTTGCATCATCATGGCTTTAGACCGATTCATAAGAAATGTATTTATGTGATCTTAAAGTGTATGAAACTCAAATATATAACCCAATTTTGAATTTTTATTTTTCCCAAAGCCACACCTCATACTAATTATTGTATCAGTCAGTGGCCTGGCAGAGCATAGATGGCATAATCGAATCGAGGGATTCATGGAATATTTAACTATATACACATTGTTGGAAGAGTATAGGGAACCAAAATAAAGAATCCATTATTATGTACTACTAATTTAGTAGGACATTATTACCATGCCCAAAGGGGAAAGAACAGGAAGCAATTATTGGAACATTGAGCAAAAGTAAGTTCTGTACAGAAGATTGTTTGACAGGAGCAATCAGGTGATGCAGCCAGCCCATGGTGACATGGAAGATAAAAAGACAAGTTATAAATAATTAATTCTCACTCTCCTTTATCTTCTCCTGAAGATACCTTTCATTGGCCAAACACAGCAAGGAAGCCAGAAGGCCCTAAGGCGGCTTATTTACGCAGTCCTTAAAGGCTGCTTTGAGGAGCACAAAATGGGTTTATAGAAGGCTAGAGAAGAAATCTCATGGAAAAAATGAAAGGTACCCAGCATAAATATGATGTAGGAAGGCTGGTATATTTTCTCCTCAACACCAAAGCAAAATGCTCTCAACTTTTGGAAGTATGTGTTTGACGGATGTTCAATTTTCCTTAATTTTTAGTTTACAAATTAGGTAGTTCTAATGAGTAATTAATCATAATGGTAAATGATTTGAGCCTGGCTTATATTTATTAGCCAATTTGAAGAAGCAGAATTGTTGTTGCATTTATTGAGTTCCATCACTGACTCCTTAACTTAAGCTCTACACCATTTTCTATAATTAAAATTTACATGAAAAATTGAGATGACATGGCTGAAGATTGAGCAAGAAGAAATGGAGGAATGTGGTATATCTGGCTGATCAAAATATTTATATTGTAATAATGGAAAATTTGTAACCACTAATGGCACAAAGATTTTTTCATTCTTAGATTGTTCCTGTCCCCACCTCCAGGAACAAACAGCACAGTTCAAGGATGTCTTTATTAAAAAAACTGACGTACTTTCCAAGGTGTTTACTTCTCTTCCTGGTCAAGAGTTAAAGTGGCACTAAGTTATAATAAAATGTGTTTTGTTTGTTGTCTAACTTATTTTAATAAAGCACAAGTCCTATATATTTTATATCTATGTTCTATGTTCAAGGGATGCCACTTTGTTATCTACAAAGCCTTCGAAAAATTTGAAGTTAGAGAATGAAATGAAACTCTAGCTGCAATTTCATAATCATTCAAAGCAGTACAATAATGGAAAGAAAAAACTAAGCTGAGGCTTTATTCTAGCTCAGTGCTATTCAAAGTGTGGTTCGTGGATTATTGCTAGTCCACAAACAATTTGTTATTGCACTAACATAAGAAAAGAAATTGAAAGTAATCATCTGGAAATGTCTATAGTAATTTGACAGCTGCTTGTGGCAAAATAGTCTTACTAGACACCAGCAGTAGGATCACGTTTTAATTTGTAATATTTTAAGGTCACTTTGGCAACTATACCTTAAAAGCATATAAAATCTGGTATTTATTTCTGACATAGACACGTCAATCAATTATAATTAAATAAGAAAATTATTTCAACTAAATAGAAGATAAAGATGAATTGTGAAAATTCAGCAACACTTGCCTCATTTTGTTTAAAATTTCAAAATGAATATCACAATATTGCTATAAAATCACTCCCATTATTCATCAATATATTTCTATGAGAATAAGCAGTCTAATATGTGAGTTATTAAAACAAATCATTTCTAGATAGATATGTTTCTTTTATAGGACTGGTGCTGTCATTGACCTAACAGATAAGTTAACAAGCAAGATTTCATACACATTTGAGTTATAGTTGTCACACTATATGCACATGTTAGATAAATACTGTGCATATCAATATTTTGAGTATTAGTGTGACAAATGGGCCTATCCAGTGTGTGTATAGAGGTGTTTAATGTGGAGACTCATTGATTTTTTTAATTATGACTATAGAAAGCAAAATGTATCAGTTATGAAAATGATTATATTAATCACTGTTTGCCTACTTTCTGTGTTCAATATGTAAAATAAAATTTTATACTTATTTCTTCTTATTCTTATTTGTACTGCATATATTTAATGTTTCTATGTCTCTTGCATCTAATAAAAATGAATGTAAATGTATATGTCTTCGTTGTTTTTAATTTTATTTTTCTAGTACTTTATTGCATTTTACAAAATCATTTTCCCATTATGACTTGGAAGGCAGGGTTTAGTGATTATTCACCACAGAAGGTTTGGGGAATACTGAACTTGGTGAAAATTTCATAAGTAAAATTGAAGATTAACAAATAGTAAGGTATAAGGAGAGATAAAAAGGTGCTGAAATAGTAATCAATGATTTAATCAGTATTCAAGTAATAAAGGGAAGAAAAAATGAAGTATAAAGTCCATGTTTTTTGCTGTTATAATTGTAATACATAATTACAAAAATAATTATTTTTATTTTTCAAATATAATTGGGTTGGTGAAATATGAAACAAGTTGACAAGCAAATAATCTTAGTTTGACCACTTTAAAGAAGTGAAGTATCAGGGCTATTTCTGACACCTTTGGCTAAGTAAATATCTCTTTGTTTCTTTATTAAAATCTCAAGGCACCTTATTATTATCATTAGTAGTATTGTTCAGGTATCAATTTTGCATGCATTTCAGTGATTCTATCATATGTATTAACCATCTCACCAGTACTGTATATCACTGTTTTCTCATTTTCAGTACCTAGCATACTGCCTGATGAAAATTAGAGAAAAACTCAATATTTATTTTATAAATAAATTAATGCTATACTTTATTAAATATACAGACTGATGTTCAGAAAAATATGTTTATTTGTTGGCTAATATGGTTTGGCTGAGTCCCTACCCAAATCAAATATTGAGTTACAGTTCCCATAACCCCACATGTCATAAGAGGGACCCAGTGGGAGGTAATTGAATCATGGGGGCAGTTACCCCCATGCTGTTCTCATGGTAGTGAGTGAGTTCTCACAAGATCTTATGGTTTTATAAGGGGTTTTTTCCTCTTTGCTTGACACTTATTCTCTCTCCTCCCACTCTGTGAAGAGATGCTCCCACCATGATGGTAAGTTTCCTGAGGCCTCCCAAGCCATGCGAAACTGTGAGTCAATTAAACCTCTTTCTTTTCATAAATTACATGGTCTCAGGTATGTCCTTATATCAGGGTGAGAACAAACTAATACAGTAAATTGGTACTGCAGCGAGTTGGGTGCTGCTATAAATATATCTGAAAATGTGGAAGTGACTTTGGAACTGGGTAACAGGCAGAATTTGGAAGAGTCTGGTGGGCTCAGAAGAAGACAGTAATATTTGGGAAAGTTTGGAATTTCCTAGAGACTTAGAGGGCTCAGAAGAAAGATGTGGGTAAGCTTGGAACTTCCTAGAGACTTGTTGAATAGCTTACACCAAAATGCTCATAGTGATACTGACAATGAAGTCCAGGCTGAGGTGGTCTCAGATGGAGTTTTGGAACTTATTGGGAACTTGATTAAAGGTCACTGTTGCTATGCAATGAGACTGGCAACAGTTCATGCCTCCCCTAGAGATCTGTGGAACTTTGAACTTGAGAGATGATTTAGGGTATCTGGCAGAAAAAAATTTCTAAGCGGCAAAGTGTTCAAGAGGAGGCAAAGCATACAATTTTGGAAAATTTGCAGCCTGATGATGCAATAGAAAAATAAAAATCCATTTTCTGAGTAGAAATTCAAGCCTGCTGCATAAATTTGCATAAGTAAAGAAGAGCCAAATGTTAATTGCCAAGACAATGGAGAAAATGTTTCCAGGGCATGTCAGAGGTCTTCACAGCAGCACCTCCTATCACAGGCCTGGAGACCTAGGAGGGAAAATGGTTTTCTGGGCCAGGGCCAGGCCTTCCTGCTGTATGCATCCTTGGGACATGGTGCCCAGCACCCCAGCCCTGCATTCCAGCTGTGGATAAAGGAGGCCAAAGGACAGCTCAGGCCGTTGCTTCAGAGGGTGCAAGCCTTAAGCGTTGGCAGCTTCCATGTGGTGTTGGTCCTGTGGGTGTGCAGAAGACAAGAACTGAGATTAGTAACCTCCACCTAGGTTTCAAAGAATGTATGAAAATGCATGGATGTCCAGGCAGAGGCTGCATGGGCAGAGCCCTCATGGAGAACCTCTGCTAGGGCACTGCAGAAGGGAAACGTGTGGTTGGAGCCACCACACAGAGTCCCCACTGGGGCACTGCCTAGTGGAGCTATGAGAAGAGGACCATCATCGTCCAGACCCCAGAATGGTAGATCCACTGACAGCTTGCACCGTGCAACTGGAAAACCTGCAGACACGCAATGCCAGCCTGTGAAAGCAGACAGGATGGTGAGCTGTACCTTGCAGAGCCACAGGGGCAGATCTGCTCAAGGCCATGGGAGCCTACCTCTTGCATCACCATAACATGAATGCAAGACATGGAGTCAAAGGAGATCATTTTGGAACTTTCAGGTTTAATTACTTCCTTATTGGATTTCTGACTTGCATGGGGCCTGCAGCTCCTTTCTTTTGGCCAATTTCTCCCATTTGGAATGGAAGCATATACCCTAAGCCTATACCTCTATTGTATCTAGAAAGTAATTAACTTGCTTTTGATTTTACAGGTTCATAAGCAGAAGTGGCTTGCCTTGTCTCATAGGAAACTTTGGACTTGGACTTTCAGG
The DNA here is from genome assembly GCF_000001405.40 of Homo sapiens. Lineage (NCBI taxonomy): Eukaryota > Metazoa > Chordata > Mammalia > Primates > Hominidae > Homo > Homo sapiens. The sequence goes on along the minus strand of NC_000001.11, from coordinate 195,439,101 downwards.
TTAATGCTGGAATGAGCTAAGACTTTGGAGAAATGTTGAAAAGGCATGATTGTGTTTTGAAATGTGAAGACATGAGATGCAGGAGAGGCTAAGGGTAGAATGATATGGTTTGGTTGTGTCCCCACGCAAATCTCATCTTGAATTATAGTTACCATAATCCTCACATGTTATGGGTAGGACCCAGTGGGAGGTAACTGAATCATGGGGGCAGTTACCCCCATGCCGTTGTTGTGGTAGTGAGTTCTCATGAGATCTGATGGTTTTATAAAGGGCTATTGCCCTTTGTTCAGCACTCATTCTGTCTGCTCCTGCCCTGCGAAAATGTGCCTTCTGCCATGATTGTAAGTTTCCTAAGGCCTCCCCAGCCATGCAGAACTGAGTCAATTAAACCTCATTTCTTCATAAATTACCCAGTTTCTGGTATTTCTGCATAGCAGTGTGAGAATGAACTAATACATTAGCTAACTGCATTTGCTTGTTTGTTGGCATCTATTTGCCTGAGAATAATAATATAAGGCGGATATAAAGTGCTCAGTGATTATATTTAGTACTTTTATTTAATGATCCTGTTACTAATGGAATTTTTTTTTCTTATCCAAAGGTGAGATAACTAGCCCAGTCTAAGGGGAAAATTCACTTTGATTTTTTTTTCTTTTTTTTTGAATTCCAACGTGATTTAAAATAGAGAAACTTTCTCTCAGTAAGACACAATATCTACCCCCATCAACTTAAAAGTGTCAGTAACCCACATCTTTGAAAGAATCCTTTATAAAAGGTGCATTCAATGCATTGTGTATTTGCTAATCTAGGGACTTCTGCTTTCTAGCAAATGCTTTGTAGTTTTGCCATTTATTAGAAAAGAGTCAGGTGTATCAGCATTAATTTTTTCCCTAAAAACTGATCAAAATATTTATTTTTATTCAAAATATTATAAATAACTTTGTGGAATACCCATATTGTTTTAATGTATTCACCCAAAATTATATTTGATAGCATTTTACAATTCCAAAAGGCAAAAACTCTGCATTTTTTGTTAATGAGGTTGCAGAAATGTTTATTCATTCATAAACATCATTGACCACCCACTAGGGGCCACACATTGAGTGTGTATGTTTTTAAAAGGCATAATCTTTGCTCTCAATCAAATGAAAGGCATGGGTATGAAAAAGAAAAATGTATGTGTTTTCATAAGCTGTTTTATAAATGATTGTATAAATATGTATTAGAAAATGTATGTATAATTATATTGCAAATGTGTTTTTAAATGTTTAGAATGCTAAAAAACAGCTTGGAAGCTTGTAAGACAAAGGACAAACAAGAGGTATGTGATAAAGCATGAATAAAAGTCACATAATGCAAGAATGATCTTAACATAATTCACTATAAATATTTCATACATATTAAAATTGTGCATAAAGTTTATATAAATTTAACACTTAACACTAGAAACCCATATTGATACTAGGATAAATTTGATTGAAAATTAGAAAAATATAAAAATTTCATGCCTCAATATATGAAAATGTAATGTTGCTAAAGATCATAAAAAATAAATATTTTTAAACAAAATAGATACAAGGAATATTAAAGGAAGTCAAGGGTCTCTACTTTAGACTTAATATTATAAATGATGTTACTGACATGCAGATATGTTTAGTATATTTCTTATATTTTAATTTAAACTTCTGGAATGTACATATTGTCACTAAGTCTTTCCTAATAGTATTAAGTTCTAAAATGAGAGTTACATTCCACTACATATGGATTATAATCATGGAAGACACATACTCAAATGCCATATCTTTAAATCTGTAGAACTCTTTACAACAAATATAATGGCAATTAAGTTTTGCTGAATGCCACAATAAGCTGCTCCTTAAGTTTGCATTCTGATCAATCCTATAAACATTTCTATTTTGATGTTCATTTCCAGAGATGCCATCTCGCTTCCCATTCTTATCACCACACAAATTGCATAATTCTGAGAAGTCTTGAATATTATTGTAAATAGGAAATATAATTTTGAAATGATAAATTAGCATATTCTAATTATTTGCTCACCCACTCCAAATTATGGTTTATTCCTATCTTTCACACTTATTACTGCATGGCCAACATAATTGCAGATATAAAATGTGATGGCTTTTGAAGATGTAAGTTTGGAAAACAGAAATCATAGAGTTTGCCCTCTATCTGGAGGCAATGTATCTGTTAATTAAAAGTCAGCTGAGAGGTTGAATTAAAGACAGTTAATACAAACAAGAAATTCTGTGACTTTCTGACCCAGAAGAAGATTTAAAAGGGGAATAAATAAGTATAGGCATTCAAATACTTAATCTAAGATATAATTAGTAAATATATAATGTCTAAAGTAAATGGGTCAAGACCTAGAGAGTTAAGCATATTATTTTAAATTATAATTTTGAATATTATATAAATATTATAAAATATGAATATTATACAATATGAATATTATAAAACATGTAACATGTGTGCCTGGAGAGAGAGATGGCAATGAATAAGTTAGCTTAGATCTAAGTTTTCCATAACGATATCTCAGTAAGTGTTGCAGGTGGCTCACACATACTATTTGGAAATATAATCTGTCCAAAAACAAACTACAAAATGAGCTGCGGAAGAGCAGCATTTCTAGGAGTAGACTTTTCAGTTTTTCATAAAAATTTTTTAAAAATTTAAAATCTAAATTTCTAAACTGTATAAATTAACTTTTAATTCACTCAGGTAAAGTAAGAATAACTTCAATAATTAAATGTTAATATATGTAAATATGCTTACATACTTATATATACACATATACATGAATATATACCTATACATACACATTAAAACTTTATACATGATATATCAGCATATGTGTTTACATATGAAAATATACATATGCATACATAGTTATATATACCTGTTTACATATACATATATGTGCATTTCATTTAAATATTGAATTTTTTAAATATGCCATTTAAAATTTTTATAGATTGAATTGTCAGTAGGAATTTTATATTAATACTAATGGTAACCTCTTTTTTCTAGAATTTAGAAGAGACTCTGAAAAACCTGTTAATTTTTTATAACAGTGGCATGAAACTTAGCAGCAAACACTGGGCAATCATGGTTACTGCAGTATCTCTGAAAAGTACAGAGTTTGGCAAACAATACATTTAGGAAGAGAATTTTGATTTGGTTTGTTTTCATCAGGTTGTTCTAATTTCCAAAACCCCATTGACATCTAGTACCTTAACCAATTGCAGCCTTTTTTTTTTTTTTTTTTTTTTTTGAAGGTGAGAAGGGTCAATGCCAATATCCCTCTGGCTTAGATAACCTTATGTCTTCTACTTGTGTCTATTGACCAAGACCAGATAATAGGTAGTGTTGGTGGGGGTAAATCTAAGTTATTTGCTATAAGATCCAGAGAAATTCTCAGGAGTACTATGCTCAGGCACCTAGAAAATTACTTCACATATGCTAGAGAGGCCAATACCATTTATAGCAGGAAAATAACTTCATTAATTTAAGAATTCCACATTAAGTCTACTTAGGGATTTAATGTCTTAAGTCTTAAATCTTGTGAGACTGACTCATGGAAGGAGTAAATGAAAGAGATTAATATACAAAACAAATAAAACTGCATCAGTGACCTGGGGACATATGTTTTAAGAAAATTATTACCATGAGAATAACATGGAATTATTACAAGTAGAATTAAAATTTCAGGCATAGTAGTGTTTGCATCAAGTGATTGACAGTTATAACCAATAATTGATCTATGCTGCTACCATGAAAAATTATTTGAAATCTCACTGTTAAATAGCTAATTGTAAACTAATAATTAATAATCAAGTAATAATAACTAAAAAGATGCAGGAACATACTTAAGAAGCTAAGTTGAGGTAGATATGGTCCCATCTATTAAAAGAGGGCAGGTTTTTCCAATCCTTCCTTACCCAGCAAGCAAGTCAGATAACATAGTTTAAATCAAATCTTCTCAGAGCTAATTAATATTTTAGAGTGGAAAGTGAGTCATCCAATTTGCATCCCCTATGGCAACCGGACACAATGCTATCACTTTGAGAACCTATGTCAACATCCCTCAACTCTTTTCAAGCATCAGGGATCCAGGAAATCTCTGTGCTGTAGAAGGACAATGAGGGGACACAGACAACAGTAGCCATATTTGCCAATAACTGAAGATCAAGATGAGGAAGGAAGACAGAGTGATAAACTGCTAACAATGCTGTATTCATTCCCCTGAATATGACTTTCCCTCATCTTCTGCCTAATAACATCTTGAGGGAACTCCACCAAAAGCATGCATATGCACAGTAGAAGAAAATTGTAGATGTACTGTTACATGTGTTTCCTTTGGCAAGGGTAAGTGGAAGAGAAGGACTATAAAATTGGACTTATTTTATTTGTTTGTTTTTAGACAGAGTTTCTCTCTTGTCGCCCAGGCTGGAGTGCAGTGGAACGATCTTGGCTCACTGCAACCTCCGCCTCTGGGATTCAAGAGATTCTTCTGCCTCAGCCTCCTGAGTAGCTGGGACTACAAGTGCCTGCCACCAAGCCCGGCTAATTTTTTTTTATTTTTAGTAGGGACTGGGTTTCTCCATGTTGGCCAGGCTTGTCTTGAACTCTTCACCTCAGGTGATCTGTCCGCCTCGGCTTCCCAAAGTGCTGGGATTACAGGCATGAGCCACCGCGCCTAGCCAAAATAAACTCTTAAGAGACACAGTTAAAGATTGTATTATTGCATAAATTCCCTTTCATTCCCCCCACCTCCAAGAAAAGACAGTAAAGCTGATGGGATTAAGAAAAAAGAAGAAGAAGAAGAAGAAAAAAAAACATTAGCCTGAAATGCTACTCAGTTACCCAGTTTCAATGACATCCTGATTCTGGTATTTAACACTCTAGGGCAATATATAAAAGACCTAAAAAAGATGATGTGCGTTGGTTTATTCTGTTTTATGGTAGTAATTACTGAAATTAAAAAATACATGTTTAGAATATTAAAAATGCTTAATTCTGTATCAGAATGAGTAAATTTCTTAACTAAACAACTAGTTTGGGAAATATCAGTAAAACTATATTTACTAATTTGTGATTAAATCATAATAGCTTAAATTTTTGAGAAAATTAGAAATCGAATTCATTTAAGTGGTTTGAATTTCCATCCTCCTTTCCTTCTCTCGATTATTTCCTTTCTTTCCCAGCAACCACTACTCTCAATAAATTTTACATAGACTTACAATTAAAGAATAGTCAAGAGCATCTTGGTTTGAAATGGACAAGGTAGAGGGTAGTAGATTGCTACCCTTTTGACAATCCTTTTTCTTCTCTATCAGTACCTTCTGACTATGAGTAATAAGTTATAACTTCAGAGGAGTGGGAAGGAAAGAAATTTTGAAGTAGAAATCTAGTTAAAACTGTTTTTCATTACTCATAAGGGAAATAAGGCAAAGAAGACTAAATATCTTTCTTTGGGCTATAGATATTAGATTTAAGTTGAACTACACTCAGGTTATTAAAAGATTGATTGCGATCATTTTCTTAAAACTTTCTGCAGTGAAAGTCTGAAGTGAAAATGATGTATTAGTAGTAATAACAGTGTGCTGAACAATATAGTATAGATTTATGCTTTTTAGTATATTGAATATGCTTTTAGCCTTCACCTTAAAGTCAAATCAATTTAAATTTTATAGTGGGTGGAGTACAATTATCAACATTTTCCTCTTATCTCCTGCTTTTTAATATGACTGCACATAATGGTTTGAAATGATATTCATTCAATCTGTATTCTTGTGACATCTAGAGTTTTATTGGAAGCAAGGCAGCAATGAAGCAACTGGCTTCAATTATCAACATGCACCAATATGTATAAAAAAAATTGAAGTAGTGCTGGAAAAATAAGTACATAGAATACATAATCTATCTAATGCAAGTTAGCTAATTACACTATTATTTGAACTTCTTTTTAGCCAGTCATCTAGATAATTTTAAAAACTTTTAATGAAAACATTTCTCCAAGTGGCACTAACAAGTCTTATTAAATAATTAATTTAACATGTGCCATTTTAAGTGCTTTTAACTTATACATTATATCAACCAATATGTATTGTCATTCACTTTTTGTTAAAAGATCAAAAACCAGTTTATAGCAGTTATGTATTTATCTTACCAACTCTCATTAAGGGCTATTTTGTTCAACAAGATGTAAAGATTAATTAGGCCTTTGTTAATATACTGAAAAGGAGTGCCTAACGTAAGAAGGGAAAAAAGGATCGGTACCAAACTAGTTATAATACCAGGGAGACCATGAGAAATGCTTTAAGGGAAGGGTGAATTAAGCCTATATTTTTAGTATCTAATAGTAGAGGCTAACTAGTTCATGATGAACTAAATAATTTGGATAACTTTCAGCTATGTATATTTTGAAATCAATCTATAGCTAATCATCTTTATAAAACAAACTGATATTCCACTACTTTTTAATCTTTAGAACAATTAATTGGGTGATTATTGAATGGAATTTCAAAACACGGAAAATTCAAGTTATATATTTAAATAAATAGTTTTAGAACACATTGATAATATGTTTGAATTTAATATAAAGATTCATGTACACAAAGTATAGATAACAAAAAACTAAATATGTAAATGAGTTAAAATTCCTAGCTTATACTTTCCGGCATTAGGGAGCTAGTTAGAATCACAACTTTGTAGATTTCATACTGAATCATAAATTTATCTGCTACTTTTCTCATTAAAGGATCTCTTCAGCCCAAGTAGGACACTATTTTCCAGAGTACAAATCCATATTTACTATATAAAAGTTTCATTATATGAAGATCTACCATAGTCATAAAATGTATATTTAATAATTTTGCTACTATATATTGAGTATACTGTCTGTTTTGTTTAACATATTTTGCCTTTTATCATTAGTAGATATACTATTAAATATGAATGTTATTGATGATTTAATATTTCAGTTTTTGAAATATTAAATAGAACTTATTTATATCTTCTCAACTTCATAAGTATCATCCAAGTTGCTTTAACACATGGAAATTAAAATTTTAATAACATGACTAGCATAGTGTGACTATAAAATATTGTAACAGAGATCAAGCTGGTAAAAGAAAGAAAATATAAGAAAATATTAAAATTAGGAACAACAAATGATTAATATTTAAAAATATGTTGGTCTATGTAAAATATCACAGAAAATCTAAGCAAAGTACCAATAAAACAATTTTTGCAAAGTTATTGAATATAAAATCAATGTAGGAATATTAATAGCCTTTTTACACACAAGAAATTTCTTTTTAGGAATTATAGTAGAAACATATTTTAAGATTATAACAAAAAGTGCAAGGACCTTATAGAAAAAAACTTATTGCATATCATGAAAGAAAAATTTGATAAATGGAGAAATATGTGATGTTCATTTTTGAGATGACTCAGTATTATACACATGTTAATTATCTACAGAATAATTTATATACTCAAACACATTCAATGAAAATTCCCAGAATTTTTGTGGCAAATGAAATTCTCACTAGAGCAAAAGTATCTTAAGAAGATACAAGAAAAATATTGATTCTACATATGAGTGATATTTGTCTTTCTGTGCTTGGCTTATTTTATTTAACATAATGTCCTCTACTTTTATTCAAATTGTCACAAAAGACAGGATTTTGTTCTTACAGACGAACAGCATTCCATTGTGTATATATGCCACAATTTTTTAATTCATTCATTTGTTGATGGACACAGTTGATTTATGTCTTGACTATTGTGAATAGTGTGGCAATAAAGATATGAGTGCAGATATCTCTTTGCCGTACTGACTTCATCATCTTTGGATATATAACCAATAATGAGATTGTTGGATCATATGGTTGATCTCATAGAAGTAGAGTTGAATACTAATTACCAGAGGCTGGGGAGAGTAGAAGAAAGTGAATGTAGGGAAAGTTTAGACAATGGATACAAAGTTACAGTTAGAAAAGAGAAGGAGTAAGTCCTGATATTCTATTGCACACTAGAATGGCTGTAGTCAGCATTAATGTATTGTACACTCCAAAAGAGCTAAAAGAAAGGATTTTGAATGTTCTTGCCACAGAGAAATTACAGTTGTTTGAGGTAGTACATATGCTAATGCCCTAATTTGATCATTACACAATGTATATATGTATTGGAACATCACACTGCACTTCATAAATAGGTACAATTGTTATGCGTCAAATTAAAACAAAATGAAAATGTAAAAACATTGAAAACTCTGAATGAGACATGTATAAGAATGTTCTCTGAAAATGTTAACAGAAGAAACATGACAGAGTTCAAAAGTCTATGAATAGGAAATAATTTATAAACAATATTATACCATGTGATGACTAATATACCAGTAAAAATAAACCTATGTATACGTTGACATCAAAACTACCATGTCTAGTAAAAAATGATATTCTATTATTCCATGTAAGCAAAATCCAAAACCATATTTTTGAAAAGACATATTTATATATGAAAAATTTAAATTATAACATTAGTAATTGCCTCTGGAAAGAGTAGGAAGTAAAAGAGTTGTTGAAGTGAAAAGACAGAACTTTAAATTGTATCTATACTTTACTAAATACATATTTATATTTGGTGAGTATTAATGAGTTATTGTACATAAAAATATATACAATATTAATTATATTTGACGTTATTCTTTGAAATGTTTAACTTTTCAGTTATTTAGCATAAAACTGTTTATTTGCAAAGTCCAATAATAAAGCTTAAAAAGTTAAACTGAAGATTAAAAGGCTATTTATGATAATAATATGTTACAATTTGAAAAGTCCTGACAAGTTATTTTCCTACACTTATTATATGTAATATTCAGTCTTGTTTTCCTGAAGCATATGTTTTGATGTTCTTGATGTTGCAACATTTTTCATTACCACTTTATCTAGTTTAATATTATTTTAACAAAAAGTCAGGTGAGCCTAATTAAAAACAAGATTTAATATCTGCTGTAAATATCTAGCACATTTGCTCTTTTAATGTATCTAGTTCATGTTTACATATAGCAGGTGTGCAATATTTTTTAATTGTTTAAATGCTATCACATGGTATTGTATAAGATATCTTTGCAAAATTTTAAAAGGTCATATGAATGTAAGACCATTATTATTAATAACACTAATGACTGTAATTCTAACAACTAGGAAATAAGGGCAAATTTCCCCACTGAGCAAGAACTAATAATATATCGTGCTGCTGTTGGGATCTCGGAGTGGGCCTAATAAATGGTACTTACATTCTCCATTCAGGTACTGAACCCAGAGAAAAATAATGTTGGGTATAAACTTCAAATACATAGCCTCAATCTATCTTTCATAAGATACTATTGAAGTTTGAAATAATATTTTATAGTCAGTGGCATTTGCACATCCTAATACCAAAATCTAGATTAGACAAACTCACCCACTTTATTAGTTAGGATAGGCTAATTGCTGTTACAAGGAGGCCAAAAATATATAATGGTTCCAACACATAGTAGATTTATTTTCTGTTCATTAAAGCTGGAGAGAAGCTGCACAGATTGGTGAGGCCATCTTATTCCAGTATAAAAATGGTATTATCTTCAACATTGAGCTTCTAAATTATCCTGGCCATCCTCTCCATGTCAGCCAGCATAAGAAAGAGCATATGAAAGTTTCTTTTTTGTTTTCTATTGTTTATTGGGGTTGAGGGTGCTGAAATGTTGCATATCAATTTTATTCACCTCTCATTACAAAAAAATTATTCACACCATCATTCCTAATGAGAAAAAAAAGCTAGAATTTCAACGTATAGTGTGTGTGTGTGTGAGCACGTGCGTGTGCAAAGGAAAAGAAGAATATAGATATCGATGAGCATTTGAAAGTTTCCACCACAGCCACAAAGTGTTGGCAGTGCTATGTACAGGTGGCCTTCCATGCAGGGTGGTTAAACCTAAAATATCAGAGCAGAAAAACCCTTTCTGTAGACAGATTTACTTACAAAATAAAGGAGAAAGGAAAGATTGAAAGACTGAAAGTTTCATACTCAACAATCAGAATAATAGGTGGAGAGAGATCTGTTATTTCAATTAAGGACATTTCTGTCACTTGGAAGTGAAACTGCCTTTGCAAAAATTGTGACAATGAGAGAAATCTGACATAGCTAACTCCATCTTGCTTCTAACCCCACAAGCTGTCTTTGCTCAGGCCAAGCTAACTATGGGAGGAATTTAGTTTAAAATTAAACTTAAAATCAAAGATAATAATTTTCCCTTCTCAAAACTAAACCCCTCCATGCTCGGGGACTTCAATGACCTTTGCAAAACTAATAAATTGTCCACTTGGTTAGAGTTATGGCTCAGGAGTCATCTAGGCAGAGACTTGCAAACTCCTCAGTTACTCCTATAGATAACATCATTATGGTAACCCTAAGAGTGGTCTTTGAGGTATTTTTCAGACCTTGAATTTTGATAGCCCAGCTGTTGCCACCAGGACAGGTAACCCATACTAAGAAACTGACTGAACTCATCCTGTGACCTCAGCCCAGGAATTGACTCAGCTCAAGAAGACAGCTTGGCTCTTTGTGACTTCATCCTCAACCCAACTAATCAGCATTCCTCATTCCCTAACCCCCTGCTTGCCAAACTATCTTTGCAAACTCTTAGCCTCTGAATTCTCAGGAAAACAGATTTGAGAATTATCGTCTGTCCTCCTGTTTACCTGCTTTGCCATAATTAAATGCTTTCTCTGCTGCAACATTCCTACCGTTTCATTGTATTGGCTTTTTTGTGCAGCAAGCAAGAAGAACCAACTGGGCAATAAGAGAAGTAAATATTAGCAGTGTTTCAGAAGTACCCTTCCCACTTAAAAAATTGCTTAAAGTTTCCTCTTCCATATTAAAAATGTGTATTTTAAAAATTCTTAAAAACCATGAAGGAAAAGTAAATAACCTCATCCTTAAATTAAGTGCATTAAAGATACATTTATTTTAAGCATTGGTAAGTAAAATATTATGTAGAGAAAATTATGCAGATGAGAAAATTATTTTTAAAGAGTGGAAGTTCTCCCACTGGTAGTAGAAAGGAAATGCAATTATTTTGCCTATTTTAGTGGTCAATATTCCTTCATAAATATATAAATATATTGTTCCTATTTATGCATTTTCAGCCACATATAAATTCACCTGGTTCACCTGGTGAAAGTCTTTACTTTCGTTTTAGAGAAATCACAACCTTCCAGTAGAATAATGTATAAACTATTTTCCCGCAATTGTATTATAGAGTCAACCACTCTATAGCTAGTCATGTTGAAACCTAAAGTAGTGCACTCTAGAACTCAGAACCTCTGTCTCCCAAGGGAGACACAGAACTTCTGTGTGCCAAGGGAAAATATACATGGTGTTATTGTCTATAGCAGCAAATTAGAAAGATAGGGAAAGAGAGAGAGGAAAGGAGAAAGAAAGAACTAAAGAGAGGGAGGGAGAAAGGAAGGAAGGACCATGACATTTACACTAGTAAAGGTAATAGCTAGTTTGATTTTGTTGTAAGTATAAAAAATACAATATAACAGTTAAGTGGAAAATGAGATAGATTGGAGATATAATCAGTGGTATGCTAGTCAATCAACTCTTCAACTTAAAAAGTTTTAACTTATAATGTTTGCCAATTAGCATGGTATAAATACTTCCACTGTAGCTCATTTCAAGCTACGAGTAGAAATATGAGGTTTTCCAAGCCAATGCTAGCCAGCTCCAGCCCATCATTAAAATACTGTTCAAGAAATAAATTGTGAGTGTATTTGGACAACAATCATAATAATTCAAGTAGAGCTCCGTAACACTTTATATTCTGCATAGATATGCATATATTGGGAAGAGATCCACAAAATTTCTTATAATTGGCTTCTTTAGGATAGGATTAAGTGAAAGTACTTTAAAATAACGATTAAAGATCACTTCAAGTGTATTTGTATTATTATACTTTATTTTAAAGTTATTTCAAGGAAACAGATATGGTTAAAATCATTAATTCTGGTTGACAAGGTTGGTGGTTTCTGTTTATTGTCTTCCTTCTGTAATTCTGAAATTTCCTCTAAATAAGTTTATGAGAAAAGAAATAACTACTCGAGCAATCTGAAACACAAGATATAGGTGTCATAGCAGCACAGGCATATGTGAAATCACCATAGTGGTAGAAAGTGGTGGAAAATTCAAATGAGTACTTGGCTTTCGCAACCTTAGATATCTACTCTGGAAAATCAAGACCTATAAGTGAGAAAAGATTTGATGAGTGTTTAACGAATAAATAGTTCTTTAAAAATAGGAAGTCTTTATCTAGTTTTTGAAGTGACCTACAACAAATTCCAGAGAATGGGAAAATATTGTAAGGCTGAAGTGGTTCAAGTAGTTTTTGTACTTGGAAAAATCGTGGCAGAATTTCAGAAGTGTAGGTAGGAGTTAATATAGTTGCTTTAGGGTGACCATAAATTTCTCCACAAAACTAGAAAAATTTTGAGGAAAAACATGGCATTATTATTAATTATGCCTAGACAAAAGTTATAAATAAACCAGGCTTGATGGTAAATAGAGGTATGGCTAATAATTTACATAGGACATATTATGTGGATTAGAAAAAAACGTATAGAATTGAGATCACAATGATATTATCAGCAATTTAGGTATGATGAATGGTTGGGTCAAAATTGTCTAAAAGACAATTGAGTAGAAAGGGCATATAAATAGGAAAAATAGATTTAAACAATTGCTTACTGGATGGTATTAGGAAGAAAATATGCTGAAAGAACAAGACATTGAAATTCATTATAACATAAGGAACAGAAAATAAGTATTTGCAGTTTTCACTAGAATATTGTACTGAGGAAATTTTCCTTAGTACATCTTAAGCAAGCTTGCAAAAATGTGAATATAAATAATTTGACAAAGGTAAAAGTTTAAACATGTCTTATTTATATTTTTGACCTGTTTTACAAAAAGCTTCACGAAGTGTATCTGTATTAATATTACAAACTGCTTTTGGAATATTTTTGTTCATGGTTTAATTCAGAAAGATGATCATAGCAGTGTTTCCTACAAGTAGACAGTTACTGCTTTCTTTGATATCTAAAATTTTCTGAAGGGAGGAAAATCATTATCTCTGACTTTGAGTTAAAAAATCTGTGACTGTTCTTTTGTTAAGGTGTTTATTGGTGAATTGAATGTATTAAATTGTAAAACCATCTAATTTTCTTGTTCCTGTGGTTGTTTGCTCCAGAGCCAATGTAGAGAAATCAGCACTATAGGCAGCAATTTTTCTTTTCTTTGTAATTGTACAAGGAAAAAATATTCACTTCTATTCTTCAAAGCTATACTGTTTCTTCAAACACTCCTGAGAGTTTTTAAATCATGGAAAGCTATTCAACTCACTTCCCACTCTTTTGGAAAATTACATTCACATGAAGGACAATTCTAATTTATTCTGCTGATACAAATATCCCAGTGAATTTCTTTGCATTTAAGTGAATCATCTTTACGAAGTCATTCTTAAACTAGGAAAAAAATTTAAGTCAAAATAATACTTTTGATTATAGTCATCTCCTCTATAAATATAAGAATAAAAAATAATCTGTGAGACATGTGCAATGGGCACTTTTAATCATTTAGAACTTTCAAAAATGGATAAAATAATGTATACTCGTTAATCATTGTAAGACGTGTTTGTATTATAAATACATATACACAAAATTCAGCATAAATGTGAAGAGCTAAATTGTACTGGTGAAAAAATACAATGACAAAACAATAGGTATAATTTTTAGAACAGATGATATATTATAGTCTTTAAAGTGACATAAATTGCCATATCAATTCTACCTCCCACACTCAGAATTCAGGGACAATTACAATCAAGCCAGTCCTGATGATCTGGTATTATGTAAGACTTACAATTGCACTTTACAACTTATTTCAGCATTTTTTTTGCAAGATTCATAACAAATAAAAGATTTCTATCTTATTGCAACTCTTTTTTTTTTCTTCGAGACAGTGTCTCCCTCTGTCATCCAGGCTGGATTGCAGTGGTGCATCTTGGCTCACTGCAACTTCTGCCTCCCACCTTTGGCTCATGATCCTCCCACCTCAGCCTCCCAAGTAGCTGGGACTACAGGCACAAGCCACCATGCCCAGCTAATTTTTGTACCTTTTGTAGAGATGAGTTTTCGCCATGTTAGCCAGGCTGGTCTTGAACTCCTGAACTTAAGCAAGCTGCCCACAATGGCCTCTGACAGTGCTGAGATTTCAGGCATGAGCCAACGTGCCCGGCCCAGTTCTTCCCTTTTCAACATAAGCTATTACATGCTAATATTGTGAGGCTTATAGAAACATGACTCCCATAATTAAAACCACTAAAACCTTTCAATCTCTTATTTGTCTTCATGATTAATAATTTTAGATCCTTTAAATCCCTTCATACTTCATATTCTTTAAGCTATCAAGTATCTTAGACACTGTTGTTGGAGCCTACAAGGTGTCAGGTTTCCATGTATAATTGTTAATTTTATGTGTCAACTTGGCTAAGAGAGTACCAGATAGCTGGTAAAACATTACGTCTAGGTTTGTCTGTGAGGCTGCTTGTGGAAGAGGTTAGGATTTGAATCAATGGTCTGAGTAAAGATCACCCTCACCAATGGGGACGGGCATCATCAAATCCTTTGAGGGCCCATATGGAACATAAAGGTGAAGGGAGATTTAATTTTCTCTCCCTGTTTAAGCTAAGACATCCATCTTCTCCTGCCCTAGGTTATCCTTGCTCCTGGTGCTCTAACCTTGAGACTTTGACTGGGACTTGCAACACTGGCTTCATGGTTCTCAGGCCTTCAGGTTTGCACTGAAACTACGTCGCTGGTTTCCTTGGGCCTCCAGCTTGCAGACTCAAATTATAGGGGAACTTATTTGCCTTCTTAATCATGTGAGCCAAGCCTTCATAATATATCTCTCTCTATGCATTAATATATATCCTATTAGTTCTGTTTGTCTAAAGAGCTTTGACTAATATATTACATGAAACACAAAATTGCAATTTTATATGACACAGAAAAATATGTATTTATAATTCCCACCATAATGTTGTACCAAGGACATTTTTCTCAGTGTCTCAAAGTGATATTGACCTTATTACTTTATGTTTCTCATCTTTATGTGAATTTAATTGTCCCGAATTTAAGGCAGATGCTATATTTTCTAATTTTATAGTAACTACTTATGCATGTGTATGTGTGTATATGTGTGAGTGTACGTGTGTGTCTGTGTGTGTGTGTAATGAAAAATATTAATTAATTCTCTGAGATTTTATGGGTGTTTCCCTCTACCACTTTTATCTGGATTTCCTCTTTAATTCGACTTTATTTTCCCTGCAATGCTAAGTTTTTATTTGTTTGTTTGTTTGTTTGTTTGTTTGAGACGGAGTCTAGCTCTGTCGCCCAGGCTGGAGTGCAGTGGCTCGATCTGGGCTCACTGCAAGCTCCGCCTTCTGGGTTCCCGCCATTCTCCTGCCTCATCCTCCCAAGTAGCTGGGACCACAGGCACCTGCCACCACGCCTGGCTAATTTTTTGTATTTTTTAGTAGAGACGGGGTTTCAACGTGTTAGCCAGGATGGTCTCAATCTCCTGACCTGGTGATCCTCCTGCCTTGGCCTGCAATGCTAAGTTTTAATTCTAATTTCATGGGCTTCTTCTCCGTGTGGATCTCTCTCCTAAATAGAAACCTTGAGCCCTGAGAGTTTATAGAAGCTTGGCTATTGTAGCTCATTTCATTCTCAGTGTGTTCCCGTTAAATTCATTTCCTCTCAGATTAGACAAAATTCCTTTATTATGGTGGTATTCTATAGCACAATTTATGCTATTAGATGTCTGTGCATATGTCTAGTACTTATTATGAAGTATACAATACTAGTTTTTAGGACTATGAGTTTAGTAGATAGATGCTTATCCCTTAAATCAAATTCCTGATATCTAGACCAGTTGTGTAAAACCTGTCGTTTGTTATATAGATTTCCTAATCCTAATATTCCATTCTGATAATAACCTACGTTCACATTTTGCACTGACATGCTTCACTTATCAATTGGAAAAGTCTGATATCTCCTGTAAATTCTTTGATGTTCCATTTTTTCCCATTACTCTGGGATGAAGATCGCATATTCAATATTTTTTCCTTCACATTCAGTCACTTTCTCCACATTATCTCTGTGTTCTCTGCATTAAATATTTCCAGGACACCATTATTTAAAATGAATTTTAACGTGAGATTTTGATAGACTGTATTTTTTGTCTCAAATTGTACATCTGTTGTGACTACATGTTTGCCACTGAAATTATACCTGTAATTGAGCTAAAATAACAACATTGCCATTTTATAGAAAAATGTGCGTCTTCCTGAAAACTATGTCTACGTTTTTCTTCTTCGTATTACTTGACATTTTCATAGTATTGAACACTTAACCTATGCTGCTTGAATCTTCAGAGATTCTTTGGTTTTATGCATGCATAGAACTATACTTCTATTCTCAATATATGATGAATATTCTATAAGCTTTTATTGACTCTGAAAATGAATTTAGTAACTAGTCCTTTTTCCAGATATTACTTCTGTATTCTCAATATATACATTTTATGGTATATCTTATTCCCTATGTGACTCATTGTCACCTCATAATCAACATCAATTCATCTAAATTCCTATAACTATTTTTTTTCTTTCTTATCAATTTCTCAAATTTCTCCCATACCTTTTATTTTCTTTCTTATTTCTCTAAGAGATGTCATAAATGCCACAAAACCTTACAGTTATAGTTCAGTCATCCTTACCTACTCTATTCTCAATAAGTATGAATTCTAGTCTCAGTATTAATTATTTAAATCATATTTATTCTTTGTAGATATTTTGTAGTGTTGATACAGTAATGGTTTTAAGAGATATCTTATCCTGATCCCCCTCCCATATCTATGCCATCTCTTGCCATACAATATAACTGCTATATTTTGGCCAATATTGATTGCACAGCCATCCCTGGGGGTGGATTTAATACAAATTAAAACAATCAGTGTTTTTAGTTTTTGTTGTTTATTTGTTTTCATAGAAGGTTTGTGAGAGAAGATATTCCCATTTATAGAGAAGTAAATGTTAAAAATTCAATTTAAATATTATTATTTTTAATTTTTTTATTTTACATTTTTCTGGGTATAGAGTAGGTGTATATATTTGTAGGGCACATGAGAAATCTGAGACAATTATAAACTTATTGTGTACATTTATGTTGTCATAGTAGTGTAATCAATATTAATATTATATGAGCACATATAAAATCTCATTTAAAACCTAAAGAGATATATAACTATTCTATAATCAATTGCTATTTGTAAAGCATATAAAATAAAATTATATTTCAAAATGTGCAAAATGCATAAATATTCAAGTTATTTTCCCTGCTAAGTTTTAATGTATGTGCTACTTTTTTTATTCTTTCACAAATAGAGCCTTCGTGTTTTTCAGTAGAGTTCTATAATATATTGTAGTATATTTCAAAGTTTGGCAAGGATTCTATGAGGCTCTAATGAATGATTTAGGTTAGATTTTTATGCAGGTCTCAATGTGTATAGGAAAATCTGATATAAACAAAGGATTTAGTTTTTGCAGTCTACTGCAACTACCATATATGTACCACTTGAAAAATGCACCAAAAGGATCCTTCAGGCACATCCAGTTTGGTTTCACTTAGTTGATTTTACTAATAAGATAAACAAATCATTTTTTACATGCAAAAGTGGCAGAAGCTGTACTTTTCCAGGAATGTAAAGTCTGCATTCCTGCTGTGAAGATTGTGGAAACTGATGCTAATATTTAGTCACATATATTAAGAATAAAAAGTATACTTGTTTGTTAAACACAGTTCCAAGAGACTAATACTTTTTCCGTGATTACATTTGGATTTTTCAATGTTAATTTAAAATCATATTGTCTTAAATTTCAATTAGAAATAGCGATTAACAAAATGCACTCAAAGACAAAAAGCAATTACTTAATAATCAGATGCAAAGACTCATTGTCACTTATCTTTTTGGAGATCTGCTAGAAGGTGTATAATAAGTTTGTGAGTTCCCTGGAATTGTAGAAAGGATGTTGAACAATTATTATTGGGAACATTTTTAAAGTTACCTTCTATACATTATTTTTTACTTCTCATATATAAGTGGCAGATATCCATATTAATTAACTTAGAGAAACAGGTGATTTAATTAGAATGATCACTGGTTGTATGGAAAAGAATGGAAATAGTTTGGCCTTGGTGATTACTAGAAACAAGGCCTTGGAAAAAACAACGACAAAACAAAACAAATTATTTTCATCGCCACTTATATTGTGGCTAATTTACTTCTTAATCAATTGCACATTTCAACATAGCAGAAGCCATGCTACCAACAACACTTAGGTTCAAACTGTTTATGTTTTACTTTATTTTATTTATTTATTGTTTTTTGGATGGAGTTTCAGAGTTTCGCTCTTGTTGCCCAGGCTGGAGGGCAGTGGTGCAGTCTCAGCTCACTGTAACCTCCACCTCCCGGGTTCAAGCGATTCTCCTGCCTCAGCCCCCTGAGTAGCTGGGATTACAGGCATGCGCTACCACGCCCAGCTATTTTTTTTTTTTTAATTTTTTAGTAGAGACAGGGTTTCTCCTACATTGGTCAGGCTGGTCGCAAACTCCAGACCTCAGGTTATCTGCCCACCTCAGACTCCCAAAGTCCTAGGATTACAGGCATGAGCCACCACACCCGGCCCTTTTTATGTTTTATCACCAGAAAATAACTCCCCATTTTTTATAAGTTTAAATTTCTAAAAAACAATACAATTAGAGATGTCTTCCACTGTCCAGCCTTTGGCTTTTCAAATACATGTGTGTGCACGTGTGCACGCAAACACACACACACGGGCATGTGCACACACATACTAACAGAGAAACATAAATATTTATCTTTCATATTTAATTTGAAAAATACCACAGATAACCCAATTCAATAGTCCTGTATGCAATTCAAAACTATATCCATGAGGGAATATCTGGTTTTTATATTAGTATTTTGATGTGCGGTCAATGCCTGTCAAACAGATCTGAAAATAAACTTCTCATGATTAGTCATGAAATAAATTGTATATTTTCACTCTGTCCATCATAATCAAATCATAAAATAAAAAACAAAATAACTTAAATAAGAAAGTTTGAATAATATGGGAAATGCATTTATAAAGAGAATTCTTACATCTGGGGAGAAAGGTATTCTTTGCACTCTCATGTTCTATCTCTAAATACTATATTGTCTGAAGAACAAATTTATTTTTTCTGCATCAGGCAGGCTTTGTTGTCTTCTGGTTGGAGTTGGTCAATGAGACCACCTGAGGGAGTAAGAGAAGATAGGTTGACTAATATTATAAGAAACACGGATGGAGTGGATAATAGACCCTTGATCCCCCAGAAATCTGCAACAATGGATGATTTATCATGAGGTTCATGTGAAATAAATAGTTGGCAGTATATTAAGGTGCTGCGAACCTATATAAGCAGATAAAATTCTAGGTCTGTTGGGGAAGCTGACTTGATTGACTATACAGGTGTTTCATGCTTTCTTATACCATTTCCAAAGCAAAAGCAGTTTATAGACCTTGGTCTCCTTTATGAGAAGATAAAGGATCCCTTTGAAGAAGAGCTATGCAATGTAGTGATATTGAATCTTTCTTCAATTCTTCCGTGGTAGCACTTGCAGCTATTTATGTAATTTTTTTTTTCTTTTCCTCTAGGTAAATACCCAGTAGTGTGATTTCTGGGTCAAATGGTAGTCCTATTTTTAGTTATTTGAGATGTCTGTATATTGTTTTCCATAGAGGTTGGATTAATTTACATTCCCAAGAACAATGTATAAACAACCAACTGATTTTCAATAAGTGAAAAAACAAAAATGGGGAAAAGGTACCTCCCTGTTCAATAAATGGTAATTAGAAAATGAATACCTATATGACAAGGAATAAAATTGAACTCCTATCTCTCACCATATAAAAATTAACTCAGGATGGATTAAAGACCTAAATATAAGACCTGAAACTATAAAAATCCTAGAAGAAAATCTAGAATAAACCCTTCTGAACATCGACCTAAGCAAATAAGAATCCAAAAGCAAATGCAACAAAAAGAAGAATAGACAAATGGGACTTTGTTATACCAAAAAGCTTCTGCACAGCAAAAAAAAAAAAATCATCAAAAGACTAAGCAGACACAGAATGGGAGAAAATATTTGCAAATGATGCCTCTGACAAAGGACTAATATCCAGAATCTAAAAGGAGCTCAAATAACAAGAAAAAAAAATAACCCCATTAAAAACTACGCAAAGAACGTGAACATGTCTCAAAAGAAATATACAAATGGCCAACCAACATATGAAGAAATGCTCAACATCTCTAATCATCAAAGAAATTCAAGTTAAAGCCACACTGAGATATCATCTTATACCAGTCATAATAGCTATTATTGAAAAGTCAAAAAAACAACAGATATGGGCCTTATAGTTTAAGCTTTTTTTTTTTTTTTTTTTTTTTTTTTAGATGGAGTCTTATTCTGTTGCCCAGCCTGCAGTGCAATGGTGCGATCTCAGCTCACTGCAGTCTCCGCCTCCTAGGTTCAAGCAATTCTCCTACCTTAGCTTCCTGAGTAATGGGGATTATAGGCACCCACCACCAGGCTCACCTACGTTTTGTATTTTTAGTAGAGATGGGGCTTCACCATGTTGGCCAGGCTGGTCTCAAACTCCTGACCTTAAGTGATCCACCCGCCACTGCCTCCCAAAATGCTGAGATTACAGGTGTGAGTCACCATGCCTGGACTCTTTAAGTATATTTTGATTCTTGTTCCAGTGACATTGATTTTGAACCTAAGACTAAATGCAGTTATTTGCATTCTTCATGCAACATGTCTGGTAGACAGAGTAAAGGGTTCGTTGCACTGGCTGGTTGACTGGTTTCAAATGTAAAGAGCAATTGCATTGCTTCCTCATAGGGTAAGAAGGACTGTGTCTGGATTTTATGGGGTTCATAACAGCATTTCTTAATATTTTGTTGCCAGCTAATACTAGTCAATGGGAATCTGCCATATACCATTAAAGATCGAACTACTATAATCTTTAATCCTGGAATTAAGGTTTAGGTCAGCTGAATTGAGATATGAGGTAGACTAAAGATCACTTCTAACTCCTTGTAACTTCTCCCTTGGAAGAATGAAGTAGAAACTTCTCACAAATTGGCTGGATCTAATGACAACTTTGGTCAATAGAACGGAAAGGAGGTAAAGCTGTACTAGTTTAAAAGCTTAAACTCTAAGTGTCTGGCAGCTCCACTTTTTGTCTCTTGGAACATTTACTCTGGACGAAACCAGCTTCAATAAGAAATCTGGCTATCTCAAGGGTGCCATTGTATCAAGAGTCCAAACAGCCCAGGCTTCTAATTATCCTCAGTGTTAGAAATTTAATTGTGTCCCACCCATATATGCTTAATTTCTAACATCAACTATCTCAGAATGCAAGCATTTTCTTTTGAAGTAGAGTAATTGCAGATGAAATTATTTCAATTGATATGAGGTCATATTGCACAGGGTGGGCTCTTAATCCAATATAACTGGCATCCTCATAAGAAAATAATATCATGAGAAGACACAGCAGAAAATGACCATGTGACAATGGGGGCAGAGGTTGGAGTAATGTATGTGTAAGGCAAGGAATTCCAACATGGCCAGCAAACACCAGATCTTAGAAGAGGCATAGAAGGATTCTCCAAGTTTGAAAGTGAGCATAGGCCTGTTGACACCTAGATTTCAGATTTCCAGCTTCTAGAACTGTGAGACAATAAATTTCTCTTGTTTTAAGCCATAGAGTTTGTGGCACTTTGTCATGGAAGCCCTAGGACACTAATAAAGCCACCAAGGCATCAGATGTGTAGAAAAACAACAACAGCTTGAGCCTTCCAGTCTATCCTATTCATGAACTCAGTGTCTCTGAGTTCATGGCATGAGGAGCAGCTGTTGTGACTACCTAACCTTGCTAGTCTGGAGTACTACATCTGCCTTGCTGATTTACTCAACCTTATGTATGCTTTGCAGAAAGACCCTCTATTAAACACTCCTTAACTAACCATTCTGATTGTGCTGACAGTTTGTTGCTGTTATTTTGATTTATGCACCATACCTCCTGAAATCTGAACTGAAATAGAAATAGAATAAATCCATAATGGTAAGAAAAGGTAGAGAGAAGGAGTTTTAGCAAAGTTCTCTAAGCAAGGTTGTTTCAAAGGGAGCACAGCTCTGCTGACACCACGATTTCAGATGGGAAATGGAGGGAACAAAGTGGAAGAATTTGCAACCAGTTCTCATCTGTGTCAGACCATGGTTAGGTTAATTACCTGAAATGAAAATCATAGATATTATAACCTACGTACATAAGTATCTTTATAAATCAATTTGCAGCCCTACACGCATATAGAAAATAAATAAATAAATAAAATTCTTTATGGAATTGTATTTTATATGTATTTAATATATTAGAAAAGAAACGTGCCGGGCACAGTGGCTCACACCTGTAATCCCAGCACTTTGGAAGGCCAAGGAGGGCGGATCACCTAAGGTCGGAGTTTGAGACCAGCCTGGCCAACATAGTAAAACCCTGTCTCTATTAAAAATACAAAAAGTAGCTGGGTGTGGTGGCACATACCTGTAATCCCAGCTGCTTGGGAGGCTGAGGAATGATAATTGCTTGAACCTGGTAAGCGGAGGTTGCAGTGAGCTGAGATCATGCCACTGCACTCCAGCCTGGGCGACAGAGCGAAACTCCATCACAAAAAAAAAAAAAAAAAAAAAAAAAAAACAGAAAAGAAACATGTCCTCAAAAATTTCTACAGTATTTTTTCATTTATAGTACAGCGGACCCTTGAACAACCTGGTTTTGAACTGCATGGGTCCATTTATATATGAATTTTCTTCCACCTCTGTCCCCACCCTGAGACAGTAAGACCGGTCCCTCATCTTCCTCCTCCTCCTAAGATTACTCTACATGACTTTCTACTGTCTCTCACCTACCCTGTATCTTTATATATCTCCTTAATGAGTGAGATGTCACAATCCATGCATGTATGTGTATTCTAAATCAGTATTGTCTGCATAAGTCATAGTCACATGAAAAAGATGAAACCCCTGACTCATCCAATGCTGACTACTCTACACCTACACAGAAACAGCTAAATGTGACTAGAGAAACATCACAAAACCATGGTGACTGGTCCTAGTTCAAAATTAATGACCATCAGTGGGCTCTTATTATCTGAAAGTTTTGCTGTATTTCCCCAGTAATTTCATTCTAATGGGCTACAATTTAAATCTCCTTATTTAAGCCCCAAATTCAACCTTTCTAATTTTCAGTCTCTGTTAATGGCTCTGCTTGCTATTGAACAGAGGAAATAAAGCAATCAGAAGATAAGTCTCCATGGTCTCACCACCGTAACTATCAGTGTACCCACATTTATGTCCGCATATTCTGCCTTCTCTCCTATTAGTGCCATTGAATTATCCATACCACTGTTTGAAACCA
This sequence comes from Homo sapiens, assembly GCF_000001405.40. Lineage (NCBI taxonomy): Eukaryota > Metazoa > Chordata > Mammalia > Primates > Hominidae > Homo > Homo sapiens. The sequence goes on along the minus strand of NC_000001.11, from coordinate 195,415,382 downwards.
ATTTTCCACTATTACCTACTCAGACATTGCCCCAACAATTATTTTCTCCCTTGCTGTATTATCTGTTTTATCATTCTAGCAAATCTGTTCTCTCAACCTATCAATATGCAATCTTAACCATCTTAAAACAAATAAACTAAAATAAAAACAAAAGAGCTAACGAAACAATCTATTAAAATTCCTGCTTGTTCTTATTCTGTCTCTTTTATACATTTTCTTACCTTTAAATATTGGACTACTTCTTTTCTATTTTTTTTCTCATAAACAAACTCATTTATATTTTTGGCTTAAATACTTACACATTTTGACAACTCCTTAATATATAACTTCAGCCTGTAGTCTACTATAACATCTTATCTTGTATATCTAATGGATAACAAACACCTCCCCTTGGATTTTTAATAAGATTTTCAAAATAAAATATTTAAAACAATACCATCGACCTCTTCCCAAATCTTGTAGTCCTGTATTCACTGCAGTTTTCTATTTCTTGACAAGTAAGTCCACTATCCAATATTCTCAGGCAAATAATTTTACAGTCATTATTGAATTATTTCTGTTTTCACACACCATCTAATTCAGCACCAAATTTTGTTGGGTCTAAGTACAACATATATCCAGAATCTGACTACAAGTTCACCTACTTCCTTGCTAGCACTTTGGTCCAATACACCGTCCTCTGTCTTCTGGAATATTAAAACAGTCTCATAAGTGGCTCCACTTCTGTTCTTTAGCTCTTACAGTATATTTTCGCCAAGACAGAGTGCTCCTCTGAAAATATATTTTATATCGCACAATTCCTCTGCTCAAAATTCTGCATTGATTTTACAGCTCAGGAAGAGTAAAAGCCTAGGTATTTATGAAGGTCTGCAACTTACTGTGTGTCTGAACAATCTAATGCCTCATCAACCTCATCTCCTGGCTCACTGCTCAAACAACACTGTCTTATTTGCTCTTTCTCAAACACATCAAACATGCTTTTATCTCAAGGTCCTTCTTTTGCTGTTTTCCCTACACAAAATGTTTTTTCTGTAGATATCCAACTGCTTCACTGTCCTATTTCTTCACATATTTTAGACATCTGTTCAGATGTGACCTTACCAGTGTTTTATACATATCTAACCTCAAGAATTGTTGGGAAAAAGGGAGAAAGCAATAAAAGTATTGAGACAAGCAATTGGACTTCTCTGTGTTCTCATTGAAACTGGAACAGACTGGAATACTCTTGTGGTCAGATTCTAAAGTGATAACCTAGAAGGACTAATTTATGTCTCCCTGTTCAGTACTGAAAGGCTAAGATATATTGTCTGAGCTATCTTATAATATTACCATAGACTGAATGTGTCTTCTCAAGATTTCTCAGTTGAACTCCGAAGTCCCAGTGTGATGGTATCGATAGGTGAAGTCTTTGGTAGATGATTAGGTCATGAGGATGGATACCTCAAAAATGGGATTAGTGTCGTTATAAAAGAGACATGGAAAACACTTTCCCTTCTGCCATGTGAAGACACAGTGAGAAGATAGCTATCTATGAACCAGGAAGCAAGTTCTCATTAGACACTGAATACACGAGCACCTCAAGCTTCTCAGCCTCTAGAAGTATAAGAAATAAACTTCTATTGTTTACAAAACATCTAGTTTATGGTACTTTTGTTATAAACAGCAAAAGTGGATTAAGATAAACATATATCAATAATTTATCCAGACTGTTTATTTTGAATCATATTCATGTGGTACTAACATGGACACTAATGCTCCCTCTTGCAATATCCACTCCAACATTTCAGCAGGGGCTCTGTAATCAAAGTACTTCTCTGATCAGAAATTTGTCCTAACATTTCAGCAAGGGCTCTGGAATCAAAGTATTTCTCTGATAAGAAATTTGTCCTAACCTGACATCCTAAGATACTTACTATATTATTTTCAACTTCTCAATAATAGTCCAGAAGTTAAGTTCTGAGAGATAAATAAATAACATTTCTTCTTATCCAACTATGAACAACATAATTTCACATGTTCAAGCTCTTCTGGCTTTTGATAACATTCGATGTAATAAAATGTGAAGCCGAATCACATTTTCCAAATTCCTAATAGAACTCAGAAGGCCTTTTATGATGTTAATACTCAATATTTAAATATATAAATGAGAGTTTGTTTATAAGAACTGAGATTTCAGAGTCTGACCTACCTTTACCCAAATCTTGCAATAATATTTATCCAAAAGGTTTATTACATTTTAAACTAAGGCTGCTTTTGTCAGATGAATAATATAATAATTAAAGGAAGCATCTCATTATTTTAACTTTCATCAAATCCAACTTGTCTTCAGTAGGCTGGAAATATCTCAGTTTCAGTGCTTATCTAATACCTGATTCGTTCAATGTGTGCTTATATACCATTAATCAGAGTGAGAAAATATGGATTAATGTAATTTTTTAAAATACCAAACTATTTTAAAAATAATAGTTTTAGAATTAAACTTGGGTGGAAGGTTTTTGGGAGGAGTAAAACATTCCCTGTCCTTATAGGATTTCACCAAGATCTCAGCAGCATCTAACTAGAATGTGAGTATATAAGAATCTGATGGTTCATTAATTTTGGTCATATAGGGTTTTATGAAAAGTCAGCGGGAATTCTTACACCATAACCTTCAGGATCTGTTGACTGGGAAATGTGGCCTGAAAGGGATGTCTTTTATATAATCCAATATATTGTTATTGCAAATATTATTTTCCGGTATGTCATCTAAAATACATGCTTTGAAATTAGATGTATAAATGAGAGAAGAGATGCTTAATTTTTCCTTGTACCTGTTACTTTGTGCTCACCACTCTTACAAGTCAGTATGACATTTGCAACATGGTCATAGTGAGTTTGTGGGGTAATCAATTATCTGAATTTATTCAATTTGCCTAAAACCTAACTATTGACTACTGGATTCTCACCAGTAAAATCCACATATATAGTAAATCCGAGTTTATTATTGCAACAGCCAGTCTATGTCTTTCACTAGAACTTTCAAATTATCAGTTTTTTGGGGGAGAAAATTCTGGTTTCACTGAAAAATTAGCTGTGCACAATTCAGAGAATGATTACCTGTCGAGGTCTTTGCTTGCTTTTGATTTTTGGTTTTTAAATAGCTTTCACCTATGACAGGAATAACCCCCACCCTCGGGTTCTTTTAGGGCATAGAGTTAAGTTTCTTTTTTATACTCCAGAACAGAGGCATCAGTGCTATGTTGTACATATGGGAAAGAGATAATGTTGTGGTAGAAACAGTGCTCTGTCTGCTAGTACTAATGTGCACCTGGCCTGGCTCTACTCATTCACCAGCAATCTGAAATACATGTAGACATTGTTTCACCATTTCTTTTTAACAAATTGAAAATAGGAATTTTTAACAATGCCTTCATTTTAGAACACCTATTTAAAATGAAACACAGCTAATTACTACCTTGCTAATATTTTAATTTTACTAAGCTGTTAACACAATACTTACTTGTAAAAAATGTTTCCATAATTGTCAAGAATACGCACATAAAATTGCATTTCATATCATGATTTCTTTGTCAATCAAAAAAATTTCCTTAGGGCAATTTCATTTCAGTTTTCTGCTCCATATTATTCTGACTGAGAAAAGACCAATTGGCTCTTGATTGTCAAAGTCAGCTTTTGCTATGAATTTATTAATCTATTTATAACCATAATACCATCAAATTTTAAAATTAAAATCCTATTCCAAAATGGCAAATTTGGAACTTTCGATAATCCCTTAAGTTCTTTTTGCTGAACTTTACCTTTCATGCTGTTAGCATTTTGCCTAGGTAGATTTTTCCTCAATGGAGCAACAACAGATTAAATGATTCTCTTGTTTTAAAATGAAGACTTCTTCTTAGAGGTTTGTATGCAGTAAAACTGCGCTTACCCTCTTATGTTATCTCTTGTACCTTTGTGGTAAACCATACTATTCAATGAATGTGTGTGTGTTTGTGTGTGTATGTGTGTGTGTTGTTCTGTTTTGTCTTCCAAGCATACATGGGAAATTCAGAAAATTTTACTTTTGACAAATATTATTTCCCTGGTTGTTGAGTTTACTTGCCATAGTCATTTATATTACTTATTTTCCCAATCAGCTCTATTCAAGGAATGACTTTTCTAACTTTTGAAAGAGTTTTTCCAGTTATTTATTCATTGGCAGAATTGAAATTAAAGTATAAAAAGTACTGTGACACAATTAATGGACAATTCTCTCTCTAAAATATAGATGATTTTATCAAGAAAAGGTGGTCCTCAGATATCAAATATATAATCTTAGTGTATATAATTTAAATGTGGAACTTCTGTAATACAAAATGTCCTCAATTAAAACTTTGACAATATTGCTGCTATGGCTGAACTTTTATCACAAATTTTCCTTATTTTTAAATAAATGAAAGCAAAGATGGCATGAAATTAGTTTCCACAGTATGAAATTATTTACAGCAGCAGTAGACCAACTTCTCAGATAAACGCATTGCAATATATGTATCTGAAAGAATGGGAATTTATGCAGCTTGACTCTGTTGCATCTAGAGGTCGACGGCTGGTTATTATGTACACCTAATTTACCGGAGCGGTAAATACTGCAAGTGAAGAGATCAATTCACCAAAGGTCTATGGTTCAATAGGTTTAGCACTTCATGTTGAAAATAAAATGTGGAATAAATTAGGAAAAAGCCTTTCCATACTGCCTCAGTAATAAAAGAACCCCCACAGTGGAAAAGGCACTAAATGAAGTGTATTTTATATAATTATGTTAATGATATTAAGCCCAGTCTTTATCTGCTTTATGAAACTATTATAATAGTATTAATAACATTCAACCACAAAACAAGCCCTGTACAAATGGCAAATTTGTTTTTCACATTATATTATTCATCTTTAAAAGAAAATAAATTAATAGAATTTCCTGCTTAAAGACATTACAGAAAATTTAATGAAATTTTAGAGCATGAGGAAAAGAGAACACTTTTTTTTCTAAGGAAGGAGAAAATTGTATATTAATCTTTATGTTCAGGAGTTCATGTTAATCCAGAACATTTGGCTAACAGTTTGGAGTAGAGGTCTAGTAATTCAAGGATTGGCTTCTTTCACTGTATCAGCTACTAAAATAGATGATTATATAATGCAGTCTAGCCTTTAATCTTAAAAGAACAATTTAAAATCTTACATGTAAAACAGTTTATATTTATTTTTCACCTCTTATATAATTATTACAAGCTTAATATGTGCAAGGTCACTGATAATCACTGATAAATGTCATTGGCAATTAAATAATACTCAGATACACCATTCTTCTTCATGCCTGAGAGCACATACTCTTTAAAAAAAATCAAATGTATTGAAGTAAGTTTTACAATAAAAAAAGTTCAATAAAAAGTTCAAAAAAAGTTCAATAAAATTCACTGCTTTAAAAAGAGTTTAAAGAGTTCTGACAAATGCATACAGTTGAGTGGCCACTATCAAATCACAGGGTACAGAATACTCCTATCACCTCAAAAAGTACTCTTGTGCCCCTTTGCACTACATCTGCTCTTCCCCACAACTTGGAAATGATCATTTCATTTCCCAGACCTATAGATTTTCTTTCTATAGAATGTCATTTATACACATTTAATCACGCAGTGTGTAGCCTTTTGAGTCCAACTTTTTCACTTAGCATAATGCTTTTGAGATTAATCTATGTTGGCATGTATCAGAAATTTGATTATTTTTATTGTTGAGAGGACTTATATAATCATTTTGAATGATATAAACAAATTTGTAAATCCTGACATAATTTCAGCCCTTTCTATTGCTCTGCTATAAAAAATCTTATGTATGTTATGAGTGTGCCTGGGAGCCAAATAAGTTTTCTCTTTTTAACTTTCTACTTTTATTTGAGACACAGGGGATATGTGCGCAGGTTTGTTACATGAGAATATTTTATGCTGCTGAGGTTTGGGGTATAGATCCTATCACCCAGGTAGTGAACACAGAACCCAATAGGTAGTTTTTCAACCTATGACCCTTCCCTTTCTGCCTCCTCTGGTTGTCTATACTCTCTATTGTGCCCATGTGTACGTTCACGTGTCCTCAGTGTTTAGCTCCCAGTTATAAGTGAGAACATGTGGTATTTGGTTTTCTGTTCCTGCCTTAAATTTCCTGGGATTATGGCCTCCAACTGCTTCCATGTTGCTGCAAATGACATGACTTCATTATTTTTTATGGCTGTGTAGTATTCCATGTTGTATATGTATCACATTTTCTTTATCCAGTCTGCCACTGATGGACACCTGGGTTGATTGTATGTCTTTGCTATTGGAAACAGCACAGCAATGAGCATACAAATGCGTGTGTCTTTTTGGTAGAATTGTTTATTTTCCTTGGGGTATCTCTCCAGTACCAGGGTTGCTGGGTTGAATAGGAACTCTGTTTTAAGTTCTCAAAATACTTGAGAGTGAAGTAGGGGTTGATCTTTTTAAGTAAAAATAACTTTTGTAAGGTGCCTTCACTAGGATACATAAAACCTTATTCTTAAATTAATTACTGATTTTGTTCAACCTAGAGCTAATTACTTAGGCATCCTGTATAATTTGCAAAATATAATACATATTTTCTCAAACTAAGGTCAACATAGTACTTTATTTAAAATATCAAGGGCTGTAATCCCAGCACTTTGGGAGGCCGGGGCAGGCGGATCATCTGAGGAGTTTGAGACCAGCCTGGTCCAACATGATGAAACCCCGTCTCTATTAAAAATACAAAAATTAGCCAGGTGTGGTGGCAGATGCCTGTAATCCCAGCTACTCAGGAGGCTGAGGTGAGAGAATCGCTTGAACCCAGGAATTAGAGGTTGCAGTGAGCTGAGATTGTGCCACTGCACTCCAGCCTGGGTGACAGAGTGAGACTCCATCTCAAATAAATAAATAAATAAATAAATAAATAAATAAATAAATAGAAAAATAAAATTTAAAAAATAAAAAAAAGTGAGGGCTTAATCACTTCTGTTTTTCAAAATATTTTCAAAAGTTTCATTCTAACCTATTATTAAACTTTTCAGCTACCTTCCAGGTCAAAATATCATTTATTATTTACTGTTTTCATATTTTATACCATTATTTTAAAATTTCAATTAACTACATTTAATTGCAACATTTCTAAGATACAATTTTGTTAATAAGAACTTTTTTTAAAAACAATTAAAAGAAAGCACTAATAGAAAAAAATGTTCTTAACATAATGTTTTTTGTTCTTTACTAGACACCCTTAAGCTTCTATAATTAACCTAAAGAAGTTAAGACAACAACCAATCAATGCAACTGCTTGTAATTTTTTGTAAGACTCACAATAAGGTTTTGTGTGCATATGTGTGTATGTCTGTGGATTTTTTGTTCATTTTAATACTATGCATTCCTTATTTCTAGATATGATCACTAATACATGTAAATTGAATGCTAAATATAACTGTTATGTTATACCCAGAATTTCAGTGTTACTTTTGATCTTCAAGTAGAAACTGGTCTTCCTTAGCCTTCACTTCTTGAAACCTGCCAGATGCCTTAAAAGTTGTTGAATCTTATTATCTTCCTTTCTTTATTTTCTTTCTCTTTCTCTTCCCCAACTCCATTTTTTGTTTTGCTTTTGATATTCCTTCTTGGGATCTTTAAAATCACACTATATTTGCTTTCCTTTTGTCATTTGGTCTTTCTTCTGTGTGTCTTTTACTGGCTCTAGTCTTACCACTTTTGTCAATTAAACCCTTAATTTTCAGCCCCTTTTCAGTACCTTCTCTTTTATTTTTAGATCTTATCTACCACAGTAGATTTGTGTATTATTCCTGCATTTATAACTTACAAGTATAAATCTCCAGTCCTGAATTTTTATTCATAATTCTGATTTTGAATGTCATACAGAATGTCTCCACCTGGATGCTTTAGCCTGAAATTCCGCATGTATAAGTCAACTCTATCTGTTACCATGAATCACGTGCTTCTCTGGGTTTCTCAGTTTCTTCTTTTGATTCTTGTGCCTGTTAATTACAGGGTTCCAAAACAAGGCTGCATTTTTTCTTTTATATTTTTTTCCTGTAGTCAGCACTAGGTCCTGTTGATTTTTCCCTTTAAATTATTATTGCACTTAAATCTGTGCTTTTCTCAGTACAGTTACAATATTCACTCAGCTCAGGCCAATGTCACCCCAGGTTTGAACTGTTGTAACAGACTATTTTCTTCTTTTCCACACTGTTTCAATTCATTCTGCACATTTTACATACATTAATCTTCTAAAATATTACTTTCCTTGTTCCATACTTATGCCCACAAAATTTAAATGCTTATATTGAATGTCAGAGTTCAAATTAGGGCAATTTGCTAGTAGAAGCTGGAAGTTGGCTGGCTATAAATAAGAAAGAACTCAACTTTATTAAATCAGTGTTAGTATCTGAATAAAGAATAATGGAGGTAGATTTAGCTGTACTCGACCATGTAGGCACGTGAAGAAAGCAAGTAATAAATATACCAAATGCAACTTTTGGTCTCGGTCTTGTCTATGGGGTAGGTTTTGAAATATAATAAGAGAAACATAGTCATCAGATCAAGAATGACACTGAAGAAACAGAGAAGATGAGGAGTTAGCTAAATTATACCAAGAAGTAATTGCTTGTGTATGCTCCCAAAAATGAGTTTTACTGATTCAGACTTTCTCTTAAATGCCACAATTTATGGAAGCAACATGGAATTTCCTTGCAAATCCATTTTATGGAGCTCTGTTCAGCCTTAATGAGTAGCAATCCATCTGATCAAATACCAAAAATTTAATTATATATCTGCTTAATTCATGCATGTCCACAAAGTAATAGTCTATGGCGATGTTACTACCTAATTGAGAACTCAGTTTATTTCATTGGTCAAATTTTAAGGCCATTGCTGTTGAAATCATTCATATTGCTGAAGGCTCAGGTGGAATGTTTGAACAGGGTATAAAATGTATTTCCAAATTTTTTCTACAAAGCTGCTCTTAATTTCCTTGCAAGACTTAGAACATTGCCTTCTGGATATCAAAAACTCAAAGATATCTGAAAGTTTAAAGTAATAAATTATTCTCTAATTAAAACTGTTTTATGAACAGTCCTCATAATATATCTAAAATAATATATATTTAAATAAAATTATCCATGATAAATAAAATACTTTTTCTATAGCTAAGTAGTTTTTAATTCAAGTCCCTCCGTGTATAATGCTTTTCTCTTCTTTTTTACTGATTTGTAGTTTACTGTGCTTTGAAGTTTATCTATCAAATGATAAAGCCTTAACCAATGATTCTATTTAGTGAACTCTTTCTCTTCTGAAATTAAATATAATATTTTTTCAAAAATAGTTATATAGAGATGAACAACTACCACTACTTATTTTTGTTGTATTTTTCGAAATTTTTAAATCCGTAGAGCCTAGTTGCAAGTTCTTCAAAACAGGAATACCATATACATTATAATCTTCAGGAAGTTGCTGAGAAAAAGGTTGTTTTCATGGTTGATAGATTCATCCAAGTTCCAATGAGCTACAGATCATTGCTGTTTTAGTGATGAGTTATTAACATCTAGTTATAAGAGAAATATGGGCCCTATGGAATGCAGTATGATGGCCATAGGGTACAGTGGCTATAGCATTAAAATGTAATTCAAGGTACTTAACTGGAGGCTTTAGTTCTACCCATAAACTATGATAATTCACTTCTTTGTCACAATTCTCTTAGCCAAAAACTAAGATTATTTACTAATATAATCTTTTATTATTTTGTAGATTGAATTTCCCTGTAGCTCTTTCAGCTCTTAAATTTTTTTTGTTTTTTAATGTCACCTACTTAAGTTGCAAAATGCCATGACTTTCTCATTATTTCATTAATTGAATGTAATTGTTTATTCATACTTAAATGAAGATTGTTTCTTGATCATCTCAATTTGTATACATTTGTTATATATGTGCTATGCACATTTTTCTCATTATTATAACTGCTTAACATGTAAGCACTTACTATGTTCTGGTATTATTATTATCCAATTACCCTTAGAAAATTATGTTGTTTATTTATGTTTCTGTTAATGTTTTTGATTAAGATAACCATGATTAGGAAAATTAATAAATAAAATATGTGTCCCTAGTATTTCTTTAAATCAACATACATTGGGAGGGAAGTTGAGGTAAAAATAAATGTTATTAGCTTTAACACAAATCTTGTTCATTTCAACAGCTGTGAGCTACAGTTCCTGTCTTAAAGATCATGTACATTGCTCCAAATAGTGAGATAGTGTTATATATTCAAATAAATTACACCTTAAATGCAACCTGAAAGAAAACGAGCAATCAGTGTAGTGACAGATAGCTGTAATTTACTCCACATGGTCTTATGCAGATAGGGTATTATGTACTGGCAACCAAAGGTTCCCTATATTCCAAAGCTCAAGTAAACAATCATTACCTGTTCATCACTCTCTAGGGTTGTAATCAGAATTTATATATGTGCAAACATTTTTAATAAAAGAAAAGACAGCTAAAAGCCCTGTTCTATTCTTTACTTAACAAATCACATTTTCTCAAGTTGAACAATTCTTAAAATTTTTTCTTCTCACGTTTCTATGTCATTATAACACTTTGTGTTACTGTTCCTTCTTCAGTTAATGACTACTCCCAATTTAGAAATATCCATGAATTTAATTAATGTGTAATTTAGCTTTACATATTACTAATTGGGATGGTAGATAAGGAAGTGAGATGTGACAGAATAACTTAAAAAATGCTTAAATTTATCATCCTAATTCATTAAGAACTTAAAAAGGAGGGTATGGACCAATACGGCCTAAAATCAGACTTCAAAGCAATCAAAAATAATCTAAACACAAAATCAGGGTGGAATCATAGGGTTAGGAATTTCTTAAAAAATAAAACAAGGCTAGATGATATATATATAAGGTAATTTTGTTTTCATTATAGAAATAATCCTAGACATTCTGGGAAAAAAGGAAATGAAATGGTGGGAGGCAGAGAAATCCCAAATTAGGTATACTGGATTTCGTACAATTAGGAATATAGGAGAGGCAGGTGTCATAGGGTAATATTAGAGGGTTTCTAACAAAAGAACCTTATGAATGAGAAGTTTTAATAGAATAATCAATGAAAATGCAACACTCAAAACTGCTTACTGTATTTAGTTTATAAATAGCCCCTTCTTTTACTTAACCATAATGTATTATCTCTACTCCCATTCATACTCCAACATATTTCCTCCTCACCATAAGAACACTTAAGAAAAATTTTAAAAAGAAAACAGCAACAAAGAAAAAAGCAACAAAAGCAAACAAGAAACTTCCAAATGTAAAATAAAGAGCCTTGAGAACTCAGACATCCCTAAGAGTTTAAAATACTTAAAAACAGCAGCTGTCATCGATGACTTACTTCTGCAGCAATGCTAGCAAGCCACTATTTCAATATCAGAACCCAAACTCCTCAGTTAATTTATCAATCCCCTAGGTGGATGAAACCATCCATGGGTGCCTTCCATCTGTTCCAAGAGGTCTCTATTTTTGTCATTTCTTAGATGGGTGCACACCATCCAACTGTGACACAAATTCACAGATCAGCTGTCAGATTGTTATGAAGGAAAAGGCATAGGAAAGTAATTTCAACTTTGAAAATATTCCTACTCATAAAAATAACAGAATCAAGCCTTTTATTACTAAATACTATAGTTTATCATTTATGTAATATAAGATATTTTAAATAGCAAGTATTATAGTATAATTATTGTAGTCTACTTTTAGGGAAGCTCTTTGATTATTGTGGCCCAAAGGTACTCTGTGATTTACGAAATTTCATCAGGTTGAACAAATAAGACACAGATAGGCATAGGATAAGTTTCTTTCCTTTATATCTAATCGGAAAATCTCAATTTTGCAAGCATTACAAATGTTTTCTTATTTACCAAGGACAAATAAATAATTTTGGTAAGAAATTAAGGAAAATGTAAGTACAATAAAACACGAAATCACAGAGATAAAATTGTGACTCACTTGAGATCAGCTTTAGGAAGGAGAATGTCCAAGACATCAACAATATTTATTCTGTCTTTAAAGATTCTTAAACCATCTCACTCATTCTTACAAATTCAAATAATGGGCAGCCGGGTGCGGTGGCTCACGCCTGTAATCCCAGCACTTTGGGAGGCTGAGGCGGGCGGATTACTAGGTCAGGAGATCAAGACCATCCCGGCTAACACGGTGAAACCCCGTCTCTACTAAAAAATACAAAAAATTAGCTGGGTGTGGTGGCAGGCAGCTGTAGTCCCAGCTACTCGGGAGGCTGAGGCAGGAGAATGGCGTGAACCCAGGAGGCGGAACTTGCACTGAGCCGAGATCGCACCACAGCACTCCAGCCTGAGCGACAGAGTGAGACTCCGTCAAAAAAAAAAAAAAAATCGAATAATGTCTACTCTTTAACATCTCACAAATTATTTCTAACAATGCTAACGTCTTTGTTTTGTATTGTTATCAGTTAACCCCATAATCATTTGTTTTCTGGGCAAAACTGTTTTTATTTGATTACATACAGTCTTGCATAACTATTTTTGAGTAAAATGTTTATCTTTTTAATTGCATTACATAATCTGGTCATATAAAAACTGTTGCTGAGTCATTAAACATAAAAACCTTGAATCAAAAATCAATGAGTTTACTTACTTTCTATACTACCTTCAATTATCCTCTCTTAGCTTTAGTCTTCTCACTTGAAACTACTATAGTTAATAATAAATACCTCAAAGTATGGTAAAGATTGAATCAGATAAAGAATGAAAAGCACTCATTACCGTACTTTTAATACAGTAGATAGCTACTCAATTTAAAATAGCTATTAATGTGCAGATGACATCAAGATCAAGCAACACTTGGTCTAAGACCCTGTTCAACAATTGTTACAGTGCATGATATGACATTTTAATAAGTTCTGCCTGAAAACATTCAAAAGAATGGTGTATTAAAAATAAGTCATCTAAAATGGTGTGCAAGCATGATTTTAATTATCAGCTTATGAGGGCTGAGATACATAGTGGCTCTCACCAGTTCCACCATGTGTGATACCACAGATGACACTGGCAGAGGCGAGCTGCCAGACCTTCCTACCTTTCCCAGTAGAAAACGTATTTTGTATAGGCCTCTGTTTCAAGATTTCCTCTGACACACTGTCTTCCCTCAGGGCTTTGGCAGAGATTTATCCTGCTGTATTCTCCCAGCTGATAGTTTTCTTGCTGACCCTTCCTAAACACATCATGTTGGAGAGAAAAGGGTAAACATGAAAGAGAGAAAACACTTGTTTCTCTATCGTTCCTACAGTGTCCATCCCTACTAGAAATTATTTATATAAGTATATAACATATATACACACATATATATACGTAACACGTGTGTATATGTGTGTGTGGTGTATGTATGTGTGTGTACATGTGTAAATACATATATCCTCTCCAATTTACCACATGGCACAGACAGTAGTTTGGGATCTTTAAGACTAGAACCTCTTTCTGATGACCCTTCTCCCACAGTTCTCATCTAAACTCCACTTGCCCTGTTCCCTCCTCCTGCCCCCAGGCCAAATATACTAAGACTTCCAATTTCTAGGAGTTCTTATTAAGTACCTCAGCAATGCTTGCTTATTTTTCATAACTTTAAATACTTCGAAATTGTGTCTTCATTAAATTATCTTTGTTCATATTGAGTATATATCTGTTTCCTCTTCATCTCAATTGAGTATGCCAGGTCCCATGCCTTGCTAAGATTTTGACACAACATTCATTTATATCTACCAGGGGCTATTTATTATAACTCACTGAGATATTTCCCTTCCTCCCTTCCTTTTTTCTTTCCTTCCTCCCTTCTTGCTTCCTTTTTGCCTTCCTTCCTTCCTCTTTCCTTCTTCTCTCTTTCTTTCTTCTCTCTCTCTTTCTTCCTGATTATCTTATCACATCTCAAGCTGTATTTAGGTAAAACCTGTTCCCCATGAAGATCTCAGCATTTTATTTAAAGTGTAATTCCAACCAAGCCATTCTTCTTCTTAAAAGCTTTAAATGATACAATATTACCTGGAGAAAAAGGTCCAAATAAGCACATCTCCTATTTCTTTCTTCTTGCTATATCAATGTCATATGAATCAATGTGATGTTGAGAGTGATATCTAGAAGATTCAGTTCTCTCTGTAGTATTGCTGAAGGTTGATTTACAACAAAACTGTAAATGTATATTGTTGTCCATTTCATGTGAGTGCTGTTTCTGATCTGTTTTCTAATCAGAATGGAAAATAATTATTTCTCAAATTGGTGGCTTTTAGCATGTACTTGAGATTGTATTAATCTTCTCGAGAAAAAACAATACAACATATGACACAGCAGTTGCAATTGGGACTAAAACTTGACTAAATTTTGGATAGTCTATTGTCATTCTCTGGGATCAATCTGGTTTCTGCAGCAACCAGACGATAAATTTATTAAAGAAATGTTGAAGGCTACCACCCCTGTATTCTTTAGACCGTACAAGGTGCAATGATGTCTGCCATCTTACCCCAGGATGTAATATTACTTTTAGTTTATTATCTTGGTTGTTAGTTATAGAGGCTTCCATTTGGTATCACTCTTTCTGATAGCTCTTATCTTACAGCCCAAGTGCCTAATGTGGGAAGTACATCAACAACTAGTTATAAAAACCCCAATCATAAAGTCTTGAACCTGGGAAATGACTAACAGATGGGTTTCAGGACCTAGTGGACCCACTGTTTGCTGCATCATGTCAAGGAACAAACTTATTACCTGGCATCAAAAGTCTCTAGTCTAAAAGGGAGCCACAATGGTGCTTCAAATCTTCAGGTATTAATGTCAGAGGATACCCTCAGGAAAACAATTCTCTAAATGTTTGGGCATTTTCCTTTTTTTAATGGAGTTGCCCAAGTAAATGGTCATGAGTCCTTCTTAAGGGAGGCTGGAAGAATCATTAGCATGTCTTTTTGTGATGGTGTTGCAGGCTATGTCTTCTGAAGATCTGGCCTTAATTTGATAAAATTGTTATGGGTCTGAAAATGAGATCAGATCTGCAATCTTAGCAGGTAATTGTGGTGCTTTAAGATACAAAAATCAAAGGTCATCTCTCCTTGATTTCTCTTCATTGTACAGGCTAAATAATACTCTTTTTTTGCTGCCTATGTAAATATCTGTGGGTTAGGTGGGACTCTTGGCTGCTAATCTAACTCTGCTGCTCTTTACAATAATTGCACCCACCTGGCTTCTGGTTGCTAAGCACATTTACTATATCACTACAGTTTTGGCATTCACTAATTTCTACTTCTGTTATTGTTCCTGGTTTTATAACTGACTCTCCTGCCATCAGCCCTGAGTTACTGATGGAGAGGAGAGAAGCCAGTGAACATGCTGGTGCCCTTCTCATTAATGAACATTTTAATGATTCTATTTTTTATGGCCTTGACAAATATTGACTTTTCTAGGTCTTCCTATGGAATATAGTCATCTGGCAAGACTTTCTACAGTAAAACCATTCAAGCAGTTCAATTTCCCTGACCCTTTAAATGACTTCTTCTAGTATCTGCAATGGGAATGTTGGAATTTTGACTTCATTTAGCGTGTTTATTCCTTTTCCACCTTCTAGATCTATCCTAGTAACCACTTTATACTATCCCTTGGGACCCTTGACAGAGTATTAAAATTTGTATCTTGAAAATTTTATCCTAAATAAGTAAATTATGTCATATTCAACCTTGTATTCTATTCCCCGGATCAAGAATTATCAAAATCAAATTCTACTTGTGCTCCCCCAGCTACATACTGACTAGATATTTTTCTGATACAGTCACTTTCCTTCCTCATGAGGCTGCACAGTTGTGAGTTGGGTTATTTTGTGACTTAACATTAGTTAAGTCCAGTGTATAGCAGGGAAGGATGGGCAAATCCTGAAGGAAAAAATATTGTTTGATAGGAGACAGGCCTTTTCACTGCCTTTAAGTCAGCATTCTGTAGTTACTTAAGAGAGAGATGAGCTACTTTTCCAAGCTCCAATGGTTTAGGCGTCCAGAGTTTCAAAATTTTCTTAGGCATCCATTTAGATGTACCCATCTCAGTTATCGGAGTTCTATTAGGTTGTTGTAAAAGTAAATGTGGTTTTTGCATTGTTGAAATTTGCCATTTGATATTGAAATACATTCTTAAATAAATGTGGTTATGATATATATCATTTTAATGTACATTTCTAGCTTTTTTTGCTTGAGAATTATTACTTGCTGTTTATATTTATTGTAGGCTATGAAAATGATGTTAGACAAAAAGCAAATTTGAGAAATGTTCTGATTCAAGTTCAAAATGGGTCGTAAAGCAGCAGAGACAACTCTCAACATCGACAATGCATTTGACTCAGGAACTGCTAACACATGTCCAGTGCGGTGGTGGTTCAAGAAGTTTTGCACAGGAGACAAGAGCCTTAAAGATGAGGAGCACAGTGGCTGGCCATTAGAAGTTGACAATGACCAGTTGAGAGCAATCATCGAAGCTGATCCTCTTACAACTACACAAGAAGTTGCCGAAGGACTTAACATAGACCATTCTATAGTCATTCGGCATTTGAAGTGAATTGGAAAGGTTAAAATCTCGAAAAGTGGGTACCTCATGAGCTGGGCAAAAATTTTAAAAATCATCGTTTTGAAGTGTCATTTTCTCTTATTCTACAGAAAATCAATAAACTATTTCTTAATTGGATTGTGATGTGTGGAGAAAAGTGGATTTTATACAACTACCAGCAATGACTGGCTTAGTAGTTGGGCCAAGAAGAAACATCAAAGCATTTCCCAAAGACAAGTTTGCATACACACACACACAAAAGTTCATGGTCACTGTTTGGTGGTCTGCTGCAGGTCTGATCCATTACAGCTTTCTGAATCTCATCAAAACCATTACATCTGAGAAGTATGCTCAGCAATCTATGAGATGCAACAAAAACTGCAACCCCTGTAGCCGGCATTTGTCAACAGAAAGAGCTCAATTCTTCACAACAATGGCCATCACACAACCAACACTTCAGAAGTTGAGTGAATTGAATTCAAAAGTTGTTGAATGAATTCATTCAAAAGTTGAATGAATCCATTCAAAAGTTGAATGAATTGGGCTATGAAGTTTTGTCTCATCCACCATATTCACCTTACCTCTCACCAACCACCACTTCGTCAAACATCTCAACAACTTTTTGCAGGGAAAATGTTTCCACAACCAGCAGGATGCAGAAAATGCTTTCCAAGAATTCTTCAAATCCCAAAGCATGAATTTCTATGCTACAGGAATAAACAAACTTATTTCTCATTGGCAAAAATGTGTTGATTGTAATGGTTCCTATTTTGATTAATAAAGTTGTGTTTGAGCCTAGTTACAGTGATTTAAAATTCATGGTCTAAAACCGCAATTACTGGTGCAACAGAAAAGCTGGACTTTGATACACATAACAGAGCTTCCTTGGTTGGGCATTAACCGTTCTTAGAGTTTGGACACTCTGACTATTAGGTCCTAGGCCTGGCCCACACAATTTTCTGCATCCTAGGCTAAAGAAAATCAGCACTTGTACTTTGCTGAAGGTTGATTTTAGTCTTCATTAAGGAGAATCAGTTTTGCTTTAAGTCTATTTGAACTGCATATATTTTCTGAACATTTTAAGCTATTGCGGATAGAAACTGAAATTTTTCATATGCTTAAATTCTATCCACATACATATAAATCTGGTATGGCAATAGATAGATAATAGTTTTTTTCTTTTATTTTCTATTTACATTTTTTCAGTTATAGAAAGTGATCTTATATTCAGAGAAGTGAGATGGTAGACCATATAAAGATGGAGAAGAGTTTAAAATATCATATTGAATTGATTATAGGACATCGTAAGAGCATCAGGCATTGTTCAAACTCACCCAAGTATAAGGGAAAGACAAACTAGATTTCATCCAGGATTAGAGTTTAGCCATATATTAAAGAATAAAGGGTTCACATGAAAAGTGCAGGTAAGACTAGGCAGGTTGAGAAGGAGAAGAGAGAGATGCCTCAGAATAATTAGTATAATGAAATAGCATTTGGGGATAAAAATGAAGATTAGACTGGTATACAGGTAATAAATAACAAAATGTTTTTAAATACTTACTGAGCATTTCCTATGTGCCAAGTAGTCTTCTAGATTATTTAGTTAGAGAATCCATGTACAGCTTTCCTTAGGTAGATTTTATTCTTGTTGGCAAGCAGGTGGAGAGAGACATAAATAAATAAAATACTATGACCTTTCTGAGAAGGGATTATGTCTCTGAACCAGTGAACTAGTGATTTTTTATTTGTCTTTTTGTGAAATATCTTTTTTTCATCTTTTTATTTTGAAACATTCTGAGTCATTATGTTTAAGATATCAGTCTTGTATGCAGCATGTATTTTTCAATCAATTCCAACAACTTCCAACAAATTTTGTTTTATTTTTGTGCCTGCATCTTAATGTAAGTACTCCCATATTTGGGTTAAATCCATCATATCAATATTCATTTCCTATATGTCAAAAATATTTTTATTTCTTTCACTTTTCTTGCGTTGTTTTTGATTCATCAATTCATTTTTTTCTAGCTCTCTGGTATTCATTTAGCAATTTCTGAAAAGATAACAACAACGACATTGTCTTATTACAAAGTCTACCTTATGTTGGCATTTTTACCATGTTTCGGGTAATGTAGGAACCGTACAACATTATATTCCTTTTGTTCCTTTAATGGTTGCTGTGCTGTCATTGACATGTATTTTATATTCATTCCACCTATAGTTTAACACTCACCATAAATTTCTAAATGTTGTTTTAAAATGTCAATATTAATTTACACTTCTCACATATTTACACTTCCTGGTGATTTACATTCTATTCTTTATTATCACATTTCTATTTGGAACATAATTCCTCTATCTAATGAGCTTTCCTTATTAGTCTTAGTGAAAATTTTGCTGGCTATTAATTTTCTCAGATTTGTTTATTTTTGAAAATGCCTTCATTTCATTTTATATCTAAAGTATATTTACTGCGTATAGAACTCTATTTAAAAATTTAATTTTTGTCACCACTTTAAAGATACAACAGCAATTTCTTTTGCCTTGGATCACTTCTTGAGAAGTTAGCTCCTAGGCATTTTATTACTGATTTGAAGGTAAATTATCAATTTCTAGCTTTTTTTTCCTTTTCTTTTCTTTTCTTTTCTTTTTTTTTCTTTTTGAGACAGTCTCACTCTTTTGTGCAGGCTGGTGTACAATGGCATGATCTTGGCTCCTGGCAACCTCTGGCTCGTGGGTTCAAGCAATTCTTGTGTTTCAGCCTCCTGAGTATCTGGGATTACCTGCATGAACCACCATGTCCAGCTAATTTTTTGTATTTTTAGTAGAGATGGGGTTTCCCTATGTTGGACACGCTGGTTGGGAACTCCTGTCCTCAAGTGATCTGCCCACTTCAGCCTCCCAAAGTGCTGAGATTACAGGCACGAGCCACCACACCCAGCCTCTTGCTAGTTTTAAAGATTATTTTCTTTGGCTATCAGAAGTTTTATTTAATGCATGTTAGTGTGCTTTCCTTTGTGTTTATATTGCTTGGGGTTCATAAACTTTCTTTAACTTAAATCTATAGATTTGTGTCTTTTTTTCCTGCTCATTTTGGAAAATTATGTGACACTTTCATTGATAATGATTATTTTTCTTAGAGTTATCATTTATACATATTGGTAGATATCTAACCCATAAATCTCTTACCTTCTTATCTTTATTCTTTCCTACTTTTCTGTATGCTGCAGTTCTGATATTCTCTACTGAAATTCTGAGTTTTCTAATCTATTAAACCCATCTATCAGCTCCTTAATTTCCTTTATGTCATTACTCACCTCTATTATCTTCACTGGCTCTGTTTTATAAATTAAGTTGTCTTGATACATTTTCCATGTTTTATCTATTTGTTACATTACGCTTAGTTATTTTAAAGCTCTTATTAAGTACCTGCTATGCAGAATAAGTATAAGCAAATAACTTTGATCATTTCAAAGCTAATTTGAGGTTTCATTGAAACTGATCTTTGCTTTGTTTGCCCTCACATCCAGGGTATAATCCCTTCTTTTGAGCACAGAATTGCCCTTAGGGCATAGCATTATCTGGTCTCAAAGAAAGCAAGGGTGTTAGCTAGGGTCTCTCTATTTCATAGCAAGGTCTGTCTTCTTTATTAAGTGAGACCTTGTCAAGTCCCAGTCGGCCACTCTTTGTTCAACTTTTATTCTCTATGATAAGAATTGGCAAAAACCATGGAGAATAATTGCTTCTCTTTTCTCTGGAATCATAACCTCTCAAGTCCTCGCTGTTTTTATGCTCTCTAAAGACTTCAAATATCAGTTCCAAATATTGTATCCAGTTTTCATAGTTGATATGTATCTCTGTGGGGGAGTTAGTGAGTTACTCTGATACAATCTGCTCCATCATGGTTAGAAGCACAAGAATGTAACTGACAGCTTAATGATAGCACAAAGGCAACTGTGGCAATCTGAGGAAAGAGCATATCACATAGAAGGAAAGCTGAGTACAGAACAATGAGTTATGAAAAAGTGAGTACAAGAACAATGAATTAGAAAGCAGAGTTTTCTGTTTGAAGGTAGTAAGGCCACTGTGGTTAGAACAGAATTGAGAAGTTGAAGTTGTGGTACATGAGTTTGGAGAAATAATCTTACAGATCTTAAAATAAAAACTAAGTTTGAATTTATTCTATATTTATTAATATGTTATTGGTAGTTTCAAAAAGGGGTCGATTGAAATAACTTATTTTAATTTAATTTAACTTTTTAGAGATAGACTCCCACTCTGTAGCCCAGGCTGGAGTGAAGTGACGTAAACATAGTTCCCTGCCTCCTCAGCTTCCCAGGCTCCAGTGATCCTCCCACCACAGCCTCCCAAGTAGCTGGGACTACAGGCATGTGCCACTACACTAGGCTAAATTTACACTTTTAACAATATTGATTTTTACTTGCATTCAAGTTGGAATAACCAGTACTGGCATTACCCTGCAGTCTGAAACAACAACAAGAATGAGAAAATGTATTTTTTAAGACATTGAACATAAGAAAATGAAGGGTAGTGGTCCTTGAAAAATAGGAAACAAAGGAAATTATCACTACAATTGCTGCAGCTTACTACGTGAAAGAGTATCCAGGTTTCAGCAAGGGGAAGGGAAACACATGTTGAGCACAACGATTTCACTGGGTCAAAAATACAGGATTGTGTCTGAGAAAGCCAAAGGGGCTGGGGCTTACAGAAGAGAGTTCCAGACAAAAGGAAGTTCAAAGAAAGAGGACCCCAAAGATTTGCAGACTAGACAGCAAGTGTTCAGGTGAGTAACAAAGCCTGAGGAAGAAATATCGAAGATGATTTATATTCCTCTATAATCAGAAACAAACAAAAATAAAGATTTCTGGGCACCAGTTCAGACTAAGTTGGCACATCCAAAAGTCATCACATTGCATGATTTCATTTATATAAAATTGCTAAAAATGTAAAAACATATCTCATTGACAATAACTGTATTAGTAGTTGCCTGGGGTTCCAGTATGTGATGCTGAGATACAGAATTTAGCGATTAAAAAATGGGCACAAGGGACATTTGGAGTGATGGATGTCTTCATTAACTTGATTGTGATGATAGTATTAGAGGTGTTTACACACATCAAAATGTAAATTGTACTTTAAGTATAGTTTGTTTTATTTCAATTAGGCTTTAAGAAAGCTGTAATATATATATTTATAGCTGGTAAATCTCTAGGTTAGTGGGAAGAAAAAGATCAATCAGAGTGTTTTGCAATAGTTCAGATAATAGATGACAGTAGCTTTGCTGAGGCTTCAAGCCATAAAAATGTTGAGAAAGCTGAATTTGGGGATTACTTTGGATACTGTGGCCAATTTTAGAAAATAACATAGCTGGATATCATTTATTCATTTAACAGATATTTAATTATAGTCTATTTTATGCTAGCCAAGTTTAAGGTACTAGGAATATATAATCCACCATAACTTTCAGGGAACTTTTGCAAGTTGGCAGTTATATAATAAGTCTTAATCAGAATTACAGAGAAGGAAAATCAGGGAGTTGATTTTCAATGCTGAATTAAATAAAATGCAAGATGGGCTGGGCACGGTCACTCACACCTGTGATCCCAGCACTTTGGGAAGCTAAGGCGGGTGGATTGCTTGAGGCCAGGAGTTTGAGACTAGCCTGGCGAACATGGTGAACCTCATCTCTACTAAAAATACAAACACTAGCCCGGCATGGTGGTGTGTGCCTGTCGTCCCAGCTACTCCGGAGGCTTTGGCACGAGAATAGCTAAAACGTAGGAGGTGGAAGTTGAAGTGAGCCTAGATTGCCCCACTACACTCCAGACTGGGTGACAGAGCAAGACTCTGTCTCAAAATAAATAAATAAATAAATAAATAAAAATTTAGAAATAAAATGCAAGAGAATGAGAAGAATCTACTGAAGAAAATTATTAGAAGAATGTTGGGAATGTGGCACAGTTAGAGGATATATAAAGAAGGATTTAAAAACTCACTTAACTACCACAATGACCACAGGAATTAAAATCAATAAAATAGCATTAACAGTAATATTATCTTCATGTAGTGTATATACTGTATTATATGTAAAGCATGCTCAGACATGCTTTTGTATCAGTCAAGAAAACAGCAAATAATGTATGCAAGAGTCCCTTCTCTAAATCTTAAATAAGTATGAGTGAAAGCCATACACAAAACACAAAGAATAAGCGATATCATTATTCTATTTTCCATGCCCTTGATGTGACAGTTTCTAACAATAAACCTGAATTAACCGATGAGTTTTCAATATATGTGTTCAATTATCTTTATCTATATTTAACACTAGCCTGTTGATATCATTCACTTTAAAGACTATCTGCCTGGAGAATATTTGCCACTATATCATGGATTTCCATATTTAGTTTTTATACTTTTTTACTAGATGCAATAAAGTATGGGTATTGTTTTATTCACACATGATCGCATTGCAATTCAAAGACCTTGGCAGCACTTTAGAATTACAATGAAATTATCATGGAGACCAGATATGCATTGCTTTATTTCTTCAAACTGTCAGTAAACCATTCGAAGTAGAAGAGAGCATACGCATTAATACATACATTAAATATAAATTTACTTTAGATTAAAACTGTGGGGATATGGATAAATGGTGGAGTAGGACTGAGAACTGAGTGTGAAATAACAACTCCACAGCTAACACCACCCTGAACAGGGAAATGCTGAAATCTTTCTCTGTAAGAACCGGAACAAGAAAAAGATGCCCAGTCTCACCACTCTTATTCAGCATAGTACTGGGAGTCCTAGCCAAATGAATTATGCAACAGAAAGAAATAAAAGGCATCCAAACTGGAAAGGAGGAAGTCAAATTTTCCCTGATTGCAGATGACATGGTGGGGGGCTAGGGGAAGGATAGCATTAGGAGAAATACCTAATGTAGATGATGGGTTGAATGGTGCAGCAAACCACTATGGCACTTGTATACCTATGTAACAAACCTGCATGTTCTGCACATGTATCCCAGAACTTAAAGTATAATAAAAAAAAGAAAAACCTAAAGATTCAATCAAAAAACTCTTAGAACTGATAAACAAATTCAGTAAGGTTGCAGGATACAAAATCATCATACAAAAATAGTGAGCATTTATATGCACAATGAACTAGCTGAAAAAGAAATCGAAAAAGTAATCTCCTTTACCACAGATAAGAAAAAAGAAAAAAAACACTTAGGAATTATTTAAGCAAGGAAGTGCAAGACATCAACAAGGAAAACTACAAAATGTTGAAAGAAATTGAAGAGGATAAAGCAAATGAGAAAATATCCTATGCTCAGGTATTGGAAGAATTAATGTTGTTTAAGTGATCATACTACCCAAAGCAATCTACAGATTCACTGCAATCCCTGTCAAAATACAATGACACTCTTCACAGATGTAGGGAAGAAAAATCCTAAAATTTGTATGAAACCAAAAAAGACCTGGAAGAGCCAAAGAAATTCCCGAGCAAAAAGAACAAAGCTGGAAGTAAAACACTACCAGACAACATACAACAAAGCTGTAGTAACTAAAACAGCATGGTAGTGGCATAAAAACAGACATATAGATTAATGAAACAGAGTAGAAATTAATCCACTTATCCACAGAAAACTGATTTTAGCAAAGGTGTCAAGAACATCCATTAGGGAAAGAAGAATCTCTTCAATAAATGATACTGGGACAACTGGATGTTCATATGCAGAAAAATGAAAGTAGACCCTCACCTCTCACTCAGTACAAAAGTCAACTCAAAGTAAATCAAAGACCTAAATGTAATACCTGAAACTAGGAAACTACTAAAATAAAACATAGGATAAATATTTCAAAACAAAGGTCTGAGAATAAATTTTAAGAGTAAGGCCTCAAAAACACAGGCCACAAGAACAAGTGAGATTACGTCAAGCTAAAAAGCTTCTACATAGTAAAGGAAACAGTAGAGTGAAAAAGCAACCTCCAGAATGGGAGAAAATATTTGCAAACTATCCATCTGACAGAGGATTGATATTCAAAATATACAAGAAAGTCAAACATCTCAACAGCAAAGACAATGCAATAAATTAGACTTTTTTTTTTTTTTTTTTTTGAGATGGAGTCTCGCTCTGTCACCCAGGTTGGAGTGCAGTGGCACAATCTCAGCTCACTGCAACCTCCACTTCCTGTGTTCAATCCATTCTCCTGCCTCAGCCTCCCGAGTAGTTGGGACTACAGGCGCCCGCCACCACGCCCAGCTAATTTTTTTGTATTGTTAGTAGAGACAGTGTTTCACTGTGTTAGCCAGGATGGTCTTGATCTCCTGACCTCGTGATCTGCCTGCCTCGGCCTCCCAAAGTGCTGGGATTACAGGCGTGAGCCACTGCAACCGGCCAATAAATTAGATTTTAAAATGGGCAAATGATCTGAACAGACATTTCTCAAAGTAAGACACAGAAATGGCCAACAGATACATGAAAAAATGCTATCACTGATCATCAGAGAAATGAAATCCAAAGCACAAGGAATTATCATCTCACCCCAATTAGGAAGGTAAGTATCAAAAAAGCAAAAAACAACAAATGCTGGTGAGGATGTGGAGAAAAGGGAAGTCTTATACACTGTGGGTGGGGATATAAACTAGTACAGCCACTATGGAGAATAGTGTGAAAGTTCCTTAGAAAACTACAAATAGGACTACCACATGACCCAGCAATCTCACTATTGGACATCTATGCAAGGAAACGAAAATCAGTATATTAAAGGGTTAGCTGCTCCTCCGTGTTTATTGCAGCCCTACTCACAATAGCTAACATACAGAATCAACATAGGTATCCAATAACAGATGAGTGGAAAAAGAAAATGTGGTTTACAGTAGAATACTATTCAGCCATTAAAAATTGGAACCCTGTAATAGCAGCAACATGGATGGAACTGGAGGACATTATGTTAAGTGAAATAAGCCAGGAACAAAAAGTTAAATGCTGCATGCTCTCATTCACATGTGGAAGCTAAAAAACGTGTTGATCTCATAGAAGTGAAAAGTAGAATAGAGGATAGCAGAGGCTGGGAAGAGTAGGGAGAATTGGGAGAATAGAAAAACATTTGTTAAAGCATACAAAATCACAGCTAACTAGAAAGAATAAGTTCTAGTGTTCTATTCCACTGTTTATGACTACAGTTAACAATAATATATTACAAACAGCTAGAAAGAGAATATTGGATGTTTCCAATATAAATAAATAACAAATGTTTGAGATTATAGGTATGCTAATTACAGTGATCAAACCACTATATGTATGTATTGAAAGATCACCTTCTACCTAATTACAGTGATCAAACCACTATATGTACGCATAGAAAGATCACCTTCTACCTCAATATATACAATTATTATATATCAATTTAAAAAAATAAATTTAAAAATTTTAAAAAGAAATACATAAAAAAGTAAATAAACATAATTATAGTTAAATTTTATAAAGTTTTACTTTGCAAGTAGTTGTAGACAATGGGAATTTAAGATATTTATTTTATGTTTTTATGTTTCTCCTTAGCCTTAAGAGACCAGGAGGTTACCGTGCTACTTCAACATATTTCTCTGGCAGTGATGGAGCCAGAAAGTGGGATAATTGTTTTATAATTATTTTTGTTTAAATGTGAAAAAAGGAATAGTAATTTTAGTAAAATCAGCAGGATAATTACAATGACTTTTATAGACTCTTACAAGAGGAAATGGTGCTTTAAAATTAATGACGGGGT
This sequence comes from Homo sapiens, assembly GCF_000001405.40. Classification (NCBI taxonomy): domain Eukaryota; kingdom Metazoa; phylum Chordata; class Mammalia; order Primates; family Hominidae; genus Homo; species Homo sapiens. Next base: position 195,388,920 of record NC_000001.11, on the reverse strand, counting down.
GCACTTCATTCTTCCACATGAGAAAAATCATAAGTTGCTTAGAGAGTTCAGTGATAGCAATTCAAGTATATTTTGGTTCTCTCTGCAGACATTCAATTGCTCCAAAGAATTGAGATCTGCCTGGGAGTTAAAACGTCTATAGATCATCCTCAGGAGTGTCAGTTCACCTTCACTGTTCCAATCAATTGTACAAATGTACTTGTTAACAATTATCAGCACAAGCTGTTGTATACCATTGTCAAATCTGTAGTTAGTTTACTGTTTAAGTTTTCAAGCTCTGAATTCCTGTTCTTTACAAATTTTAGAAAAATACATAACTTCATTTTATGGATAAGAATGAAGATATAATATTAAACCCCTTATCTGACAATAAAAAATAATGAGTTGTTATTGTTTGTTAATTTAAACCAATGCAAGTACCCAGTACCCCAAAAATAGCTGTGGTTTCAAAGGTTATAGAGAACTTTATTGTTAGAAATCACTTAGTTACTGAAGGAAAAATAGTGCTTTTTATAACTATTGTAAAACTTTGGGTCATGCATGTAAATGCTGCGTACATTCTCTAGATGAATCATGCCTGGATCATTAGGCTACAGCAAATTTGTACGTATAATAGTTTGTAAATTATCTTAAATTTAACAAAATGAAACAATTTTATCTGGTAATATGGAACACTGAGAGAACATAATGTTGAAAATAAACACCATTTCTAGGCAAATTTATTTCCAAATAAAACTTGTGAATAAAAGTCACAGAGCTGATTGAGTAAAACTTTTTAAAAAATCTATTTGGAATATTGTAATTGTTGACTGGATTCTATTATTCTTAAATATTACAACGCTGCTTAGGCAAATGAACATCATTCCCCTTCATTCATTCTAGAAGATGGCTTAACCCTAGAATTAATTTATCCTCAAATTGCATTGTGCCCATTTGTTTCTAATATTTAGTAAAATGTACTGAATGAAAAGTAGAGAGAACCTTCGAATATTTTCCTTTACCTAAGGATTTATTTACCCTTGCCCTTCGTCGTTGAGTAATAACTGTTTAATCCATTAAATATGCTTTGGAAATTGTTACTAGATGAGCATGATATAACCAGGCTTAGGATTTTCTAGTGTCAGAAAATAATTTAAATAAAAATTTTAAAATAAATATCAAAGCTTATAAAATTCAGTGTTATTTACATCTTATATTATGACATTATAATTTTCTTAAACTTCCTACATTTTTATAACTTCTTTTAAATAACCCATTTTTCAGTGCTGGAAATAAAAATGAAAAAGTATGTTGGTATTATCAGTTTTTATTTATCTTGAATGTAAATAATAAATAAGGGCACTCTGAAGGAAATAAGTGATAACCAGGTCATGTACAAGAAGTATGACTAGAGATGGGAAACTTTCTTTAGTTTATTTTTCAAATAGTCAAAACAAGGTATCCAGTCTTAGACATTTGAATTCTTTCAAGAACAGAAATACCATAATCAGAGGGCTGAAACAATGCACGCATTATTTTAATAATAATTGTAATGATTCATGATATATTAAATGGAAAATACTGAGATGTGTCAAAAACACTTTTCATATAATGAATAATTTGGGGAATTTTTAAATTTTCATACACCCTATTACAAAAAGAAAATATTACTTTGAGTTTTATATCTAAATTCTAACAAGCAACCTATATAAATATGAACATGGTGAGGTACAAAAAACATAATAATTTGTGGTAATTAAATTTCACTTCCACCAAGTCGTCCCTTTCAAGTAAGATGATTATGCATCTTATCCCACTGCTGTGTGAATCCCAGAAGTTGAAATATATTTACTGTGCTTTGGCAGTGCCATTCATGGATTCATCATACTCCAGTATAATGTCAATGTGTCAGTACTGAGCAGAAGCTTAAGAGAATTTACATGTTTCTACCATCTCTAAAGAGTGCTATGTCCCGAAAAGCTTCATGTCCACTCTGTTTTGTGTAAGAAATAATTGAAATTTTTGGAGTCACTTGCTACTTGTTATTCTAGCACAATCTAGTAAAAACTATTTCAAAAGTACATTCCTAGAAATGGGATCCTGCAGTAACAAAAATGCTAAAATATATGGTATTGACTTCAGGACCTGACAGGGGTAGTGAGAAAATTATTATTGGCGGCTTGAAAAACAATCATCCATACATAAAGTTGTGAAATATGTGTTATAATTTGTCTGCAATAATTTAGAAGAAAGATTCTAGGCTTAATAAATTTGTGGCTTTAAGCGAAGAGGTAGGAAAACTGAATATTGGAAGCATGTGTTGGAAGCTACTGAGTATATTTTTTAAAGTTTTAAAAGAAATTTGTGTCAAAAAAGAATTGCTAGTTTGTAAGAGAGAACCCTCAGAATTTGGAATTTATAGGGTTTAAATATGGAATAGTTTTTCATCTTCAATGTATTAAATATAAAATGAAAAACTGGTTTTTAATGAATAATGTTATTTACAGGATTTTTCAATTATATATTTAAATCATTGGAGCAGAAAAAGGATATGTAATTTGTCCAAAAACAAAACTAATGGTGAGACTCTCATGCTTTTTGTTCAAAATTCTAAAGACTGTAATGTGGCTTCTGGGAAGTCTATTCAGACTTAATTATTTGGACAATAATATTCAGGGAAAAAAGACCAAGAGTATTACATTAGTCCATTTTTACACTGCTATAAGGATACTACCTGAGACTGGGTAATTTGTAAACAAAAGATTTTTAGTTGACTCATGGTTCCACATTGTGGGGGAGGCTGCAGGAAATTTACAATCATGACAGAAAGCAAAGGGGAAGTAAGGTGTCTTACATGCTGGCAGGAGAGAGCATACAGGTGAAATTGCCACTTTTAAACCATCAGATCTCATGATAACTCTTGAACTATCACGATAATAGCATGGGGGAAACAATGAAATTACAATTTGACATGAGATTTGGGTGGGGACACAGAACCAAGCCATATCATTCCACCCCGGGCACTGCCCAAATCTAATGTTCTTTTAACATTTCAAAACCAATCATGCCTTCCTAACCGCCCCCAAAATCATAACTTATTCCATCATTAACCCAAAAGTCCAAGTCCAAAGTCTCATCTGATAAAAGTCAAGTCCTTTCTGCCTATGAGCCTGTAAAATCAAAACAAAGATAGTTACTTCCAAGATACAATAGGGGTACAGGCACTGGGGTAAATGTTCCCATACCAAATGGGAGAAATTGGCCAAAACAAAGGGACCACAGGTCACATGAGAATCTGAAACTGGGCAGGACAATCATTAAACCTTAAAGCTCCAAAATAATCTCGTTTGACTCCACGTCTTGTATACAGAGCACACTGATGCAAGAGGTGGGCTCTGATGGCCTTGGGCAGCTCCACCACTGTGGCTCTGCAGGCTACAGTCCCTGTGGCTGCTTTCATGGGCTGGCATTGAGTGTCTATGGCTTTTCTAGGCACATGGTGCAAACTGTTGGCAGATCTACATTTCTGGGGTCTAGAGGACAGTGGTCCTCTTCTCATAGCTCCACTAGGCAATGCCCTGGTGGAGACTCTGTGTGGGAGATCAAACCCCACAGTTTTCTTCTACAGTGCCCTAGCAGAGGTTCTCCATGAGGTCTCTGCCCCTCCAGCAAGACTTCTGCCTGGACATCCAGGTGTTTCCATACATTCTTTGAAATCTAGGCAGGGGCTTCAAAGCTTCAAATGCTATCTTCTGTGCACCCACAGGCCCAATAACACATAGAAGCTGCCAAGGCTTGGGGCTTGCACCCTCTGAAGCCATGGCCAGAGTGGTACCTTGGCCTCTTTTAGCTATGGCTGAAGCTGGAGCAGCTGAGTTGCAGGGCTCCAAGTCCCGAGGATGTACATAGCAGCAGGGCCTCGGGCAACACCCAGAAAACCATTTTCCCTTCTAGCCCTCTGGGTCTGTGATGGGAGGGGCTGTGTCGAAGACCTCTGACATGCCCTGGAGACATTTTCCCTATTGCCTTGGCTATTAACACTAGGCTCCTTGTGACTTATGCAAATTTCTGCAGCTGGCTTGAATTTCTCCCCAGAAAATGGGTGTTTCTTTTCTGCCACGTGGTCAGGCTGCAAATTTTCCAAATCTTTATGCTCTGCTTCCCTTTTAAACATAAGTTCCAATTTCAAATCCTCTCTTTGTGAATGTATATAACCGTCCATGTTCAGGAAAAGCCAGGTCATATCTTGAATGCTTTTCTGCTTAGAAATTTCTTCTGCCAGATACCCTAAATAATCTGTCTCAAGTCAAAGTTCCACAAATCTCTAGGGGAGTGGCAAAATGCTACCAATCTCTTTGCTAAAGCATAGCAAGAGTTACCTTTGTTCCAGTTCCCAATAAGTTCTTCATCTCAATCTCAGACCACCTCAGCCTGCACTTCATTGTCCATATCACTATCAGCATTTTGGTCAAAACCATTCAACAAGCCTCTAGAAAGTTCCAAAGTTTTTCACAGCTTCCTGTCTTATTCTGAGCCCTCCAAATTATTCCAACCTCTGCCTGTTACCCAGTTCCAAAGTTGCTTCCACATTTTAGATATCTTTATAGCAGTGCCCAAACTCCCAGTACCAATTTTCTGTATTAGTCAATTTTCACACTGATATGAAGATACTACCTGAGAAAGAGTAATTTATAAACAAAAGTGGTTTACTTGACTTACTGTTCTGCATGGCTGGGGGGTGCCTCAGGACACTTACAATCATGGTGGAATGTGAAAGGGAAACTAGGCATGTCTCATATGGTAGCAGGAGAGAGACACCATGCAAGGGAAATTGCCACTTTTAAACTTTGAAATCTCATGAGAACTCATGAGAACTCCCTCCTATCATGAGAACAGCATGGGGGAAACTGGCTCCATGATCCAGTCACCTCCCAGTAGGACCTTCCCTCAACATGTGAAGATTACAATTCGATATGAGATTTGGGTGGGGACACAGAACCAAACCACATCAAGTATGTTCCACATTAGCACAGAACTCATGTAAGTACTGGCGAAATAGCAATAGACTATTTCCAAATACATGCATTTCTTTTATTTTCAAATTAAACTGTTTGTTTCAAGATAAGTGTAGATCTACCTGCATTTGTAATAAATAATACAGATAGATTCTGCTTGCCCTTTATTCAGTTTCCTCCAGTGTAAACGTCTAGCAATACTATCATACTATAGTTGTATATTGTACTATCATACAACATCATAATCATAATTCTAACTGGATAAAATCATAATATAAAACAATTCCATCATCACTAGAGACCTCTTGTTACTCTTCAACAGCCACACATGCTTCCATTTCCTTAATGCCTGGCAATTACCTGTTCTTCATTTCTGACCTCCTGTCATTTCAAGAATGTAGGTAAATGAAATTATACCTACAAGTAAGTAAGATTTTGAGACTTTTTCTTTCAGTGAGCATAATTCTGTGGAGATTCATCTAAGTTCTTGCATGATATATCATGCATGTCTTGCATGTATATCATGCATGTCTTGCATGTATATCATGCATGTCTTGCATGTATAATAATAGTTTATTTAATGCTGAGTAGTATTCCATGGTGTGGGTATGTGTGCATGTGTGTGTATATGTATATATACACACATACACACACATATATGCATGTGTATATAGGTACATACATATGCACGTGTATATATGTAAATATATATGCATGTGTATATAGATATATAGGCATATATGCGTGCATATATATGTGCATACCTATATATGCATATGTATGTGCATACCTATATATGCATATATATGTGCATACCTGTATATGCATGTGCATATATACATATATATACATGGGTTTGTTTAACTGTTCACCTATTGGAGAACATCAGAGTTGCCTCCATTGTTTTGCTATTCTGAGTATAGCTAATATGAACATCTGTGTGCAAGTTTTTTTTTTTTTTTTTTCTGAGACGAAGTCTCGCTCTGTAGCCCAGGCTGGAGTGCAGTGGCAGCAGTCTCGGCTCACTGCAAGCTCCGCCTCCCGGGTTCACGCCATTCTCCTGCCTCAGCCTCCTGAGTAGGTGGGACTACAGGTGCCTGCCACCACGCCTGGCTAATTTTTCTTTTTTTGGTATTTTTTTAGTAGGGATGGGGTTTCACCGTGTTAGCCAGGATGGTCTTGATCTCCTGACGTCGTGATCTGCCCACCTCGGCCTCCCAAAGTGCTGGGATTACAGGCGTGAGCCACCGTGCCTGGCCTGTGTGCAAAGTTTTTACATAAGTTTTCATTTCTCTTAGGACAAAGGCCCAGGGAGAAAATTTTGTGTTCCAATTGTAGCTGCATATTTAGTTATTTAGTAAACTGCTAGTTTTCCAGCATAACTATTTTATGTTGTATTTCCACCATGAGGTATTAATTTGCCAGGTTCTCAGCATCCTCACCAGCATTACTATTGTTTTTAATCTTAGCCATTCTGGTAGGTGTGTAGTGGCATCACATTGTGGTTTTAATTTGCATTTTTCTAATGGTTAATAATATAAAACATCTTTTCATATGCATATTTGCCATCTCTATATTCTCTTCAATGAAATGTCTGTCAATGTCATTTGTCCATATTTTAATTGGATTATTTCTATTAAGTTTTGAGAATTTTAAAAAAGTGTATACTCATCCTTTGTTGGATTTGTGGTTTACAAATATTTTCTTTCAATCTATAGCTACTCTTTATATACTCTTAAGAGGGTCTTTCCCAGAACAGTTTTCATTGTGATGAAATATTATATCAAATTTTCCTCTTATGAATGATATTTTTAGTATGAAATTTAAGAACTCACTTTCTAGCCATAGATCTCTAAGATTTTCTCCCATGTTTTTGTTTGCTGAAAGTTCTAAGGTTTTACATTTTACATTCAAGTCCATGATCAATTTTTGATCATGTAATGTAAAAAGTGTGACTTTTGTGTCTTTGCCTATGGATGTCCAAAATCTCCAGTTCTACCTGCTGAAAAGCTCTGCTTCTTCCATTGAACTGCTTTTTCCTCTTTGTGAAATATCAGTTGGGTATATTTGATGGGGCCTATTTTTGGGTTATCTAATCTGTTTCACTGATATTCATGTTTTTCTCTTTGACAAAAGCACACTTTCTAAGCACATAAAATTCTAAGGTGAATATATTGAATATGGAATGGATTAATGGATGGATAGATGTTAATATTTAGTGGTTTTTAAGATTTTTAATGTAATATCTGTGTTTCTAAATATAGCTTACAAATTCTTATATGATTCTGCACTTGCTTTCTTTTCAGCTTCTTTTTTTATATCAATATTCTAACACTCTAATTTCCAGCTAAAATAATATTCAACTTTTCTTCACCATGTTACAGTTTTTTTCTGATGCCTTTCTCTGTAATCTTTTCTCCATCTACAAATTAATTTAAATTTATTATAATCATACTTATGGTCCTCACTTAAAAGCTAGTTCCTTCAGGAAAATTGGCGCAATCAACTCTCAAGTTACTTACCTGCTATCTGCATCTATAGCATATTAATCCTCTCCATTCACAGAATTTATCACAATGGTTTGTAATGTAAATTATTTCTCTTTATTTTACTCTTGGGAGACAGTTCTCCATTTGTCTCTCACAGTTCTACCTGGCTTTCTGTGTATATAAAGACTGTAAGGTCCTGGCTATTGCTTTTGGATTTTGCCAAGAGCAATCTTGATGGATGAAGCAATGTCTCTTTCTGCAACATGAAAAGAGATTGCTTATTTCTTGCTTATAAATAAGACAAGATCCTCCAAGTTCAGTACTTCTCTCCTATAACCCACTGCGTGTGCAGGCTTTTCACTTGATCTCAACAGAACATAGAAGATAAAGAAAACCAATGCTAGCATGACACTCATGGCGTGTACTTTTCCAAGAATAATAAAATTGTATGACTCTTCACCTGTGATTCTTGGGTCTTCTGTCACTATCCCTGAAATAGTAATAATTTTATACTTTTTATGTAGGATAAAATCAAAACCCACACCAAATATTTAGCATTAAACTTTAAGTGACAAAAGGGGATGTCATTTCAAATTTTCATCATTGGAACATAAAAGATATATAGTATGCATTAAATATTTACATGTAAAATAATTGATGAGCTATTAATAAGTGGAGAAGTAGTTGTAGCATATATAGGCTATAATGTTGAGTTGGACAGATGGCATAAGAGAAGAAAGCAAAGAGGACTGAGGAAAGATGCCTTGTGTGAGTTCTTGTTGCACGTTAGCCAATTCTGTTTGATTTTGGTAAGATGAATATTAATATTAAACCCCGTCTCATTATTGTTTATTAGTATTCTCTTAATTTTTATTTTTATTTTAGTACTAAAACTTTAGTTTCTTTTTTTCTAAAGTTTATATCGTTTTTCTCTTTACTACTTGAATGTAAGTTCAAAATAATATTATTTTCAAAGAAAGAATATTCCACACAGGTTAACTGACATGCTTCAAATTAAATGATTCACAAATCTTTTTCCAGGCCTACAACCAAAGAATTCTAATTCCTTCATATGTGGATGATAGAAGGAACACATTAATAGGCTTTGCACAGTGAGCTGCTTCAAATTGGAAATTCTGAAACATTCCACCTACATTTGAAGAAAATGTATTGGTTTATATTATCTACTCATCACTTTAACACCTAGATTATAGTGATGTCAAAATCTATATTGTTAATTATCTGTAGTTTTGAAAAAAATGTTTTAGGTGTTGTTTTATTTTGAATTTCCCCAGGTCTTTCCAGATCCAAATGATCAAAAATCTAGTTTAATATAATTAAAATTTAAGTTTTTAAAAGAAATAAAGAAATACTACTATGACTCGGCAATATGATAGGTCTTAAACATATTTGATAAAGATAGGAAAGATCCTTAATCATAGAGACATTAACCCCTGGCAAGGCACCCTAAGGAGGTTCATCTGCCGTATTCTCTTTGTGGGGCCTCTGTCCTCCAATTTGATTAATTTTCTATAGACGGTGCAGCTTTCATTCCACTACCTAACTTTAGGTTTATATTGTGTTTTAGTTATTATTTTATTAGACTGTTTCTGACTAGGCTTTCTGCTCGTAGTAATTCATACCTATAATTATATCTGTAGGATTTCAGGAGTCATTTCCCTAAAATCAAATGCTACATATATCTATTAACATAGGGTAATTTCCAAACACATATTATGATTTGTATCTAACCACTTTTATGCCTCAAATTATTATTACAATTTTGATGAAAAATGAAAGAAAGACACCAGCAGATAAGCAAAATAAAAGTTTTCATAATATTGATATTAATAAATTATAGTAATAATTGTAGCATTTATGTCGTGCTTTATCTCTATAAGACACTGCTGTAATCATTGTTAATGATTAGCATATTTAAACCTCAAAATAACTATAAAAATACACATTATTATCAGTAATAATCATTGATATTAGTAGTAGTAGCATTTGCATTTCATAGAGGAGAAAATATTGATAAAAATGCCATATATCTGGGTAAGTGGTTACATAGTTTAGTAGACACATGTAGTTTTGTTTTTCATTTTTGTTTTTAGAGGTTCAAGTCCTCGCCTCTTAAATTCCCTGGAAAGCACACATAGATTGATTGAAGTGAGAATTCCATCCGATGTTTGTAAGAAGTTCAATCTGTGTCTTTTCTAAAGTGTTAGAGAGGAGGTGACTTTGTACTCCTGTGACCATTATGAGAGGCTTTGGGGGATTCTCACTACTTTCTAGCCTGGCAGAAATGTACAAGTCGTAATCAATTGACATGACTGTCCATCATAACTACATGTTACCCTGGGAATATTCATATTTATTTCCCCCCCTAACATGAGCAATTGTCCAAATCAGTTCAGCACAGCCTAAAGTAAACACTGCAGGCTGGATTGTTGCAGGTCATTTCCAAACATCATTGAGATATGACATTTGCAAACTGGGACAGATTTCAAGTCTGCCTTATATTCCTATACACACAAAACTGAAGTCCTGCCATTTCATTAACACTTCTTTCTGTACTGGACTTGTCATACAGGCTTCCTCACAGTCAACCTTTTCCATCAATTGCTGAGGCATCACATTGTTCATTCAAATTTCTTCCTGCTCTCTATTTGGAGTTGTTTCCTCTTGTCTACTCGAGAGAGATCTAATTATCTTAAGGATATAACATGTCCTTAATTATTCAGGCAATTTCTTCTTTGTCTTCCCTTAGAACTTAAAAAAAATCCCTTATCACAAAGTATTGTAATTATTCCTTCAAGAGTGTCTTTCTCAACAACTAGAATAGGATCTCTTCAAGGCAAGAGTCATTTCAAATTGCCTTAGTACTCTTGATTCTTATGCAACTTCTGGCATATTATAATTTTGTACTAAATATTTAGCTAGTCATTTTATTAATATATATTTATACATTATAGAAAATCTACTAGAAATTCAACTACCATGAAGCAATATATGATTTCATGATTCCGTATATTTTGGTGAAAGTTTGGAGGGTTTTTATTTTTTGTTCTTTGTATAAAACATATTTGTTTAATTTTCATCATGGTAATGAAAATAAGACAAAAGAAAACTAAATTATTTTTATTGTGTGCTAAACATACAATGCCTTTAAAATATAGTATATATTGACTATTTTAAACTTTGGTTGCATTTCTAAAATATTTTAATTAAAACAATCAGATAACCATAAAACATGGCAAGAGAACATTTATAAATGATGTGACCTCAATCAATTTGACTACAGGTGCAATATGTCCCATGCTGACTCCATAGTTAAAAGCTTTAGTGTGTGACTATCCTTAGGAAATTTAAAAATTGTTTAACAATCACTATTACAGACCTATGAAAATATCAAATAAAAAAGTCTATCAGGGACATTTTTCTGTTTGTTTAAATCCATCTCTTCTGACTGTGGCACAGAATTATCACCCTGACTTATTATGCTTTCTAAAGCTTCTATAGCATTAGAAAAAATCATTTCTGTCGAAGTTTAGTTTTTTAGCATCCCTCAAGTGCCTGACCTAAAAACGACAGCATTTTCAGTAGCATGTCCTTCAGACTGATCCTCTACTGGAGTCACCCTAAAAGCTGCAGCTGGAGTTCCCTCAAGGGAGTGCCCAAACTTTTGGAGGTGTGCCAATTATTATTCCAAATGAAGGAGCACTAAATGCCAGGGTGATCAATCCAAAGCGTTTATTAGGGGAACTTCCTTAGAGTGTTAACTGTATATGTTCCCAACAGACAGCAAAGAAAGCAATGTTCTGCATAGGTATATTGGTCCAAGGGCTCAGGGTACGGAATTTATATGAGGGTTTAAGGAATTTACTTCTGGCGGGGGCTAGTTTCTTTCATTGTTTGGGGCAATATTCTAGACACCTTTATAAGTGCCTAGGAATGTTCAAGACTCTAGCTTGGGTTCAAGCCTCCAGGAAAATTTACACAGCTGGTCCAGCCACAGAGAAGTCAAGGCACTCTGTGGTCCTCAGTCAGGACAAGAGAAAAAGCAGGGAGACCTTGGGAAGCCTATAAATAAATAATAATTTGGGCCCAGTCATAACACAAATAACATTCAAATCCTGAATTTTGTAGACTCTTTTGAAAGATATATTTTTATTCTCTATTGGTAAAAATGATACCTTTCCTAGTGTTGTTTGGAGAATTAACAGTAGTAAATAATGTTAATTGAGAACTTACATCATTTAATTCCATTTTAACAATAATCTTGTGCAGATGACACTCATTATTCTCAGTTTACAGATGAGAAAACTGAGGAGCTTCAAGGTTAAAGCAGTAGGTTCAAGGTAATGTAGCTAACAAAGAGTGGCTATGTGAGGAATTTGGGACACTTGAGCCTAACCCATTTTTAAATTGATGAAAATTATCTAGTAAGCATTATAAAAATAATTGTTATTGGCATTATTACTACTGAAACTAGCCTATTTAAATTGACTAAACTCAATAAGACAAAATAATAAAAGATCTTTCTTCTTCTTCCACCACTGTGCTCTGTTGGAAACTGCCTTCTCGCATTTGAAAGGATATTGGGACAGAGGTGCTTCATGTCTTTATAGGAATTGAGAGTAAAGTTTACCCATGGCAACTGGCATTGCCAGCAGTGACAATGCCCTGTCTTCCATCCCAGTGCACTTGGCTCTGCTCCCTGTGCTGCAACATGGCTGCTGGTGACTGTATCCACAGGTGCTGCCTCTGCCTGGTACCCTTTTCCAAAGCTGGCTGCTGTGGAAGACACTCTGGACCCCAGCTCCTCCTTCCCTGAGCAAGTGTGAAGGGCCTTCAAAGTACTGTGGAAACACATTCACCAACACAATTCCAGATGTTCTTCATAAAGCCAGCTATCCAGCTTTATCTTAGGTCTACAAAACATATATCTGATATAGAGTCCAGTATTATTTATACTGTCTCAAAATGGCAGTAGTCTTGGAAAACAGCTAAATGAAATATGATGATGACCACAAGGTGGCATCCAATTAGGATGGTTTCCTAATTCCATCAGTGATTCATATATATCATGTGTCTGTGCTCAAAATGGGTCAGTCTGAGCTTGAAGGCAAGTCTCAGACTCACATTAGTGCTTGAAGCCAGTGGAGATTCTAGTGCTTGTCCTTGGGTGGGTTATTCACAGTATTTTTTTTTTTTTTTTTTACTTCAGGTCATTGAAACAGGTGACACTGTTGTCCACATTCTCAAGGCCCTACAACCTGGTGCTTGGCCACATGGAGGGTTCAGGGCAGTTTTTTTAAACTCTTTACTTATACTTCCTGAGATGATTTTAGAATGGACCTGTGTTTGTGTTGATAGAATGTCTCTCATCAAAACTATATGTATGTATATATTTCAGGGTAAACAATCTATGCTTTCTTTAGAGCTTTGCACCAACTAAAATATTGCAGATGTATAAGATGCTGCCCTGATAACAAGGTGCTGATGGTACTATCCCTGTGATTTAAAAAGAAAAAGATCCAATGGATTGCAATAAGTTTACCAGATCATTATCATTTGTCACAATGTGTAAGATATCAGACCAAAACCTTTACTATGAAGTTTAGAAAAAAAAAAAAAAAAAAAGAACAAGAAAACCATGAGCACAATTGTCCATGAACAGAGTTTATTGTTGTTATTGTTTGTGAGGGAAGAAGCAGATTAGAATTTTCAAGTAAGAAAATTCTGGGTTCTAGTAGTCAATGAATTTCAACCAGCTTGTCTGGGTACATTATTCTTGTCATATTAATCAAAGGTCCACTGGTTAACCTGCAGTAACCACTTCTGTGGTTGACTCAAAATGCATAACACCTGCTTGTTTTTTACCAGAGTAAAAGTGAAGCTTCATGATAAAAAAAAAATCCTGTTTAAGACATGTACTCCTATTCTCATGTAATCATTACATGAATAAAAGTGTAAAGCAAAAGAACCCTTAAATTATAAATTTGAATTTATGTTTTAATTATTGAGGGGACTTGAAATTACTGTTGTTTATTATTTACTTATTTGTTTATTCCTTAAGTGTTATATATCCAAATTATAAATTCCTTAAGCATATTTATGTTGTGAAAAACCTTAATGTGAGGTTCAAATCAAATCCTTTCTTAATAAAATATATGAGCAGTTTTATGTCACAATACAATAGCAAATTCATAATGATCTACCTGATAACAATTATGTTTGTTTATATCAAGGGGAAGGGCTGCAATGGACAAGCACTTTTTTTCAATGCATCATGTTATTAGTTTCTGTGTACTGAGGGCTCAAAACATCTAAACATATTCCATATTTGTTTGAAATGTTTGACTAATAAAAGTCATATTCTTTATATTGATTAGTCAAAAAAAGAGAAGACATTGATATGAAGGATTGATATGGAGAAAATGTCATATTCTATGGTAGGTTAACTTGAGGAAGGTCATTTGATCAACTTCTAGGTGTTTATAAAAAATCTAGTATAAATTAAATTTTAAACTAAAATCTAAATTAAAGTTTATACTCCATCCCTCTTCTTATCTCAGGCCTGACAAGCAGCATGGGAACCAGCTCTGGGAAAGAGGGGTTATTGTCTATACACTTGCATTGCTCCACTGGGCTTCCTCTGCCGCTCTCCATGATTTCTGTTTATGTTACTTAAGGTCAGGCAGAGAGAGTGCAAAAGAGGAATATCAATATACACACATGCATGTGTGAAGGGATGTCAGCCACTTCCCAGAGAAGTTAAAATGGCCAGACACTCAATAATGTGGCCTAACTGATAGTATTTTAGCTACAATTAATACTCTCCTCTTTTTTTAAATTTTTTTTTTGTGTGTGTAAGTAAAATATAATTTGAGAATGACACTACTGCAGGGATAAAATTTTCAGTAGTTTTATAATTCTAAATAATACAAAAACAAAATGTATGGATATTTTGGGTAAGTTGTGAATAAACAGCCTAATGTGTACAGTTGCATGTTTGCATAGCATAAGCAGAAAAGTCTAGATTTTAATCTGTCCTTCCTGTTTCTTCTTTTTTCAATGTTGTTTTCCATGCTATCATAAATATGACAAGTTCTGGGAACCCAAAGTTGAATAAGGAATATGCCAACTCTTAAGCCACTCCATTTCCAGAGTGGGATAAAAATTAGCATGATAATGTACACATGTTGTTTAACAGATTATGAACAGATTGAGATCTTACTGATGTATGATATTTAGCCTGTTGCCAGGGAACCTCACTGCTCTAGTTTATTTTCCTTGTATCTTATTCAATCATTTGTACAAATATGTAATGGGTTCCCACCATGCACTCCTGTAGTAAATAGTACAATCTGTCCCCAATTTACATAGTGGCTACAGTCTTGGAAAATTCAGTGTTTAGTAAAACTGTGCCAAAATGTCTTATATTAATATGTAAAATGGAGTTCGGCTAAGCAGGTCTGGCAGATGTTTTGAATGTTTGGCAAAGATTTAACTCTCATGTGGGACGTAATGTAAGCCGTTGATTTAGGAGGAGTTTTCCTATCTTGCACATTTTCTAGCATTCCTGTCCTAAAACAACTAAATCCAAGTGACATGATCAACAATGTCCCCATACATTTCAGAAGTGCAGCCTGTGAGGCAGTTTTTTCCTGTTTAGATGCATGATCTAATAATGATTTTTTTTTTAACGGTTAGTATACTTATTTCATAAGGAAAGAAAATTTGGATTTGCACTTTGGTATTCCTATAGGATGTTCCAGTATGTTGATTCACCTCAAGCTTTTCCCATCAAAACAAAAAATCTGCTCCTGAATAGCAGGCACTCCAGATGATCATTGGCTACTGTGGACTTAGTAGTCTATACATGTAGGCACTTTCATAATTAATTGTCACTCTCCATAGCTTAGAAATGCGAGTTTTAGGTGAAACCTAACATGCCTCACTCTCAAGAGAAATTGATTTTCCTAAGCTATTCATAGGCTTTCTTTACTCAACCGTTACACATTACAGCCCTCCCTTTCACAGGAACACAAAAATCTTTCACTCTGGGAATAACCTAGAACTCCTCTGATTTTCTGAGAGGAGAGAACTTTGTCATTTGTTGGCGGAAAACAGCAGCAAGGGGGAGGTGGAGTAGATTGGGTATACGAGTGTATTACATTTTTTGAAATGTAAGAAGAACATGGGATTAAATGTGATTTTCTTCTAACTACTTAGGAAAACATTAATAATTTGTATAATGTCTTCAGTTTTTCAAAGGGCAATCAAAACTTGGCATGGTTTTGCCCTAAAAATTCAGAAGGCTTTTATAGTATCAATAAGGTGAATTTTTATACAAGTAGAGATATATATATATTCAAAATCTAAAGGTCCCTAGCATTATTTAGCATGTTTAAATATTAAACATTTTCATAAATCAGAAAATTGTAAAATGTAATATAGATCATGTGTTATTAATATTTTGCCTAACCTACCGATTAAGATATTTAGAAATCAAATATAGTTTCTAATGAGAAGAAATTACTCATTAAGAAAGTGGAACTCATTGATAATGAAACTAAAAGGTCATAATTTTAATAAAGGAATAATACTTTATGCAACTAAAAATTTATATATACTTAATATATCTTATTTGTCTCTTGTGAGTGTACTTGGGGAAGAATATACTATATTATCTTATGGCCATGTAATCACAAAATAATTTTAATGCAACAAAGTAAGGCTTTATCTTCTTAATACATGAGATAATTTTATAAATTTTATGTTGTCTTGGTGCAGTAGTTCATTTACTCTCAGAGTTGCTTAGTAGAGCTTTATGAGAACTGAATTAAGATGTGGATCCAAATTTGATTTATGTTCAGAATAACTTTGTTTTTATAAAATTATTTTATATCTCAGCAAGTATTTAAATAATTTATAGTAATGAATATAGCATGTTGAATTTTCATTTACTATGTTGAATTTAAGATGCCATAACAAAATTAGTGAAGTTGAATTAAATATCATAATGTATCTTACTAATGTCCCTAATTTAAATTTTTTAGTATGCATGCAAAACATCTAATGTAAATACCATTAAATAAAATAGAATATTTCTGTAGTTGGATAGTCTTAAAGTGAAATCTATTTAAAATCAACTATGCTTAAGTAAAAATTAATCTAACAATTCTGAAAACATAAAAATGTTTGAATTTAATCCTTATTTCTAAAAGTAATACGTTGTCCTCAAAAATGAATTTATGATTGTGAGAATGAATACATTTTGAATTGCAAAATGATAGATGTTTTTCTCTTCTAGCTTTTGCTTTCTTTCATTATATTTAGAATTATCAAGATAACATCATTTGAGAGGGCAGTTTTTCTCTCCTGGTGGGTTTTATTTAACATTTCAAACAGCATATTGACTGAAGGTGCAAAGTCAGTTTATGTCTCAACTCTACCACTTACTAGCTGTGCAATCTCAGCAAGTTATTTAAACTCTATTTGCCTAAGTTTCATTAATAGATATCATAAATATGGATTTTAGCAATGGATGATGTCCAAAATGTACTCATTGTCACAACTGCAGCTTTCTTTGTGCCTAGGAAAATTGGATTGCACTTTCCTACTAAGTTTGGTGAGGAATGTGGGGGAAAATTTTAAATAGTGAAATCACCAACAAAATACACAAAAGTGCAGAAGAAAGTGACACCAAGTAGGATGAACAAAGAACACTTGTTTACTCTGGAAGAGCTGAAATAGATGCATGTTAAAGTATTCTTTTCAGTCGTGTTTTCAAATATATTGGCAACAGTTACATAATCATGCTTCCCACTTTTTTTTAATAAACTGAGAATGTGGTGAATTATTCTGATTGATTTTCAAATCAATCAGTCTTGCATCCTTTGAAAAAACCTGACTTGGTATTGGGAATCATTCTAATATTTATTTTGTTGAATTCTATTTGGTATTACATATTGTGTGTTCCACTACAACTTTACTAATGGACATTGAAATTTTAATATTTACATATCAATAAATCTTCTTAAATATGAAACTAATCTTAAAGCAGTACAAAAACAGACAACAAGCCAGATTTGGCCTACAGACAGTAGTTTGCCCACCCCTGCTTTTATGTATGTCCTTTTTCAAAGACAGATTCCTGGGTTTTACTCTAGATTGACTCAAACAGAATAACTGAAGGTAGGGACGTGAATGTGGATTTTTAAAAATACCATATTAGGTTTACAGAAAAATTGAGAGCAAGTACAGAGATTTTCCATATACCCCCTTCCCTAACACATGCAGAGCCACCCCCATCGTCAATATTCATCACCACAGTGGTACATTTGTTACAACGGATGAACCTACATCGACAAATCATAATCACCTGAAGTCTGTAGTTTATATTAGGTCTGGTAGTCTATAGATTTGGACAAATGCATAATGACATGGATTCACCATTGTAATATATTATACAGATTATTTTAACTGCTCTAAAAATTCTCTGTGCCCTTTCTAGTGACCCATTCCCCCAACACACTAACAAAACAAACAATAACTGGCAATCACTTTTTTTTTTTTTACTATCGCCTTAGTTTTGCCTTTTCCAGAATGTCATATAGTTGGAATCATAAAGTATGTAAAATATGTAGTTTTTTCAGATTGGCTTCTTACACTTGGTAATGTGAATTTAAGATTCTTCCATGTCTTTATTTTTTTTGTCTTCACCCCCCTATTTGTTTTTAGCACTAAATAATATTCCATTGTCTAGATGTACCACTGTTTACTTATCTATTCACCCCCTGGAAGAACATTTTGGTTGTTTTCAAGTTTTAGCAATTATGAATAAAGTTGCTATAAACATCATGTGCAGCTTTTGTTTGGAAATAAGTTTTCAACTCCTTTGGGTAGGTAACAAGAAGTGCACTTGCTAAATCATAGAGTAAGAACATGCCGAATTTTATAATAAACTACCACAGCTATCTTTCAAAGTGGCTGTAACATTTTGCATTTTCACCAGCAATTATTGAGAGTTACTGTGGCTATGGCTCCAGTTTTGCCAGCATTTGGTGTTTTCAATGTTCAAGGATTTTGGCCATTCTAAAATATGTGTAGTGGTATCTCTTTGTTGGTTTAATTTACATGTCTATGACTTGGAGAATCTTTTCATATATTCATTTGCCATCAGTATATCTTTTATATGTAGATTTTTATTTTAACTTTTAATCAAATAAAAGCATATACATAGTTTAAAAGAAACCAAATTATACTGTTGGATTGGTAGCGAAAAACCACAAGCCTTTGGTGTTTCTCTGCCTGCCCCTGATTTTATTTCCCCCAGAGACAACTACCTTTAACTCTTAGCAGTTCTTATTGTAGTTTTTTTCTTAAAAAAATTATACTGCTTTTTTGGGCTTTTCCAATATTAGATCTTGATTTCCACCATCTCACACACACACACACACACACACACACACACACACACACACATCTCCCTTCTCTCCCATCCTTCCAATGTTATAGAATCATTTATTGTTAAATTAGTATTCAGTATTTACATAATTATGACTGACTTTACCTGACTGGTATTGCTCACAGTTGAGGTATACAAAGTAGTTTTTGGATTTTTATTATTCCTGGGATTCATAATTACCTCAGTTTTATTTTCTTAATTTTGAAAAATATGCAGATTACTAATTTTCTCCACACTCTCTGAAAAATTAAAACTCTTTAGTCTATATTCAAATACATCAGGTATTCTATCACTTTATTTTTTAAAACTGCCCACCTGAACTCTCCATCTCTAGGCATTTCCTGTTGACTTCATACTGTTCTCCCGTACCACTCTCCCTTTTTAATACAGTTGTATTATGATTTTAGAAATGGTCTGGCTATATTGTAATAAAATGTCTTTTTTTGCCTCAGGACCAGAACATATCTTTCAATTTTCTACTTAATAAGGACATTACAACTGTTTCATTTACCTTCGCCTCCCTGTCAGCATTCCCACTTGTGTTTTCAGCTGTATTTTTAAAACATGGTAAATAATATGTGCATTCTACTTTGTAACCATAATTAAGTGTGCCCTTAAACAATAAAAACCATAAATAGTATTTGTATTACTGTGATTAATTGAATCGTATTCACTGAATAGCCAAGCTTGGTGCTATGATGAACTTCCTTTCCTTTGGCTCCAAGGTCTTGATCCACGTGCTGTCACAGGAGCATTGAAATGAGCCCATTTTCTTAGAAGCTCATCATTTGTTCAAAATCCTGCAGCATTTTATCTCTGGTACTTGGAGGATGCTTTTTCTGTACAGTTTTACTTTTTTTCACCAGAAGTTTCTGATTATCTTTGTTTTCTCTTGTGGGATGAAGAAATATATGCCTTCTATGTCATCATTTTTATGTGGTCTTAAAATATATTTTGGATAACAGTCCTTTATGAGATGTGTCTTTTGCAAATATTTTCTCTCAGTATATGGTTTGTCTTATTCTCTTAGCATTGTCTTTTGCAGAGAAGAAGTTTTTAATTTTAACGAAATTTAATGTATGAATTGTTTATTTACAAATTGTGCCTTTGGTACTGTATCTAAGAAATCATTGCCGTATACAAGGTGATCTAGGTTTTCCTCCATGTTATCATCTAAGAGTCTTACAGTTTTATAATTTATCTTAATACTTATGATCCATTTTGAGTTAGTTTTAATGAAGGGTATAAGTCCTGGGTCTTTATTAATTATTTTGTATGTGGCTGTCCAGTTATTCCAGCAGTTTGCATAAAAGATTATCTTCTTTTCACTGTATTGCCTTTGTTCATTTGTCAAAGATCAGTCGATCTTTATCAGCTTAGGTGGGTCTATTTCTGGGCACTCTTTTTTTGTTACAAGGATCTCTTAGTCTGTTTTACCTTTATAGTAATTCATGATGTCAGGTATTGTCAGTTCTCCAACTTTGTTCTCTAGGTGTTGTGTTGGCTGCTCTAGGTGTTTTGCCTCTCAATATAATCTTCAGAATAAATTTGTCAGTCTCCACAAAATAACTTAGTGGAATTTTGTTTGGGATTGTATTAAATGTATATATCAGTTTGGAAATAACTGACATCTTGACAATATTGAATTTTCTTATCCGTGAACATGGAATATCTCTTCATTTATTTGGTTCTTTTAAAATTTCTTTTATCAGTTTTGTATTTTTCCCATATTAAACATATTTTATTTGATTTGTACTTAAGTATTTCATTTTGGGGGAGCATAAATGTCACTATGCTTTAAATGTACAATTCTACTTGTTCATTGCAGGTATGTCAGACATTGATTGACTCTTGCATATTTAACCATGTATCCTGCAATCCTGCTATAATTGTTTATTAGTCGATCATGACATCTGTGAACATGTGATTGTTTAATTTGTTACCCCGCCATTTATATACTTTTATTTCCTTTTCTTGTCTCATTGTATTAGCTAGAACTTTCAGTATGATGTTGAAAAGGAATGGGGAGAGAGAACTTCCTTGTTTTGTTCCTGATCTTAGTGAAAAAGCTTCAATTTTCTCAAACCATTCTCTATCAAGTTGAGCAAGTTCCTCTCTATTTCTAGTTAGCCGAGTATTTTTATCAAGAATGAGTACTTGATTTTGTCAAATGCCTTTTCTGTATCTATTATATTATCATGTGACTTTTTTTCTTTTAGCCTATTGATTTGTTCAAGTACCGTATTTGATTAGTGTAATTAATTGCATACCTGCTAAATTGTGCTTAATTGTGGTGTACAAAAATGTGTCCTTACACATTTTTGGATTCGATTTGACATTTTGTTTTGTATTTTATCTAACATATTTTGAGAATTTTTGCCTGTACCTCCATGAGAGATATCAGTTTGTAGTTTTCTTTTCTAGTAATATTTTCATCTGCTTTTGGTATTAGAATAATGCTGACCTGAGGGAATAATAAATTATTTCCACTTCTTCTATCTTCTGAAAGATATTGCTGAGAGGTGGCATAATTTCTTCCATAAATGATTCATAGAATTCACTAGTAAACCTATCTGTGCAAGGTGTTTTCTGTTTTGAAAAATTATTTATTATTGATTCACTTTCTTTAATAGATATAGGCCTGTTTAGATTGTCTATTTCTTCCCATATGAGTTTTGGCAAACTGTATTTTTCCAGAAATTGGTCAATTTCATCTAGGTTATTAAATTTGTGAGCATTTGTTGTTCATAACATTCCTTTGTTATTATTTTAATATCCGTGTTCTCCGTAGTAATGTAGTAATGTTTCCTTTTTCATTTACGATATTAGTATATTTTGTGCTAACTCTGTTTTTCTAATTTAGCCTGGCTTTACTGATCTTCTCATATAACTAGTTTTTGATTTTGCCGATTTTTCCATTGATCTGTTTTCAATTTCATTGATTCCTGCTTTAATTCTTATTTCTCTACTTTCTGGTTATTTTAGATTTAATTTGCTCTTATTTCTCTAATTTCCTAAGGTGGAAATAAGATTATTGATTTTAAATAATTTTTCTTTTCTTACATATGCATTTAATATTTTTTTCTCCAAGCACTGCTTTTGCTGCATCACGTTAATTTCAATGTTGTGTTTTCATTTTCGTTTAGTTCAAAATATTTTTTAATTCTCTAGAGATTTATTTTTTGACCAACATATTGTTTAATTACAAGTGTGTTGTCTGATCTCCAGGTATTTTTGGATTTTCTAGTCCTTTTTCTATTATTGATTTCTAGTTTAATTCCATTGTCATGTAAGAGCAAACATCCTAAGATTTCTATTACTTTAAATTTGTTAAGGTATATTTGATAACCCAGAATGTGTTCTATCTTAGTGAATTTTTAATGTAAGCTTGAGAAGAATGTGTGTTCTGTCGTTCTTAAAGTAGTGTGACTATTTTAATTATATCCAGTTGTTTCATATCATGATTGAGTTCAACTCTGTCCTTACAGATTTACTGCCTGATAGATCTGTTCATTTTTGATATAGGGGTTTTGAAGTCTACAATTATAATAGTTGATTGATCTGTTTCTCCATGCAGTTCTAAATATTTTTATCCTATGTAGATTGATGCTCTGTTGTTAGGCACATATATGTTAAGAATTATTATGTCATCTTGGAGGAATGATGCCTTTGTCATTGTATAATACCGTTCCTTATCCCTGGTAACTATTCTTGATGTGGAGTCTGCTCTGTCTGAAATAAATATAGCTATTTCTGATTTCTTTTAAGGTGCTAATATGTTATATTTTTCTTCATTCATTTACTTTAAATCTACATGTGTCTTTATATTTAAGGTGGGTTTCTTGTAGACCACATACCGTTGAATCTTATTTTTTTATTAATGCTGACAATTTGGGTCTTTTAATTGATGAGTTTACACTATTGACATTCAAAGTGGTTACTGATAATGTTAGATTAGTGTCTACCGTATTTGTAACTGCTTTTGCTTGTCTTTAATCTTGGATCATATTTTTGTCTTAAGCTATTTTTCTTCATGTGGTTTTAACTGAACATTTTACATGATGCCATTTCCTTTCTTTACATTATCACATACACTTCTTTTTTTTAACTTTTTTTTTTAGTGGTTGCCTTAAAGTTTACAATATCCTTTTACAACTACTCCAAGTTCACTTTTAAATAGCACTATACTGCTTCATGGGTACTGTATGTTATAATAACAAAATGATCCTAATTCCTTCTGTCAATCCCCTTTATCATTGTTTTCATTCATTTTTATTATATATAAAATACATAATCCAATGCATTGTTGCTATGATTATTTTGAACAGATTGTTATCTGTTAGATAAGCTAAGAGTAAGACCAATAAAAGTTCTTATTTGATGTTTACTTATTCTTTTTTAATGCTCATTCCTTCTTTATGAAGATTTGAATTTCTGACCTATATTATTTTCCTTCTCTTTAAAGCATTTTTTAAATATTTCTTGCAAGACAGTTCTAAAATTCCCTCAATTTTTGTTTGTCTGAGAAAGTTTCTCCTTTAGTTTTGAAGAATAACTTTTCAGGGCACAGAATTCTAGGTTGGTATGTGTTTTTTTTCTTTCTTTGAAAACATTTTATACTACCTTCTTCTTGCCTGTATGCTTTCTGAGGAGAAGCAGGATGTAATTCCTATCTTTATTTCTCTATAGTTAAGGTGTTTTATTTCTCTGACTTCAAACAATATTTGTTTTTAACCTTTGATTTTCTGTATTTGTAAATGACATGTCTATGTGTAGTTTTTTGTTTGTTTTGCTTTGTGTGTGTGTCTGTGAGTGGGGTGTGTGTGTGTGTGTGTGTGTGTGTGTGTGTAATTATCCTGCTTGGTATCCTTTGAGCTTCCCAGACCTGCAGTTTGGTGCCTGTCATTAATTTGAGAAAATTCTCAGTTATTATTTTTTCTAATATTTCTTATGTTCCTTTCTCTCTTTCTTTTTTCATTATTCTCATTAAATACACATTTTTTAAAATTTTTAATGTTTGTGGGTAAATAGTAGGTGAATATATTTATGGGGTACATGAGATGTTTTGAAACAGGCATGCAATGTGAAATAAGCACATCATGGAGAATGAGGTGTCCAAGCCCTCAAGCATTTATCCTTTGAGTTACAAACAATCCAATTATATTCTGTATTTAAAAATGTGCAGCTAAGTTAACATTGACTATAGTTACTCTACTATACTATCTAATAGTAGGTCTTATTTTTTCTTTCTAACTATTATATTTTGTACCCATAAACCATCCTCACCTCTCTCCCATTCCCCCACTACCCTTCTCAGCTTCTGGTAATCATCCTTCTACTCTCTATGTCCACAAATTGAATTTTTTTCTATTTTTAGATCACATAAATATGTGAGAAGATCCAATGATTGTCTTTCTGTGCCTGGCTTATTCCACTTAATATAATGATCTCTAGTTCCATCTGTATTGTTACAAATGACAAGATCTTATTCTTTTTTGTGGATGAATAGTATTCCATTGTGGATATGTACCGCTTTTTTTTTTTTTTCCCAGACGGAGTCTCACTATCATCACCCAGGTGGAAGTGCAGTGGTGCAATCACAGCTCATTGCAGTCTCAAGCTTCTGGGCCCAAGCAATCCTCCTGACTCATATTTTTATTTTTTGTGGAGATGAAGTCTCACTGTGTCGCTCAGGCTGGTCTTGAACTCCTGGGCTCAAGCGATTTGCCTGCCTTGACCTCCCAATGCAACACATATTTTTTATCCATTCCTCTGTTAATAGACACGTAGGTTGCTTCCAACTTAGCTATTGTAAACAGTGTTGCAATCAACATAGGAGCACAGATAGCTCTTCAATGTAACTATTTGCTTTTTGCAAGTATATACCTAGAAGTGGGATTGCTGAATCACATGATAGCACAATTTTTAGTTTATTGAGGAACCTCCAAACTGTTCTCTGTAGTGGTTGTACTAATTTACATTTCCACCAATAGTGTACAAAGGTTCCCTTTTCTCTACATCCTCACAAGTATTTTTTATTGTCTGTCTTTTGGATATAAGCCATTTGAACTGAGGTGAAATAATATCCCAGTATAATTTTGTTTTGCATTTCTCTGATGATCAGTGATGTTAAGCACTTTTTCATAAGCCTGTTGGCCAACTGTATGTCTTCCATTGAGAAATGTCTATTCAAATCATTTATCCATGTTTAAATTGGATTATTAGATTTTTTCGTATAGAGTTGTGTGAGCTCCATTTGTATTCCAGGTATTAATCCCTTGTCAGATGTGTAGCTTGAAAATATTTTCTTCCATTCTGTTGGTTGTCTCTTCACTTTGTTGATTTTATCCCTTTCTGTGTAGAAGCTTTTTAACTTGATGTGATCCTATTTGTCCATTTTTGCTCTGTTTGCCTGTGCTTCTGGGGTATGGTTTGAGAAATTTTGGCCCAGACCTATATGCTGGAGATCTCCCCCAAGGATTTCTTGTGATGGTTTCATAGCTTTTGGTCTTAGATTTAAGATTTGAATCGTTTTTATTTGAGTTTTTAAATGGCAAGGCATAGGCATCTAGTTTTCTTCTTCTGCATATGGATATCTAGTTTCCCCAGCACCATTTGTTGAAGAGACTGTATTTTCTGTGATGTATGTTCTTGACACCTTGTTGAAAATAAGTTCACTATAGGTGTCTGGATTTGTTTCTGCATTCTCCATTCTGTTCCACTGGGTTATGTGTCTGTTTTATGCCAGTATTATACTGTTTTGGTTACTATACCTATGTAGTGTAATTTGAATTCAGGTAATGCGATTCCTCCAGTTTTGTTCTTTTTGCTTAGGATGGCTTTGACTATTATGAATCTTTAATGGGTCCATATAAATTTTAGAATTATTTTCTATTTCTGTAAAGAATATCATTGGTATTTTGATAAAGGTTGCATTAAATCTGTAGATTACTTTCAGTATTATGGAGATTTTAAAAATATTGATTCTTTCGATCCATGACCATGGAATATTTTTCCATGTTTTGGTGTCCCTTCAATTTCTTTCATCAGTATTTTATAGTTCTCATTATAGAGATCTCTCATTTCTTTGGTTAAGTTAATTCATAGGTATTTAATTTTATGTGTGCTTACTGTAAATCAGAAAACTTTCTTGATTTTTTTTAGTTTGTTCGCTGTTGGCATATAAACATGCTACTAAATTTTGTATACTGATTTTGTATCCTGCAACTTCACTGGATTTGTTCATTAGTTCTAATTTTTTTATCATGTCTTATATATATATATTTTATTATACTTTAAGTTCTAGGGTACATGTGCACAACGTGCAGGTTTGTTACATATGTATACATGTGCCATGTTGGTGTGCTGCACCCATGTCTTTTTAAGGTTTTTCCAAATATAAGATCATATCATTTGCAAACAAGGATAATCTGATTTCTTCCTTTCCAGTTTGGATGCTCTTTGTATCCTTCCCTTGTCTGATTGCTCTAGCTAGGATTTCCAGTGCTGTGTTGAATATACAGTGGTGACAGTGGGCATCCTTGTCACATTCCTATCTTAGAGGAAAGGCTTTTTCCCCATTCAGTATGATACTAGATGTGGGTCTGTCGTTTATGGTTTTTATTATGCTGAGATATGTTTATACTATCGCCAGTGTTTTGAGAGTTTTTATCACAAAGGGATGTCAAATTTGTTGAAATCAAGTGCTTTTTCATTATCAATTGAAATGATCATATGTTTGTTATACGTTATTCTGTTGATGTGATATATATCATTGATTAATTTGTATATGTTGAACCATCTTTACATCCCAGGGATAAATCCCACTTGGTCAAGATGAATGATCTTTCCAATGTATTGTTGAATTTGGTTTGCTAGTATTTTGTTGAGGATTTTGTCATTAATATTAATCAGATATACTGGCCTGTAGTTCTATCTCTTTTTTTTTTTTTTAAAGAATGAATTTGGAAGGCTTCCTTCCGCCTCTATTTTTTTTAATTAGTTTGAGTAGAACTGCTATTTGTTCTTCATGAAATTTTTGGTAAAATTCAGCAGCAAAGTCATGAGGTCCCAGGCTTTTCTATACTTGGAGACTTTTTATTATTGCTTTGATCTCATTACTTGTTATTGGTCTGTTCTGGTTTTAGATTTCTTCCTGGTTTAATCTTGATAGGTTATATGTATCCAGAAAGTTGTCTACTTCTAGAATTTCCAGTTTCTTGGCATATAGTTGTTCACAGTAGCCACTAATGATTCTGTCACTAAATTTCTACAGTATTCATTGACATGTCTTTGTTTTCGTTTCTGATTTTATTTATTTGGATCTTCTCTATTTTTTTTCCTTCATTAGTCTGGCTAATGTTTTGTCAATTTTTTCTGCCTTTTCAAAAAGCAACTATTTGTTTCCTTAATCTTTTTTTTATTACAATTTTATTTTATTTGTCTTCTGATCTTTATTATTTCTTTTCTTCTACTAATTTTGGTTTTGGTTTGCTCTTGCTTTTCTAGTTCTTTAAGTTGCATCATTAGACTGTTTATTTTCAATCTTGTTTATTTAGAATCTTGTTTATCTTGTTGATTAAGGTGCTGTCCAACAGTCAGAGACTAGAGTAAAAACCTTAGAAGTATACCTGGTGTTTTATTTTCTGGGGGTTAAGCTGGCGCTCAAACCACAGGATGCAACTCTAACTTCTCTTCCCTCTCCTTTCTAAAGGTGGAGAAGTCTCACCCTGTAGCCACTGCCACACTGGGTGATATGGTTTGGCTATGTGTCCCCACCCAAATCTCATGTCCATTTGTAATCCCCACATGTCAAGGGAGGAACCTGTCATCCCCAAATGTCAAGGAAGGGAAGTGATTAGATTATGGGGGCAGTTTCCCTCATGCTGTTCTCGTAGTGGTGAGTGAATTCTCACGAGATCTAGTGATTTTACAAGTGGCAGCTTTTCCTGTGCTCTCTCATTCTCCTGCTGCCTTGTGAAGAATGTGCCTGCTTCCCCTTCTGCCATGATTGTAAGTTTCCTGAGGCCTCCCCAGCCATGCAAAACTGTGAGTCAATTAAACCTCTTTTATTTATAAATTATCCACTCTCAGGCAGTTCTTTGTAGCAGTGTGAAAACAGACTAGTATATCATGTCATGAGGAGTACTACTAGATTACCAGCCAATGTTTCCTTAAGACCCCAGGGCTCTTAAGTCAGCTAAGGTGAATGCTGCCTGGCATGGAACTCACCCTTCAGGGGAATGGGCTCCCCTCTGGCCCAGAGCAGGTTCAGAAATGCCATCCAAGAGTCAAGTCATGGAATAGGGGACCCCAGGAGCCTGCTTGGTGCTCTGCCCCACTGTGGCCATGCTAGTACCTAAGGTGGAAGAAAAAGTGCCCTTTACTTTTCCCTCTGCTTTTCTAAAGCAGGACGAGTTTTGCCCAGTAACCTCCACAGCTGGTAATGTGCTGAGTCTCACCTAAAGCCAGCAAGTCACAAAGGCTCACATAAGGCCCTCAATGGGTCAGGGCCCAGTGGCTGTTGGGTTAGCAGGTGAGGAATGCTTCCAAGATTGGGTCCTTCCTTTGATGGCAGCAGGTTCCCTTCTGGCCCAGGTTGTGTCAAGTAATGTTGCCTGGGAGCTAATGCCTAAAGCAGGGGCCTCACTCGTCCAGCTGGTTGCCCTATCCTACTGTGGCTGAGCTGGTATCCTAGATGTAAGACAAATTCGTCCCTACTTTTCCCTCTTCTCTCCTCAAGCAAAAGGAATGGGTCTCTTCTGGAACTATGAGCTGTGCAGCTTGGGGTTAAGGAAGGGTGATGCCAACATTCCCTTGGCTTCCCCAGCTGGCGTCTCAGTATGTTGTGTGCCCTCCCAGTTCACTGTCTCTGGGCCTAGTTCAGCACTAGGCCTCGCCTATAAGTTGCAGTCCTTATAGCCCAGACTGCCTTTCAAGTTTACTTGGAGACACACAGTACTGTAGCTCTCAGTGGCAAGGTTGCAAGCACTCATGTTCCGTCTGCTGGGATCAGCAGTTTTCCCCTGGCTAGGGCTGGTTTAAATGTTCCCCCTGTGGGTGAGCATCAGCTGAGTTTGGTCTGGTTTTCTTTTCTGATTTGATAGGAAAACACTGAGTTTAATACTTGGACTCATAATTGCTGTGTTCTCCCTCCCCCAGTGCCCAGAGACCCTCCACACACCATGCCATGGCTTCCAAGGGTGGAGCACAGGTGGCACTGATGATTCAACACTGTTTTTTCAACATCTTCAGTGCCTCTTTTGGCAATATGAAGTTAAAACCAGGTACTATGACTGTTCACCAGAGTTTTGGTTCTTATAATGGTGTTTTTTCTGTGTAGATAGTTGTTAACTTGGTGTCTTTGTGGGTGGAGCTTTCTGTTCTGCCATCTTTCTCTGCCTCCCAATTACACCTTTGTAGTTGTCACACAGTCCTTTGATTTTCTGGTGTGTATGTGTCTGTGTGTGTGTGTTTAAGCCTCTATTTTCTTTGCTTTTTAGTTTTAGAAGTTTTTATTGATATATATATATATATGCATTCAGCCTGATAATTTCAACATCTCTGCCATGTATGGTTCTGATGCTTTATCTCTTCAAAATATGCTTTTTACCTTTTAATAAAACTTGTAATTTTTTCTTGATAGCCAGACATAATATATCAGGTGAAAGAAACAACTATAAATAGGTCTTTGGTAATGTGGTCATAAGGTGTGAGGGGAGGAAAAGTATTTTACAGCCTTATGATTAGACTTCAGTCTCTTAGTGAGCCTGTCTCTGGACTGTGAACTTCACAAATGCTTCTCAATTCTTCTTAGGTGGAACAGGATGGCTTGAGTAGCTAGAGTTTTGTATTTCCCTTTTCTCACATGGAAGGGTACAGCTGTGTGAAGTTTAGTGTTTTTTTATCCTCAGGGCAGTCTTGATAAAACACCACGAGGTTAGACTCTGGGTTAAATAGTTTCTTTTGAGGGCAGAACTTGTTAGGAATAGAGTGCTCTGGCATATTTCAAAATAATCTCTTTTTGTCTTCTGCTAAAACACAGCGGGATTTACTGTGAGAATCTGGTCACACTCCTAGAGGCAAAACCCACAAAACTGTGGTGTCCCCCTATGACTGGGTTCTCCTGAAGTTTTCTTTCTCTTCTTGAGAGCGTCACTTTGTCGCCCAGGCGGAAGTGCAGTGGCGTGATCTCGGCTCATGCGACATCCACCTCCCGTGGTTCAAGTAATTCTTCTGCCTCAGCCTCCCAAGTAGCTGGGACTACAGGCATGCACCACCACGCTCAGCTAATCTTTATATTGTAAATAGAGATGGGGTTTCTTCATGTTGGCCAGGCTGGTCTCAAACTCCTGGCCTCAAGTGATCCACCCACCTTGGCCTTCCAAAGTGCTGGGATTAGAAGCGTGAGCCATCCTGCCCGGCCACTTGAAGTTTTTAACTCTCATACTTGTCCACACTGAACTTCCAGCACCTTGTTAATTACAGTTTGTGTTTTCCTACCCTAGCACTGTATCCTGTGGCAGTTTTCACTCACAAGCCTCTGCTCCAGCCATAACTCCCTGTATTTGTCTGACTTTTCAGTCTTGGGGCTTCAGTTTGCCTTTGTCCTCGTCTCTTTTATAAATCAAGAAGAGGTACTTATTTTTTTAACCTGTTTGGTTTTTAACTTAATGGTGATTTCAAATCTCTTTACGTGGAGAACTGGAAACCAGAAGTACAGAATCTGCCTATTTGATAATATTTTGTTAAGAATATTTGTGTCTATATTCAGCAAGTATATTTGGTTGTAGTTTTCTCTTTCTTTATTTCTCTGTTGAGTTTTGATATCTTGATAACATTAAGTTTATAAAATGAATTTAAGAGTACTTTCTTCTTTTCTATTTTCTGAAAAAAATGTATAAAAATAGTGTTATTTTGAGATACGTTCCATTAATAGCTAGTTTATTGAGAAATTTTAGCATGAAGGGATGTTGAATTTTGTCGAAGGACTTCTCTGCATCTATTGAGATAATCATGTGGTTTTTGTCATTGTTTCTGTTTATGTGATAGACTACGTTTATTGATTTGCGTATGTTGAACCAGCCTTGCATCCCAGGGATGAAGCCGACTTGATTGTGGTGGATAAGCTTTTTGATGTGCTGCTAGATTCGGTTTGCCAGTATTTTACAGAGGATTTTTGCATCAACGTTCATCAGGAATATTAGCCTGAAATTTTCTTTTGTTGTTGTGTCTCTGACAGGTTTCAGTATCAGGATGATGCTGGCCTCATAAAATGAGTTACGGAGTATTCCCTCTTTTTCTATTGTTTGGAATAGTTTCAGAAGGAATGATACCAGCTCCTCTTTGTACTCTGGTAGAATTCAGCTGTGAATCCATCTGGTCCTGGACTTTTTTTTTGGTTGGTAGGCTCTTAATTACTGCCTCAATTTCAGAATTTGTTATTGGTCTATTCAGGGATTCATCTTCCTGGTTTAGACTAGGGAGGGTGTATGTGTCCAGGAATTCATCCATTTCTTCTAGATTTTCTAGTTTATTTGTGTTGAGGTGTTTATAGTATTCTCTGATAGTATTTTGTATTTCTGTGGAATCAGTCGTAAATCCCCTTTATGATTTTTTATTGTGTCTATTGGATTCTTCTCTCT
Source organism: Homo sapiens (assembly GCF_000001405.40). NCBI lineage: Eukaryota > Metazoa > Chordata > Mammalia > Primates > Hominidae > Homo > Homo sapiens. Next base: position 195,357,314 of record NC_000001.11, on the reverse strand, counting down.
TTTCTTCTTTATTAGTCTGGCTAACGGTCTATTTTGTTGGTCTTTTCAAAAAACCAGCTCCTGGATTCATTGATTTTTGGAAGGGTTTTTCATGTCTCTATCTCCTTCAGTTCTCTGATCTTAGTTATTTCTTGTCTTCTACTAGCTTTTGAATTTGTTTGCTCTTGTTTCTCTAGTTCTTTTCATTGTGATGCTAGGGTGTCGATTTTAGGTCTTTCCTGCTTTCTCCTGTGGGCATTTAGTGCTATAAATTTCCCTCTAAACGCTGCATTAGAGGGGAATTAGAGATTCTGGTACGTTGTGTCTTTGTTCTCATTGGTTTCAAAGAACTTATTTATTTCTGCCTTAATTTCATTATTTACTGTTTAAATCGGGTAATTGTTATTTTTATAACTTCTGGGTCACTGATTCACTCTTTTTCTCTCCAATCTGCTCTTGAACCCATTTATTGAGATTTTATTTCAGATATTGGATTTTCAATCCCAACACTTTCATTTAGTCTTTTTTATCATCTTTTTTTTTCTGAGACTTATTTTTGTGAGGTTTTTAAAACAATTTGTTTCAAATATTTACAATCGCCTTCTGAGATTTTTGCTTTTTATGATGGTTGCTTTAAAAGTCTTATTAGATAATTTAATAATTCTTTCTTCTTGGTGCCAGTATCTATGATTGACTCTTTTCATTCAGCTGGAGATGTCCCTTTTCTTATGTGAAGATGGAAACCTGAACAGTTTTGTATTAAATTGTGCGATTCTAGATCTTTCTTGAGCCTTCTGAGTAAGCTGACTTTTCAAACAGCACTTTAGCAAGGGAAATAAGGCACAGCCTTGTTACTGTTCCCACTGGCCAGTCATGAAAATTTGGGCTACTTATGTGATCGCCACTGACACCACTGTGGATGTGACCACGTTTCCACTGGGCAATGTAAAATATTCTGACTCTGACTATCCTATAGGCCTTCTCTGATACCTTCCCAATGGTAGGGTAAAGGGCACCACATTATATCCAGACTTGTGTAGAAGTCTAAGCTCTTCATAATGTTTCCATGGACACCATAGAGGGAGAAGAACCTTATTTTTAGCCATTGCAAATGGAAGTCTTGTCTCTCTAATGGGAGCTATCTGACAATACTATGGCAATAATGTTGAAGTGGCTCATTACAGGCTCATAAAGGTAGATTTCTAGGCTCCCCATAGAGCATTTGCCGTCATAGGTGCATGTCAAGAGTAACAGTGTTTTCTAAAATTTCTGTCTTGTTAGGCTGCTCCTTTCCTGATCCCTTAGCTAGAAAGAGCAGGCTTTTGTAGAGGTGTTTTTTTATCTCTTCCACTTTGCAATCCCAGGTTCCTGGATTCCTCAGTCCCAAGTCTACATTATAAGACCTAAAAGGAAAACCTAGAGAACCATGTCTTTCTTCAGGACCCAGAACCCCTAGCTAGTCCGCCTTTTCTCCAAATATATAATGTCTAGGGTTTCTTATTGTGTTTATGAAGAGCAATAAAGAAAATAATGACACAATCTTTCAAAAAGCAGGTCTACACTTTTAATTTATCTGAGTCTTTATATTTAAAGTGTAATTATTATATACAGACTTTATAAAATTGGGTTTTTTTTAATAATCTTCTCTGACAATATCTGTCTTTAAATTGGTGTACTTAGACCATTCATATTTAAGCAATTATTAATACAGTTGTATTAACATGAACTATGTTTGTACTTGGTTTCTATTTATTGCCAGGAGTTTCCTTTCTCTGTTCTCTGGTTTTAACTGAATATTTTATATAATTCCATTTTACCTCCTTTTATGTGAAAGTTGCTTTAGAGTTTATAATACTAATTCTTTGATAATCTAAGTCCTCCAATATTTCATGTGTAGTATAAATATCTTATAAAAGAATATTCCCAATCACTCCTTTCCCTTCTTTGACATTGCTGTAATTCATTTGAATTTCTACATACTATAATCACTAAAAATTGTTATTTCTGTCTTAAACAAAAGTTATATTTCATTAAATACTTACTTTTATTCACCAGGATTGTGGTATAATCTAAGTTTTAGAAATATTCTCCAAATTATTTGAATTTTATTTTGATAGATGCCCTGGGACTATTATTGACCTGTGACCAATGATAATTCTTTGTTTAAATAAATTTTTACGTTGTAAACACTATATCATGTAAGTGATGGACTCCCCCATCATTTGTCCATGTAATATAATATATTCATTGAACTATGAAGTGGATTTATTGGTGATTATTGTCCTAAGAGATCCAAGCTTGCCAATTGACTTTATAATATGTTTAGTTCTTAGTCTCTATTCTAGCATGATAAATTATAATCCATAACTTAAGCTCTTCCTAAAGATTTTAGGCCTATGGCTCTATTTTCTCACCAGTATCTAATGATCACTGTATCATATTCATTTTCCTGTCTGAGCAACACAGGGGAAATTTGTATGAGATGGGGGCTTTGGCTGGTATTTCTTATACGCCTGTTTTAAAATATGTTTATGAGTAAAGTCTTTGTAATCAAGATTAAATTGAGAAGATGACAGTTCTATATAAATTGCAAACATCAAGATATTTATATAGTTAATCATATAATGTATAAGTGGCATTGCAAATAACCTCATAGTTTTATCTGTATAGTATTTATTTTCATGTTAAAAAGAGCTAATTGTTTGAGACATGTACTAACAAAAGTTAATTTCATGATTGGAGAAACTATCCTTACATCTACTATTTCCACTAATTTTGCAAGAATCCAGCCAGCCGCTTTTTCACTCCCTTTAGGCAATGAGGATCTCATTATTGAGACCACCTACAGATGGTATGATTGAAATTTTGAATCTGTGAATAATCACTTCATCATTTTGATCTTTTTATGCAAATCTCTAGACAATCATGGACATTATACTAAGAAAAAGCTTAGGAAGTTCAGTTTTAGCAGTAAATTGTTCACATTTTATGTATTCTCTTCATACATTTGAAAAATTGCTAGTATGCTTATCTCCTCTAAAGTATTAAAAAATTACACTCTAAACTTCGTATGATTGACAAATTATTTTATTTTATGCATTCCATGAAGCTATTTTCAGGTAAGATTATGCTTGGGAAATTTTGGCTTTAAGTAATGTGTTATCTTTTTGATTGATTCAAAGTCTCAATATTTTACAGTTCGCATTACATTATGTTTTGTCAGTTATTAGTTTGCCAATTAGTGTTTTCTTCTTTACCTTCATATTATTCAACATGAGAATTTAGTTCTATATTTTACAAAATTAGTTTAATTATTAAGCAAACCACACATATTTACATATCAAATTATTCTTCTAAATGAGGAAAATTTTCTTTAAAAATTTAGAGTATCATAGATCAGTATTCCAATTTTTATAATTTAATTAAATTATAACAAGTAGACTTGTGAAATTTTATAGGTTTTTGTGCACAATAAATATTTATTGGGTAGAATTTATGGACAAAATTATCAACAAAGTGAGAAAACGGCATCAGTCCTGAAACATTGTGAATTACATTTTTGATAAATGTAATAGAAGTATGATGATCAGAGGATCATCGAGGCCTCTCCCATCGAACTATCAAGACATAAGGCATGAAGGTCCACATTCAGTGGGCAATGGAAGACCCATATCCTTGGGTTCCAGGTCAGAGTGCCCAAAGGAGCCACTGTGTCTGTGACCTTTGCTCCCCCTTCACATACCTTCCCCTATTAACTCTGTGCTTGCATTTTAATTTTTAAAAAAATTAGTAATAATAAAAACAATATTACTTAGTTACAACATGTTTTTAAAGTTGCCAATTTGATATAATAACGATTATTATGTGCACAGAAGTTGTAGTAGAAATTTAACTGTATTTAAATAAAGACTCAGCACTATTTGCTATAATAAAGTCCATATTATGGATCTGACAAAATCAATGGAAATTTTTATACTAACTGATAAAATAAAATAATAAAATTAATACCTGTCAAAAAATTTAAAAGTCAAATATGTGATTGATTTTACCCTGTACTATATTGTAATATTAAATATGTTTTTTGTATTTTTAAAGATAATCTATGCAAAACTGAAAGATATTTATTCCATCAGTATTATAATTCAAATAGTCTTTGGAAGACATGTATTTTATTTAATTGATTGTAGTCATTTACCTGTGTGGCAAAGTTTCCTTCACGTACTAAATTGTAAACTGAACAAATATATATGCATTAACATAGACTTAGTTATGGTGCTGCAAACATGTTTGGAAGAATAATAATAAATGAACATTTTTTCATGGTAGAAAAAATTGTGAATTTTATTTGAAAACTTCCAGGCCAAATAGTCAAAATGAGACAGAAAATTTAAAAAAAGACAGGGATTGGTAATAATATTTCTTGATAGTCATTATTCTGGTGGGTTATAAAACAGACCTTTTTTTTATTTATTAGCTAATTTAATGCCCCCAATGATGTTAGAACATACATTTTGTTATTTAAATTAAACACTATTTATACAAATGTATGGCAAATTCACAGCTTAGAAGTGTCATGTGAAATAGGATGTCAGTCAGGATGGTCTGACTTTAAGAAGGGAATATTAAAATAAATAAAGCTCTTTGTGAGAAGACTTCTGTTACTTTACATAAGACATAGTTTAAATACTGCTTCAAAAGATGTTAGACTTGAACAGAGGTAGGTATATGGCAGAACCGATGTCCTTGGGTATAAAATTAATCATTGCTGATTTCCAAACATTTCTTAGCATATGCTCCCTTTTTGATCTTCTGCCAATGTTTCCATCTTATTATATTAAATATGATATATGAATGTAATTTAAATTCCATATACTTGAGCAAATATGAGACAAAATTCCCTTTCATGTTAATATTTAATCCAATAAACTATCACTTGACTTTTTGTAACTATACATCATAGAACATACATATCTCTCAGTTATATCTCTTAATCTAGTTTTTTGGGTTAATGTATATATGTGAAAATTTATATTTTAACTCAAGGTAAAAGCAATATATTAAACAAGTATGGGAAAATACATATGAGAAAAAGAGTGCATTTCCTTTTAACAATGTTGGTCATGTAATTAAAAACTAATATGTAGGACCGGGCGCAGTGGCTCACGCCTGTAATCCCAGCACTTTGGGAGGCTGAGGCGGGCGGATCACGAGGTCAGGAGATCGAGACCATCCTGGCTAACATCGTGAAACCCCGTCTCTACTAAAAATACAAAAAAATTAGCCGGGCATGGTAGTGGGTGCCTGTAGTCCCAGCCACTCGGTAGGCTGAGGCAGGAGAATGGCGTGAACCTGGGAGGCGGAGCTTGCAGTGAGCCAAGATTGCGCCACTGCACTGCAGCCTGGGCGAGAGAGAGACTCCGTCCCCGCCTCAAAAAAAAATAAATAAAAAAATAAACTAATATGTGGGATAAAATAAAATAATTACATTAAAGTCATTTTGCAGAACATGGACCATGGTATAATGTCTGTATCCTATTGATTGCATGTTAATATTTAATCCAGTAAATGATCACTTGACTTTTTGTAACCATACATCACAGAAAATACATATCTCTCAGTTATATCTCTCAATCCAGTTTTTTGGGATAATGTATATATGAGAAAATTTATATTTTAACCCAAAATATAAACAGAATATTAAATACATATGGGGAAATTCTAGAACTGCATTTAAAATTCAATTGGTGACAACTAGTCACTCCATTTAGCTATTTGAAAAACTCATTGTGTGTTAACTAAGGTTTTACTATCTTGAATTTTGTTGGCTTTAAGAAAAACATCACAATGTCATTCCCAGTGAAATAATTATCTGCAATTGTGTGTTTGTTCAGAATGCATTTCTACATTGTCTTGCATACTTAGACCATATTTTTGTTAAAGTGTGCAATGGATATCAAAAGACTCAAGAATGTTGCACAAGAATAAACTTGGGCAAAAGAAGGCAAAGGGAAAGGGAAACAATGTTATAAACATTCAAAGCAACTGTTAATAATATATTAATACTTTAGTCATCAAAAAACTGGTTTAAGCATTTTACGTGTATGTGACTATTTTAGTTATATTATTGGGAAATAGACTAGGGCGTGGTGTCACTATGTAAATTAAATAAATCAGTAGCAATTTGCTAGTGTTCATCAGGAAATGCCTGTTATGTTATTTTCAGAGTTCCAGGGGGCCAGTATATATATATTTTTTCTAGTATTTTTAACATATTTCTCTCATTTTTCAGATAAATTTTAAAAAGATCCAAATCCTTTGAAAATAAATTTATAAGTTGTTAATTTATCAATTTTGCTCTTTAAAGAATAAACTTTTTAAATTTTATTCTTATGACTGATAAAAGTTAAACTTTTAACTGATTGATTCCTCTATTTCTTTATACTTTCATTTATACATAAGTATTGAACAAGTGTTTTATTGTTATAAAAATGACAAGAATTAATCACCTTCCAAAGCTGATAGATACATAAAGATGTTAAACTTTAGTAGAAAAATGACCTTTGGAGTCCTGGTGCCTTTTAGTTGTACATGTATATGCACATATGTTGCAATCAATAAAAGATAGACATTATACTATGGTCAATGTTCTGTAAGATGACTTTAATGTAATTATTTTATTTTATCCTACATATTAGTTTTTATTACATGGCCAACATTATTAAAAGGAAATGCACTCTTGAAAATGGTTGAATTCCCAGTCTATTCATGAGATTGAAATAAAGTTAATAAAGTAGCTTCAGTTGCTTTTTTCTTGTGAAAATATTGTATAGGTTGGGTTTGAAAAACATGTTTTATAGATATTTAGTAGAAAAAAATCTTTAAAGATGTGTTAAGGGAAAATCATATACTCTTACACACACACCTTTATAGTGTCAAATGTCGTGCATTCTCAATTTGTCCATTTTGCTTTTATAAATTCTCATTACATTTGAGACCCATTTTGACCCCATGGCTATTCAAATTATTAGAGTTTTTAAAAAGCTATGATGATTACATAAATTGAGAATCAAAAGTCACATGGCCATCTTATTTTCTGTTATTAGCAGAACTTCATTGTAAATTATTGTTATTTTGAGATAATCTGAGCCTACCATTTTTTACTAGAGCATTTGAAAATATTTTCTATATTATATATTACTTTTTACAATTTAAGTTATGATCTTGTTGCTTCATTTTGCATCTTATGCAGTTTTTCTTTTCTCTTAATTGTGTCAAAGTGAAATGAACGACATGATTAAAAATAAATTACTTAAATCAAATTTTTGCAGAAAGGCCCAAAGTCCAAAATTGCACAAAGAAAAAGAATATAGATTGGCCAGGTGACTTATAGAACCAAGAAAAATCACATTTATAAGAAGGAAAATAAAGGTATTTGGATGTTTTTAATAATTGTGCATGAGTTGGACATTTCATCAATGAAATAATGAAAAATGAAAATTTTATATGTGGAGTAGTGAAATATATATGTAATATTAAATGGTTAATGTTTTGAAATTGTATTTTAAGTGTTTTTTATCACTGTTTTATTCTCCCACTGTAAAATTGAATGAGTGTGGTAACTTTTCAATTACTGGCTTGTTATAAGTATAATTGCTCCTTTAATAAAATATTGTGACTTTCTATTTTAACATTATTAAAATAACTGTTCTTATTTAAGCTCTCAACCTATTGGTACTGTGCAAGATGGTTCGTGGCAGGCTTTGGAAGAATTCTTATTCACTTTCTAGCCCCTGCTGCCAACTTCACATATTCGTTCGAAGCCTTCCTGACTACTTATATTTAAAATATGTAATATATTTAAGCTAAAATTGGTCATAAAGAGTTATCTTTGAATGTAGGGGGGTAAAAGGAAAGGTAAAGGGTGAAATTTTATGATAACTATTCAACAGCCAGAAAATCTAACAGTGTAATTAGGCATGTCTTCTTTATCAAAATAAATTTATAATAGTTACATGATGTAGTCACAAGAGTCTAGCTTACAGCTCTTAAGCAGAGCTTCTCAAAATATTTGTTAGATATATTGGGAGTGGACTATGCTTACACACTAGAACCTTACCATAATCAAGTCTTTCCCTCAGTTTTCATCAACTTAAAAGTGATTATTTTAAAGACACGGATCCTCTTTAAGTTTCTTTTAATTTTAGCTCATTACTCAGGAAAAAAAGAAAAGAAAAAGAAAAAGAAAAATGCCTGGAGATTTTTTATGCCTAGAACATGGAAATATGTAAATGTGGTATAGTAATAAATGTCTTATATGGTTTTTGGTATATCCTTGAGTCACCATATGGTTTCTTCCTCAGTCAGTGGTATAAAAAATTGAGCCTGTACGTCTGTACTCTTCTTTTGACTTGATAAGTTACTCATTCCACCTGGGTTCAATTGGACAACCAACTTCACAGTCACTTCTAAGAGAAAGTCTGAATATACTGGAGCATAATTACAATCTCATATAACATTAACTTATATAATTTATCTCGTGATTATGTGCTAATTTGGCGATTAAAGCAAATCAAGTCAGTTTTAAGTTATCTTCACTTATTTTTGAACCTGTGATAGCATTTTTTTTTTTTTTTTTTTTTTTTTTGGTGGATGGAGCTCTGGCCAAGGTCATAAAGCATGAGTCAGCAGGACTTAAAAAAATAAATAAAGTAGAGATATAAATCACCTGCTGTTTAAGTGAGACCCTCAAGTCAGTTGGCAATACTAATTCTGTGGGCAATATTACTGCACTTCTGAAAATGCACTGTAGAAAATTCAGTTTACTATTGAAATGAAATACATTTTTATTTGCCAGGTTTTGTTCTGAGGCTTTCTTGATTTTGCTGCATTTCATCAATATTTACCATATTCTAGGGATTGTGAGAAAGTGCAGGTGTACTTAGAGGAAGTACAGAAAAAAGAAAATACAGACATTCTTTCTCATTAGTTTTTGGGGTAGGCCATACTCTCAACTTTAGTTGATGAGATGTCAAAACAGTAGCATTAATGTAGGAAAAGGATCTTGGCCCTAACTCACACTATCTGCTGGGCACATCATGTCCACAATGTCTGTCCCACCAGACAGCCAAATGTTGCTTCAACTTCTATAATTGTGATGTCTTGTAAGCATGAGCCCCAGTAAATCATTGGGTCTCTGGCATCCATTTCCAGCAAAATAACAAATAATAATTAGTACTACAGATGAAATGTGTGTGGGTGTATATAAGTGTGTATGATCTTATGTGTTAGGTTACTGAGAAAGCCTGAAAAAATTCTCTATAGAACATATTTTTTCAAGCAATGTTATTTTTATGTTATATTGACACATACCAAATATGCAGTCATACATATATAAATATGAACCTTACAATTTAATAACAAAAATGATAAAAGTCTAAATTATAAGAAAAAATAAACAACCCACACAGTAACTTATATACCAAAGAATAATTAAGTAAAAATTGAAACCTAGGTCCTCTCTCAAAATAGAGCCATATTGGAAGTCAAGTCTTCACCATATGATTTTGGAAAGAGACACAATTTAGCCCATAATAATGTTCAATCACATTATTACTTTACATGGTATAGTCACATTCAAAGTTAAGAAATGCAACTGAAAAAAATGAGTTTCATCACTCAGAAAGGAGACACAATTTCTATTTGCAGATGATTCAATTACAGATAAAATATAAGGGAATGCCAATTGTAAAGAAAAATCAAAAGGCAAAAGTTTCTCTTCTAGAATATCTACTTGATTTTAATTGCACACAGTAGTCTTCCTATCCACGGTTTTGCCTTCTGTGGTTTCAGTTATCTTCTCCGTTACCGAGGGTCAATGTTGTTCAAAAATAGATGAGTGGAGTACAGTAAGATATTTTGGGAAAGAGAGAGAGGGATCACATTCCTGTGACTTTTATGTCGTATTTTTTATAATTGTTCTGTTTTATTACTTATTGTTAACCTCTTACTGTGCCTAATTTATACATTAAACTTTACCACATTTATGTTTGTATAGGGAAAAACACAGTATTTGTAAGGTTTGGTACTATTTGCAGCTACAGGCATTCACTAGAGTATCCCCTGTGGATAAATTGGAACCATAGTTTAGCTTTATAATTGTTACGTCTTCTTGATAAATTAACACTTTTATAAATATATAATGCCATTCTTTGTCTTTTGTAACAGTTTTTACTTAAGAGCTGTTTCTTATGATAATGGTACAGTCACCTTAGCTCTGTTTTGGTTATTATTTGCATAGAATATATTTGTCCACCTTTTCAGTTTCTAAAAATTTGTGTCTTTGAATATAACATGAGTGTCTTGTATATGACAAATAGTTAGATCATATTTTTTAAATCTGCATTACCAATCTCTGCCTTATCATTAGAGATATTAATCTTTTAAATGTATTACTTGTAAGGAAAGACTTACTTCTACAATTTTGCAATTTGTTTTTTTATATAGCACAACTTTTTCTTTTTTTCTTAATTACTGCCTTCTTTTTTACTTATTTTTTGTAATGCATGTTTTTATTCCTTTCTCATTTATTTTTTATATGTATTTTTAGATTACTTTCTAATGTTCATGCTAGGGATTACAATTAACCTCTTACACTTATAACAAACTATTTTTTATCTTCAATAGGACATAAAATCATTGCTCCTGTGTATTTCAGTATCTCTCCCTTATTGTTGTTGTTGTCACAAATTACATCTTTTTACAAATGTTTCCCATGAACCTAAATTTATATATATTTTTATGCATTTGTCTTTTAAATCATATAGAAAAAAGCAGAGGGAATTCAATCCAAAAATACACTAATACTTCCTTTTGTATTTACCTACATAGTTAACTTTGCCATTTTTCTTTCTTTGTATGATTTCAAGTTACTGTATAGTGTTCTTTTATTTCCACATAGATAACTACTTTTGCATTTCTCATATGGAAGCTTTACTAATAACAAACTGCCTGAGTTTATGTTCACCTAGGAATGTTTCAATCTCTACTCCATTTTTGAAATTTAATTTTGTTGGATACAGAATTATTGTTTCACAGGTGTATTTTTCCAGTCAGCAATTTAATTTTGCCATCTAATTACTTTCTAACCTCCATTCTTTCTGCTGATAAATTGACTATTGATCGTATTAAGAACCACTTGTTTATGTCAAATTGTTTCTCTCTTGTTGTTTTCTAGATTCTCTTTTTGTTTCTGAATTTGACAGTTTGATTATAATGTGTCTCAATGTGAATCTCTTTGTGTTCAGTTTTCTTAAAATTCATTGAGCTTTCTTCGGGTTTTGTAAATTAATGTAATTTTATCAAACGTGGGAAGTTTTCAGCCATTATTTCTTCAAATATTCTGTCTGCCATCTTCTTTCTCTTTTATTTTTCTGCGACTCCTACTATGCTTATTTGGTACAAATGATGGTGTCTTGCAGGTCTCTTATGATCTGTTTTTTTGCCTTCATTATTTTTTTCTTTCTGCTTTTCAGACTAAATAGATTCTACTGATTTATCTCTACATTTACTGATTTGCTTTTCTGCCTTGATTAATTCTGTTGTTTTAACTGTCTAATAATTTTTTCATTTCAGTGTTTATACTTTTCAACTCTGTAATTTCTATTTGGTTCATTTTTATAAATTATCTTTATTGATATTCTCTTTCTTGTGATGTTATTCTTTTAATGTCTCTTTGTGGTTTAATTTAGCTCTTTGAACAAATGAGATTTTATTTTCATTTAAAGTTTTTGTATTTTTTGGCCAGGCACGCAGTGGCTCACACCTCTAATTCCAAGCCGAGGCGGGCGGATTGCCTGAGCCCAGGAGTTCAAGAGCAGCCTGGGCAACATGGTCTCTGTATAAAATACAAAAATTAGCCAGGTGTGGTGGCACATGCCTGTAGTCTCAGCTACTCAGGAGGGAGAGGTAGGAAGATCAGTTGAGCCTGGTAGGTAGAGGGCGCAGTGAGCCGAAATTGCGTGACTGCACTTCAGCCTGGGTGACGGGGAAGACTCCTGTCTCAAAAAAAGAAAAAAAGTAAAAAAAAAACAATTAAAGTAAAATAAAATATTTGCATTTTTAGTAAGAACTATGTCTGTACTTCCTCAGAGATAGTTTATTAGTTTTCTTGAGTAGGTCATGCTTTTTTTTTTCCTCACATCTTTATAATTTTTTTTGTGAACTGGACATTTCCAATTCAACTTTAGTAACTCTTATTTGGAATGCTTGGGACCAGAAATGTTTCAAATTTCTAATTATTTTTAATTTTAGAATATTTGCATATACATAATGAGGTATTTTAGGGGTGGAACCCAAGTCTAAATAGAATTTTTTTTTATGTTTTATATACACTTTATGTACATAGCCAGAGTAATTTTATACAATTATGTTAATAATTGTGTACATGGAATAAGATTTGCATATTGAACCATCAGAAAGCAAAAGTGTCACTATCTTAACCATCCATGTGGACAATCTGTAGTTGTTTGTTATCACCATCCATCCTGATTCTGAATTTATATGCTACCAGCAAGCAATCACTTGCTTACTTATTTGCACATAAGTACGTAACAGCAAATAAAATCACATGCCCTTAATACAGTGAAAAAAGTAATGTATTCAGGATAACTAAGCAGCACAGTAGCATTACCAGAATACCTGTAGAACAAATAGCAGATGTTAAACCATAGCAACAACAAACAACTGTAGAGCAGGCTTTCAGTCTTCACCTATAATGCTGTGTTTTGATTAAAAGAGTACTATGCACTGTATTTTTCTAGATGAGAAGACACACCATAAGTATTTGAGAGACCAGAAAGTGAGTCTCATAAGGATGAGGAGGTAAATGCTGGATTGCTTTTCAAAATATTTTCTCCAGAATCATCTCCCTCATTATTTTTGTCTTAGAAGTCTCCTTTTGGTTTTATAAATGATTTCTTACATGATTTCTGTTATGAATTCATGTTGCTCTACTCCTTTAATGAGCACATTTAATAATTTTTCCATGTTGTCTATAGGCTCATTTTGTGCAGTGTTAATGTCATTATCATCACCATTAGCATAATCACCTTGATTGAGAAACCTTTTAACTATTTCATCATTGGTTAATGAATGAATAACTGAAGCCTCATTGACGTTAAAAACTTTTTCAATATCCTCTTCTTGGAGCATACTAACAAACACTAAATGTGTATTTTTTGCATATGTAAGGAGGTCAGACATTATTTTAATCACTTGACACAAAGAGTCTTTCAGAGCGACCATCTTGTTCCTCATTATCACTGAACATAGTTTCAGGATTAACATTGTACCGGGCATACGTACTGTGTCCTTAATCACTGTGATCCAAGTGTTGGTTTCTCATTATCACTGAACATAGTTTCAGGATAAACATTTTACCAGGCATACATACTGTGCCCTTAATCATTGTGATCCAAGTGTTGGTAACAGTATATATGGTATCCTTCATGCTATATTGCTTTGGAAAACCTTTCACACCTACTACTCTTCTCTGCTGCCAGTATGCTGTTCAGGAAAGCATTTTTATATTTATTCTTCATCGATCTGTGGGTAACCTGGTCACATGACTGAATTAATGAAGTAACATTTTGGGGAAGGTACATGAAATTGATATTAATTTTTATGAGGATTTCAGCTGGAGGATGAGCAGCAGAGTTGTCAAGGAATAAGAAAATCTTGCAGTTGTCATTCAGTTTAGCTTTCCTGCAGTGAGCACAAGCCACTGGTTCAAAATATTGTGAAACCAAACAGAAAACATTTTCTTGGTGATCCAAGCCTTTCTGTTAGCATAATAATGAACCGATAAGAAATTTATTTCTTGAAAACAGCAAGAAAGAAAGTTTTGCTTATCAAAGAGAGTTAAGTTATACTTAACGCATGCTTGCTGCATTAGAACATTCCAACAGAATTGTTCTGTCTTTGATATCTTTGATTCCTGTAGGGGATGGCTTATCAACTGTAGTCAGTGTCTTTCTGGGGCAATAATACCAAAACACTGACATTTCTTCAGCCTTATAGACATGCTCTGGCATCAGATTTTTCTTAACATAGGCCTTGAAAAATTTGTCAGCATATTTCTTTGCTGTTTCATCAGCACATGCTTTATTATGCAAATCTTTAATAATTTAATTTTCTTTTCTTAAATTTCTGCAATTATTAAATAATCACATTTTCCTTCAATTTTTAGTTCATTATAAGTCTTTGCTTGTTTCATAATCAGCATATCATTAAGTAGCCTATGCTCACAATAATGATAGATCCACTTTTTCAATACATGATTGAAGTACATTTTTCTAATTTTCATTAACTTCTATTCATAATTTTTACATAGAATTTCAACATTTTATGATTCTCTATCTTCAGGTTATGTATGGTGGTAATTCCAACATTATCCTCTTCCATAAGACATTTCATACATGGCTGTCTAGCTTCTCCAACAGCTTTTCTGTGGTATAGATAAGCATATATGATTACTCATAGGGATATCTGCAGGTCTTTCTGACATTTTCACCAATATCTTCCTTTATACCACAGGGCAGAGAGTAGGAAACAAACAAACAAAACATCACAGTGAGTAATGCATGTAGGTCTTAGCTCCAAGTGAGATATCATGGGAAACCTGCCACTAGCATGTCCAACCTATACACACCATTTTAATACCCATTTTGATCATATTTGTGTGGGGAAATCTGGGCCTCTGTGGAAAAGATATATATTCTGCATTTAAAATTTTAAGATTAGGGATACACAACCTGCACCATAATATGTTAATTCTGGAAATCATGGAAATCATATTCTTCTTTACCTCAGGATGCTGTTTTTGTTTCTGCTACTTTTCTGCCTTGTAGCTGGTTTTTTGTTTAGTGACTTTTTAAAACTATGTTTATGTAGACTGTATTATCTGTTATGTGTGGTCTCTGACATCTCTGTCCCCTTAGCTTTTGTTTAGCTGGTGTTCTGACACATTCTGAGCCTAAAACAAGCAAACAAACACCTCTCTCAATCTTTGCAGATTGGCGTTTTATTGGGGCATTCTTTCCACACTGAATTACTCTTCAGTTCCTGCTTTGGCTCAGCCTAAAACTGAGTCTAAACTGAAAGCTTATAGTCTTCTCAGGTTTTTTCTGATTATGCATCTTGCCCTGGTATACACATAACCTTTTACATTCCCCAGTATGAACAAACTTTTTCAGTGCCATGAACTTTAAAGACTCTTTCTCCCCAACGTTTCCTCTCAAGCTTTTTGCATGAAGATTTTTAAGCTCAAATTGCAGTCTTTTGCAACAAGAAGTAGTGGGTTCTTCATTTACCTTTCAAAGTGTTCAAGGATTAACCTCTATGTACCCACATTTCTGCCCTAAGAGAGTTCTCAGTTAGGTGAAACAAAGGGAAGTATTTGCATCAGTCCTCCAGGTAGCTGCCCGACAGGTCAAAACAAACTAGCACAGTGCTTTAAGCACAAGGTCAACTTTGATATATATGAAATTAGGGACAAGGGTGCCATAGTGGGAACATGGTTGCTATCTTCGAAACCACTATTGAGCTAGGAGGGAATTAGGATTAAGACAAGTAAGTATCTCAAAGCTCTCCTACTGTTTTAAAGTTGACTTCATGATTTACTGTTCACTTGGTTGCTACAAATCTTTGACTTTTTCCCAGAGTTCTAAAAAAAAGAAAAAGAAAGCTCTTGTTTTTTTTCCTTTGGACATGGGGTCTATTTGGCTCATGATGGAATGCAGTGGCTATTCACAAGCATGAACACAGTCCACTACAACCTTGAACTCCTGGCCTCAAGTGATCCTCCTACCTCAGTCTCCAGAGTAGCTGACACTACAGGCATATTTCATCGTGCCTGGCCAAAAAAAGAGTTTTTGTTCACTTTCCCTGTGTTTGTAGAGAAACAGTCCCATTTTTGCTAATATCATATGCAACATACTAATATAAGGTAATTATTAGTAATAGGATGAATACTACATCAAAGAAACACCAATAAAATCTCTACTGCCTGTATGTGTGTGCATTATTACATTTATTATTCTTTATTATTTTATAATTTTTTTTCTATGAAGTGTTTAGCCTAGATATATTTCATTATGGTAACTCTATCATTCAAAGAAAAATAAATAGGAAGCAATATCGTATCATTGAAATTCATTATAAAAAATGTTTATAATCTCCAGTTTGCACATAAGCATGGGAGTGTTCAACATAAAAGAAAATTACCTTTTTACGAATGTTAATTTAGTTTTACATTTGATGTCAAAGTTAGATAATTAAACTGGAAACATACGTATAAGAAAATATTATGTTTCCTTTGGGTATATATATCCAGAAGAGGGATTTCTGGCTGCACCAATCTATATTTCCAACATTGTACAAGGATTTCCTTTTCTCCATACCTTTGTCAATTCTCTTGTTTTTCTGATAGTAGCAATTCTAGTGAGTGTAGGGTGATATCTCATAGTGATTTTTATTTTGATTTTCCTGATGATTAGTGATATTGAGCTCCTTTTCATATACTTGTTGGCCATTTTTGTGTCTTCTCTGCATATATACACACAGGAAACACCATTTACACCTCGTAAAAATACCTGCACTCTCATTTTGATTGCAGCATCATTCAGAATACTCAAGGTATGAAACCAACATAAATTACCATTGATGAATGGATTGATAAACTGTAGAATATATGTGTTTTCTGTATGTATTACATAGTATAATTATGTATATAATATGTATTATATAATTCCATATTAATATAACATACTATAGTTATGATTCTATATAATATTGGATATTATGTCATAAATATATATATCATATAATTATATGTGTGTACATATATATATTTTTCAGCCTTAAATATGAAGTATTTTTCAACCTTAAAAAATGATATCCTGCCTTTTGCAGAAGTATCACAATAGCCAAGATATGGAAACAACTTGTTTCTGTTGATAGATAAATGGGTAAATGGATAATGGAGTATTATTCAGCCTTTAAAAGGGAATTCTTGTTATTTGTCACAATATGAATGAATCTGGAAGGCATTATGCTGAGTAAAATAAGCCAGATGCAGAAATAAAAATTGTGTATGCTCTCACTTTTTGTGAAATCTTTGAAAAAAAAAAACAAGTCAAATATACAGAGATAATAAAACAGTGGTTATTAAAGGTTGGGAGGAGGAAATGGGGAGATGTAGGTCAAAGGATACAATGTAGCTAATATGCAGCATACACAAATATAGAAATGGAACATAAAACATGAGGACTGTAATTAATAATATAATATTACTTTTGAAATTTTTGCTAAATGAGTATAGTCGCTCTTGCCACACAAAAAAATAGGTAGCTCTGTAAGCTTCCGAAACATTAATTTGCTTTGCTATAGTAACCATTGTGCTATCTATATGTATCCCATAACATCATGTTGTATACTTTAAATAAACACAATGAATTAATGATAATGTGAAAATAAATTTGTTATATAGCAAAAAGAAAAGTAACAAACAAAAAGAGAGTATGTTTTCTTACCATCTAAGAAATTCCATAGTCATGTGAAGCCCCACTTTTGTGGTTTTTGTTTGTTTGTTTTGTGCATCTCTCCAAGCTTATCTTCAGGGATCAGCAACATATTTCTCGCAATTTTCCCAAGATAGCTAGACTCTTGGGGACAAAACTTGAAGGATATGGAGTTTAATAACATATGGTCTTAATCATTAAGGGGATTCAAATGTAATAGGGCATAAAATATAAATAGATATATTTTAATATAGTATAGTAATGAGACAGATATATGCACCATATTCTATGGGAACAAATATCAGCACATGACATAGTTTGGTGTTTAAAAAATGCTGATTGATGGATAGATAGATGGATGGATAGATGGATGGATGGATAGATAGATAGATACATAGATAGATAGATTAATGAAGTATGTAAAGCAAAGGAGCTATCATTGGGGATAAAAAAAAGTGAAACACCACTATGACTGTAATGAGAAATAACAGAGATGCCTGCCAACCAGAACTCTATATATAGCACTATTACTTATTATCAGAGAAAAATTCAGGTCTATTGTTTATTATTTTTTAAATTAACCTCATTTATTACTTGCAGTGGAGACTCAGATTTTTAATTATTAGAGAAATGAGAACTAAAACATAAAGGTCAATGTCTGCTTTACTAATACAATGTTCTCACTAGAGCTGTGGACAAACATAACTTTCTCATGAGGAATTTTGAGATAATTATGTCAATCGTGTGTCTGAGAAGACATAATTGAAAAACTTTTCCTCTTTTCTTTTTGGATTTTACTTTTGAGATATTTGGTATAACCTTACTTTGTTTTCCCATTTATTTTGTTGAAAATACTAGGGACTGAAATGCAATATGAAATGGCTGAATATAGGAAGAAAATTAGATATGTAAAGGGAGACAAAAACAACTTTATCAACCATAGTTCTTACAGTAACTTGTAATCTTAAAAAATCTTGTCTTAGTTTGGGCCCTTTTAACAAAGTACCTTGGACTAGGAGGCACATACAAAACAGAAATGTGTTTCTCAAAGTTATAGATACAGGAAGTACAAGATCAAGGTGTCAGCATAGAAGAGTTCCACTGAGGGCTTTCTTCCAGGTTGCAGACTGCTGCTGTCTTCTCCTTATATTCCTTATATACTCAAATGGCATTAAAAAGGTAAGAGATTTCTCCAAAGTTGTTTTTATAAGGGCAATAATACCATTTCTGAGGGTTCCACCTTCATGACCTAATTACCTCCCAAAGGCCCTGCCTCCTAATGCCGTCGCATTGAGGGTTAGCATTTCAACATATGAATTTGGTAGGGAAAGAGGGAGGCATGAAAACATTCAGTTTATAACACTGAACTTAGAATAATTTTGGTGCTTTTCATTCTATATCATGCAGATATTTTGTGTTCTGAGCTACACATTTAGATATAAAAAATACATGGGTCTCCCTTTCATGAGAAATAATTGAATTTTGCATACACAAATCTTTTTTGTTACATGACTGATTAAATTGGAGAGCGCACCATGGAAAAGCAATTTCTATATCTCTATATCAAAACTGAGGGCAATTCTTATGTTACATACAAACATTGATTTAAAAAAATCTAATTGCAATATTTGGGTTATATCCACATTATTTATATGAATTCTGATTGGGAGAAAAACGTAGAATGCATTCTAAACTACATAGTGTATATGATCCTAAGCCAATCCTCAAATCTTATCAGTTCTTCAGTTCTCATCTCAATTCTATCTTCTTCAGCTTTTCACAGTTATTCCTGGGCATCTGTATCCTTCTCTTTTTCTATTCCATACATAGCATTTTACAAATATCAATACTATGAATTTGGAAATCTGATATTTTCCATCTGTCACATTTTTATGTACTAGCATGTGTTCTCAAGTTGTTTCCTGCTGTATCCATTCTAAAGATGTTAATTTCTGTTCAGTCAGGATTCTTTCAACTACATGGAACAGAAAAAAGTTATCTTAAAATCTAAGTATATTTTGCCTCAAAAAAGAGAAAATCTATAGTGAAAATTGGCTGTGTGACTGGTCAGTGTTGAAGTTAAGTTGCATGCTTAGAAATGTGAGTTATTTTCATCCTTTCGTTCTGATATCCACAATATTGGCTTCATGCTAAATCTCTGTCTTCTCGTAATTGTTGGATATTCACCAGAAGTGTACAGGCCAAATTTTCTCATTCAAATTTGTAACGACTGTCTATTCATTATTTTGACATTGAGGAAATATTTCTCAGATCTTATTTACAAGGTCAGAGTATGTATCTATTACTGAGCTAGCCTCTGCTAAAAACTGAATTACAACATTAGGCTTACATTCTCTGCCACAGCAAAAAAATAAAAAAAACAACAAAAAAGAAAACCTATGAAGGGGAGACAGGAATTCATCAGGACTATTTCCCAAGATGATCCTGCTAAGACAGGAAACGGTAAACAACAGGTCACAAAATCCCACTGATAACAGAGGATACAGTAAAGAAACCGGCATAAACTAGCTACAATCAAGATGGCAGGAAAAATGACCTTCACTGCTCCTTTTACACTAATTATAATGCACTAGCATGCTAAAAAACATTCCTGCCAGTGCCATGACAATTTACAAATACCACAGTAACATCCAGAAGTTACCCTATATGGCCTGGAAAGGGGAGAAACCCTGGTCCTTAAGCCTCCCTCTCCACCCCTGCTTTCCCAGAAAACTCATGAATAATTTACCCCTTGTTTAGCACATAATGAAGAAATAGTCATAAAGTAGCCAGCTAGCAGCACTCCATCAGTGCTACTCTGCCTATGGGGTAGCATTGCTCTGCCTATGAAGCAGCCATCCTTTTATTTCTTTACTTTTCAATAAACTTGCTTTCACTTTACTATGTGGGCTCGCTCTTGAATTCTTTCCTGCTGGGAACCAATAAAGCATGTGGCTTCCTGGGATGAGCCTCAATTTGGGGGTTCACCTGTAACAAAGGGACATTAAATAACCTTGATTGATTTACATTAATCAATACATTAATCAAAGCCCAACCAGAAAAGAGATTACCTGAAACTGTTTTTTTCTGTTTGTTTGTTTTAGCTGCTCACAAAGTAATCGAATGGTTTGAATCTAGGTAATTAACAATGCTAATTTTCATTGCCTCAAAGCCCAGATCTGGGGAAGGTGGCATCTTAAGCTGCCTTCAAGCTTAATATTTTCTAATTTCTGAGATAAGCAATGTATTGCTCGGATAGAGCAACTGCTTAGTATTATTTCCTAAGATATAGTATTAGATATAAAACAGTTTCAGTATAATATTAGTGACATAAATTTGTGGAAATTAGAATATTATGTATTTATTTAAACTGGAGTGATAATCATATTAGAAATACAGAATGCCATCTTGTATATTGTATTAGAGTACATGGTATGATAAATTAAAGAAGATATATTCTCTCAACTTTTTTAATAAAAATTATACAAACTGAGTTTAGAAGAGAAATTGCTTTTCTGGAAAAATGATAGAATTAACTTGAGACTATATCTTTAATTAGAAAAAAACTTGACATAAAAGAACACCAAAAAAATTAATACTCTTACTTTAATCTGCACTTGTTATATTAATATTTAAATATTTTCATATATTAGAATATTTAATATTACAAAGTAATAAAATAATAGAAAATAGTTCCTCTGTGGCTAATTATATTATCTTCCTGATCATGTACAAATTGAAGATCTTTATGGTTGCTTATCTTGTCCTTACTACTAGGGAATGATCTTTTATGAGGCTGTTGGATTAGTTGGATGATAGTGATCAGTGGTGAGGGCGGAACTTAAGTGTTGAGGGCGGAACTTAAGCATTTTGTATGCAGAAAAAAAATGAAGAACCAAAAAGAGAAGAAAGAAAAAAAAAAAGCTATGTTAACCTGAAATTTCAGAATTCCAGAGAACTGCATAAGAGCTTATTCATCAATACAAAGTATTTTATAATCACTTCCACATCTACAGTTTGAAATTTCAGGAATGAGGGGTTAAGTAGCATTGTTACATGGGAAATTGTTACTCATATACTAAGCAAATTAGTGAATTTGATCCAGTTTTAACCTTCTTTTGATGGGATCATAGCTAAGCTCCTATGGATGCTGATTAATGCGCTATTTGTTAGACAGATGCATAGAGTCAACTCGCTGGGTTAATTTTGTGAACATTACTCAGGGAAATATAAGGTAATTTGCACTTAGGTGGCTTTCAGCATGTTGTCTGACAACAATTTTCCAATAGCTAAGAAAGAGAAACCACTTTTATTTAAAATTGTAGGAAGTCAGAAATAAAAGGGTGCCTTGAAGATAGTCTGAAGAAGGGTAAAATATTGCTAGAAATAAGAAAAATAGAAAATATTCAATGGAAAACATTCTTCTAAACTCTATACAAAAGAGAGTTGAATGTTGTCTTACAATTTTTTTTAATTAATGAACTTGAAAATTCAAGTTCCTTGATAAGAGCAGATATCAGTAAAATTAAAAACAACAATAATGAAGAAAATTAATCAAAAAAGCTACATTTTTGATAAGCTTCTAGCAAATATGACCAAAAAAACATGAGCGAGAACATAAATTAACAATCAAAGAATAAAGGAAGAAATACCACAACAAATCTCACACGTATTAAAACATTAATAAAGAAATATTTACTCATATACATTGTAATTTTAGATGAAATGGATTGATTCTTGGAAACCATAATCTCATCCCAAAATGTAATAGATCATCTGAATAATCCTATAATTATTAAATAAAGTATAATACTAGTTTAAAAACTTTCAAATATGAAATATCCATGTCTGGATTGTTTTACAGACAAATTCTACCACATAATTTAAGAAATACACAAATTATGTGCAATCTATTTAAGAAAATAGAAGAGAAGGGAATGCTTTCCATTCTATTTTGAGGCCAGCATTATCCTCATGCCCAAACCAGACAAACATAGTAGCAGAAAACCAAAAATAAAAGCCAAAAAGCTATTGAGTCATATTCCTCATGAACCTAGATACAAAATACTCAACAAAGTATTCCTAAGTTGAATGAAGCATTTAATAAAAACAAAAATACCTAAGTAGTTTTATTCGTAGTTGAATACAAGGCTGTTTCAATATTTGAAAATCAATAAATGTAATCTATTATATTAACAGATACAAAAAGATTATTTCAATCACTGTAGAAAACGTTTGATACACTTTAATAACATTTATGATGAACATTAAACAAAGTAGAAATAGAAAAAATATACTCAAGCTGCTGAAGTACATCTACAAATATCCGTTTCATCATACTTACTGGAGAAAGCCTGAGACTTTTCCCTCTAAAGTTGGAAATAAGGCAGGATAGTACATATTGGACACTTATATTCATCATACAGTAAGTCTTTGCCAAAGCAATAAAGAAAAATAATTATAGTGTAATTGTTATAGAGTATACAGAATATAAACTGTCCCATTTGCAGATGGCATTCTCACCTATATGGAATATATTAATACATCTACCATAAATATTCTAGAATAAATAAGTTTAGCAAGGTTCCAGGATACATGGTCGACAAATAGAAAACGTTTTCTAAATACTAAAAAAAAATTTGGAAAAAACAAATTTAAAATCACACTATCAATTGTCCTCACTCTGCAAAAAGTAGAAAATGTAAATATAAACAACCATGTACAATATCTGAGTGTCAAAAAACCAAGTCTAAAGAAGTAAATCCAAGAAGAACTAAATAAATGGGAAGACATACATGTTTGTGGATTGGAATATTTAAACTAGTAACAATGTCAATTCTCCCTAAACAGATCTATATTTTTAAGCAATTCATATTAAAATGTCAACAATACTCTGTGGATATAAACAAGTTGCATCTACCTTTTATATGAAAAACCAAAAAAATTAACATAGACAAAACAATTTTGAGAAAAAATAAATTTGGAAGAATTAGAGCATGTGAATTTAAGACACTATAGCTCTAGTAAATTGGAGAATGTGGTGGTTGGCAGATAAATAAACACATGGATAAAAGAAACAGAATAAAGAAGCTAGAAATTGACCTACATGGTTACAGTCAACTGATTTTAGGCAAATATACAAAAGGCCCCTTAACAGAACAACTAGAGATTTTTCAACAAATAGTATTAGATATTTATAGAAAAAATCAATGAAACTCAACCAAATTTCACATCTTATTCAAAGATTAACTCAAGATGTATAAGACTTAAACGCAAAACACAACAAAACTTTGGAAAAAAAATAAGAGAACAATCTTTAGTATCTAGGACAAGGTGAAGTATTCTTACTCATGATACCAAAATTATAATCAATAATTTTTTTAAATGTAAACTGACTTCCTCAAAATTAAATGCTTTTTTACACTGCATAAAGAGCACGTTTAAGTATATTAAGAAGACAAGACACAGTCTAGGATAAACTATTTGTAGATCACATATTTGACATTCAAAGTATATTAAAAACTCTTTGAATTAGTTTGTTAGGGCTGCCATAACAAACTACTACAGACTGGTAGCTCAAATAACATAAATTCATTTTCTTACAATCCTGTGTGCTAGCAATCTAACATCAAGGTGTGAGCAGAGATGGTTTCTTCTGAGGCCTCTCTCCTTGACTTGTAAATGGCTAACTTCTCCCTGTCTTCATACAGTCTTTCCTTTGCCCATATCTGTGTCCCAGTTTCTTATTTAATGAGGATACCAGTCACAGTGGATTATGGCACACCCCAATGACATCATTAAACTTAATTACCTCTTTAAAGTTCCACTCTCTAAATGCAGTCATATTTTAAGGTACTGGAGGTTAGGGCATCAATACATAAATTTTGTGGGTACACCACTCAGACCACAACACTCTCTAAAGTCAATAGTAAAAAATAATAATAATTCAATTAGAGAATGGCAAAATAAACGTTGACATTTGGCTGAAGATATGTACAGATGGAAGATAAACACATAAAAATATGTTCATAATTACTACATTTGGAAAAGTGCAAACTAAAACCCCGATAAGAGGTATTATACACATCTTAGAATGGCTAAAAGAAAAATTAGTGACAATACCAACTGCTGGTGAGAATGCAGAGGCTCTGAGTCTCTTGTATGTGGTTGAAGATAATTGAGCTGGGCACAGCCAATCTTGAAACAAGCATGGCAGTTTATTTTTAAGTTAGACACTTACCATATGACCCTATAATCAAATAGTCTTAAGGTGAATAATATATTGGCTTCTATCTATATTACCATATATCCATTCAAACATCGTCAAAAATTCTACCCTATTTTGTTGATTGGAGACAATATATAATTTCTAATGAAGAACCATGCATTGAGACACTCATTTGTCTTCCCTCAATGCCTGACTCTTTGGCAACATTTTGGAGTCATTTAGAAACCAATGCTCAAAACCCTCTTTTTCAGTTCTTACAAATGCCACTTTTTTTCTTCTTCCACAGAGCTTCACAGCTTGCCTGACAGTCAGCTACATAATAGCAGTTTGTTCTTTAAGAAATTCTATCTAGACAGATGAAGCAGGTATATAAACCTACTGAGATGTTCTACAAATAACCATTAAAACTACTCTCATGAATACATTCTCTACTCCTTCCCCACTCTTACTTCACTGCACTTTCTTAACAAGATAACAACTCTGGATAAACCCAATGTTCTGCTTATCACCTACCTGTACCCATGAAGGTGAGTGTGGCTAAAGAATAATAATAATAAATGTCAGAGTGCTTTCTATTTAAATATGTTACCTCAAACATCAACAGGATAATTAACATTATTAATTTCTCTAATCTATTAATTTTTTCACTCTTCTGACTACCACAATCTGCTACTCTCTTGCAAAACCTTTAACATCACTCTATAATCATTACACTCAACTGAAGACCATTTTTCTTCCTTTTAGAAGAACACTGAAGCAATTATAAGTACACTTTTATTAAGCTACCTTGCAAACTACACACCTGTCTTTCCTCTTTGTCTTTGTCCATTGTGTGCTGCTTTAACAAAATACTACAGACTGGATAATATATAAGCAATGGGAGTATTTTTTTTTCTTATGTTTCTGGAGGCAGGGAAGTCTAAGATCAAGAGGCTGGCATCTGGCAAAAGCCTTCTTACCGTGGAAGGACTATGCCTTCCCTTGGGAGAAGGTGGAAGGGCAAGAGAGAGACAGAGAGCAAGATGGGGCTGAATACCTCCGTTTATAACAAACTCACTCCCATGATAAGGACATTAATCTATTTATGGGCTGAATACCTCTTAAAGGGCCCACCTCTTAACATTGCTACAATGGCAATTAAATTTCAACACAATTTCAGAAGAGCGAGTCAAACCATAGTACTCATGTTACTATAGCTGAACTTCTGCTCCTATATAGGCCATTTCTTTTACTTGTAGGTAAGTCCCTTCCAATTATGCTAATTCAAGAATGTTACTCATACTTCTTCCCTTTTCATTTTCATAATTTTCCTTCTTTACTGAATAACATTAGC
This sequence comes from Homo sapiens, assembly GCF_000001405.40. Lineage (NCBI taxonomy): Eukaryota > Metazoa > Chordata > Mammalia > Primates > Hominidae > Homo > Homo sapiens. The sequence goes on along the minus strand of NC_000001.11, from coordinate 195,331,198 downwards.
TAGCATATAAGTAATTTATATTTTTGGTTGTTACAAGAAATACCTTTTTTTCTTTCATCTCCATTTCCCTGGAGCTCTCAATTCATTTATTTGTTCATTTTTCAGCAAAACTCCTAAAGAGTTGCTTAGGCTTTCTGTCTCCAAATTTCATTTTTCCATTTTTCTCTTAAATGATCTGTTAAGATTTTCCTAAACACTGCTTTAAAATTGGTGTGTTCATGATGACCATGACTACCATATAGCTATGAAAGGTGAGCTCTTCATCTTTATGTTAATTGAGCAATAAGTAAGTAGTATTTAACATGCAAGACATCTTAGAAACCTAGAAATTCATTTGGCTTCCACGGAACCACTCTTGGTTTCTCATCCTTCCCCCTTACTTTTCACAGTTCTATATCTAAGTAAAAAAAAAAAAAAAATCAAAGAGAATCAACATCTCCTCTTCCCTCAGTAAGCAAAAGCAAATGAGTTATAGTGGTAAGAGAAGCTCGAAGAGCAAGTTTGGGCTGCACTAACTTCTTTCTATACATTTTTTTAAATTTTTTGCTGGTATTTTTTCTCCCAGACTTCATAAAATTAGAGTGCTCAGCTTCCACAATTCTCTATCTGCCATCACTCTGTTAGTAATCTCATCCAGGTTCTTGGTTTGACAGGATTTACAATTGGCTTCAACCCACATTTCTGCAGAGAATTTCAGACCTGAGATTTCCACTTGAATATCTGGTAGTTATTTCAAATAAAACATGTCAAATTGAACTCTTCATATCGCCTTCATATCTCTTTGCAAATCTTCAAAATCTTTACCATTCCAGTTAATGATAATTCTATACTCTTAGACCAAATACTTGCTTATTATCTCAAGGTTCTGTTTGTGTTTCTTCTGATTCTACCTCTCAGTGGACCCAAATATGAAACTCTGACATTTCTTTGCTAGAGAATATAATCATTGTGTAGATAGGACTTTACTGAAGATCTGGAGTCTGACAGTTGGGTTGGCAGGGGTATGCTCATGATGCCCGACTGGTAGCTCCTGCCATCTTATTGGCATCTCACAGTTATCCCCCTCAGAGCCCAGCTCTCTCTCTCTCATCCATTTTCTAAAGCTTTTGCCTCTGCCATGGTGTCATCCCTCCTAGTGACAGGGTTTGGAGACATTTAGTCCATTCCTATAGACTACATTTATATGACATCATAATCATTTCCTGAATAAGCAAAAGTGAAAATCAACAAACCCATTTTTAATTTTGAAAGCATATAAATGGGTCATTTTGTAGAATAATATTGAATACATTTTTAGTAGAAACAGTTCAACTGTATTTTATTACCCAGCACAAATACTGGGTTTTTTTTTTTAAGAACTCCCTGTATTTCTCCCAGAAATTTTGGTGCTCCCTCTTATTTATTCTCTATTGTAGTGATTGTTTCTAAATTAAAATTCTCTACCAGAGGACAAGTGCCCTAGCTCGAGCCACAGTGTGTATGCCAGGAACTCTATTAATATTTTCAAATTTATTTAATAAATGAACGAATCAATATTCACTAAAGCAGTGTTAAATTTCATTAATATGGATCATTTGCTCCACGCAATGAAACACATTCAAGAATTGGCAAGTGTTGTTTTCCTTACTCACTTAAAAAGGCAAATGTACTAAGCCATTCACAGTGTAAGGCTGGAATGACCTCCTGAGTTTCCAACAATTTATGAAATCCCATTTGGATTGCTATAGATAGCAAATTGCTAAACCACAGTCCCCGTCTAGAAAACACTTATCAACAGCGTAGAAATGTGGAATGTCAATAAAGTCAGCTCACCAACAATCCTCTGAAAATTTTACCTTTTTATTAGTATATAATAAAAAAGTTCTTTCAGTAACAGCCCCAGTCCTTTGAAGCATTTTTAAATTATCAATTACTCTTGAGTTTCATGCTAAATAAATAAGAAACATGTTGATTTGACACTTTAATAAGCAATAATGAGGTTTAGGACTAAAACAGAAATCAATTGTATGTACTCTTTATCTACACTGCCATCAACTTAATAACATGTGACAATTTTATTAACCTAGGAGTCTCACTTGTTTATTTAATTGTTCTCCAGAATGACTACTTTCTGATTATCAGTGATTTGTCCTTCATATTTAGATAATTAAGTATTCTGTCTCACCTCTTTTGCTTATAATTTAACTAAAAATTTTATCCTGTTATGGCTTATTTTTTTGAAAAGCCAAGACATGAATTTAAAAATCTATTAAAACAATCTATGAAAGAGAAGTATCTCTTTGTAAAGCAGCTAATCCCTAGGGAAAGAGAGTCGAACTTATTTAAATTTAAGACTTATGCAATGCAATTTCAAAATCTGACTAAAAATAGGAAGCTATGGATGGCATTTTCATAGTAGAAAAATGTTAGTAGCTACAAGCTTTAGAAAGTAACATCTTTTCAAAATGTTGAAATTACTTTTATTCTACAATAATATCTAGTTAACATAAAATATTTAATTAATTATTGGTGCCACGCTAGTACAGAGTAGCTCATGGTATTCTAGGCTAAAATTGCAATGTAACTTCAAAATGGTTACAGTACTGTTTATTAGTTTTACTACTTAACACACTAATTGTGTCAGATAAAGAACAAACTGCTTAAGTTGTGCAGATAAAGAATAAATCAAATTTTTCTTCTTACTCAATGAGAAAGACTTGGGTAGCATATGTATAATAATTAACAGTGTAATTTTAAAAAAAATTGATTATCCTATAGCAACACTTGTTAATTGGCATATTTGGTAACTTCAGGTTTGAGTAACTCTATGCAATTTGTGATTTCACAATGCTCTGCATGTTAACTGAAACCTTGTTGAGCTTAGCAAAGTGCAGTTAAAAATTTGGCAAAGCAAGAGTGCTGCAGCAACTTTTTGACCTTTTACCTCATTTCACGGATACCTTCATCCAGGTAACAAATGTCAGTGTTGGTTCTGCAAGTAAACTGGTTGCTACATTTCATAAGTTGTCATTCTAGTCATCTGATTCATTTCAGAATATATTTACCTACATTCCTCATGATTGTGCTTAGCTTTTCCACGTCTTGTGAATCCTCAATCAGTTTCATTTAAAAAAAAAATCTTCTGGGCACATTATTCTTCTCATGAGTTTGGCCTTCAGTTCTACAAAATCAAGTTGTTTTTAATTCAGGATATCTGGCACAACTAACATTTTCTTTTAGCTCTCCTTAACTCACTCTGTGCTTCCAGCTGGAAAAGAGGTGATGAATCATTCTTGATTTCTTTCTGTCTTGCCCCTCCAAATCCTATTCTGTAAAGTCTCCTCATTGCTGTCCTCTAAAAATATATTTAAACAATGTTTTTCATTTCCACTGCTGTGATTTTAATAGCTTCTTCCTGGGATCTTGATTTCAACAGCCTCTTCCTCATACTATTCTCAACACTACTGTCAGTGAACTTCTAAAAATGGATTCTGTGTTTGACCGTAGGAAACATTTCAGTATTCCTTATCTTTAGAAACCTCTGCAACTCAAGTGTCTCTGCCAAAGTGTCTTCAAGGTAATGTCAAATACCATAACATATTTTTTAAGTTTTTGTATACTTCCTAGGAATATATGTCATAGTATGTAAAGAAGATCTGATTCATGTGATCTGTACTGTTAAGAAACACTTCAAAGGAAAACAACCTCTCATAGATCTTCAAATCCTGTTGTTCTTGAGTTGGAATGTACAATATTCAGGTAGAGATGCTGGTACAAAAAAAGACTGAATCATCAGGCTATTAGAAAGATAAACTAGGCCTCTAACATAGTAACTTTAACAGTTTGTACTTATACATATTTTCACATTGAAATATAGTTTTATTCATGACTTTTTTTGTTTTAGCTTCTCTGTCTTCCATTATTTCAAGCTGCTAAAAATTAAAAATAACCTATAGCAAAGGGCTATGGCATCTTTTTGTAAAAATAAGGAAAGCAAGGTTTTTTGATAAAAATCTGTTGAATCAGCACCACATTACATGCTACACTAGGGTCCCATTTGTATCCTGTGCAAAAACATCCTTCAGATTTATAAAAGGATTTTCTCTGTAGAAAAATAAAAACTAAATTTTAATATTTGAATTGGGCCTCAGCCAAAATTGGGCTCTTTATTTCTAAAAAAGTCTGTATCATAAAGCACATGTACATGATTTGTGAGTTACTATAAAGGAGGTTTGGCTTAATATTAAAAGCCTTATTTATGTGGTTCTGTTATACATCTTCTTTAAGTTTTACTTTTATGCTGTTCCATTCTTTGCATCCATATGCGATTATTCAGGTGGATTATTAAGAATAATTCCATAACATTGTATGTATAAAAGAAGAAATGAAATATGTGCCATGAATGCACATTGTTTAGAGAATCTGAAGTAGTTAAGTGAATTCAATAGTAAGAAACTTGAATGAAATATGTTGCAGTTTTTTTAAATTTATATTTTGCTACATGTATCTCAGACTACTAAAAACATTATTATGACCCTTAAAAATAATGAATTAATTTAAGATTCAAATGGGTGACTAATGATGTCATTCTCTGAGCTAACAAGCAAATGTGGAAAAACTAGCTTGTGGTAGGAGGATTTAATAAAAAATTTTAGCAGGATATGAGGTCATCTACAGGAACTATATAAACTACAAAAAGAAGAAGACTTAGAACAAAGCCCTGATGACTGGTGACGAGTTAAGAAGACAAGTACACTAAAGACAAGGCTTAATACAAGGGATTCAGAAAAAGTAGCCAGAGAAGAAGAGTAAATAGCACATTGAAAATCAAGAGAATAGTTATGCAATAAAATAGCCTGTATTTTAAAATGGTACACATGAATTAACCTATATAAGAACAAATATCAAATGTTTTTATTGGATTTGGTAATTAGGAAAGTGTAACCTTGTAAAATCAATTTAATTCTAGGTTAGGGATTGAGGCTATAAGGGGTATATTGCAGGCAGAGGATGATGAGTGAAATGAGTGAGTATATGAAGAAAACAGAGTGTTTTGAATGCATGTGGAGCTAAAGAATGTTTTGTTTATTAATATGTTAGGTTTTGTTTTCATTTAATGTAAAAATAAAGGAAGAAGTCTTGGCTTCCAGTCCAGCATGTTGGGAGCTTGGAAGTTATCAATCCCATGATCACAATAATAAAAAGAGGTGAATAAACTGAAAATCAACAACTCTTTTTAGATTCATCATAGATTTAAGGTTGCAGGACAAATTGCTGCCTCCAAAATTGGAGAGAAAAACAGTTGAATACAGAAAATTACAACTTACCATAGCAGAAACCCAGGGGCAAAAGTATCTCTGCAGGAACCAGTACAAAGAAAAACCTCAAATTATATTGGATGAAATTATTGGAGGCTCAACATGAACACATTTGAAAGCTAAAAACTTCGAGGAGGGTCAGTTTTATCCCACTCAGCATACATATGCTTTCGTTTGTTCCAGGAGCCCTACCAGGTTCTCAGAGTAGAAATACGGGAAAAAATCTCGTTATGCTTCCATTAGGGACAGAAAGAAAAAACAAAAACAAATGTCTATTTTAACATACACCCAGATCATTTTAGTCTTCTTAACCAAGACTGCTTCAAATAAAATTATTTTACTAAAGCCAAACAGACTGGAGTTTCCCCAAACCTAACAAAGCTGGGGGAAGGGAAATACTCAGTTCTAGCTTCCTCTAGTCTTCCTTTCTCACTTAAGCCAGGAGTCGGGGTGAGCGGCACTCATGGAAGTCACAGCTCAAACTGAGGTCTAGTTACAGCTCTATAAAACTTCAGGTACGGCCGGGCGCGGTGGCTCACGCATGTAATCCCAGCATTTTGGGAGGCCAAGGCAGGCAAATCACGAGGTCAGGAAATCGAGATCATATTGGCCAACATGGTGAAACCCTGTCTCTACTAAAATACAAAAAAATAAATGGCCGGGTGTGGTGGCGCGTTCCTGTAATCCCAGCTACTTGGGAGGCTGAGGCAGGGGAATCAGTTGAACCCCGGAGGCGGAGGTTGTGGTAAGCTGAGATCACACCACTGCACTCCAGCCTTGCGACAGAGCAAGACTCCGTCTCAAAAACAAACAAACAAACAAACAAAAAAACAAAAACAAAAAAAAACTGCAGGTACTGTAGGTACTCACAGCATGTTCAAAAAGAAGTTTCCAGGGAAACCCAGAGAAAATGGGGAACTTAAAATGAAGGATATCAGAGAAAATGTTAGCCTCCAATGCTGATATTTAAAGTGCTGAAGGAAAAACGTTTCCTAGAATACGATATGCAGTGAAAATATCCTTCAAACATGAAGAAAAAATAAAGACTTTCCCTGATTAGTGTAAGTTGAGGGATTTCTACACCAGAACTATCCTACAAGACATGCTAAAGGAAATACTTCAGTCAGAAAGAAAAGAATGTTAATGAGCAATAAAATGTCATCTGAATGTACAAAACTCACTGGTAATAGTATATAAATGGAAAAACTCAGAATATAATAGCACTGTAATTGTGTTGTGTACACAACTCATATCTTAGGTAGAAAGATTAAAAGAAGAATCAATCAAAAATAACTATGACTCTTCAAGGCATAGTTCAATATAATATAAGTAGAAAAATAAAAGGTAAAAAGCAAGGGGACCAATGTAAAGTGTAGAGTTTTATTAGTTTTCTTTGTGCTTGTTTATTTAGTTTGTCTATGCAATCAGTGTTAGGTTGTCATCAGTTTAAAATAATGGGTTATAAGGTGTTATTTGCAAGCCTCATTGTAACCTCAAGTCAAACACATACAGTGGATACAAAAAATAAAAAAGCAAGAAATTAAAACATTCCACCAGAGGAAATTGTTTAACTAAAAAGAAGACAGGAATCAAAGGAAGAAGACCACAAAATAACCAAAAAATCAAATAACAAAATGGCAGTAGTAAGCTCTTACTCATCAATAATAACATTCCATGTAAATGGACTAAACTCTTCAATCAGAAGGCATAGAGTCACTGAATGAATAAAAAAAGACCCAATGTCCTGTTGTCTATGAGAAACATACTTCCCCTAAAAGATACACATAGACTGAAAATAATAGAATGTAAAAAGATATTCCATGCCAAGAAAGAGCATGAATAGTTATATATGACAAAATAGATTTAAAGACAAAAAGTATCATAAGAGACTAAGCAAGTCATTACATGATAATAAAGTGGTAAATTCAGCAAGAAGATATGGCAAGTGTTAGTATATATGAACCCAACACTGGAGCAGCCAGATATTTAAATCAAATATTAATAGAGCTAAAGAGAGAAAAAAAAACCCAAATAAAATAACAGCTAGAGACTTCAACACTGACTTTCAGCATTAGACGGTTTATCCAGATAGCACTAATGAATCAAAAAAGAAGCATTGAACTTAATCTGCACTATACCAAATGGGACTAATAGATATTTACAGAACATTTCATCCAAAGGCTTCAGAATACACATTCTTCTCAACACACGGATTATTCCCAAAGATAAGCCAATGTTAGGCCACAAAACACATCTTAAAACATTCAAACAAGTTGAAATCATATCAAGCATCTTCTCTGAACATATTGGAATAAAAATAGAAATCAATAACAAGAGAAATTTTGGTAATTATGTAAATGAATGGAATTTAAGCAATATGCTTCTGAATGACCAGTGATTCGTGAACAGATTAAGAGGAAAATTTAAAAAAATTTTGAAACAAATGATAATGGAAACACAACACACCAAAACCTATGGGGTACAGCAAAAGCAGTACTAAGAGGGAAGTTTATAGCTGTTAAGTGCCTAGATCTAAGAAGTAGAAAGACTTCAAACAACTCACCTAATGATGCATCTTAAAGAATGAGAAATAAGAGCAAATTAAACCCCAAATTAGTAGAAGACAATAAAAAAATAAAGATCAGAGCAGAAATAAATGAAATTGAAAAGTAGAAAACAGTATAAATGATCAACAAAACCAAAAGTTGCTATTAAAAAAAAGATAAATAAAATTGACTAATTATGAAAAAAAGAAAGAAGACTGAAATACATAAAATTAGAGATGAAAAAGAAGACATTATTACCAATGTGGCAGAAATTGAAAGGACAATTAGAGGCAAATATGAATAACTATATGCCAATAAATTGGAAAACCCAGAAGGAATGGATAAGTTCCTTGACACATACAACCAATCAAAATTGAACTAGATTAGAGATAAATCTATAATCTGAACAGACCGGCAATGAGTAAAATGATTGAAGCCATAATAATAAGTCTTCCAGCAAAGAAAAGCCAGGGACCCAATGGCTTCACTACTGAATTTTACCAAACATATAAAGAAGAATTGAGTAAGAGTTATATTAACAAATTCTACTCTAACTACTCAGAAAAATGGAGGAGGGAGTACTTCCAAATTCATTTTACAAAGCCAGCATACCCTGACACCAAAACCAGACAACGCACATCAAAAACAAACAAAAAGAGCAAACAACAACAAAAAACTACAGGTCAATATGCCTAGTGAACATTAATGAAAACGTCCTCAACAAAATACTAACAAACTAATTCCGAAGATACATTAAAATAATTATTCATCATGAACAAGTGCAATTTACCCCAGGTTTACAAAAATGATTAAGCATATGTAAATCAACAAAAGTGATAGATCCTATCAACAGAATGAGGGACATAAACCAAATGATCCTTTCAATTGATGCTGAAAAGGCATTTGATGAAATTCAGAATTCTTTATGATAAACATCCTCAAAGAACTGGGTATAGAAGGAAATACCTCCACATAATAAAAACCATGTATAGCAGACCCACAACTAGCATCATACTAAATGGGGAAAAATTGAACACTTTTCTTCTCGGATCAGGAATGCAACAAGGATGCCCACTTTGACCACTGTTATTTAACATATTACTGGAAGTTCTATCTGGAGCAATGAGGCAAGAGAAAGAAATAAAGTTATCCCAATTAGAAAGGAAGAAGTCAAAATTTTTGTTTGCTGATGACATAATCTTATATTTGGGAAAAACTCCACCAAAAAAAAAAAACCTACTAGAACTGATAAGCAAATTCAGTAAAGTTTCAGGATGCACAATTAACATACAGATATCTATAACATTTCTATATGCCAACAGTGAACAATGTGTAAAAGAAATCAAGAAAGTAATCCTATTTACAATAGCTACAAATAAAATTAAATACCTAGGATTTAATTTAACCAAAGAAGTAAAAGACCTGTACATTAAAAACTATAAAGCATTGATTAAAGAAATTGAAGAGGACACACAAAAATGAAAAACTATTCCATGTTCATGGATGGGATCAATAAGTATTGTGAAAATGTCCATACTACCTAAAGCAATCTATAGATTCAATGCAATTCCTATCAAAATACCAATGACATTCTTTGCAGAAATAGAAAAAAAATTCTAAAATTTATATGGAGCCACAAAGGATCTAGACTAGCCAAATCTGTACACACTGAAAATTTTTAAAAAACTTAGGAATCAGATTAAACTGACTTCAAATTACTTCAAATTGTACCACAGAGCTATAGTAACAAAAAGAGCATGGTACTGGTATCAAAGCAGACACATAGATCAATGGAACAGTATAGAGAACCCAGAAACAAATTCATACATCTATAGTAAACTCGTTTTCAGCAAAGATGCCAAGGCCATGCATTGGGGAAAGATCAATCTCTTTAATAAATGATTCTGGGAATACTGGATATCTACATGCAAAAGAATAAAATTGGACCTTTATCTCTCACCATATACAAATTCAAATAAAAATAGATTAAATACTTAAACCTAAGACCTCATACTATGAAACTACTACAAGAAAAGATTGGGGTAAATCTCCAGGACATTGATCTGGGCAGATTTCTTGAGTAATATCCCACAAGCACAGGCAACCAAACTAATAGACAAAAGGTATCATATCAAGTTAAAAAATCTTCTGCACAGTAAAAGAAACAATCAACATAGTGAAGAGACAACCCACAGAATGGGAGAAAATATTTTCAAACTATCCATATGACAAGGGATTAATAACCAGAATATGTAAGGAGCTGAAACTACCCTGTAGGAAGAAAACTAATAATTTAATTTTTAAATGGGCAAAAAACCCTAATAATCTAATTTTAAAATGGGCAAAATAGATACTTCTCACAAAAGACATATGAATGGCAAACAGGCATATATGAAAGGTTCTCAAAATTATTGCTCATCAGATAAATGCAAATCAAAACTACAATGAGATATCATCTTACCACAGTTAAAATGGCTTTTATACAATGACAGACAATAGTATATGCTGGCAAGGATGTGGAGAAAGGCAATCCCCGTACAGTGTTGAGGAAAATGGAAATTAGTACAACTACTATGGAGAAAGTTTGGCGATTCCTTAAAACTAAATATAGAGCTGCCTTATGATCCAGCAATCCGACTGCTAGGTATATACCCAAAAGAAAAGAAATCAGTAAATCAAAGCGACAACTTCACTCCCATGTTTATTGGAGCACTATTCACAATAGTGCTGTAACAAACCAGTAGCCAAGACTTGGAAACAACATAAGTATCCATCAACTGATAAATGATTTAAAAAATGTGGTACATATACACAATAGAGTACTATTCAGCCATTAAAAAGAATGAGATCCTGTCATTTGCAACAACATGGACGGAGCTGGAGATCATTATGTAAAGTGAAATAATACAGGCACATAAAGACAAACATCACATGTTCTCACATTTTTGTTGAAGCTAAAAAATCAAAAAAATTGAACCCATGGAGACAGAGAGTAGAATGATGGTTACCAGAGGCTGGGAAGTGTATTGGGTTATCAGAGTGGGGAGAATGTGATTGGTTAATGGGCACAAAAAATTAGAAAAAATGAGTAAATCTAGTATTTTATAGCATAGTAGGGTGACTATAGTAAACAATGATTTAATTATACATTCAAATATAACTAAAGGAGAATAATTAGATTATTTGTAACACAAAGGATAAATGCTTGAGGTGATGGATACCCCCATGTACCCTGATGTTCTTATTACACATTGTATGCTTGTATCAAAATATTCCATATACCACATAAATATGTACACCTAGTATATATTCACAAAAAGTAAAAATGAAAAAAAGAAAAAGTTATAAAAGAAACACTGGACAGAATTCTTTAAATTCACTAGTCTATGTTAAAATACAGAGATTAAAAGAATATTGCCTTGGAATATTATGAATAAGACTAACAACAAGAGACAGCAATATTTTAGAATAGGTGTTTTGCTGGAATCTTTGCAGTCTGTTTGGAAGATATTTTTTAATGTTTGGGTGTTATGGAAGGAGGAATGTGGCCCCCAATGATGAATTAAAATGTAGCATGGAAAAAACATATCTGAAAGATGATTTTACATAAAAGCACCAAGAATTGTGTGCGTGCATGTGTGTGTGTGTGTGTGTTCAAGATTTTCCTCAAAATGCGTGTGGGGAAATTCTTGAAATAATATTGCTGGATCATATGCAGAAATATGGAATCCTGTTGGTCGGATTGGGTTATGAAAATGATAGAGTCCACTAGTGACATTAGCAAGCGTGGATGCTAAAGATCTGCAATGCAGGGGCAGCCCTTCACCATCTAGAAATTCTCTCATCCAAATTGCCAATAGTGACGCCTCCCATTGAGAAGAATAATTTTATAAAAGTGCTACACCCATATACTATCACACTTTCTTTAGGATATGTTAACTACTGGGATCCATAAATATTTCTCTGGTTATAAGCATGCTATCGAAATTTTCCATTGCTAATAGGATCACTTTATTTAATTGACAGTTGTTTTATCAGTAATCACATACAACCATTTCAAGGTCAGGAATATATTTATGTTGTATTCTAAAAATCCATTTCTTATTTTTAAAGCGTATTTTTATAAGAAATAGCAAGCAAAAAGAAGGGAGAAGTCAATAATAGTTATTGATAAATTACAGATATTTTAGTTTTAAATGGAAGTAGCTGTCCGTGGTGACTCTGGACCACATGGGTCTCACTAGTCTCTGGTTGACATTGCCTGTACTTTCTATTTCTAACAACACAGTACTTTATCGTATTGTTTTGCTATTGTTTAACCCATTGAGGTGAGCACAATTCTCATATTTTCAACAAGAATATAATTTCCTTGAGAGGTAAAAACATATCTTATGCAACTTTTGTATCCCTCACATCAGCTTGCACATAGTGTTTTCTTTTTAATTAAAAATAAATAATAGGCCAGGCATCGTGGCTCATCCCAGCACTTTGGGAGGCCAAGGTGGGCAGATCACCTGAGGTCGGGAGTTCAAAACTAGCCTGACTAACTCCATGAAACCCCGTCTCTACTCTAAATACAAAATTAGCTGGGCATGGTCGAGCATGCCTGTAATCAGGAGGCTGAGGCAGGAGAATCACTTGAACCTGGGAGGCAGATGTTGCAGTGAGCCAAGATCGCGCCATTGCACTCCAGCCTGGGCAACAAGAGCAAAACTCTGTCTCAAACAAACAAATGAACAAACAGAAAGAGAAAAAATATTTGAAAGTGAAAGAAAATAGGATTTTTAACAAAATCAGTTGTTCTTATGTTTATTATTCATGATATATAATGTCATGCTTATTCCATTTAAATGTATAAATTTGATAGCATTCAAGTTTTTCCTAGTTTTTCTAATACATTAAAATGATGTTTATCATATATTAAGTATCATAAAAGAAACTTAATATCAAGACTTACTTTAATATGTCTTCTTTCATATTAAACATATTTTTCCTGGCCAAGCATGATGGCTCACACTTGTAAACCCAGCACTTTGAGAGGCCAAGGCTTGAGGATCACTTGAGCCCAGGAGTACAAGGAGCTAGGATCATGCCACTCTATTAGAGCCTGGGCAATGGAGAAAGACCTTGTCTCTTAAAAAAAATACATAAATAAATAAAATAAAATGTAAAAACATGTTTCCTAACTTTACACACACACACACACACACACACACACACACACACACACACACGGTGAAGTGAGAATAGTCACCCTTATAAGAATGAAGGGACTAAGAATTCCAAAGGTTACATAACTCGTCAAATAGGAAACATCTAATAACCACCATAGCCAACTATCTCTGATTCTAGAACACAAACATTATGTAAGAACTATCATAGTTTTCAAAGAATGATTAATAAGAATCTTTAGTAAGAATGCGGCCAGGCGCAGTGGCTCACACCTGTAATCCCAGCACTTTGGGAGGCCGATGTAGGTGGATCACCTGAGGTCAGGAGTTCAAGACCAGCCTGGCCAACACTGTGAAACCCCGTCTCTACTAAAAATACAAAAATTAGCAGGGAGTGGTGGCGGGCGCCTGTAATCCCAGCTACTCAGGAGGCTGAGGTAGGAGAATTGCTTGAACCCGAGAGGCGGAGGCAGCAGTGAGCTGAGATCATGCCACTGCACTCCAGCCTGTGCAACAGAGTGGGACTCCATCTCAAAAAAAAAGGAAAAAAAAATCTTTAGTAAGAATGATGTAATCATGTCTACTCTTGAATACATTAAGTAAATCTAACTGAGAAAGTAATTATTTATTTCTACCACAGTCTTTCTTGTATGGATTTGCACTTCTGGCTCCTGACTTATAGAAAAATACATAAGTGTTTCATTAGGTACCACAGACTAAATGCATATCTGTTGAAAGTTTTGGGAATTCTCTAAAATGTCTTCACAAAGACAATTTAAAAGTGAAACATTGTCTGAAATCCATTTAGTGCCCTTTAGGGATTTTTAAAATTCTTTGAAACTTACTGTAAATTTTTTCATATTTGAAACTAAGCAGATCTTCATTTATTTTCTCTCAACCAATGTTTTTACTTTGTCTGACAAACACACACCAGTTTTTTGCTTTGGCTTGAATTAAACAAACACAGGTGTTAAAATTTTCAGTTTCCTCATATTTTTTCTACTTACTTGTGCTATGGAAAGTCATTATGCTTCTGTAAAAGACACATTTTCCCAATTCATTACACCTAAAGGAACTGCCAGGCAAAATCTGCCTCCAGTATTTGAGCCATTGCAGACTTTCCCATATGTATTTTGCAAGCAGGTGTTTCATTTGCAGTTTTCCAGAAGCAAACTGTTTTTCAGGTAAATAGAGAATATCAATGTTTGTATAAAAAAGGAACAGTAATAACTACTCCTGGTAGAGCCTTGCTCAATATGAGAGCAATGTACAGTTGTTGAATAAAGGGTTGAATTGAACATATAATGTTTAGAACAGCCTAAGTGCACCCATCCAGTCACGCACCATGTTAATTAGTCACCCCAGAATGGATGAAGATAAAACACGAGCACAGAGCCGGAAGATGGGGGTTAACATTGGTAAAATACTTTTTATTTAAAAACACAATACTTTACCACATCCCTGTGAATTAAGCTCTATTATATCCACTCAATAAATACAAAATCGTGAATAAAATTTTATGCGACTTTCTCAATGTCACACAGTTAAACAAGATTGTGCCAGAATTCAAACCCACATCAGTATAATAAGAAAGCCTAATTTTAAGCACCAAAATTGTGCTTTGGTTTCTGGTCTCTTATCTTGTTCCTGGAAGCTATACTCCTAGAACTAGAATACTTCATATGAAATCCAAATAGTGAATAAGACTGTGCCATTGTATGGAAAGACCGGCAAAAAAATGGCCATTTGCCTTTCTACTTTCCCAATACTTTGGATTATAGACCGAATCATTCAGATACTGTGTCTTTGTTCATTTCATTTTTCCTTTCTTGCTAACCATGACCCTACAGCTAGGTTTATTTCATAGTTCCTATGGTAGCATAGAGTCTAACGGAAACTTATATATGGTTTTTGTTCTAAATGTATGCATATTTCCATTAATAATTGTTATATTTTACAGAGGCTTTCAAGATACCAGTTATATTATCTTACCCAAAAGTAGATTATTATTGTACCTATCTACAAGAAAAAGGCATTATAGTAGAACAATTTAGGACAAATTTCTGATTAAATGGACCTAATTTTTAACCCAGCTCTACCACTAACTGGTAGTGAACATGACTAAATTACTTAATATTTTTATGTTTATTTTCGTTTCCTATTTAGTGAAACTGAGGGTAATTTCAACCATTTTGGGCTCTTTTGAACATTAATGATATAATATATCTAAATAACTGATGAGACTACATCTTATTGGCTAGTATATAATGATGCTAATAAATGTTCATCATTTTTATTATAATTAGAATTTATATATTTAGATTTTATCTGCATTCTTGAGCAATATTAACAAAATCATGAGAAAAAACTGATAAAACTTAAATATTCAAATTTCTCAGTTTACCTCTCTGTATAACATTTCACAAATCTTTATCATTTAATATGGATTGTCAGTTTAAAAAATAAAAGGAAGTTTCTAAATGCCAAATTGAAACTGATAAGCTTTCTGTAAATACTATGTTCACAGTATCTGCCTCATTATTTAGGCTTGTATTTTCCCAGATTCACAAAGTTGAAACTAGCAACCCAGGACAGAACACCTTTAGGTCCCCTAAGTCAGTTTTATTCTGGATTACCATTTTCCATAGAAATGAGAAACTTAATACTGCATAGTCCTGTTTAACACTTTTCTACTTTTTGTGTTACTTTCTTCTTATAGTGTACTTGTCAATATTTTGCAAACTCCATAATACTTGTTATTTTGTTTGCATCAAAAATCAATGTATATACATGCATTTAAAACATAATAATGTTTATATTAGCCCACACATTTAGCATTTTCTTGCTCTTCATCTTTTTCTATGAATCTGGGCTGTCCTCTGAAGTTATTTCCTTTAAGTTTAACTAATTTTCTTTAGTCATTTATTCATTTTATCTTTTTCTCTTTTGAATTTTTTAGTTCTAGAATTGCCTTTAGTTTTTATTTGAAAAGAGCTGATTTGGCTCTCAACTTTATTGTTGGTATATAAGAATGCTAGTGATTTTTGTACATTGATTTTGTATCCTGCAACTTTACTGAAGTTGCTTATCAGTTGAAGGAGCTTTTGAGTCAAAACTATGGGATTTTCTAGATACAGAATCATGTCTGCAAACAGGGTTAGTTTGACTTCCTCTCTTCCTATTTGGATGCTCTTTATTTCTTTTTCTTACCTGATTGCTCTGGCTGAAACTTCCAATACTATGTTGAATAGGAGTGGTGAGAGAGGGCATCCTTGTTTTCTGCCAGTTTTCAAAAGGAATGCTTCCAAAGCTTTTCCCCATTCAGTATGAGGTTGGCTATGGGTCACAGATGGCTCTTATTATTTTGAGGTATGTTCCTTCAATACCTAGTTTACTGAGAGTTTTTAACACAAAGGGATGCTGAATTGTATTACAAGCCTTCTGCATCTATTGAGATAATCATATGTTTTTTTTCCTTTAGTTCTGTTTATGTGATAAATTACATTTATTGATTTGTACATGTTGAACCAACCTTGCATCCCAGGAAGCCTACCTGATCGTGGAGGTTTATCTTTTTGATGTATTGCTGGATTAGGTTTGCAAGTATTTTATTGAGGATTTTTGCATCAATATTCATCCAGGATATTGGCCTGAAGTTGTATTTGTTATGCATGTGTCTCTTCCAGGTTTTAGTATTAGGATAATACTGGCCTCATAGAATGAGCTGGGGAGGAATCCCTCTTCCTCAATTTTTTGAAATAGTTTCAGTATGAATGGTACCAGATCTTTGTACATCTGGAAGAATTTGGCTGTGAATCTATCTGGCCTTATGCTTTTTTTGGTTGGTAGGCTATTTATTACTAGTTCAATTTCAGGGCTTGTTGCTAGTCTGTTTAGGGAAACTTTTTCCGGTTCAGTCTTGTGAGGGTGTATGTGTCCAGGAATTTATCCATCTTTTCTAGGTTTTCCAGTTTGTGTGCAAATACGTGATTGTAGTAGTTTCTGGTTGTTATTTTTATTTCTGTGGGATCAGTGTTAACATCACTTTTGTCATTTCTAATTGTGTTTATTTGCATCTTCTCTCTTTTCTTCTTTATTAGTCTAGCTAGCAGCCTATGTATTGTATTAATTTTTTTTTTAAAAACAACTTCTGGATTCATTGCTCTTTTGAATGGTCTCAATTTTTGTGTCTCAATTTTCTCCAGTTCAGCTCTGATTTTGCTTATTTCTTGTCTTCTGCTAGCTTTGAGGCTGGTTTGCTCTTGCTCCTCTAGTTCTTTCAGTTGTAATGTTATTATAGGTTGTTAATTTGAGGTGTTTGTAACTTTTTTGTTGTTGGTGTTTAGTTAAATTTCCATCTTACCACAGCCTTAGCTGTGTCCCAGAGATTCCAATTTGTTGTATCTTTGTTCTCATTAGTTTCAAAGAACTGCTTAATTTCTGCCTTAATTTCACTATTTCCCCAAAGGCAATTCAAGAGTATGTTGTTTGAATTTCATGTAATTAATTTTCATGTTGTAATGTTCATGTAATTGCATGGTTTTGATTTTTTAGTCTTGACTTCTATTTTAATTGGGTTGTGGTCCAAGAGTGTGTTTGGTATGGTTTCATTCTGTTGCATTTGCTGAGGATTATTTTATGTTGGATTATGTGGTCAATTTTGGAGTACGTGCCATGTGGTGATAAGAAGAATGTATATTCTGTTGTTTTGGAGTAGAGAGTTCTGTAGAGTTCTATCATATCCATTTGGTCCAATGTTGAGTTTAGGTCCTGAATATCTTTGTTTGTTTGTTTTTTTGAGATGGAGTTTTGCTCTTGTTGCCCACGCTGGATTGCAATGGCACAATCTCGGCTCACTGCAACCTCTGCCTCCTGGGTTCAAGAGATCCTCCTGCCTCAGCCTCCTCAGTAGCTGCGATTACAGGCGCCCATGACCACTCCCAGCTAATTTTTTTGTATTTTTAGTAGAGACGGGGTTTCACCATGTTGGCCAGGCTGGTCTCAAACTCCTGACCTCAGATGATCCACCCGCCTAAGTCTCCAAAGTGCTGGGATTACAGACGTGAACCACTGTTCCTGGCCAAAGTCCTGAATATCTTTATTAATTTCTGCCTCGATAATCTGAGTAATAATACTGTCAGCAGACTGTTGTAGTCTCCCACTATTATTGTATGAGAGTTGAAGTCTCCAAAGTTATAAAAACAAGCAATGGTGAAAGGACTCCATATTCAATAAATGGTACTGGGAAAACTGGTTAGCCATATGCGGAAGACTGAAACCAGGACCCTTCCATTTACCATTTACAAAAATAAACTCAAGATGGGTTAAAGAGTAAAATGTAAACCCCAAAACTATGAAAACCCTGGAAGACAATCTAGGCAATGCCATTCTGACATAGGAACTCAAAGATTTCATGACAAAGATGCCAAAAGCAACCACAACAACAGCAAAAATTGATAAATGAAATCTAATTATATGTAAAAGTTTCTGCACAGAAAAAAAACTATCAGCAAAGTGAACAGACAACCTACATAATGGGAGAAAATATTTCCAAAGTATGCATCTGACAGAGGTCTAATATACAGCTTCTACAAAGAACTTAAATTTACAAGAAAAAAAACTCCATTAAAAAGTTGGCAAAGGACATGAACACTTTTCAAAAGAAGACATACATGTGGCCAACAAGCATATGAAAAATAGCTCAATATCACTGGTCATTAGAGAAGTGCAAATCAAAATCACAATGTGATACCATCTCACACCAGTCAGAATGGTGATTATTAAAAAGTCAAAAATAACAGATGTTGGTGAAGTTGCTGAGAAAAGGGAATACTTATTTAGTTCAACCATTTTGGAAAACAATGTGGCAGTTCCTCAAAGCGCTAAAAAAAAAACAAACTAATATCCAATCCAGCAATCCCATTACTGGTTGTATAACCAGAAAAATATAAAGAATTCTACCATAAAAAATGAATGTGAATGTTCATTGCAGCAGTATACACAATTGGAATCTCAGTATTGGTCCATATGTTCTCCATTTTAGTTCTCCTAAAGTATTAATGACAGTCCTCTGTGTATACATTGCAGTTTTTCTTCTGCCATATTCTAGGTAAAGTCAGTCAGAGAGCAGTAGCAGAGAAAAAAGCGGGAGAGATGAGGATGAAGCACAAAGGAATGTCAGTGAGATTTGAGGTATGAGGATTTGACCTGTCCTCGCTGGCTTTAACTACGACGCAGGAAACTATGAGCTGAACAATTCTAGCAGCCTCTGGAAGCTGAAAATAACCTATGTCAACAGCTACAAAGGAACCAGTGACCTGAGTCTTGCAACCACACGAAACTAAATTTTGCTAAAAAGCCAGATAAGCCTGGAAGCAGATTCTGCCCCAGACCCTCCTGATAAGATTCCAGTTTTGTGGGACTCACAGCAGAGAAACTAATGGTGGAGCTGACTGGATTTCTGCTCTACAGAAATGTGAGGTAGTAAATTTGCATGGTTTGAGCCACTAAATCTGTGGTAATTTATTATGACAGTGGCTTTTATGGGACAAAAAATAATGTGCGTATTTTTGTGGAGTAAAAACTTTGAAGGAAAAATAGGACTAAGTGGAAGAGGATAATCTATTATAGGATAATATATGTTACTGATGGTTTCTCCCTATTTGTACAAGAGCTATAGAAACAGAGAATGGGCTAATCGGAAATAATAAAAGATATTCTCAGAGAGTAAACTCAGCATTTAAGATGAGACCTCAAAGATTTTGAATAATAGCAATGTACTATGATGCTTCAAAGAGAGAATGACTGAGGTGCAAATGAAATTTACTCTAGTTTAGAAAAGTCAAGAAAATATGAGACTAGATAAGTAGGTGAACTCAAAGGCTTGAACAATGAAATACTCTTGATGTTGGGATAGAAAGGAAATTCTGAGATACTTGGCAAAGCCTCAACAAATATGTTGGAATGACAATTTTGGTAGAAAGAATCAGGAATTCAGTGGTTGTAAAGTCAAATGATACAATTCACAGAAGAGTGCTATTTACACCAGAGAGGATTTTTGTTATGATTTTTAACATTTACCATGTTTTAGCATGCTGTTGGCATTTTAAAAAATGTTTCCTAATTTCTACTTTATAAAATTTTTCAGTAGAAGAATAGATTTTTTTACATCTTCCTATGTTAGTTTAAATTAAGTGATACATGCAGCAGACATATATTACTAGATATAAATATACTTTATAAAGACTTTAATATGGAGATTTTTACATTTATACAATTTTTAAAAGGAGGAAAAGTACAAATACCAGGTCTTTCCTAACTGAACTTCAAGGTTCTATTTACCAGCTTCAATCCAAAGATTAGGAAACTACTGTTAGCACCTAGAGGCCAGCAAAATGAAGAAAAGCACTGCTAACATCACAACTGCCTACAATTAAGGAGCAGACAATGGAAAAATGGAAAATGGCCCTTACTAAATCTCATGCCGCTTCTATCTAATCCCCTTCTGTCTTCACAAGTTTGTGTATGTATCTCAGGGACACATCCCCAACTATATCCAAAATCCCAGAAAAAAAAAAATTCTCCCATTGCTTCTCCAGTGTGATACAGTGGAGAGGAAACAACAGATGATGACAATGACAGTTAAGTGCCAAAAACCATGATTATTAACCACCTCACATATTTAAATGCTTCTGTGATATATTTACTTAGGTTTTCAATAGGCAGATAAAATATGGCAAATTAAAAACAAAAACAAAAAACTTAACTTGTTTTCTTTGTTGTTCCCCAAAAATGCTCCACTTTTGAGTCATTTTTACTTTGAATTATTCCCTGCCAATGACTTATTTCAAGTTCATAATTTCTCACATTTCCTTAAAAGTATAATAAACTATATTTAATATTCATTTAATATTTTCAACACTTCCATCAATCTATCCTCTACAATGATACCAATATTATTTTTCCATAGCTTTTATTGCTCTCAGAATGCATTCAAACTTTTTTTTTTTGGCAGGCAGGGATGAGAGGATGGATCAAGGTCTCACTTTGTCACCCAGGCTGGAGTACAGTGGCACAATCATAACTCATTGCTGCCTCAACCTCCTTGCTTAGGTGATCCTCCTGCCTCAGTCTCCTGTGTAGCTGAGACTACAGGCACAAGAAACCACACTCAGCTATTTTTAAAATTATCTGTAGGGACAAGGTCTCCTTACGTTGCCCAGGCTGGTTTTGAACTCCTGGGCTCGAGCAATCATCCTGCCTTTACCTCCCAAAGTGCTGAGATTATAAACATGAGCCACTGCACTTGGTCCAGACTTTTTAATTTAATTTTATTTTTTGTCATGAATAACCTTTGTGATTTGGCTGTTGGTAACCTGCCAAATTTTATCTTTTGCCTCTCTTGTGCATCTTTCTACCCTGCATTCATATTAAAATACTTGAATATTCTCAAATAAGCATATCCTATATAATTATTTCTTGTGTTACCATGTGGCTTTCTCACATTCTGGTTGCTCTGGTTGTCCTGAGACCATATCAGCATGGGTAACTCTCAAGCATCATTCAATAGTCATTAAATGAACCATCTTATCTGGGATATTTTTCTGTCTAGCCAAGTCTAGATTTCCTGCCCTTACTCTAGATATCTAGAGCTTCCCAAGCACAATATCTACCTTATTATTTACAGGTTACTTTTTAAAATTCTGTTTATAAGCTCCATCTTCTTATAAAATTCTAGATATCGGCATCTCTAAAACTCATAGGATACTTTATGTTCCAGGCATATTCAAGTATGTCAACAAGTAAAAATATATTTATTTACAATGATATCTGAAAAACTACAAATGTGGAAATACATAAACACTCATGAACATACACAAATGATTATTAAGACTGCTAAAATTGTTAAGATAGACAGCAATATCAAGTTTAGAATTCAGAAGATAAAATAATGTGTCTAGATATGTTCTACTGCTAGATAAAGAGATATATAAATGCTGACATAGGTAACCTAAGTTTACATTATTAGCCATGGTGAATGTTAGTTGAAATTAAGAGAAAACATAATGTCCAGTCATTTACTGTGTCTGTAAAAAGTTTTGCCAATATTGTGGCAAAGGACTGCTTCAGACTCATGTGTCCACATGGGATTGAGGAAGAGGGATAAATATTGGTTGGTGATGATGGAATGGAATGGCCACTTGACATCAAAACATATATTATGAATTTGGCTATTTCATGGCTGCAGATGAATTGGCTCTCAGTTTTATTTCAAACACACAGTGTAGGACATTGATTTTAGCACTTGATTTTTAATGAAACTTACCCTCTAAATTAAATATCAACCCTGCATGTATTCTTTATGATGTCCAAACTAGGTTTTACAAATACAAGTCTTAAAAAGGCCATTCAACATTAAGGAATAGTGATCACTGACAAACATTCTATTGATTAACAATTTTAAACCCTAAATTCCAATTTGCTTAAATATAACTCAAAAATGAATATAAGTGCTAATTATGGCAAAGCTACTTCAATTGCAGAGTAGTGCATAATAGAATTGCACCAATAAGTACACATAAGAGAAAAAATGGTTTATACCAAAGCTATAAAATTAAAATTTAATTAATTGTTTTGTACCGTTCTAAAAACTGCTGATCTAAAGTTAGGCGTTGAAATACATTATATTATTATTCTTTAAAACCAATCAGAGCCAAGTGAAGTCAATAAATAACCAATAATATCACAGTTTTAATAAAAATTTCTAACTTTTAAAAATTTTCTATTGTATAATGAGAATATATTTAAATGGATTGTAAAATAAAATTTGATAGTATCAATATTTATGGAAAAATAAAATAAAATGTGTATTTCCATTTATGTCAAATATTTTTGAAACCATTGCTCATCACCATAATGATAGCATTTGGACCTCAGGAACCTGCATCTTCATGGATAGAGTGGAAATGATACTTTACATAAATCAAGTCCCTTAATTCAGGGAGTACACCAAGCTTAGTTATCAATGCCTAAAACTTTAAAACATAATATATTCAGATGTTGTAATTATCTATTATAAGTTCCTAATAACTTGTCAACTTAAGCTGCATTTGATTTACATTTATTCACTGAAAAGCATTATCTTTTGCATAAATATTTCTGATCCTAGTATTTTGATGGGCTTTCAGTTATCATACATTAATATTTATTATTCTTTATATGTGGGAATAGTTACACAGTCATTTTTTAATAAGTAAAGAAATGATTGACTATAGTCTCTTAACTTGGCATACACAGAAATGTGCATATGCACACACACATACACAGACACATACACACACAGAGCATATGTATGCCAAGAAATACTCATAAAGCAGAGGTTTAACAGATTGTGTTGTATCTTGCTTTTATTTACATGAGCAAATAGAAAGGTATGTGGTGTAAAATATTTAAAGAGTTTTAGCACTACATTACTTTGAGACTGAATTGTCACAACATTCTCAAATAAGATACATATAAGTATCATCTTTAACTAGATGGAAATTTGCTTGCAGTTAAAAACACTAGAAAGTAGGAAGGTGTTTAAGACAATTTTAGGAGATAAATATGCCTGAAAATTAGATTTAGAGAGAAATGCAATCTTAAGATACTTAGAAGAACACGTGTAATTGATTATAAAGTTTACATTTCAGCTATAGAAAACTATAAGCTAAGAGGTGACAAGTACATGCATATTTGTTTGTTAGTTCACATTATCGGCCTCAGAGATTAACTTATTTTCCTAGCTATAATGGAGAATATTTTATAATAAACATAATTTTAATAAGTTGTTTTAAAAAGTAAATTTAGACTTTTTTTAATTTGGAAAATGGACAAGTAAATATCTGAAATATATGTATGGCCCAATCAAATGAGGCAAGAATATCATGCAGTGTCCTATTCTTATAATAAGGCACATTACTCTTGAATTCCAATCAGATTCAAACAACTATATGCAGATACAACTATATGAAAAAATTCAATATTAGTAATATTATGGTAATTATATTAGTAACAAGTTTCATTATTGACATGTATAACTATTATAAAATTGTGTATGATACCACTATTTCACATATGTATGTATATGTATATCTATCTATACCTTATTGACAGAAAAACCCAGTAATTTACTGATGTACCCAGTATATCCTATGTGTGTGTATGTGTGTGTATATGTACACACATATACATATTTATATAGCTACATACATATATTACTAAGAGGAAACTCTGCAATTATATATATATAGATGCTTATATATAGAAAGTATATACTATGACTATATGACTTCCTAATACATGCACACACATAAACAGGGAATCCAGTTAACACATTCCACCAGTCTCAATACCAATTTTGAAATGACTGCTCAAAAAATTTCACAATACTCTACTTGATACTAGTGACACTGACCTGGACATTATCAGACTCACAATAGAGAAGGCCTAAGATCCTTCTTTTGTGTCTCCAAAAATACCTCTCCTTGACATCACTGTTCTTAGACAAGACGTGACAGTATGCCTGAAAAGATATCATCTAGGCTAATTCCCTACATTTCTGTAAATGTAAGTCAAATAAAAGAGCTCCCAAATCCCAGACCCTGGCTCCTCTAATATTACTCCATCCTCATGGAAACATAACATATAAAGAACACCAATCATATGTCCTCATCTGCTTCAACAATCATTCACACTGCCTCATTGAACTCTTGCTCTCTTTCAGCAGACCACCTTGTAAGTTCAGCAATGTTCTCTCAAGGGGTTTGTTACTCTCTGCTATAACTGAAATCAGATGCTCCCCTAAGATCGCGTTTTTCATCTTTTTCTTCTTCTGCAGTTCTCTTAAGCAGACGTTATTTCATCCACTATGCCTCTTTTTCCAGTGGTTCTGATCTATGCCTCCCTTGCTCTTCATTGTCATCTCCGAGCCATTTTCTTCTTCTCTCTTTTAGTATGTATTTATTTTGTCTTCCTTCCATTGTTACATTTTTTTCTCCTTCAGAATACTTTATGTGTCTGTTATACCTCCAAGTTTCTCATCTTTCATTTGAGATAGTTTTTGTAGTAGTTTACAAACCACCACTTTAATGCTCAAAAAAATCCCATTCTTCGTTTTAACATTTACTGTTTTTAAGTTCATAATTTTTTTTCAAAACTCTTTACATTTTAAATTTCATACAAAAGGCCTATATTCTATGAGCTGTTTCAGAAGTAAGGTTGAAAGTGTTGTTTCTATTTACAGAGGTTCGTTGTTTTATTTTGTCTTTTTGTTCATTGTTTTCTTGTTGTCTATTTACAGAGGTTCGTTGTTTCTTTTCTTTTTGATACATACTTAGTTGGGGACAGAAGAACATCTTTATTGACCACATCAAACCCCAAGAATTTGATACATCCATATGTACATACATATACATCCATATACAAAAGTATTTATACATATGGATAGTCTTAAAGGTTTAAGGACTCTTAGTTTTATAGTCTCCTTCACCAGATATTCGTTTTGCATTTAAATTTAACTGTATTCTGGTGGTTCAAAATGATTCTCTCCTATTTGAGTCACTTCAGAAGGTCAGTTATTATTCAATTTAGCTCTTTGAGGCTCAAGTATAGTTATTATTAATACTCCTATTAGTAGGATTCCTGCAGGTGATTAAAAAAAAAAACAGTCATTCTTAGTTTGTGGCTTAAGTCTTAAGTGTCAGCTATCAGTCCTCTTCAAAGAGATCTGCATGAAACAGTTCTGATCTCTCATCTCCTTGCAGACTCCCACTCTAATAGACCTGAAGATCCAGACCCCCAATGAGATCTACCTGGCATTCATGGGTCACAAAGCTCTGATGTAATCATACAGAGTTGACATAAAAATCATCCCTTGAAGTACATATCACGCAAATGTCAGACACCACCCAGGACCTCATTTTTTTTTTCCTTTTATTCTCTACTCAGGGTTCTGAAGACACACTCTTACTGATTTTCTAAGCCACGGGGGAAGTGCATTAATTCAGTTCTACAAATGTAATCTCCAAGGAGCTAAATGTATCAATACCTATTTCTCCAGAGATCACAGCTGTCTGAATTAAGAAAGTCAAGTAATTCAGAGTTGGCGATATAGGACAAGGAAGTGATGCTCAGGTGAAATGTGATCAGGACTCTCAGATTATTGACTCTTACTTAATTTTGTGTTTTACTCATATAACATCTCTCAAGAATAACTGTTGACATTTGCACTTAGTATTTTAACCGTATTATCAAAAGTATTTCTCTTTGTGTCTATGTTTTATTGCTTTAAATAGTAGCAGAAATTTGATAAAGTGATTTCTGTGATCTCGATTCTTGGGGTTTGTTGTAGTCAATACAGAAATTCTTCTGTCTTCAACTAAGTATGTATCAAGACAAGAAGAAAGGAGAGAACCGGGATAAACAGAAACAATTTCAGCTTTACTTCTGAGACAGCTCATAACATAGGCCTTCTGTATGGAATCACAACAGGTTCCTGATACTGAACTTCAAAAGTAGACAGACTGATCCACATTGTCAGTGTATTTGTCAGGGTTATCTAGAGGGACAGGACTATTAGGATAGATGTATATTTGAAAGGGAGTTTATTAAGGAATAGTGACTCACATGATCACAAGATGAAATCCCACAGTAAGCCATCTGCAAGCTGAGGAGCAAGGAAGCCAGTCCAAGTCCCAAAACCTCGAAAGTCGGGAAGCTGACAATGCAGCCTGCAATATGTGTCCGACAGCCCGAGAGCCCCTGGCAAACTACTGGCGTAGGTCCCAGAGTCCAAAAGCTTGAAGATTTTGGAGTCTGATGTTCAAGGGCAGGAAGCATCCAGCTCAGGAGAAAGATGGAGGCCAAAAGACTTAGCCACTTTAGTCCTTCCAGGTTTTTCTGCCTGCTTTTATCCTAGCGATGCTGGCAGCTGATTAGATGGTGCCCACCCAGATTGAGGGTTGGTTGCCTCTCTTAGTCCACTGACTTAAATGTTAATCTCCTTTTGCAACACCCTCTTAGACACACCCAGGAACAATACTTTGCATCCTTCAATCCAATCAAGTTGACAATGAATATTAACCATCACAGTCAGGCAACACTGCAAAGCCACAGTCTCCCTCCAGCAATCAGAATCTTATTGCTAAATTTACTGCATGCCCTAAAACAGAGGAAAAACACACTCTTTCTGCACGAAGAACCAGAGAAAAAGAAAAATAGAAACAGGCCGGGTGCGGTGGCTCACGCCTGTAATCCCAGCACTTTGGGAGGCCGAGGTGGGTGGATCAGTTGAGGTCAGGAGTTAGAGCCCCGCTTGGCCAATATGGTGAAATCCCATCTCTACTAAAAACACAAAAATCAGCCGGATGTGGTGGCGGGCACCTGTAATCCCAGCTACTTGGGAAGCTGAGGTAGGAGAATCCCTTGAACCCAGGAGGCAGAGGTTGCAGTGAGCCGAATCACGCCACTTCACTCCAGCCTTGGCAACACAGTGAGACTCCGTCTCAAAAAATAACTAAATATAATAAATAAGAAGAAAAGGAGAGAGAGAGGGGGAGAGAGAGAGAGAGAGAGAGAGATGAGCTTTACATAAACTGCTCTTTCTCTGGAAATCCCTCTTGATACAGAATTGGTAAGAGTGACAGAGAGGTCAAGAATGCAACCAGATCTGAAGCCCCTTCACAGCAAAAATATTGGCCAAGGGAACAAATACTTGGGTAAATTTTAAAATCTGTGTTATTGTCTTGGCAAACTTCTGTAGAACTGTGTAGTGACAAAGGACATTAATGTGCATTCAGGAAGTCTGGGTTCAGGTTCTGTCTCTGCCACTGACTAACTTGAGGACTTTGGATAGGTTATTGGAACTCACATGTCTCAGTTTTCTCATTGCAGTCACAGAAAGCAGAGCACAATTATGAGCAGCTAATTTGTAAACATTCATTAAGTCACAAATAACTAAGATTCCAATAAACTCATAAATGTTTATTCTTTCCCTCTCTTAGCGTCAATGTTCTGCAGACAATTGAGTCTCTTAGCAACAATGTTCTGCAGACAACTGAGCTTATTGATTGTTTCCTCTATGAAGTAGCTTCATTTTAATAGTGGGTACTTTATATAATTGTATTTATCATTATAAGTTAAATGAATTACCAGACATGTCTAAATGTGTGTTAATTTTTATGTTTTATTGAAAAATATTGTTACGTAATGTAAACATTCAGATACAAATGACACAACTACCCCATTTTGATTAATATTCAAAAGTTTATGTACTGTTGCTTTCCATTTGTAATGGGCCTTTCTTTGGTGATATCAAGCATCTCAAGTGCAGAATGACTTAAAGGCATGAATCAAGTACAAATTTGGAGGAATAGTCTTCCAGACAGTGGATCCAAATGCAAAGGTTCTGAGGAAGTGATGTGCTTGATGTGTTTAAGGAATAACAGCAAAATAAACATGGGTGGAGTAGAAAGAGAAGACTATTTTGGTAGCTCATCAGAATGTAGTAGGGCTGTTTCACCTCAGGCCCTCTAGGCCACTGTAATGACTTTGGGTTTGTTTAAATGCGATGAAAAACCTTGGTAGTTTTTGAAAGGCGGGATTATATAATCTGATTTCCTTGTGGCTGCTATGTGGAGAATTAACTGTAGAATTGCACAAGTTAGAGTAATACATCCTGATTTCTCCTGATGCTTCCATTTTACATATTGTGTAATTATTAATAATGCTCATTTACTCTCAAAAGAGTCATGGTTTAGATGTTGTTATATGGTGACTCTGGCAAGAGTAGAGAGGCAAAAGGGTTAGTAGGTGACTATTAAAGAAGTCCAGGGAAGAGATGATGTGTGCTAATGTGTGGAAATGGAAGTGTTGGTGGGGGTAGGGGAGGATAGAAAGAAAGGTAGCTATGTTCTGTGACTCTGAAGAAGTTGCCTCTAGTAGATACGTATACAGTGAGTGTTCTCACATGTACAAATACGCATATGTGTGTGCATAATATATGATAATACTTCTACATATGCCTTTACTGTACCACTTTGTGTGTGAATACATACATACATATATATGTACACACATTTGTTTGCTTATGTGTGTGCACATGTAGAGTGAGCATATATGTATATAATGTACATGTATATATTATAATAATAATAAATGACATTTATTTTGTAGATTATATGTTATATATTATTGTTTTTAAATGTTTGATTATAATTTCTTTTGTTATTAAAATTGTTAGGTAAAATATTATATGACATCTAATAATAGCTCTGACCTTTATAGAAATGTGAAAAAGTTTACATTTACTTTGAATAATATTTGAGATAAAACAAGGATAATTTATTTAGATTGTAAAGCTTTACTGCTTAAGTATATTTAATCCTTAAATAAGTGTTGTTCTAAATTCTACTTTTGACTTACTAAAAATAGTTTAATATTTCTTTAAATCAACATATGTTAAATATTTTTTACTTTATTCTTACAATCAATTACTATATAACATCAATCAAATCTTATAGAGCAGAAAACTTCTGACAGTATAGAGCTATTCTA
Source organism: Homo sapiens (assembly GCF_000001405.40). Classification (NCBI taxonomy): domain Eukaryota; kingdom Metazoa; phylum Chordata; class Mammalia; order Primates; family Hominidae; genus Homo; species Homo sapiens. The sequence goes on along the minus strand of NC_000001.11, from coordinate 195,301,591 downwards.
TAGCTTGTATGATAGTGCAAAATATGACTTATTACTACAAATTTAATTTCAGTTGAATTTGATTATTTTTTAGAAAAATAGTGTTTTAGCCTTTTAATAATTATATATGAATGGTTAAATTAATATTATCAATTACATGTATTAAAGTATTTGCCTAAACTTAAAAAAATGCTGTTAGAATAAGTAATCAACACATTAAACATTCATATTAAAATTAATAATGAACTGTTTATTGATTATCTGCTATTTTAAATAATTATTCATGTATAGTTTTAAAATGCAGAAAATCATTTTTATTGACAATGATCAAATTACTATAATGTCTAGTTATTACAATTAAAATTATTCACATTTTACAATTTAAATTTGAAAAATGGTTAACTTTGTAGGTTGCAATAGGATTACCTATATATTTTACAGAGGAGAAAACAAAAAGAATCAGCCTACTATTGAGAATTAAATATTGGTATCTCCTCTTTCTCCACAACTTATATGTTAGGGTTCCTTAACATTTTATCACAGGTTTTTCTTCTTAGCTTCTACTTTCTTTAAAGTGCACTTATTTTAAAAGCTTTAATTAGCACCAATATTTTCATGGCTCATAAATGTTATCTCCAGCCTTGAACTTTCCTCTGATCTACAGTTCATTCAACAGGAATTCTTAGGGGTTTCAAACATTTCTCAAGCTCAACCTGTGTGAGATAAAAAGTCAATAATACTCCTTTTTCCCACCAGGAAATCAGCCTTCATTTATTATTCTTTGTTTCAGTAAATGACACCATCATTTACCCCCCAAAAAACCTTGAAATTTCAGAGTCATCCCTAATTTATTTCTCTTTCTACATCTCCATATTCAATCCATCATCAATCCAAATCCAAGTGACTTTCTAAATATCTTTTGAATGTACTGATTTTTTTAATCTTGCTTGCCTTAACTTCACCTTGCTCAGGCTTCAGCAAAGAATGCTTTAACTGATCTGTTCAATCCTCAGTAGCTGAAGTTATATTTTCGAAATCCAAATCATATTTTTCTCTCATCAGAAACCACTATCACCAACAACCCCTTTTGACTCCATCACATACTGAACTTTCTGAACTTGAAACCCTTTTATATCTTCATATTATTCTTTTAACAATGTGCAAATAATGCAAACAAGCAACAGGGCCTTAAATAATCTCACTCTAACCTAATTCTATAGCTTAACATCTTTCCAAATTGCTCTTTCATCCCTTTGCTCAGATCAGCTGACATCTTCATGCATCTTTAATTTAACATTCTTCTTCCCATCATAAAGCCTGAGCAGATACCATTTCTTCAGTCTGAATGGTTTTCTTTTTCATCTTACTATTCTTAAACTCTTAATTCTTTTTATATTTGCAATATACCTCCTCAAGAAAACATTTCTTAACTTCTTAACTTATTAAATTCTTTATGATAAATTCTTCAAGCACCATCAATTCTTTGCACGTTAGTTCAAATATTCATATATTTGCATGAATTGCATTTTTTGCAAGACATAAATCCCATAAGAATAGGAAACAAATATCTTTTTACTCACAATTTTATTCCACGTGCCAAGCACAGTATCTGCATATAGCATGTCATTACAATGTATATGAATAAATATCTCCACTATAGCACTATTAAGTTCAAATATATACTTTGAGGAGAAATTGTTTGTTGAATAAGCACTCACGGAATTCTTTGTGAAGGAAATACAAAGATAAATAAGAAACCTTGAATATTTTGTGATGATATTAATTATATCGACAAATAATATTGAAAACTATTGTTCAAGGTTCATATTGGGTGTAAATTGGGTCCATTAGTGCAGAGAAGAACAGTCATTGCTTATGTTTCAGTCAAGAACAAAGATGAATGAGCATTAATTTTAGAATAGATGTTAAGAGTTTTAGTACTGTGTACTATAAAATTAAATAGGAAAAGAGTATCATATTATTTTGAAATCAGGGAAACTATCCTAGAGAAGGTGTTTTCAATATAAAACCTATGCAAAGAGAGAAAAATAAAGCAAGGGAAAGAGAGAAAGACTTCTGGCAGAGAGAAGAGGACGTGTAGACTCTGCACATCAGAGAGAGTAAGAGACTTTTGAAAAACTGAAGGAAATTTACTGAAACTGAGAAGAGATTACAGAAACAAACTGAGACTGAAGGGAAAAACAAAGCCTCAGCATTGTCTGAAGATTAGAATGTGTCTCCATAGTATACTGCTGATGGTTGAATCTGGCCACCAAAGTTTCTGTAATATTTGGACAAATATTTATTTATGCATTTGTTCATAAATGTCATTTGTATTAACAGAGCAAAATACAGTAGGATAATATATAGAGAGACAGATGAATACATTGAGTTGAAAAAGAAAAAATTAATACGTTTGGAAAACTTCTAATTCTTATAAATGCAAAAAGACAAATAAAACATGAAAAGTACAAATTAACTAGTTGTGAAGGTTAGTAAGGTAGCATTGATTAAATAAATTCCATGAGATAAAATTATGTTGGCAATTATGGGGATTTTAAAATACTTTTTAACCTGAATTAACCCTGTGAATGGGCAAATGCTTGTCTAATTCTGCGGACGATGTTAGTTTCAGGACAGTATATAATTTTTTGCATGGTTTTAACATAAAATTAATGAGGTTGTCTATTTTCAATTTTTCACCAAATAGAAACCAAATTATTTCGGATTACTTACCAGCAGGCATGTTTAGCTTCATTTCTTATAAAAGGTTAAAATATTTAAAAGAAAATTAAATTAGTGATTTGTAATTATTGGCTAAGTAAATTTAATTCTAATATGCAAAACACGGTGATATTATAAGGGAACCTGAATTATACATAATACAATTTTAATGATTCTTAGCAAATCTTAGCCAACTGAGTTATGAATAATTAAAACTTATACTCCTAAGTAGCCTTTAGGTGTATAATGGTAACAAAAATAAATTGAAACATCTTTATTCTGTCACAAAATTTATTAATCTTTAAATGTCCATGTTCCACCTGAAAACTTTTTGATTTTCATGCTTTCATAATTTTCATGAATTCTTATATTTTATTGCAGTGGTATATTGGAGTAGAAAATGGCTTCCACTTTGCACGTGGCCTTTTCTCTTTATTCTCCTGGAAGATCCTCTGGCTCTCCTTGTGCAAATATCCAATCACACCAAATTATGTCAGGGTATATTTTCTTTAGTTTTGTGAGTATTAATTTCCTTAGTATAGACAAAAGCTAGACATAGAATATACCAATAATAGTTCATGATTCTAGGAACCATTTATTCAATAACTTAGAATCTAGAGGAGAAGGTAGACAAAAAGTCAATCTCTGCTTCATATATTAATGTAGAAAAATACAGTGTATTGGAGGGGCTTCCGGCTATGGTGAAGTGAAGTCAGGCATACATAGCCCAGCACTATCTATGTAAATTTTAAAAATGCAAATACCGTATACAACAGTACACATCTTAACAATTACAAAAAACAAGAAGTTTAGAAAAGTATTTCAAAACAATCTTTTGATGGGAAAGAGATGAGAGTGGTGAATGTATTAAATGTGAATAAATAAGGAAATAAGCCCAAGCCATGGGCTTGCTGAAGAACAACTATGAAAAGTTCAGTGAGCTAAAGGATATGATTAAATTGACTTTCTGGATCTGAGGTCAGGAAATAATCAAAATAATTGCTTCTATTCTGGTTGAGTTTGTTTCACCCCTGATTACATCATTAATGTAATTGATGTCCACTTTATTTCTATCAGTAAGAACTTACTGAATTTCTACATGTACATAGCATTTTACTTTAACAGAACTGCTGATTCTTGCTATTATAAAATATCATGCACAATATTATTTTAAAAAATATTCTATTGACTAGAAAATTTATTAGCCAAAATGTTACATCTTCTAAGCAAAAGTCAATTTTCAAGTAAATGCAAGTTAGAGGAGTTTATTGATAAGAGAGAGGGCTATATTATAAATTTACACTGAAAATGAAAAAATGTACAGTATTAGAACAACAAATATATGTGTGCTGTACCCTGTACACACTTAATGAAAATTTAGTAAAGAATATACAAATAAAAAGCCATCATAGGGTTCACAACTTGGAAATAGTTATTAGTGTGAACCCTATAAAATTACTGAACTTGAAGTTTAGAAATAATTGGGTATAACAGTGTCATAAGACTTAACACATTCTTTTAGTAAGAGTTCTAATGAACCAGAGAGTATTAAGACTGAAAAGCAAATAGCACAAAGATAGGTCAGGAAAACAGTAAAATGTGATCTGAACTGCTTGTGAGGATCTGTAATCATAATTAACAGAAAAGAAAACAATTAAATGAAAATCTTACTCCTCTACTTTAGGCAGATTTATCATCCTGACATAAGTCAGGTCACCAAAATGAAAAATACAGATACTCTTCTGCCTAACTCCCTGTTAAAATGACTTTGTTAAATTACAATGTAAAAATATGTAGTTGACATTGTATAATTCAAGAAAACAATTGGTATGTTGAAAAACAAATAGTATACAAACACTTTAAAAAACCTTTCATGAATTTATTGTATTAAATATTTACTTTAGAATTTTCTAAAATTTTGAACTGCTTTTATCCCTCAGTTTGTTTTGGGGACTTTAATTAGAGTGACCCTTTCCTAAGTTGACTATTACCTTTATTCTTGCAATTACGGCTTTTCTTCACCCCAGAAAACTTGGTGTGTGTGGTAAATATATTGAAAAATAATACCTAGAAAAATGACCTGCAAATATAAGATACTCAATAAAAGATAACTAAATCATCTTTGTAATAATCACCACATACATTTAAAAATATTTAACCCTAAATGAAGAAACAATTCTTGTTTCACAGGAAAATTTCAGTAAGATTTATAAATAGATTTACATGTTCCACCATTGAATCTACTGCTTTTTAGATCTGAGGTTTCAATAGAAGGTTTTCTGCAGTCTTACACTACTTTTTTATTTTTAATTGACAATAAGTGTATATATTTATTGGGTACAATATAATGTTTTGTTACATATACATTGTAGAAATATTAAATCAAGCTAATTAACATATCCACTACCTCACTTACATTTTGTGGCGAGAACATTTAACATTTACTCTTTTAGCAATATGGAAATACTATATATATATAAAATTAATATATATAATTTTTAACGATGGTCACCATGATGTGCAATAGATCTCTAAAACTCATTCCTCATTTCTAACTTGAACTTTGTACCCTATGAGCAACATCTCCTCTTTCCTTGATTCCCCCCCACATGTACACTCCGACTCTCTCGTGATCACCATTACATTCTCAAGAGAAGGTTTTGACATGGAGTTGAGACAGAGGCCAATCCATTCATCAAATACATTTCCGTACTTTGTAAACTTGTAGCAAATTAAGAATTGTGTAATACTTGCAAATTTTAAAGAGAAATTAGCAATGAAATATAACATTTAAGTAAGACACAATCTTATATTTGTGAGAATAAATAATGAATAAAGATGAATGAATATATGCATTATAAAATTGACAGTCTTATAGGCAATAATGGTTGGCTATTTGTATTTAAATTATAATTTTCAATATTTATGTAAATTGAAAGATTTACTACTTGGTATCACACAAGTTAAAATCAGAGTAATTGAAAGATTTACTACTTGGTATCACACAAGTTAAAATCAGAGTACCTTAGCTTGATGGTAGTTTGCTTAGATGTTATCTTCATAGGACCTAAAATAACTTTTTTCTGAAGGATTTTATACAAAATGATAAAAACCTGCATATGAATTACCAAAAATGTTGAATATGATAATGTTACGGAAAGTCTTCAAAGAAATATTGAATGACAAACATCAATTATCTTTAAATGAAGAAACTGACATTTAAAAAGTCATTTTCAAGTAACTCCAGGGACAGATGTGCTTTTCACATATTCATTCTTTTAAAACTCATAATAGTAGTACAACAGGTTAAATATGATAAAGAAAATCACAAATTTGGCAGAGTTTGGATGAGAATCTTCTAAGTTTAAAATATACAGCTATGAAAAAAAGATGGTAATAATGACATTTGGTGAAATAGCTTCTATGGAAGATATGTATGTTAGTGAAACCAGCCTCATTGTCCGGGATGCCACCCGAAGTTCTTGGTCTCAGGACATAGGAAACCAGGGACGTGGACACTCCAAGGGTGAGTTTAGAGTAGAAGTTTAATAAGCAAAAGGAAGGAAGAAAGCTCTCTGGTGGAGAGAGGGGTCTCGAAAAAATGGGTTGCAGAACTGCAGTAAAATGCAAGGTTTTTATAGAGGAGCTATTGGGGGTCAGTGTCTGATTTACATAGGGCATGTAATACTGGTTAGGGCTGGGTGTGTCATTTGCATAAGGTGAGAATTTTTGGCAGTCGCCACCCCAAACTTTTAGTGCACATGTGGGCTCCTTAACCTAAGTTACTCCATGTTGCTTATCTCTTCCTACTGCACATGTGTTAAGGGCCAGGGGCAGAACCCTCCAAGGTAGACATGCCTGTTCCCGGGTAGCTCTTCTTATTAGTGCTACTACAAGTACCCCACTGTGCAAGCCTCCTCATCTGAGTATTTCCAAGAAGAGAATGGAATGTGCTCACTGGGCCCACTGTATGTCAGTGAAACATGTTGATTATACAGGAGGCCCCTTTCCATGTTAGAATTCGCCTTCCTTATCTGTGTTTGCAGCCTGATCCTTCAGGCTGCCTTTGTTAGAAAGAAATGTTTTGAGAGGCCGAGGCAGGTGGATCACCTGAGGTCCGGAGTTTGAGACCAGCCTGGCCAACATGGTGAAACCCTGTCTCTACTAAAAATACAAAAATTAGTGGGGCGTTGTGGCAGGTGCCTGTAATCCCAGCTACTCAGGAGGCTTGAGGCAGGATAATTGCTTGAACCCGGGAGGCGGAGGTTGCAGTGAGCCGAGATCATGCCACTGTACTCCAGCATGGGCGACAAAGCGAGACTCTGTCTCAGAAAATAAATACATAAGTAAATATTAAATAATAAAATAAAAATTGAAAATAAAAGAAATGGCTTATTGGGCTGTTTTTTGTTAAAAGAGGATTCTGCCAAAGATTCTTGCCCTATCTGCTTGGTTGATTCATTTATTTCTCCTCTTTCATTAGTGCAGTAAAAGTAAAAATTTTCATGACTGAAATTATAAATTCAGAATTAGAGTAAGAAATACTTTAAAAATATCTGATTAATTTTGTCTAAAATTACTATAATTAATAAACCTTAAGCATTTAAATTTAATACAATTTATTTTCAACTCATTGCCCAAGTCCATATTACTGAATTTTATATCAAAATACATCAAGAATACCAGACATTTTTATATTTTTTCACTCTCCACTCTTTTTCTTTGGGAAACTGCCTTGCCCATAGCAACCAGTCTTGGTGAGGCTGCCAGTTGGCCCAACGATGGGAGATGGAATTGTGAGCAAGCTAAGCCTATCAAATTGTTCTCATCTCTGAATGATACAAGTGACATAGGATTGGGAAAAGTCAGAGTTGCTTCCATTTGGGGACGCATCCTGTGGAACTCTTTCAATATTGTGAGGTTTCTAGATTTCCAGAACTGCCTGGGTCCCATCCTTCCAGAGGTCTACATATGCATCTTTACCTTTGAACTTTTTGAATTACTCCAAATCTATGAATAAGTTTCTTTTTTCTTTAAGTTAATCATGTTTGTTTTATTTTTCTGGCACTGAAAGTAGCCTACCAATATAAAAATCTTTGCAAGAATTACATCTGTTAGAACTACATTGCTAAATATAAAACAATTAAAATAAAATGCAGTTTCACATTTTCATATCAAAGTTTTATAAGTTTCTCATTCTAATAGCTGTTAACAATATATCTAAATAACACTACAATATGTGTGTTTTCTTATATAAATTATTCTAAAATATGCATATATTATCTCACAAAATGTCATTAAATATGAATAATGTTTTAAATCTCAAACCTAATTATTATAAAACAACACAAAATTCTTTACATGTGTGCAGTTTTATTTGGCTAGCCTCACTTAATATTTGATACATTTGTTTTTTGGATTTTTAAAATATTATATTTAAAGTTATATAAACTGTTTCTTCATACTTTCCATCATGCATCAGCTGCTGAGGACTGAAATTTTGTCACACAGATAGACCTTTTTCATCTAACGGCAGGCAAGACTTAAGTTTGAAAACTTTAATAATGGCTCAACATTATTTAGTGAGTAAATGTATCATTAAACCTCTTCTTAATACTGTTTTCAATGGCATAGCTTCTTTTTTATTATATCTGAATGAGGTAGAAAGAAATTAATAAATACAAATTAAACAGCACTTTCTAAGAAAAGTAAAGCGTAAAGAAATAAATATTGCTGTAAATTTTAATATAACATAATTATAGAAGTCTCTTTACCCTTTTCCTTTGAGGGGATCATTTTAAAAATGTATCTGGATATGTGACGAGGATTGCCTTTTTTCATATATGCTTGGTTTAGAAATTGCTTTTCCCCTCACCAGCTGACTTCAACTATATTTATATTCACCAGAAAGAAGTTTTGGAATACAGCCCATGAACTAACATTGAAATATTGCCTCTAAAAGCACAATTCTAGTAGGAGGGACAAATCTGATAAATGAATGACAGTTACATAGTTATACAAGTTGGAGTTCGTTAATTGCAAACTAGAAATGTTGAAATACTTAACAGATATCACAGAAGAACAGAGGTTTGAAAGTCTATGGACAACCATGTAGCAATTTCATTTAACAGAACAATTTGTCTTAAGTTATTAGGAAAATTACTGCTGAAAGTGAGTTGAGAGAATGCTTTCAGTGCATGCTTAAGACAATGTCTGTATATAATAATAAACTAGCAAACATTACAATTTGAAGAAAGTGGAAAGGACTGTTATTTGACTGATTCATATATTTAGTTTCTATTAAATATATATTAAATACCAAAGAATATCATTTTTATAAGAAAGGTGAAAATGAGTTGATTTTAATTGTAACTGCAATTAAATGAACATACAGGTACATATAATGCTATCAATGTATAATCATATTTTGTTGAAATGCATGTTACAAAAATACTAATTTTCCTTCATCAAGTTTATGAAAATATGTATGATACTTAAAATATGTAACATACTTTCCCATAAAATACAATGCATTTTTATAATTATAAATTAAAAATGCAAAAATTTAAAAATCAATAGAAAACAATTTTCCCATACATATATTTTAATTCTATAGCATTATTAACATAATGATAGAATTTAGTGTAAAAAGCATTAAAAGAAATACAAAGTGAAATGCCATAGTAATGTTATTGTGATGAAAGAAATAAAAATGAAAACACAATATATCAAAACATATCAATTTCGATGAAGTAGTAGGCAATGGGAAATTTACAGACAACTTTGCAATTTATAACCTGTTTAATATATGAAAATTTGAAAATCAGTGCAATAAGCTTCCAAATAAAAATGAAAATATTAAGTAACAAATTGATAAAAGTAAAAACCAAACAATGAAAAGGTATAATTTTAAAAAATTAAAGTCCAAAATTTGTGCTTAAAAATAAAAATAAAATAGACCAACTTTGGCAAGTAAGCTCAAAGAGAAGAGATAGATAGAATGTACTAATAAGTAGCTTCAGAAATGTTTTAAAAGGGTATCTAATTGCATATATAAAGGAAGCCAAAATCATTAAAAATACATTTTGAATAACTTTAGACCAAAAGAATTGAAGGCCTATATGAAATTGGAAATGTTATGGGAAAAAATAAAGAAGTATCAAAATTATTGAAAGAGATAGGAAACTTATGCATAATAAAACAAGATTGCAATGTAACTAAATTCTGTCTCCTACCAAACAAGTTACCAATCTCAATCAGATCAAAATGAACATGAAAAATGTACACTGAAGAAAATGGAGTTTACCACCATCTGTGCAAAGTTTCATTTTTTACAAGAGGAAAATAGGTTTATGCAGTGAAGTTAGCTGTCATTTTTTCTACATCATCCATTCATAGCATAAAATGCTTACAAAAACTCAAAACAAAAACTCTTGCCTTGGGCTGCTGTATAACAATAGATTGTAGAGTGGCAACTATACATGCAGGGCAGCAGGTTAGAAGGCCTCAAGGCAGAGTGTTGATTGAGGAGTTTTACTTCCATTTGTTCTTTCCTGCAAGCCTTTGAGAAAATGTTATTTTGTCAACGAGGCCCTCATTGGCCACCATACTTAATTTTGCAACCTGCATCTCCCACACCATGATCATACAAACCCCTTATCCTCAGATACTGTCTCTTTCTAACATACAAAACACTTCCTTTCTTTATATTTTTTTTCTTTAGATATTCTGCTATTTACGTTTAGTGTAGTTTCTGTGACATCAGGGATCATTTTCTGTTCTATTTACAAATACTTCTTGTTGAATAAAGTTAAGACTACATTTATATATCTCTATTTTTTTCTTTTTCTAGATATTTCCATTTTTGCTGAAGTAACTTGTATTGAATATATCATAGTTAAAGCTAAGTCCTGTTTTGATTTTGCCTTCCTTTTACCTTCTGCCAATTTTCAAATAAGTGAAACTATATATGGGAGAAGAAAAACAAATACAAATTCTAAATTTGAAATACAGTTTTATTGGATGACTCTAACAATGCAAAATATACAAGATGGGTTAAGAATAGTTAAGCAGAAGATATATTGAATAAACAACTGCTATTTATGTGCCAGATTGAAAAAATATAATAATTTCAGCTACATCTTTCAACATAGTCCAAATTATTGACATTTTAAGAAATAGTATAATTAGAAATTTAATTTCTAAGGAGTTAATAGCTCAGAATAAAATTTGTCTTTTTCTCTCCAAAGTTAGAAAAACAGTGATGAGCATCCAGATGCCTCATCGCAGGCTAGATATTTCCTAGTTCTTATTTGGTGCCAATAATATTCAAAACTGGTTGTAAAACTGGCAGAGGCTGATCTTACAAATTATGGACTCAGCACCTGCAGGAGATGAAACCTGAACAGAAAGAACAGTGATTATTACTATGACATTAATCATTATGTATTTATATATCTTTACAATTTAAAAAAAATGTTTGTATTGAATATTTATATCTGAACTAATTTGTAAATCAGTTCCAATGCTTAAATAAAATTTTGATTGGTTAAAAAATAGAAATTAGTATATTAATATAGTAACTCTGTCCTCTGTTCAAGGATTGTAATAAAAAGTGATATATTTTCAAAAGATTAAAATATTTCTCAGATAGTTCCACTGCTTCTCATTTTATGGATTTCTTATTTTATGGTGTTTAATATACATTTAGAGCCATATGGCTCATCTGATTTGAAAGTCAGATGGAAAGAGTTGAATAAAAAGGCATTGGCATTTAGATGGTTATCTGCATATAAATTAATGTGTTAATTACACTTTCCCGAATCACATAGAAAGGCATTTGCACAGAAGAGTCAATGTTAATTTTGGAGAGTTGGATACATAATTATTGAGTATTAGAATCATACCTGAGTATATCTGTGAGAATTGTTTTTGAACGTGCACATTAAGATAGTTCAAATTTTCAAATGATTCCTGGCCAGAGCCACTGTCTGTGTAGAATATGCATGTTCTCTCCATCTTTGTGTGGGTTTTCTCTGAGTACTCCTGTTTTCTCCCACTCCTCAAATTTGTGCATGATAGGTTCATTGGCATGTCTACATTTGTTCTAGTCTGAGCTGGTATGGGTGTGTGAAGTGTGCCCTGCAATGGAATGGTGGCCTGTTCAGGACCGGTTCCTGCTTTGCTCCCTGAGCTATGGGATGGGCTTGAGCCACCTGTGACCTTGAACTGGAATAAGCAGTTTGAAAAATTAATGAATGGATGAAAACACATTATTGTCACAAAAATTCATAAAGCATATGATAATCATACAGTTACATGATAGTAAATTATGCAATAAGAAGGCACTCATTAAGCTTGCCATATATGTTACTGTTTCTGTTTGAACTCATGGTGGTAGGACGAGCTCCTTACAATTTTTGCTTTGCAAACATTTATTCCTTGATTTACCGTGCCACCCTTTCAACCACTATTATTGACTTATTTACTAAAAATTGGGTAAGTCATGATTTTACTTGTTTTTATTACTCTTTCCTAGAAGTATATTTAGCTCACATTTACATTAACGTTTAACATTAGAAATGTTTTGTTCTTTATTTAGAAGTTTGTTGATTGTTTTGTGACCAGGAATATGGCCTTAAGAAATTAACTCTTGTTTATATCAATTAGCCTAGAGTAAAATTGGTTTCTTATACATTCTTTTGCTTTAAGTCACAGTTTTTAAGAATCTAACAGTGATGTTAAGAGAGGGCTTACTGAACTAGGTTTGATAAAGAGTAAACGTTGTGGGAAAATGTGATAGTAAAAAGGGGTATAAGCAAAGAGTAGGAAACTTGGGGAAACTTAGCAAAGCCTATTGGGCTGCCTCTCGGCCTTCCTCCATCTTCAGAGATAAGGATGCTCCTTTCTTCTGGGTATAGCAAGGGAATATCTCACGTGAGCATTTATGACCTATTCAAGGAAAACTCAGAGAGTCGTTCCTGCACCCACCATTTATCAATTCAGTATGCCAAGGCACAATATTTTGGTTTAGCATGTTCTGAACTGAATCAAGTTTAAGGACTAAATTTTAAACAAGATATTATTGATTTATTTTTATGTGAAATTATAAATAAGAATAGTGCCCTGGAGTATAAATATTATAGTAATCAATTATTGCATTACATAGGTAATTTAAATATAATCACAATACTTTTAAAGTCATAATTGGAAGAATTATGACATGTTACGCTAATTAGCATCTGGAACATAACATGCTATCTTTCTGAAAGTCCATGATAGGAGGTAAAGTATCTCAAAAATTGAACTTAGATCTTTTATTTTTCAAGTAATACATTACAAATACCCATAATTTAAAGTAAAAGCAAAAACTAAATTAAATGAAAAGAAATACGGTTTTATCAAGACACTGCTTTTACTGTTTATAAATATTGTATATTACTATATACCATAAAGAACTTGTTGAAATTTTTGTTGTTGTTGTTTAAAAAGGTACTATTTACCCTATATATTATGTTAAAATTATTTTCTATTTCTGACTTTAATATTCTTATTGCTAATTTTCTTACCATTCAATAAGAAGTTGAATTTGAGAATGCATTAGCTCTGTTGTGTAGAGTTAATGACTATTTTCCCAGAGGAATGTTTTCATGTTACTTATTTAATGTATTTTGTTTTTGATTTTTACTTATTTAAAAACCACTGATTTTTAAAACAAGAAAATACATCTGAATTTTGATGTGCATTGATATCTTCAAGCATTGTATCCAAATGTTATTTTAAAATTTGAATGTAGGCTCTTTTTAAAAATTCAGTTTCATAAGTTCCTTTTAATTAATGTGTCACTAAATACCAGTTTAGAAGTACTGAATTTTCAGGAGTTCATTTTTTCATCCATTTACTTTTTAAGACTTTATCTTCTCCTCATATTTTATAAATCAAAGATTAACCTGGCATATCTCCCAACTAACTTCAATAACACTATGTGGTATTTAAAACTTATTAGCATATATGTGCCATCTGTTTTCAATTTAAATATAACACATTGAGATTTCTAAACTTGTACATTTCAGGTTATCCTTCTTTAATTTTTTTTCTCGAATTTTCTTTATGTTCTTACAATTGCCTAAACATAATACAAGGATTTTATATTTCAGATCTGAGCTGTAATCTAAGTGAAAGTATATTATGAATATGGGACAATATGAATGCGGTGGTGCTGTGAATAGAGTGAAGATTGGAGTCATGCAGAATTTGAAATTTGAGTCTTGACTCTGTCACTTACAGTTATCTGATTAGACACACACACACACACACACACACTTTCTGAATATGTCAGTAAGTTACATATATCATTGATTATTAAGTGAAGGTATTACATCTGCTTCACAACATTTGCAATGAAGAGAATAACTGGCAAGGTTGCTGTGTGGATTAATTATAATGAAATAATAATACTAATTACAATTATTATTATTCCTAGTATCCTAATGTTTTATATATCTTGACTTTTTTCTTATAACACCTCAAGGAGAATGAAAACAATTATTTCCATTCCATAGATGACAAAACGAAGCAAAAAGAAGTAAATAACCACCGAATGTGACATAGCTAGTAGTGACAGAAAGGATTCAAAGACAGATAATCTGGATCCTGGGTTCCGTTATCACATTGTCTCTCAGTTTAGAGAAGAAATTATATTCCAATTAATGGCTTCTTAGTGCTTTACACACTTTTCATTGTTTGGTACCTAGTATTATTTAAATTATTTATAAAGAATAACAACTATTACATTAAATTCAATATTACAGAATTGTACGTACTGTAATAATGAAAACTGAGTATTTACATTCTAAAACTAACTTTAATATAAAATCTAACATTACAATTTTAGCTTTTCTGCCATCATGTAATTGTTCTCATGTTTTCAAGACAATCACAAAAAAATTTTTTGGATTTAAGATTCTCTTAAATTGATAAAATTTAAGTGAAAAGCTGTTTTATAAAAGCAAAAACATAAAAATTAAAAGACATAAATTTAGCATATGTAAACCCCAGGGTGGTTTTTGGGCTGAAATTTTGGCACAGAATTCCACCACTCCCACCATTTTGTTTTCATTTCCAATAAACATTGTAATGTTACTTAACTTTACTGAGAAACTGGAACAAATGAAAAACTGGCTCTGCCAGACACAGTGGCTGATGCCTGTATTCCCAGCACTCTGGGAGCCTGAGATGGATCGCTTGAGCTCAAGAGTTCAGGACCAGCCTGGGCAACATAAGGAGACTCCCGTCTCTAATAAAAATACAAAACTATTAGCTAGGCCTGGTGGCCCGTGCCTGTGATACCAGCTACTTGCCTGGCTAAGGCAGGAGGATCTCTTGAACGCAGAGGGTTGTGGCTGCAGTGAGCCGAGATTGTGCCACTGCCCTCCAGCCTAGGTATCAAAGTGAGATCCTGTCAGAAAAAGAAAGGAAGAAAGAAAGAAAGAAAGAAAGAAAGAAAGAAAGAAAGAGGAGGAAGAAGGAAGAAGAAGAAGAAGAAGGGGGAAGAAGGAAGAAGGAAGTAGGAAGAAGAAGAAGAAGAGAAAGAGGAAGAAGAAGAAGAAGGAGAAAAGGGAGGAAGGAAGGAAGGAAGGAAGGAAGGAAGGAAGGAAGGAAGGAAGGAAGGAAGGAAGGAAGGAAGGAAGGGGTCTACGTAACAATGACCAGAAAAACAAAATCAGTCTCTATGTTGTGCTCGTTGTTTGCCAGTCAATGAGCTATAGCCATGCATTTTCCAACAGGGACTGGATTTCATTCCTGGGTGAAGTGGGTGAAACCTCTTCAATGTGTACTTTATTTCAGCAGTGGGCTGCTCCTTACATCTAAATCCCTACATTCTTTACAGGTCTTTTTTTTTTCCTTTGTGCTAGTCAATTCATTGCTACTCCAATCTCCTTTTATAGTTAATAATTCATAAAGTTGAATTTTCTCTATTCATATTACAGTGTGATTTCTGTTGTCTTACTAGAGGCCTTTTCTGACTGTATTATATAAAATACCAATCTCTATGGTTTTTACCCAATCTTTCCCGCTTTGTCTCCAAGACAATTGCAACCATCTGATATTCTATATATCCGTTTATTGTTTGCCTCCTTTCCCACACAGTAGAAAGCCCATGAGGCATAAGTAGTTTGTTATTTTAATTTTTGCATCTACTGTACCTAGAACAGTAAATGATATTTAATAGGCATTCAAGATATATTTAGATAATGAATGAGTGAATATTGTGTAAGAATAACAATTGGAGAAATACTCAAAGCAGATACATCATAGCTCCATTCTGATAAGCATTAAAGATTATGACAAATAAATAAATATTATAGTTTTTTAAAATCTATAGTTATTAAATATATTTTGTGTATGCAAGATTTTCTTAGTGTATAATAAGCTAATTACTGTGAAGTGGGAATAATTTTAATTTTTGATTAGCAAATTTGATATATTAATAGAAATTGAAAAAGATTGGGAAAGTAAATAACTTCCTGATGGAAACATATTTAGCCTATAGAATACATCGAGATACCAACTTTTCCTTTCAAACTAAGAACAAAACTTAAGTTTGTTGAATGCTTACTTTTTCAAGGATTTGTGCTGATTTTCATTACAAGAAAGAGTTAACTAAGAAAAGATGTCTTTGGGGTCACCATAATTTTACATCAGGTTGTTAACATAAGACAAACACTTCATAGAAAATTTGGTTATGCTGAGATCTTCAAGTGGGATGACAGAAAGATTTTACTGAGAGTTTCTAACTCTTCATGAGTTTTCTATTTTGTTCCACTGGTCTATGTGTCTGCTTTTGTACCAGTTCCATGCTGTTTTGATTACTGTAGCCTTATAGTTTTAAGTTGGCTAGTGTGATACCTCCAGCTTTGTTCTTTTTGCTTAGGATTGCTTTGGCTATTTGGGCTCCTTTTTGGTTCCACATTAATTTTAGACTAGTTTTTCTAATTCTGTGAAGAATGACATTGGTGAGTTTGTTAGGAATACTGTGGAATCTGTAAATTTCTTTAAACAGTATGGCCATTTTAAAGACATTGAGTCTTTCAACCCATGAGCATGGAATATGTTTCCATTTATTTGTGTCATCTCTGATCTCATTCGGCAGTGTTTTGTAGTTGTCCTTGTAGAGATCTTTCACCTACCCAATTATCTGATCTTCAACAAGGCTAAAAAAATAAGAAATGAAGAAAGGACTCCCTATTTGATAAATGGTGCTGGAACAACTGGCTAGCCATATGAAGAAGGATACTGGACCCTTACATCTCTCCATATAAAAAAATTACTCAAGGTAGATTAAAGATTTAAATGTAAGACCTCAAGCTATAAGAAAACTTAGTAAATACCATTGTGGACATGGGCCTTGGCAAATAATTGTTTGCTAAGTCCCCAAAAGCAATTGCAACAAAAACAAAAATTGACAATCAGAACCTTAACTAAACTAAACAGCTTCTGCACAAAAAAAGAAAGTATTAACAGAGTAAACAGACAATGTACAGAATGGGAGAAAAATATTACAAACTATGTATCCAACAAAGGTCTAAAATCTGGAATCTATAAGGAACTTAAACAAATCAACAAGCAGGTCCAGTTGAACCTAGGTGGAATGAATAACTTATCAAGTCAAAAGAGGAGTCCAGACATACAAGCTCAATTTTTTATACCACTGACTGAGGAAGAAACCATATGGTGACTCAAGGATATACCAAAAACCGTATAAGACATTCACTACTATACCACATTTACATATTTCCATGTTCTAGGTATAAAAAAATCTCCAGGCATTTTTTTTCTTTTTCTTTTTCTTTTTTTTTTTTTTTTTTTTTTTTGCTGAGTAATGAACTAAAATTAAAAGAAACTTAAAGAGGATCCGTGTCTTTAAAATAATCATTTTTAAGTTGATGAAAACTGAGGGAAAGACTTGATTATGGCAAGGTTCTAGTGTGTAAGCATAGTCCACTCCCAATATGTCTAACAAATATTTTGAGAAGTTCTGCTTAAGAGCTGTAAGCTAGACTCTTGTAACTATATCATGTAACTATTATAAATTTATTTTGATAAAGAAGATATACCTAATTACACTGTTAGATTTTCTGGCTGTTGAATAGTTATCATAAAATTTCACCCTTTACCTTTCCTTTTACCCCCCTACATTCAAAGATAACTCTTTATGACCAATTTTAGCTTAAATATATTACATATTTTAAATATAAGTAGTCATGAAGGCTTCAAACGAATACGTGAAGTTGGCAGCAGGGGCTAGAAAGTGAATAAGAATTCTTCCAAAGCCTGCCACGAACCATCTTGCACAGTACCAATTGGTTGAGAGCTTAAATAAGAACAGTTATTTTAATAATGTTAAAATAGAAAGTCACAATATTTTATTAAAGGAGCAATTATACTTATAACAAGCCAGTATCATTTGCAACGACATGGATGGGGCTGGAGGTCATGATCCTATGTGAGTTAATGCAGAAATTGAAAACCAAATACTGCATATTTTCACTTATAAGTAGGAGCTAAACATTGAGCATACGTGAATAGAAACATGGGAACAACAAAAACTGGGGACTACTGGAGATGCGAAGGAGGAAGTGTGATGTGGGTTGAAGAACTACCTATTAGGTATTATGCTCGCTACCTGTATGCAATATACCCAGGTAACAAACCAGCATATGTACCCTCTGTGTGTAAAATAAAATTTGAAATTAAAAAAAAATCTTTAAAAGAAACTTAAAAAAAACTCCTAAAATTAATCTTCATGATCGGCACTGGTAAAACAATTTCTGATTATCAGTTTAAAGTTAGCCAGATCTGTCATTTGTATGGAAAATGTCCCTTCCTTATCCTCTATGTTTAACAAAAAATTTTAGAAAGCACTGTACATTTTTATCATGTACAGCTTTATATTTTGAAGTATAAATTCATTGTGGAATGGTCAAATCTAATTAACAAATGCATCACCTCACATACTCATTATTTTTATGGTGAAAACACATCACATCCACTTTCTTTACATGTTTTAAGAATATAATCAATAATATAATGTATCATCATTAACTATAGTCATTCTGCTGGACAGTAGATCTCTTGAAAGGTATTCCTCCTATCTGAATATAATTATTCATCTTTGACAAATATCTCCCCATTCCCCACTTTCTCCTAACCACCCCAGTCTCTGGTAACCACTGTTATACGCTTCACTCTTATGAGATCAACTTTTTTATATTTCACATATGAGGGAGATCGTGAGGTGTCTGTGTTTCTGTGCCTGACATTCTACTTAACATAATGTTCTCCAAGTTCATCCATATTGTTACCAATGGCAGGATTTCATTCTTTTTTTAATGGTTTAATAGTATTCCATTATGGATATATAGCACATTTTCTTTATCCATTCATCCATTGATAAACGTTAGATAATTCTATATTATGGCTATTGTGAATAATGCTGCAATAAACATGAGAGTGCAGATATTGCTTTATCATATTTATTTCTTCATCTCTCTGGATATATACCCAGTACCAGTATTACCGGATCACATATTATATTATAAAATTGTAGGTATAATTTTAATTTTTTGAACAACTTCCTTATCATTTTTATTTTCTTTTTTTTTTCTTTGAGACAGAGTTTTGCCCTTGTTGCCCAGGCTAGAGTGCAATGGCACAATCTGGGCTCACTGCAACCTCTGCTTCCTGGGTTTAAGCAATTCCCCTGCCTCAGCCTCCAGAGTAGCTGGGATTACAGGCATGCGCCACCACGCCTGGCTAATTTTGTATTATTAGTAGAGACGGGGTTTCACCATGTTGGTCAGGTTAGTCTCAAATTCCTGACCTCAGGTAATCCTCCCACCTCGGCCTCCCAAAGTGCTGGGATTACAGGCGTGAGTCACTGAGCCCAGGCTTCTTACCTTTTTTCATAATAACTTATTCCCATTTACTCTCCCACCAACAGTGTGTAAGGGTTCCCTTTTCTCTACATCTTCACCAATACTTGGCTTCCTTTCACATATCTACATATAAGAGATCACATGAACAGTTTAATATACATAAAATCTTCTAAAATACAAACAATAAATAACCCATTTATCTTATTTTCAACCTCATTTAATATTTTTCAAAGACATTATTTTGTTTATATAGCATCAAAACAATTGAGTTTTTAAAATTCCTAGATTATTGTTTTATGTTTTTTTCATTTCTCTGACACTGTGTAGAAAGAAATTGAGAAGTCAGTTGTTTTTGAGGATTCATAGTATATCTCTATGCACAGCATTGATGAGCTGAATCACCCCACAAGAATACACAAACGCGTATTTATTTCTGACACTTCTGGCTTACGAAGTTTAAGTCTAAAGTTTAAAAATAAATTAACTTTCAAAGCGTCAAAGGAAGAATGACATTCATTTTCACTCTACTGAACCTTCATCAGTAGTAATTGAAGAAGAAAATTGTAATGCAGGTGTCAAGGCCCCCTGAGCAATAAGGATTCAGCAGACTACTTAGTGGAAAAAGACTATTGGGTCATAACTTTAATAACTCACACATATCTGGTTTTAATTAGTCTTTGGCAGATTGGATAACCTCTATAAAGCACTCAAGGAATATTTCCATGTTGTCAGGCCATTGAATAGTACCCATGAGTGACACACCACTGCTCCTTTTCCTAGAAAAACAAAATGTATTCTGGGATGTACAGGTAAAAGCCCAATTAATATCTGGCCTTGGTACTTTTAGGCCTTATCCAACTAACTCAAGTTGAGGTACTTCTAAGTAAATCATCTATATCTTCATTACCACAGTTTCTAAATTGTAATTTCAACACGTGTAAATTTGTTAATCTTTAGATTTTCTCTCACTGCAGAAATGATACAATTATTATTACTATCTTTTATTATATGATATTGCTGTCTTTATCACATTACCTTTAAAAATTTATGTTATTAAATTTATTTAAAATATATCTGGGTTTTAATTTGTGTGGAATGGATTCTTTATAACATTATTTGTCATAAGTTTTCAATAGTGATACTAGTTTTATGTTTATATGTTTCATGATTATAATTACTACACATGCCAAGTCTGTGTTCAATTCAATGATATTTATCTCTTTACTATTTCCAAAAAGAAGTTCATACAATTTCTAAAAAACAAACAAAACAAGCACAAATAATACAAATACGTAAGAAGAATTATAGAAAAATAACTTGTGACTCTCTTTTACTAAAAATTCTCTTAGTGTAATTTCTAATACTTTTTTCAAGCTCTATACTGTAAGAAAAGTATCTGAAGTTACTATAAATTTTACAGGAAAAAAATTTCCTTGAAATCTTTTAAAATAAGTATGTGCTTCTAAAACAATTCATGTTTTCTGAATAGATGCTTTAATTAGGTGGCTGCTTGATTCTTCCCTTTTATCTCCACATGCAGCTTGGGTTTTCAAGAGTGCTGCCTGCTGATTTTTTCTTTACAGTACATTCTGTTCTCTTTAATTCATTTCCACAGACATGAAGTGCAAAAGGGAGAGTATTTTTTAAGAAAATGGGTATTTTTGTGAATATCAGAAAAAGTGAAGTAAAAAAGAACATAAGTGTTCAGCAAAACATTAACATCAAGCACTTCTTACTAATAGTGAATGGTCACATGATATTAACAAGTCTATGGTGTTTCTTACTCTATTTGCTATGTACTGACGTTAATATTACACATCTATGCCTGTCTATTATAATGATTCCTTTGTCTCTGCATTGAAAAATTAAAACTGTCATTTTAATTTAGTCAACCTCACACATCAAGTTTCATTTAACATGGGTAGATATATAGTACACATTACTACTGATAATATATGCCAAATGACCATTGGGTAAAACTGACTACACACACACACACAAACACAGAGAGAGAGAGAGAAAGAGAGACATATACATATATGTAAACTTTCTATGAAAATGTTTTCATCAAAGTATACTTGATATTTTGTTTTGTTTTGATTTATTGCTAATATTATATAGATCAATCTGTAAATAATAAAGGAATTCATGGAATAACTGTTATAAGAAAGCCAGGATAGTGCCAGGCACGGTGGCTCACACCTGTAATCCCAGCACTTTGGGAGGCTGAGGCAGGCAGATCACAAGGTCATGAGTTCGAGACTAGCCTGGCCAATATGGTGAAATCCCGTCTCTACTGAAAATACAAAAATTAGCCAGGCATGGTGGCGCGCGCCTGTAGTCCCAGCTGCTCGGGAGGCTGAGGCAGAAGAATCGCTTGAACTCAGGAGGTAGAGGTTGCAGTGATCCGAGCTCTCGCCACTGCACTCCAGCTTGGGTGACAGAGCAAGAATCTGCCAAAAAAAAAAAAAAAAGCCATAATTTTAGAGTCATACAAATCTGTGGTATCTAGAAAACAGGTTTACAACATATGGAGTTCACACACACACACACACACACACACAGAAAACCACATTTACAACACTTATAATTTTATATTCCTATGCAAGTCTACAAAATAGAAAATCAACTTTGTTAGAAATGTCAAGTCTGTCATGAAAGATTGCACAAAGGATGTTTCATATGCATACATATCCTTTTCTTTCTGTAAGTTCATATTAGTATGATTGGAATTACATACTGAAGAATAATTGAGCATCAGCAACAAAGCCCAGAAGAGTATTAAATATTTTGGATATATACAAACCCTATTTTCTAAATCTATTTTGGTCTATAGTTCCAATTTTATAGAACTGTAGAATATATCAGTAAAAATAGAAGATTGCTCATAACAAAGACATGAATGATTTGTATGACTTTTTTAAGTTATAAGAGTTTAGTGACAAGGGGATTTTAATTTAACTAAATGGTCAGAGTTAATTCTGTGAAAATAAAAAATAAGAACTGAAACTTGAAAATGATCAAGAAGGAGGAACAACATCTCAGAGAACTGAAAAAGAATGTGCATTCATTCTTTGTAGGAGATATGTCTGCAGCAAAGTCACTGTATCTGCTTATGAAAGTACTTTCCACCCCTACCCAGCAGCTACCTTTTTACATAGGAAACTCTGGTAATAATTTCAGCTTAAAAGGCCATTTCCAGGTCTCTAAACAGACAGGTAATGAAGAAACATGTTTCAGACTTCTTCTTAAAACACTAATAGTTTTGCATCCTGTAACTTTTCTTCTCTTAAAACTCAGGACAGGCGTGACACTTTGGTTTTAGTAGTTGCTAAATATTTTTTATCCAGTAAATAAGATCCCTGACTCTTCTGAGGTGCTAATCAGTGATGATACTGTTCATAATGGTAATGATAATACTAATAATAATCACATAATGAGAAAGAAGAGAAGGATGAGGAAGGAAAAAGAGGAGATATGAAGGAAAACAAATAAGAAAATGAAAAGTGCCAAGATTACTATGTGTAGCACATTCTACTAGATATCTACAAAAATGATTAATTCTCCCAGAAATCCTATGAAGAAAATTATAAAACTATCCTTTTTGACCAATTAATAAGTCAAGATAGCGTTTTAAAGTAATCTGAGTGAGTTAAAATCCTTGAAACAGAATGTCTGCTTTCACCCACCCTTTTTGCCCCTAATAATTACACTCTTCATTTTTTGTAGAATATAATTATATGTTCAGTAAGAAACATAATCTTAAATTTTTTTTCTGATTTCCTAAATCTATTTAAATTGGTGGAAATGTAATTGGGTTTTTTGCCATTGAAAGTAACGGCAAAAATCACTATTACTTTTGCCCAACCTAATAAAATAAACTGAAGCCATAGAAATAAAGAATAAATACATTGAAATTGTCTTCTATCCAACAAAATTGTTTAAGAAAAAGCAAATATGTCCTCAGAAAATAAACTGAAAATATGACCTTAAAATACGTAAGTAAGTACCACAGAAGGTCAATTTAAACAAAACAGAAGGCTACATTATAAAAATGTATGATGACCTACTGTGATAATGAATTTTAATAGAAAAATATTCAGGGAGGTAGAGGTGTGACTACCACTAGAAGTTAGATGAAACAGGATAGGAATTATTTTCTGGATGGAAAGATAAAATAAAGGTAAGCTTTTGGACTTTGATTAAGGCACTTGTTCCGGAATGTTGAGGTTCTTAGAAATGAAAAAGCAGAAAAATGAAAAATAAAAAATACCTACATATAATGAAAGATTTAAAGCAGCATTGATAGGAATAAAACTTTATTATTCAATCAGAAAAAAGTAATATTTAATACAGCTATGGTGCTTACTTCAAATTTCAATGAATAATAATGAGCTTCTGAGATAATTCTATTGACATAGTTTTCTCTATTTCTTTCTTATTGTTAGTATGTTAAATAACTTAATAAGTGCATTTCTTTCATTTGAAATTTTTTGGCTCATATTGTAAGTATGTGAGATAAATTAAAATATTGATTCAATAAAAGTAAATACCAAATACTAATAAATACCAAATCTACCACTTTCAAAGTATAACAGAAATATAAGGTAATAATTAAAAAAAGCAGCAGTAGATAATCAGTGACACAATACATACTTCCTAAAACAAATTGCTGAATCTATCTCCCAATAAACCCTTTAGCTGTCTTGTTAAAGTGTAGTCTATATTTTTACACTAGATGAGAGAAATAATTATAGATACAAATATCTTACTATATCTCTCAAAACTTTTCAACATAACGATAAGTTTCTTGGATTAAAATAATTTTGAGTTGCAGAATTAGCACATGTTGATTAGGTTAATTTAAACTTGTCACTAAGTCTTGGTGTCTTTATTCTGATAGACTGATAATAAAACATTATGCAGGTCATTTAATTCTGGTAGCGCCTATTACAGCATATTCCTCATTGCAGTTAATTTTCTTCATTCTCCTGAAATCTCTGAAAGAAATTGAAATGGGCATATGTTATGCATAAGAAGAAGAAGAAGCAGAAAACTTCTATTGAATAAAATTACTTTTATCATGATTTGGGAACGTATTTATTCCCAAATTTGGCAGCTGTAAATGTAGAGTCTATATGATTGTGTTTCTATTGTAGAAGAAGCTCATATTTACTGAATGATATCCAAAAATATCCAGTTTTTCTACTTTATTTTTCTTCGAACACTTGCCACAACTTGACATTATGTATCTTCTATGTCCCTCTTCCTCTGCTAGAATCTAAGCTCTGTGAGGGATGGGACTTTGTTTGCTGCTGTGAGCCAGTACCTCAAATAGTAGCTCAGGTCAAATAAGCATTCAATCACTATTTTATATTAAAATAATATTTCATTTGTTTCTGATGATCACTGTCATAAATAATAATATAGCAACCATCATTTTCTAAAACTCTTTCTAAAACTCAGGTGATTTGCTCAGGATGAATTTCTAAAAGAGCAAATATTATGCCAATATATTTAAACAATGTATGTGCATATGTGTGTGTGTGCGTGTATTTGCTTTAAGGTTTTTAAATTGATACTGTATGTAAAATATGTTATTTTTCTTGGTGGCTGTAATATTAAATTTTTAGGCTCGATTCTGACAACTGATGCATTAAGAGAAGAATAAAGTAAACATTGCATGCAAGGTATTTTCTTCTGACAAGATATTATATATAAAAAGTAAATAAATAATAATTTATCTCTATATTATTATTTGGTATAATATCAATGAAGATGAGTTCAGGAAACAAGTTACGGCTTTTTCCTTTGTAGTTTGCATAATGTGCTCTTCTAAACATCTATTTGCATGATGATAAATTACAAATAATATACAAATACAGAAAATAGCACAGTTATAGACTCTGATACAAATAAAAGACACGGGAACATAAGAGACAGTGAAGGAAAAAACTCACGCAGAGAAACAAAATTAGCTTTGAACCATTGACCTTCAAATGGCATAACTAAATGAATCCTAGCAAGTCACAGAACTAGTGTGTCAACATATGAAACACATTGTGAAGGTGCAGATGGGAGTCTCACTTTCATAATTCATTCAGTCCAGAGTGAATTTAGTATTGCATGCTTGGCTTTTCCCTGCCCCACTCATCAATATAAAGCCTCAATGTAGAAGATTATCTGAATATCTGACAGGACCATATCAAATGATTCTTTAATCCTCTCTTATTACAAATTCAATTCTTCTTCCTTTTACTCTTGTGATTATTTTAGGAAGAGAGAGGTAACAAACCTTCCTCAAAGCTCGGCATATAAATCCTTCCATCACTATGAAGGATTTATGTAGGTCAAGGGCCCGTTCCTGGACTAATTAACAGTTACCAGGGATTCCATAAACTGGTTGGCTTAGTCTAATCAGAATCTGGAGGTGTGTATGGGTGGATTCTTACAGGAAGGATTATGTGGGCAATGAATACCAGG
The DNA here is from genome assembly GCF_000001405.40 of Homo sapiens. Classification (NCBI taxonomy): domain Eukaryota; kingdom Metazoa; phylum Chordata; class Mammalia; order Primates; family Hominidae; genus Homo; species Homo sapiens. Next base: position 195,275,468 of record NC_000001.11, on the reverse strand, counting down.
TAAGCAAACTACCTCACACTCCATTTACTCTGAGCTGAAGGAGGACCGTAATTCCTCCCTTTCCTCAATAATAAGAGATGTCCTCTACAGATTCTCAGAGTAAATTTCACTTCAGAAGAGCCCTCACTAAAACTTTTCTCTAAGATAATATTACCCTCTCACAGGACCTCATGGTTTTCTATCTTAAAGCATAGCTGATTTAAAATTTCATGATGATGTGTTTAATGTTTTCTCTCATTCAATATATTATAAGCCCCATAATAGCAGACATGTTGCCTCTTTTGCTCACTACTGTAGTCACAGTTTTTAGGGTTTAGTACCTAGTGTTTAAAAATTATTTTTTGAGGCCAGGTGCGGTGGCTCACACCTGTAATCCCAGCTCTTTGGGAGGCCAAGGCAGGCAGATCACAAGGTCAGGAGTTCGAGACCAGCCTGGCCAATATGGTGAAACCGAGTCTCTAAGAAAAATATAAAAATTAGCTGGGTGTGGTGGCAGGCACCTGTGGTCCGAGCTACTCGGGAGGCTGAGGCAGGATAATCGCTTGAACTGGGGAGGTGGAGGTTGCAGTGAGCCGAGATCTCACCACTGCACTCCAGCCTATACAACAGAGCGAGACTCTGTCTCTCTCTCTCTCTTTCTCTCTCTCTCTCTCTCTATATATATATATATATTTTTTTTTTGAATGAATAAACAAGTAAATAATAGCTGAATAAATATATTCAATGGTTTTGTATCTAGTATGCAACTAAATATTGTAATGAGTTATCTATTGCTCTGATAGTACCTCAGCAAAACAACCAAAACTCAGTAACTTAAAACAATTATTTTTTTCATAGATCTTGGGATTGACTGGTCAGGGTTGAGCATATCGGATTCAAACAATGGCATCTGGAATGACTATGATTTGTATGCAGACCAATAGACTGATCAGCTGAGAGAACTCTATTCTTGAATTTGATGTTCATCCCAAAGGGGCAGAAGCTATTTAGGCCACTCTTCGCAATGTATTAAGTGCAAGAGACCAAGCTCCATTTGCACAAACACGTATAAAGCTCCGGTTTATGGCATGTCTATTAGTACCCTATGGACCAAAACCAGACAAATGGCCAAGCCAAATCAAAAAGGTGGAGAAAATTCACTTTATTGTTTTTGGAAGAAACTGGAAAATCACATGGTTAAACATGTGTGGATATAGGGTAAGGTCAAGAATTTGGAGAAATTACTCAATCTGTCACTAACTATTCTATCATACAATCAATGTTATCTCTATATTATCCAGGGTCTTGGTTGCCACTCAATCTGTCATAATAACATCCACTCTATCTAGTTTATGCAGAAAGAGGTTTATGGAGAATAACAAGGAACTTCAACATTTCTAGAAAAACCAGGACACAGGCATGGATGCTGTACGGCTTTTAACAACACAGTCTAGAAAAAGACTCAGTTTATTTCTAACAAAAAGCCCACTGCCAATGCCACCTACCACTGAGCACCTATGATAAAATGGTCTAGGAAGAAAAACCTCTATTATAGCTGTCCCAAAGAAGAGTATGTCTCCATTACATATTACTTCTTCCCAGTTGTGGTTGCCAACTCACATCGTTCCCTCTGCACTATGGGTCTCTTGCTGGTGATGCTTCTTGGCAGAACATTAACTATATGCAAGAAGTCTAAGAAATATAGTTTCCAGCTTTCTATCCTCTTGGAATAATCTCTAGAAGGGAGCTTCGGTGGTTACTAATAATTCAAAGTGCTTTTTATGCCTCAAGGCATTGTTAAATTCTCCCTTTTCCTCATACACTGAAATCTAATTCATTTGTAAAAGCTGTCAGTTATATCTACAAAATATATCTTGAGAGAATATAAAAAAAGTTCTGCCACTTCCATTGATGAATACTTATCCATTCACAGATATTTAACACCAAAATTACTTTAATATTTTTCTAAATAGTCTGTTTTACACTTTCGCCCTTTGCATCCATTCTCCATTTGACAGTCAGAACGTTTCCTTAAAATGTTTAAATCATGGTAGAGAATATGATTGTGGTCATAGTAACACTTCTCAAAACTTCTTGAATTTAACATTTAAAATTGATGAATTTTATTGTATATAAAATACCTCAATACATGTGATTTAAATACATGAGTCAATAAAATATCATTCTCCCATGCTTAAAACTTTGAAGGACCTCTCATTTTAGATGGGTCAAATTCAAAATTTTTGCCCTACCCTTTGGAGTAATACCTGCTGGGTATTTTCATATTACGATTCATAGCTCTGTTCCCCACTGAGGTCTTCTCTGGCTACTCATCTGCATTAACACTTTTACTCTCCTTCCTCAGGCAATTAATAGTTATCAGTATGCTTATCACCATCTTGTTTATTCACCTGCATCCTCGTTTGTTATCTGTCTTTCCTTCACAGAAACAAAAATAAATTTCTCCAACACTCTTTGTTTTGTTGACTACTACTGTATCTGTATAACCTAGAAGAGCTTATGGTATATGGTAGGTTCTGAGTAAGAATTTCTCGAGGGAAGAAAAATGACTCATGGGAGTGGAGCAGGAAAAGGTAACTTTCCCCAAGGAAGGAAATCATCTGCTGCACATCTACGTTGTTTAGGAGGCAAATATTAATTCTTTCTGTTTTTGGAAAACTCAGACCAGCTTCATCCTTGCCCAAGAGAAAGTGATTAAAGAATGCAATATGTCTTAGATAAAATGAAAGTATTATATTTTACATTAAATTTAATTGCCTGAATATACATATATATTTATGAAATATTTTCAATAATTTTGTAAGAAATATAACATGTTTGTACGGATAGCTCCATTTTTGGAATGCTTGGTTAAATTTGATCATGAATCTTTTCCTGGGATACATATATTATACTACTAAGTTTCTGCACTATCATAGCAATCTCTAACAAGGACAGCATATCCTCTTCTGCTCAGATAACTGTTCTTACTACATTGGAAGAGTAGAGCTAGTAGTTTATTTTAATAATTCAGGTAGCATATATTCTGACACATTATAAATTCATGAGACAGCCACATGAATGTCCTAAGTATTTTTTAGATGACTTTCATTTTAATCTTGTGTATTTATGATGCGCTTGGACTAATAACTTGAGCTGTGCATTACTGAAAGGTTAGAAATCCCTTTAAATATGTCCTCGGTTGAGATATTTTTGAGATTAATGAATAAGAACAGTATAATACTGTATTTGAAGATTACAAGCATCTTGATCACTGGAAAAAAATAAAAAATATTTGGAGGTCAAATTTGATATTGAAGAGCTTTATTTTTTAAGATGACTAACAAATTTATGTTTTATGAATTAATGATAAGATAGCAAAATACGAATATAGATAAAGACACTTAGATATAGCTGTGTGTGTGTGTGTGTGTGTGTGTGTATGTGTGTGTGTCTAGCAAACCTATGAAATAATTGAAGCCGAGTGATGAGCTCAGGTAAAAAAATTTATCAAATGGACTCAACATAATTTGTAAATAATCTCTTATTTTGTAAACAAATTAATGTTATTTGATAATAAAATGCTTTTGTTAGTATCTTGTAAATTTATTTGCCCAATGAAAAATTATAATATATTGTACATTTCTTTTTTTTCTTTATTTTTATTTATTTATTTATTTATATTTTTATTACACTTTAAGTTCTGGGATATATATGCAGAACGTGCAGGTTTGTTACATAGGTATACATGTGCCATGGTGGGTTTGCTGCAACAATCAACCTGTCATCTAGGTTTTAAGCCCCGCATGCATTAGGTATTTGTCCTAATGCTATCTCTCCCCTTGCCCCCCACCCCCCAACAGGCCCTGGTGTGTGATGTTCCCCTCCTTGTGTCCATGTGTTTTGACTGTTCAACTCCCACTTATGAGTGAGAACATTCACTGTTTGGTTTTCTGTTCCTGTGTTAGTTTGCTGAGAATAATGGTTTCCAGCTTCATCCATGTCCCTGAAAAGGACATGAACTCATTCTTTTTTCATGGCTGTATACTATTCTATAGTGTATATATGCCACATTTTCTTTATCCAGTCTATCATTGATGGGCATTTGGGTTGGTTCCAAGTCTTCGCTATTTTAAATAGTGCTGCATAAACATATGTGTGCATGTGTCTTTATAGTAGAATGATTTATAATCCTTTGGGTATATACCCAGTAATGGGATTGCTGTATATTTCTTAAATATTCAGTATTTATATTAAGCCATTTTTTTGTTGTTGTTAAAATGACCATTCAAATGCATTGAGACTTGTCAGGTAGAAATTAATATTTGTTTTCACATAACTTTACTCATTCTACTATAGTTTTCCTAAACGAATGCATTTACAGGCCAGGCACGGCGGCTCATGCCTGTAATCCCAGCACTTTGGGAGGCCGAGGAAGGTGGATCATGAGGTCAGGTAAATCAAGACCATCCTGGCCAACATGGTGAAACCCTGTCTCTGCTAAAAATACAAAAATTAGCTGGGCATGGTGGTGCGTGCCTGTAATCCCAGCTTCTTGGCAGGTGAGGCAGAAGTTTCACTTGAACCAAGGAGTCGGAGGTTGCAGTGAGCCAAGATTGCACCACTGCAGTCCAGCCTGGCAACAGAGCAAACTCCATAAAAAAAAAAATGCATTTACAGATTTACAGTAAGTTAGAATAATTCACACAATAATAGAAGATAAAATTGATATCATACTGTTTCAGAATTAAACATGATCTAGTCTAGCTTCCCCTTCATGGGATTATAAAGTGATTTCTGGGAATTCTCCTTGTGGTGGCAGAGAAATAAATAGGTACCACTTTATGTCCTCTTTAGTTAGAAACATAAAGCAGCTCTTTTATTTTTAAAATCTGTTTTAGATATTTTTCTTCTATCTATATGTACAATTTCTTATAAGCAACAAACGTAAGGACAAGGAAAAAAATGAAAGCATCCTAATCATTCAACAGACTTTAAATATTCTGAGGATATCAAACTTCTGAGATATTGAATAATTTCTCCGAAATCAGATAGCTCACAAACTTTGGATTACAAAAACTTTCTTCGAAGTTGAATGCCTTATAGAATTTTTTAAAATATGGTTTAGTCTTTAGAACTCTAGCCTTCTTTCAATAAATTAGTCCACATATTTTTGGCTTTCCATACAAGTTTAGTGATATCAAGAACAATGAAAAGTCCAAAATCTTTCCCTACTTGTAAACTAATCTGTCAGTTTGCCACGATTTCAGGGAAGCTGGTAGAAGAAACAAGACAACTGGATCAGAGACAAAAGACAGGTTGTTATGCACAGTAATAGTTATAACAAAAGTATCAGGTTTTTTTGCTGGATATTGAAGCCTAAATTCTCAGTGTGATGAGAAGAAGGACAGATAAACAAGCATAGATAGAAGGATGTGTTACAGAAAAGGCCTCTGAATTAATGTAAACTGAGTTTTCTTTTATAATGGGCCTACGTAACCTTTGTCCTAGTCTTCATTATATTGTACAATCAGCATACTTACACTTTTCCCTGGGGAGAGTGACAATATCTACCAAGGTGTTTGCTATATAAACATATTTGAAAAGGTAATCTAGAAAAATAGCCATCACTACCTCTCCTCACAAGAAAATATGCCAGAGATTAATAGGTATTTGTCTCACTGCACATGGTTGCAGTTTTGTACATAATGATTAAATAGCCTTTTAGAATTGATGTTATAATTTTAATTTCAAGAAATATGAAGGTATAGAGACTTCTACAGTGGTGAATTCTGCAAAAATGCTTTCTTGAACATTAAAGTGATAGTTTCAATTCTTAACAAGAACAGGCTTGAAGAGACAGAAAAATCTATTACATACTTTGCTTGCTTTCATATAAATATTTTAAACAGCTTGATTGGCTGGGTGTGGTGACTCACACCTGTAATCCCAGCACTTCGGGAGGTCGAGGTGGGAAGACAGCTTTAGGTCAGAATTTCAAGACCAGCCTGGGCAACAGCATGAAATCCCATCTGTACTGAAAATATACAAAATTAGCCAGGTGCAGTGATGCATGCCTGTAGTCCCAGCTACTCAGGAGGCTGAGGTGGGAGAATCACCTGAGCCTGGAAGGTCCAGGCTGCAGTGAGCCTTGATTGTGCTACTACACTCCAGCTTGGATGACTGGGTGTGGCCCTGTCTCAAAACAAAAACCAAGCAAACGAAACAAATGAACAAACAAAAACAGTTTGGTTAAGATGTATTGATATACAACAAACTGCACATATTGAAAGTGTATAATTTGATGAGTTTTATTGCATGTATACAACTGTGAATCTGTCATCACAATCAAAATAATAAACAGATCCAAGTAGGGAGCATTTGATGGGTATACATTTAATTTCAATTTTATTTTATTTTGTTTTAGGCCACGTCCCTTCTTTGTTTCTTATATGTTTAATTTCTTAATGTAGTTAAATTTATTAATTTTTTCCTTTGTGGTTAATGTTATTTTCTTTTTTTTTAACTTATTCTAACTTCAGGGGTACAAGTGCAGGTTTTTTACATAGGTAAACTTGTGTCAAAGGGGTTTGTTGTATAGATTAATTCATGGCCCAGGTATTAAGCCTGGTACCCATTAGTTATTTTTTCTGATCCTCTTTCTTCTCCCACCTCCAAAAGCCCAAACTCCAAAAAGTGTGTGTCGTTCCCCTCTTTGTGTCCATGTGTTCTCAATATTTAGCTCCCTCTTATAAGTGAGAACATGTGGTATTTGGTTTTCTGTTCCTGTGTTAGTCTGCTAAGGATGATGGCCTCCAGCTCCATCCATGTTCTTGCAAAGGATATGATCTCATTCTTTTTATGGCTGTATAGTATTCCATGGTATATATATACCACAGTTTCCAAGGCAATTGTACCATTTAAATTTCCACAACTATGTAGGAAAGTTCCAGTTTCTTCATTAGATTATCAATATTTACTGTGGTTAGGCTTTTTAATTCTAGTCATTCTGAAAGTGTCTAGCTTTATGCCTCATTGGAGTTTTAATTAAGAGTCTAAAGGGGTATGTGAGTGCATGTTTGTGTGTTCAGTTTGGGTAAAGGTTTATCAATATTATTGATCTTAGCAAACAAACAGCTCTTGCTTTTAGATAGTTTGACTTTATATTTTATTGATTTCCTCTCTGATATTTATTATTCATGTATTATTTTCTTTCAACTACTTATTTTTGGCTTAGGATGTTTTATTTTCCTTGATTTGAAAATGAAGACATTAATGTGAGACTTTTCTACGTTTATTATGCAGGCATTAAATATGCATAATTTTCCTTTTCATTTTTTTTCTTTTAGTCATGTGGTATTTAGAGGGTTTTAGTTTCCAAATAATTGTGGATTTTATGGAAAATTTTATTTTAATACACTTACATTGTAATTGGAAAAATTTTGTATGCCATAAAGACTTTGAAATTGTTTTTGTCCTAGAATATGGTCTATCTGGTTAAATTGTTCCATCTACTCATTTTCAACAAAAATTTTGATGTAATTCATATTTTAGAACTTCTGTAAATAACATCTTCTTTTCTGTGCCCTTTTTAAAAGATATGTTTCTCCTTAATACTGCTTTTGTACTATTTGATTATGGTGTTCCTTGTGGTTTTCTCTTCGTTTTTCTTATGCTGGAGATTGCTAAAATTCTGAAATCTTATTGTGTATAGATTTCATCGCATTTGGAGACACGTTTAAGTGATAATTTCTTCAACATTGTTTAGATTCTAACCTCGCATTTCTCGTTGCAGGACTGCATATTTACCAGCTTGCTTTAAGTTATCACCTACATCAATAATATCCTGTTGCTTTTGTTTTCTCTTTTTAATTTTCTTCTCTCGCTGTGTTTATTTTGGAGAGCTTCTATTGCTATGTCTTCAGGTTCACGAATGCTTTTTTACAATGTGTAATCTGTCTTTCATCATATCCAATGTATTTTCATCTCAGACATTGTAATTTTCATCTCTAGAAGTTTGAAAGTTTAATTTGCATTATTTAATGTCATCTTTGTTCTAATTTTGAACACACGCCGTTGAGTTAAAATAAATCTTTTAATGTCTGTTTATCCTACTTTAAATACTTGCTTCTTACTTTTTATTGGTTTTCAGACATTGTGAAGTTTACATGGTTCTGTCCTACAGATATGTATTTATATAAATATTCCTGTACTCTATTTGGAGATTTAGAATTATTTGGAAATTTTTTGATCCTCTGTGTCTTCTTTTTAAGATTTATTAATGGGAACTTCTTCAATACTCTGCGTAATTATTTTCCACCACTGAGGCAATACTATTCTATATACAATACCAATATCTCATAAATACTGATATTTTTTAGTTTGGATGATGAGAACATTAACCTATACTGACCCTGTATAAGTGACATGCTTTGTTAAATCTGATCCTTCTGATGTTTTTTTTCCGGGGCCTCAAGTGGTTACCTCACACCCGTGCACTGATCACTACTTATCTGAATGCTTGAAGGCACCTTCTGCAGATCTCTGGAATTCTTTTTGTGCAACTCCTCTCTCTGATCCCCTGACCTATGGACATTAATCTTGGTCTCCCTGAACTCTCAGTTATACCTTTTCAACCTGTGCTCAGCTCACTGAGAGTCGAGATTAACTCCAACATGCCCAGCAATGCATTATCTTATGTAAAATTGGGTTTAAACATTAATTTACAGTACAAATACTTACATATTTTAATAACACACAATGTAAAGTATGTTCATAACACAATTTTTGCCCAATAATCAAGTCATTTCAAATCATTTCTGGAGTAGTTGTAAACATGTTAAATACCGTCTCCACTTCAGTAAGACTTCTATCTATATAAGACATGGAATAACTTTCTTACACATACATACAAACAAAAATGTATTTATCCTTTTTCTTGGATATATTTTATATAGTACATAAGGTTTTTTTTTTTTGTTTTTTTTTTTTTTTTGAGACTGAGTCTCACTGTGTCGCCCAGACTGGAGTGCAGTGGCGCGATCTCGGCTCACTGCAACCTCCGCCTCCCGGGTTCACCCCATTCTCCCGCCTCAGCCTCCGGAGTACCTGGGACTACGGGCTCCTGCCACCTCGCCCGGCTAATTTTTTTGTATTTTTAGTAGAGACGGGGTTTCACCATGTTAGCCAGGATGGTCTCAATCTCCTGACCTTGTGATCCGCCCGCCTCGGCCTCCCAAAGTTCTGGGATTACAGGTGTGAGCCACCACGCCTGGCCATACGTAAGTTTAAATATAAGACAAATGTGTCAATCTTTTGATCTCTATTAATCTCACCCTTTTCAATAAGATATATATATTTATCAATTGTAATTAATTGTTTATTTCTAGTTTAAGTATATGTACTTAAACTAGAGATTTTAATGTTCTTCTCTCACTGTGTTTATTTTAGAGTTTCTATTGCTATACCTTCATGTTCACGAATGCTTTTTTACAATGTGTAAGTATTTATACTTAAACTAGAAATAAGCAATTAATTGCAACAATTGATAAAATGCTAATCTCAGGAAAGTTAAAGTTTCTTTTTAAAAGGCATTTCCTCATCCCCTCTTTCAACATGAAAATTAGGTAATTTTATATTTAGGTCACCTTCAAGATCAAAACTCTCAAGCATTTAGCCAGAGGATGTTCAATACCTTTTACATAAACTCCCTTTCATTCCCACAGGTAGTTCTATACTGAAACCATTCTTTTGTTCCAATCTCAGAGTCAATTAATGTATTAGAAAAACCTTATAAACTGTATATCTTATTATTTCATAGTTCATGCTAGGGCCACTACAAGTATTTCTGCAACCATTTAAAAACATAAGGCGTCGACCCAAGGATGGGAAAATTCCCAGGATCTTCAGTGAAAAAACTGATGCAATGACATATCACTTATTGAGAAGCTATCATGCAGCAGGCTCTCACCTTATTTACACATCACAACAGCCCTGAAAAGCACACATGATTTTTTTTTTTCTATTTTACACATGAAGAACTGCAGATTAAAAGAAAGTAGTTGCCTACTTTGGTAAGCAAGCTAACAAATACATTGCAGGCATTTTAATCCAGCTGTATTTTGAAGTTTGCAATTGTGTCTGATCGATTGTTTGAAGGTGTTTTAGGTTGATAGAAATTTTGACCAAAGCAATCCTGTAGCAGGAAGACAAACATTACTGCCATGTCATCTGTCTCTCAACTACATATTATGATACTTAAATTAACTCTTATAAGGAAATTCAATAAAAAGTACCTGACAGTTTTTGCTTTCTATTTTATTTTTCAGATAACTTAAGATATTAAATATTTTATTGGTCAAAGCAGTGTTCTAAAGTATTTTAACAAATACACTACTATTTTTATGGTTTGCTCTATACTTCTTATATTCTCCATGTATTCATTTAAATTCATAATCTGGTATTTGTATAATTTGTTCTTATTTCAGCATCAGACATAAGCCATTATTCTTAAAGCAATAATAGTTAAAAATTGGCCCCAAGTTACAATAAAATAGAAAATGCAAAACTCTCTGCCCTTGATCTTTAGGAAAAGTTAAAAAGCTTTGAGAATAAATCTGAATGTCATTATCAAAGGAATGTCATTTTGATACAATATTTACATCAGTGTACTTAATCTGGTATTAAGGTAGTTCTGATTTTCTCTTTTAATATAATGTTTCTAATTATCAGTAATTTAAACTAATTTTAGTACACAGCTATTATTTAAAAACACAAATGCTTAGCATGAAAAATGGCATGATCTTTTCATTATTGCTTTGTCAGGACATTTCTTTAGAGATATTTATTCATTTCCAAAGCTCTCTGTGTCTTCAAAGAGCTCAGCAAAGTATAGTTTGTTCTTGGTGTGACTCCAAGCTTATGCATTAAAAAGGAAGATTTATGATGTAGGATATTGTGATGTGAGTTACATAACAAAGTAGAATTTTTTCTGTAGAAAGACAAATTGTACACATTTGAGAAATGTCCATTAAAGACAGGAAGAATTGTGTTTATGTGCAGTGATAATTTGGGATTTTATCCTGCTAAATATTCTCAGAATTGTTTATATGCTTTAGAACTCATGAGATGAAATGTCCTTACTAAAATATTCACATTGAATATGACTAGATGATTCCATGTAGCACAAAAAAATGGAAAAGTGTGTTTGAAATTCATCATTACATCTCTAAGAATAATTGCTTAACTTATTGTCTTCTTGACTTAAACCTGGGGCATATAGAGGTAGATAGTGCCACTTGGGGGTATTTAGGCCCTTTGACTAACCTTTTTTGCTCAAGTCATTGTAATCTACTCTGTGATGATATTTTAACAAAAGAAAAACTATGAAAAAATAGAGTGATTAATCAGAAAGGTTTGAATTCTTTATAAGATTATATGAAGGAGTACTTATATTCCTACCCAGGAGTGGTTATCAACTCAAATCTTTACGTGCAGTAATTATGGAATGATTATGGTAATCACCTTGAATGGGAGAGAAGCAGACTGGCAAAAAAGTACGTTGTATTACCTTGTGTTTATTTGTAGACACTGCTCCTTAACATTTTTGGACACAATAACAACAAAAAACACAATTAGCAATAATGAAGACAGAAACTGAGTACCTGAAGTCTCATTAGAAGAAGGCTGTCTAATCAATGTAATCATATATAATGGCAGATTTCATTGCACAAATTTAATATAAAAAAGCTAGTTGTGGGATTTCTCTTCTTTCTCTGATCTCTATTTTAATCACAGAACTACTATTCTCTCAGGGCTTTGTGTTAGCTTTGCCTGCCAATGGTGATTATCCAAAACCCAGCATCTAGGGCAGGGCCCTGAGGTCTGGATTTCCATCATTCCCCTTTCCCATGGGCCTTGCTTACTACATTTTAAAATATCAGAATGTTCTAATTTCAATACCAGGTAGTTTTATGCTTTCCTATAAAGTTAAAACACTGAGTATATAATTTATGTTACTGCTATTAGAAAAAGGCATAACAGTACTATATAGGGTATGGTGACATGTATGAAAATGAAAAGATATGCATAATAAGTTATTTATGGAAACACATAGGAAAAGGTCTAAAAGAACACACAAGGCTCAAGGAACATTCCTAACAGAGAAGTGAAATCTAATGGGGTGAAATGGATTTTTTTTCCTCCTAAGTATGTGTTTTCTAAATTAAAACATATATATGCAATTTTTAATTAGAATATGTAAAGCAAAAGCTATGCAAAAATCAAATGCCATAAAAACAAAAGTAATTTTTTAATTTTAGTTATAAAATGTGTCTTTAAACATCAGAAACTCTTAAAATACACCATGCCTATTTGTACACTTAGGTATGATTGCTATTTTAATACGCTCTCTAAAAATTTAAGAATTGCCATATAGTGTTATGAATGTTTTATCTCTCAGATATAAGTGTAGGTGATATCATTAAACAAATCAAATTCAGTGCTAATAAACTATATTTATTTCAGAATTGTAAAATGCTTTAATCTTTTAAAGCAAAATCAATACGAGAACGGTAAAAATCCACCTGGATTCTGATGTTAAGTATATACAACTGGAAACACTAAAAATAAAAATAGCGGCCTGAAACATTTTTGTAGGATCCATTTTTCTAAGCTTCTGGCCAAAAGAAAATACTTTTTTACCTTATTACTGAAAGCAATAAAGTTCCCAGGAAAATGAAGGAATGCTATTAGGTAGATTTTAATTTTCTTTAGAGGAAGGCTTCTGGCATGCTTTTTCTTGTTGTTGTTTAATTTCCAAAAATACAATGATTATTTAAAGGAGATTTATTTTCATTCAATTGTTTATTACTGAGTGTTATATTATTGAATGGGTCCCAGATGTCACTTAGTTTTTTGGAGTGATGGAGCTGTGCAAAAATTCTTACTCAAGCCACACTATTTATTTTTAATACATGGAAGATTACCAAAAGACAACAAACTCTAAGTTAACCATAAAATTCTCATCTTAAATAAAATTAAGTGCTTAAAAAAATATATAGATGTATTCATCTTTACACATTAACATGTACAAAATATATATGCATATCTTAGAATTTCTATATCTGCATCTAAATCTGTGTTCATTTCGTTACACATCCCAAACAGGGGGAAAAAAAACAATGGATGTAGGCATGTAAAGTTACTGTTAACTGTACGTAATATTAGGAATTTATTAACAGCCTTAACATTTACCCATGTGCTGGGAAAACAGGAATTTCCTTTTTTAGACACACATTCGTTTAATTAAAAATCACTGTTACATAGAGAGAGACTTGATATATAGACTTTTTTTAAGGTCAGCTTTTACCATGTACCCTTTGGTATGTACCCTTTGGTATAAAAAGTTTTGGGCTCTATCTTAAAGGTTAAAGCAGAAGGGTAATTCCAATGTCCAGAGAAGCATAAGAAGTAAAGTCACCAAGGCATGAAAAGAAAATAAGATGAGGATATTCAAGGTTTCAAAGCATATTTTGAGGAGTAATCCTATTATAAATTTTTAATGTTGCTCTAAATATTTAAGAATTATCTTTCTGAAAGAAGAGAATTTCAACAGCACTATAGCTTAATTATGAGTCAATTTTGTAATCTTTTTACACTGCTGCTATCATACTTTGTTTTTACCAGAAGAGTTATAAGAAATTTTTTGCAAGAATTATTTTTATTTTAATCCAAAGAGGGAATAAAGGTAATTTAACTCAATGCAGAGTGGACAATAATTCAAGAAGAAATTGAACTCAAGCCTCCCTGGGTAATTTCTGTTCTCTATGTACTCCGTATTCTTACCTCTATCTTTAGCCTTAGACCTATGTTCGATTTCATACATACTGCGGTACAGTGGAAGGAACGTGTACATTGGAGTCTGAAAGTAAGTAAATTCAGTTATATTATTTAATAGCTCTGTGATTGTTATGGACTTAATTGTGCCCCCCATATAAGTCGTGTGGTGAAGTCCTAACCCACAATACCTTAGAATGTGACTGTGTTTGGACAGTGGTCCTTTAAAAAGTAATTAAGGGTAAATGAGGTAGTATGGGGAGCCTTAATCCATCCTGACTGGTGTACTTATAAGAAGAGAAAGAGACACCAGGAAGGTGAACACACACACAACTTAAAGGCCATGTGAGGATACAAATAAAGCAGTCAACTCCAAGCCAAGAAGGGAGGCCTCAGGAGAAACCAACCCTACTGACACCTTGATCTTGGACTTTCAACCTCTAGACTGTGAGAACAAAAATGATTAAGCCACCCAGTCTGGCATTTTGTTATGGCATTATTAGCATGCTGAGACAGTGACCTTGAAGAAGGTCATATTACACTATTGAGTCTTAATTCCCTTAGCTATTTATGAATTGTGTAGGATAATTGATTGTATTAATGAAAATAGAAAATAATCTAAAGGATGGAATGTGCAGTGATGCGATCTCGGCTCACTGCAAGTTCCGCCTCCCCAGTTCACACCATTCTCCTGCCTCGGCCTCCCGAGTAGCTGGGACTACAGGCATGCACCACTACACCCGGCTAATTTTTTGCATTTTTAGTAGAGATGGGGTTTCACTGTGTTAGCCAGGAAGATCTCAATCTCCTGACCTCCTGATCTGCCCGCCACGGCCTTCGTATGTTTTTGCTCTCATTTCCAACTCCAATTATTACTCATTAAACTCATTCACCCCAATTGTTCATTGTATGAAACTAAGAAAGGGCAGAGAAAGTGGGAGTAGGATAAAAAGTTAACGGGCAAAAGCATCTAGAGAAATTTTGTTTGCATAGAAATCACAAAATATTTTCCAAATAATATGATATTTTGTTTCTATTTTACTCAAGTTCCAATAATCGTATTCTTGGTGAACGAATTATTTATTTTCCTCTTAAAACAAAAAAATTAGGCTGGGTGTGGTGGCTATCCCAGCACTTAGGACACTGAGGCAGGTATATTAAAAAATTATAATTAAGTCCTCTGTTTCTTTCACTTCCCACATCCATTCCATAACAATCTCCTGATATTACTAGCTTAACTTTCAGAATCTGACCACTGCTCACCACTCCACCTCTGCTAGGTCTAGTGCAACTCTTTCCTGAACTATTTAATTAGCATTTATTACTCTCTTTCTCTCTCTCTCTCTCTATATATATATGTATATATATATGTGTGTGTGTATATATGTGAATAATATATAATATACAAAATGTATTTTACATATTATGTGAATGAGTCTTCATAAAATTAATTTTTAAAATCAAATATAATTAGAACAATTCTATCGATGTATACTTATATGTCTAACTGCTTCCCTTGGTTTAAAAATGAATGAAACTGTTTTATCCAGTTGAAGGACTAAAGAGTTTACTATGGGCCAGGTACTGTTATCATTATTTTATGACATATCTTAATTATAGTAACAAATCTAAATGGTAGATGATATTATTATCTCTATTTTACCTATCAAGTTACTGAAGCACATATTGAATAGTTACCCTATTTTTTCTTATGTAGTAAGTAGTATATTTGAAGTTTGAGTTTACAAAATTTGTTTCTAGGACCAAAGCACTTAGCTACTAGACTATGTCTAAATTTCCAACAAAATGGATTAGATTTGGGTTCTAATCAAAATAAAAATGAAATACTAAAATGTATTTTTGTTAAAATAATAATTAATTAAGCTCCAAAATAAATAATTAAACTCCAAAACACAGCAAAAAACTGGAGAAGATATAGAGCAGTAGAAATTCTCACTCATTGCTTTGGGAAAGCAAAAGGATACAACCACTTTGCCAGATAATTTGGCTGTTTGTAAGAAAGATAAACATAGGCTTACCATATGATCTGGAACTCTCACTATTAGTTTTTTACCTAAATGAGTTGAAAACATCAAAATCTGCATACAAATAAACTTGAAGCTTTATTCAAATTGACAAAAATTGAACTCAATCAAGATGTCTTCCATAGATGAATGGCTAAAATACAACTGTGAGTGCATTTATACAATGGAATATTATACAGCAACCAAAAGGTATGAGATCAAGCCATAAAAAGATTTTTTAAAACTCTTAATTATATGTTATTATGTACAATAAAACATTACTGAAAGCCTGCATACTGTATACTTTTAACTATGTGATATTCTGAGAAAAGCAAATAAGATAGTTGTTGTCAGGGAGTTGGTGGGTGGGGCAGAAAGAGGGATGTTTAGGGTAGGGAAACTATCCTGTATGATTCTGTAATGGCGGATACATGGTGTTATGTATTGGTAAAACCCATGGAACTGTAAAAAAAAAAGTGTAAATGTTAGCATAACTATGGACCTTAGTTAATAATAATGCAACAATATTCATTCATCATTGCAAGGAATGCACCATACTAATGCAATATGTTAATTACAGTCTAAACTCAAGGAGGTGGGCAGGGAAGATATAGAGTGGCAGAATGTATATAGGAACTTTCTGTGCTTTTTATGCAATTTTTGTATGCCTAAAACAGCAATAAAATAGTCTATTGATTAAAATATGAAAATTGTGTTTCACTGGTGAATGTCAAAGATAATTTCTAATATCACATACTAATTTTTGCACAGAAATTCAACAAAAATGTATTTCATATTTTGGACACTTGAATTTTTTTTTTATATCTAGGCCAATGTATTTATTTGGTAGGCTACTGGAGACATTTGATTTTGTGATTATTTTTCTAGAAAAGATTATGTTATGTTTAAAATAAAATTATGAATCTTCAAAGTTATCTCTGCAAGTTTGTAAGCTGTACACTTCCAAAGGAATAATAACTACCCTCAAACACTGCAGCTGACTTGTTCCAAATCTCTCCTTCTCTCTGTGGACTATGCTTCCTACATGTGAGCTTGTTAGGTTATGAAAAGCTTAAGTTCATGAAAAGTTGCTCATCAAATTACAATGGGGTCACATCTCAGTAAACTCATCATAAATTGAAAAACTGTAAGTCGAACCATCATTAACTTAGAGATCCTTTTATATGTAAAATAGATAAACAATTGCTTTCACATGGAAGGGTTTGATATTTGTAGTTTTAGATGTCTATACTTGAAAAGAAAATATAATATTGTCTGCATGGTTAGTAGCAACAAAATTTCCAGACTGATATGTATGTGTACTCACTGATATACCAAAATGCCAGTCCAGCATAATTAAATGTTCACTTGTTTTCAAATGTATTTTTTGCCATTGAATATGCAAATAAATGATTTATATATATAAGCTGTACGATTGATTTTTATACTTATTTAATTCGGGTATTTATTTTATAAGTTTATTTCTGAATATGTATGTTTTTACATAAAATACAAGAAAATTATTATTTTTATAAGACATGAAAGGATTTTAGTTATATACATGACTAGGTTTAATGATACTGTAAATTGTCTTATGTTTTTATAATAATTTAATACAAAAATTAACGCATTTTAATTCTCCAGCTATTTACAGTTGTAGAGTTTCTTTTCATTTCACTGCCTCCCTTATTCCACAGATATCAAGGCCTTTGTTATCATATTGTCAGTTATACTTTTTTCTTGGCAAAGTATGTGTAAACTACCTATTTTGTTCCACAGTTGCTGTTAATTGTCTGAGTTTGCAAAATCTACTCAATCGCTAAAAATAATTTAGCAATAAAGGTAGCTTTAGAGGTTAATGTAACTTCCATCCTTTTTTTCAACTTACATTATATTTTAGTAGGAAGCATAGAAACTGCATCAGGCACCTCTAGTTAGATACCATTAAATATATATCTTCATATATATTTGTCTGTGTGTGTGTGCATTTTAAGTAAAAGAAGTCATAATGTACAATAATATAATTTAGAAATAGTAAAAGAAAAAATACAAAATGATGTGTTTGTCATTGCAATTTGTTAATGTAAAACAACAGGAAATTATTTTAACAAAATTTCAAAAAAAATCATAGAAATATTTTCCACTTAATTGTCTTGGATTGTGGCACTTTCAATCCTTGGAGGTCCATTTTGAAAATCTCAAATTACCTCTTTTTGTGATGTGATTGGCTTCCAGGCACAGTATATTAGGATAAGGTCATAACACTATAGAGCAAACATTAAATTAATTTAGCTCACATACTTTTGAGCCATTACTTTGTGGTAGCTTTGCACAATGTGGAATAATTTAAAAATACATTATTTGTTGTCACACTCAAAGACTGGGTAAACTAACAGAGACTCAGACATGTGAACCAATGACTGTAAGTACTAACCTGGAGATTAGAAAATTGTCACCTATGTAATATACCCCATTTCTTTAAACCCAATCTAGACAAGTAATGCATTATCTTCCTACAATAATTTTCCCTACTTCATTTACATATATAATTATCCCTGTCTTCATTTTCTTTTTAGCAGCATGGACTGGGTTTCAATCTACCTAATTCTACTATTTCAAGCCCTGTTTTACCCAGAAAACCCTTGCCTTCCCCCAAAGAAAATAATTCATTATCACTATTCAGTATAGTCTCAGTTTCTGCCCTTAGAATGTGTTGCTTCCTTCAACCTTAATATTATTTTGTATTAAATGAACATTTTTAACAAGCAGGAAGTTATGAAGATGGTATTTGCATGAATTATTTTGTACCAGAGTTGAATATTATGATTCATTGTTCAGTTAGAGTGTAATTGAAAAATTTCCCCATTTAGAATTAGGCAATCTTAGCTTGAAGACTGGCTATGACAGTAACTAGCTGTCTGTAAGAAAGGTAAATTCCCTAAGTTTCAGTTTATTCATAAAAGGAAGTAATGGCATCAACTACTTAGTGTTAGGATGAAGATCAAGTAGTAGAATCATCCATTAGTAAGGTTAAAATTTTAATTTATATATATTTGTAAAATTTTATTATTATAAAATATTCAGCAATACTAAAGTTTCTGTAAGTGCAATTGAAGACCAGATCAACAGCTGACAAATCACTGTGTCTATTTGAAAAATGAAAGAGGCAACATTACTTACTGTGTGCTAAGCATGACAAATATAATACTTGACTAATTAATCCTCATAACAATCCTTAGCAGATTTGTTTAATTTTTTTATTTTTAATTGCTGTGGCTACATAGTAGATTGTTTAAATTTTTTACTTTTAATTGTTGTGGGTATATAGTAGGTATACATATTTGTGGGGTACTTGACATATTTTGATACAGGCATGCAATGCATCATAATCACATTATAGAAAATGGGGTATCCATTCCCTCAGGCGTTTATCCTTTGGTTACAAACTCTCCAGTTATACTTTTTTAGTTATTTTAAAATTTATAATTACATTATTTTGACAATAGCCACCCTACTGTGCTACCACATACTAAGTATTATTAATTCTATCAAACTATTTTTTTGTACCCAATAACCATCCTTACCTCACCCCCACCCCCACTACCCTTCCCAGCCTCTGGTAACCATCCTTCTACTCTAGTCTCCATATGTTTAATTGTTTTGATTTTTAGATCCCACAAAATAAGTGAGACAGTCAATGCCTTTCTTTCTGGGTCTGGCTTATTTTACTTAACATAAAGACCTCCAATTACATGTATAAGTTAACTTTTGCTACAGAATAAATGATTCCAAAGCTCAATGGCAAAATACAACTGTTTTCTTAGATCATAATTCTAGGGAATGATAATTTAGGCTTTGATTATCTGGGACAATCTGCTGTTTCATGTGAGCTCATGAGTATGTCTATAATTACTGCTCAGTGGCTCTGTTTAATTTTTAAACAGTTTCATTGAAATATTATCCATATATCTTACAATTTATGCATTTAAAGTATATAACACAATCATTCTTGGGATGTTCACAGAGTTGCACAACCATCATCACAGTCAATTTTAGAACATTTTTATCACACAAAGAAGAAACTCCATAACCATTCATAATAATTTCCTATTTCTCCCTTTCCATGACACCATCCTCTTCTCTCCCAAAACCAGACCCAAGCAATCATTTATCAACTATTTTTAACATACAGTATACTGAGCTATTCTGGACACATTTTAAAATATTTATCCTATATATTTGTGATTATATATCCTTTTGCCAACATTTCCTATTACCTCCTCCTCTCTAACCATTTATGACTCTGATAGTCACCATTCTACTCTCTGCTTCTATGAGATCAACTTTTTTAGATTTTACATTGGCACACTATATATTTGATAAGGGGTTAATATCTAAAATGTGCAAAGAACTCAAACAACTCAATAGCAACCAAACAGATAACCATATTACAAAATGGACAAAAGATATGAATAGACAATTCTCAAAAGAAGACATACAAATGGCCAACAGTCATATGAAAAAAGCTCAACATCACTAATCATCAGGAAAATTCAAATAAAAACCACAGTAAGATATCACTTTGGATATGTTAGAATGACTATTATCAAAAAGCCAAAAAATAACAAGTATTCGTGAAGTTGTACTTACACACTATTGATGGGAATATAAATAAATAGAGCCATTATAGAAAACAATATGGAGGTTCCTCAAAATATTAAAAATAGAACTACCATATGATGCAGCAATTCCACTACTGGGTATATATCCAAAGGAATGAAATCAAGGTTATCAATATATCAGAGAGATATCTGTTCTCCCATGTTCGCTGAAGCATTAGTCATAATAGCCAATATGTGAAATCAAAGTGTTCATCAACAGATAAATGGATAAACAAAATGTGGTATATAAACACAATGGAATACTATTCAGCCATAAAGAAGAACAACAATTTGTTATTTTTGACAGCATGGATGAACCTGGAGAACATTATATTACATGAAAGAAACCAGACACAGAAAGATATATACTGCAGTGACTCTGTATTATAATTTGGCTGGTTCCTGGTTTTGGTGACAGAAATTATAGGACCAAATGTCATCCACCTTTCAATAGGCTAACTGAAGTTTTTTCATATAGTGGCAGTGGCAGAGGTCTCAAAGGGAGCACATTTACACCAAAGTGGAAGTCATTTTCATGCAACTTCATAGAATACATTTGCAAACTCTTCCAATAAACAGAGCAATTCACAAGGTCAGCCCAAATTTAAGTAGTGGAGAAAGAATCTACTTTCTAATAAGAGGAGCTACAATGTATTGTAGTCATCTTGTGGTCTGTGAAATTATTATCTCTTTCCTATTGATGAGAATACTGAAGTTTAGAGAAATTATATAATTCGAGTATATGCCTAGTTAGTGGTAGAACCAGGATTCACACCTAGCTTTTATTGTCTTTGAATTTTGTGTTCCCAGTAATCAAGAAGAACAAATTATTTGTCATTCTTCTGTCACTTTCTTAATTATGGAAGAAAACAATTGTTAATATGTCAATTTTTTAGAAAATTGATGAAATGCATATCACATAATTTAGATATTAGGGTAGCAGTTAACACAACTATTGTAATAGTTCTACATATATTCATGTTAGGCTATATAGAAACATAAAATTAGTAATAAAATAAAATATAATATAATTGCTATTTAGCTCGTAAATAAATTATGTATATAATTATATATATGTATTACACTGTATATGTTTACACAATGGAGGACTCACTAAATAAGCAGAAGTTGTCAAGGAACACAAAAAGAGATAATCATGATTACGCTGGCAAATTACGCATGAGCATGAGCTGAAGTTTGTAGTCTCTGAATGCAGGAAGGGCCTCCTCTCTTTTAACATTTTTCTGATTAATTAAATCAGACCCACTCAGGATGGTATACCTTTCTAAAGACTTAAAGTGAACTAAGTAAGAACTTTAGTTAGAGCTGAAAAATTCCTTCACAGCAGCACCTAGATTAGTGTATGATTGAATCACTGGGAGGTGTCTATATGGTTGTTTTGTAGCCTTTTCCAATTCTCACAAGAGTGTATCTCTTGTGACCTACCTCATGTGAAAACGCAGTAGAAAGAGAATTCTGAAAGACGTAGTGTAGCCTACCCGACTTGGTCATCACAAAGCTTACACATTCCACATTGTGGCAAATTGGCATTCACGCACATCACCTTAAAGCATACTTAATTTCTAAATAAAGACAATAATAAAGTCTTACTTCTGTAAGCACCACACAACTACCCCATTTAAAACCTAAAACACCTGAACACCTTTCTCATAGAAATAAAAACATACAAAGCATTTTATTTTAATACACTATAGTTCAAACACTAATATATAATGTCAATCGTTAATAACACATTTTATATTAGATAATAGATCCAAAAAGTATTTAACCACACATATGTAAATGGAAATACACAGAACTAATTACACACACATTTATATTAAAATAAAGAATAAATAATCATAATTATTGTACTATGCATTCTACAATGGGTTACATGGTCATAGTTGTTATTTATTGCTTTTTTTTCCCTGTAACACATTTAATATCTTACTTCCCATTAGTAAGCATCTCAGCATGCTGTTCTCTGCCTGATTAAGCTATTCAAACCTTCATTCTTGAAAGATCTGGATTACTGGCAGTCCTGAATATGTTTTAGAGTTTCCATTGATTTTAATCACAGGACAGGGTAGTAATAGCAGATACCACAACAGATCTTTTGTATTCCAGACATTCTGTTACGTATCTCAGATGCATAGTAAAAAACCCAATTTCTCCTTAGAAATATGTATTAATCACCCCAGCCAGTATAGTACACTCTTTACTTGTCTATTCAGAGGGATGTGGAGACCAAAAGGACCAGGTTTCAGTCACAATTTTTAATCAAACAGAATCATTCTTCCAACTAAGTCCTCTAATCAGTAGAGCCTAAAATCACATGGACAGGAAGCAAATTTTTGCTGGTGAAATACTAGCAATAATAGTGAGAGGAGCCACTCCCATTTTCAACTCTTTATTCCTGGTCCCATGAATCTTTGCTGTGGGAGAAAAAGCTCTTATATTGGATGATAATTTAGAGAATTTACTGCTTACTGGAAGATACTGCCCAAGCCACAAAAGATTTTGCCATGTACTTTAACTATGCCCAACATTTTTGCCCCCAGGGACCAGTTTCCTGGACAATGTTTCCACAGGCAGTGTTGGGAGAGTGGAGGGCTGATGGGGGGATGCAGCAGGGAGGAATGGTTTCAGGATAAAACTGTTCCACCTGAGATCATCAGGATGTTAGTTAGATTGTCATAAGGAGTTTGCAACCTAGATCCCTCTCATGCACAGTTCACAATAGGGTTTGTGCTCCTATGAGAATCCACTGCTGGAGCTGATCTGACAGGAGGCAGAGCTTAGGAGGTAATGCTTGCTCACCCACTGTTCACCTCCTGCTGTGCTGCCCATTTCCTAACAGGCCATGGACTGTTACCGGACCGTAGCCCAGGGATTAGGAACCCCTGAGCTCGCTGATTTCGTAACTGAGACTTCAAAAAGCTGTTTCACTATTCTGGCAAACTAGGTGTTTCAGGATGGTGAGAAGCACAATAAGAATAACAAATTCCATGACCATGGGCCCATTGTCACCCTCCATTTCTTGTGAAGTGATTTACTTGGTCAGAAGCAGTACTTTGTGAAATATCATGACATTGGGTATGACAGTCATGGGAGTTTGGGCAGAATTGATTTCTAGAGTAAGTGTTTATTCCAATAAAAACAAAATTCTGGCTGTGTGTGGTGGGTCACACCTGTAATCCCAGTACTTTGGGAGGCTGAGGCGGGCAGATTGTCTGAGCTCAGGAGTTCAAGGCCTGCCTGGGTGACATGTTGAAACCCCACCTCTACTAAAAATGAAAATACAAAAAATTAGCTGGGCACGGTGGTGCGTGCCTGTAATCCTAGCTACTCAGGAGGCTGTGGCAGAAAAATCACTTGAACCTGGGAGGTGGAGGTTGCAGTGTGCTGAGATCACACCACTGCACTCTAGCTTGGGCAATGGAGCCAGACTCTGTCTCAAAATTAAAAACAATAAAAATGCTGCCCAACATCTAATGAAAGTGCTCTAATGTAATCAACCTGCCATCCGATATTTGTCTAATCACTCCAGGGATTGTATTACAACAGGACTCACCGTCAGTCTCTCTTGTTGGATTATTGGACATTCAACAGAGGCTACTGCTAGGTCAGCCTTGACAAGTGGCTAGGTCAGCCTTGGAAGTCAATTTTACTAAGCCGTGCTGAGCTTCCAGCTTTACTACCATTGCCACTTTGTTCATGAATCAATGGGCAATGACAGAAATGGTTGAAAGATGCTGACTAATATCCACAGAATGGTTCATCGCATCCACTTGATTATTAAAACCCACCTCTTCTTAAATCATCTTCTTGTGATAATTCACAAGGAACACAAATATATTCATATCCTGAGTCCATTCAAAGAGATCTATCTACATATCTTCCCCAAAACCATTTTTTTCACCGACATTCTGTGTGCTTTTCAAGTCCCTGGGTATTCAGCCGAACTATTGGCCACATCCCATGAATTGATATAAACTTGGCCATTTGGCTATTTCTCCTTCTAGATGACAATGAACATAGAAGTTGTGCTTACTTAAGTTCTGAACACTTGGATAATTTTTCTTCATCATTGTCCTTCAGAGATGTGGTGACAAGGGGCTGTAGTGCTGCAGCTGTCATATTTGGTGTGGTGCCTGTATATTATGCAGAATTTTCTATAGATTTGGCTGAAGTTTTTTGTTGTTGCTGTTTCTCTGTCAATTTATTATAAGGATGTTACCACGGTGCCATAAGTTCAAGCTGAGAGAAAGGAGATAATGCATTAATAATAGGAGCTATGGACATTTGGACCATGGCCTCATATAGCTTACATTTTTTCCTTCAGTTTCTGCTCAAACCCCATCTCATACATACCTCTTCTATTTGATAATAGACTGCTGTAATGTATGTTCAACTCTGTGCCTTGGTGGGTCAGAAAAATCCCACTTCATGACGCGCAGTTTAGATTGCAGGATAGCTTGATGACCTATAATTAAGCATTAGGTTTTTACTGAGGCCCAGTAGCATGCCATAAGTTAACTCTCAAAAGGAGCCTACTTATCTCCATACGATGATTGGGCTTTACTCCAAAACCCTGAGGGTCTGAGATGCAATGTATCTATAGGAAATCTGCCAATGGCTCCAAACAATGGTGCTATATGGCAATGATACCTAAAGTACCATTAGGTTTGCTGGCTTATATGGCTGAAGTGGCAAACAGCTTCAGCTAGTGCCCATGGGGTTCAATTTGCTTATGATCTTCCCTTCCTGAATGTCTGCCTGTAGACAGGAAGCTTCAGCCCAATGATGAGTAGTCGTTTGACATTAACACATAATGTCTTATCGATGTAAGGAGAAATAAAATATGTAAATCTTTTTACATGTAATCATTATTACATATTTATCTGTTCCTGTCCTCAAGCAAACTTGATGCTCCTAGAGTGCAAAGGATGGTTCTTTATTACTTATAGCTTAACAACATCTAACATTAATGCCTAGCGTATAGTAGATATTTCAATAAATTTGCTGAATTAATCTGAGTTTAGTATATGTTTCTGCTAATAGTAACTATCCACATACATAGATTGCCCAGGTATACATGCACATATGAACACACACAAAAACACAAAGTAATTCACAAAGAAGAAAAGGATAAATAATTGAGGTGATAGCTACCCCATTTACTCCAATGTGATTATTATGCATTGCATGCCAGTATCAAAGTATTTTGTGAATCCCATACACCCTGTACTATGTACTCACAAAAATAAATAAAATAAAATAAATAAAATCCTGAAGAAAAATATTGAGTGATCTTTACATTTAATGTCTCCAAAGGTTTGTCAAATATTCTCAATTTTGACCAAGTTCCTGATAACTGAAAATATTTTAAATTATATTAACTAACTCAATTTCAGTTGTATATCTGCTATTTAATCTATATCGGTTTTTTAAAATCTTATTCTGTCTACTTATC
Organism: Homo sapiens; assembly: GCF_000001405.40. Taxonomy (NCBI): domain Eukaryota; kingdom Metazoa; phylum Chordata; class Mammalia; order Primates; family Hominidae; genus Homo; species Homo sapiens. The sequence goes on along the minus strand of NC_000001.11, from coordinate 195,249,489 downwards.
AAAAGCCACAGTTAGTAAATCATACATGGACACCATGTCCTAATTGAGCTAAGATCATGTCAAAACCACAAGGTTATACATTAGCAGTTTCTCATGAACATATTTTAGATGATTAATATAATTAGTCTGAGTAATTATGGGATTGATACATTCACAGATTGGTCTAATTAGCCTTTGAACAGACTGATGCCTCAATTGAAGAGCTAATAAATTCTCTGGCTGTTCTCCATTCACCTTTTATGCTTGGTTTCATTAATATCCAAGCTTTTGGCAAAGTAACAAGGCAAAAGGTTAAAGCTTAGCCTATCAATTCTCAATAATCGCATTGCCTTAATGAAAGTTTATTTTTCCTGAGTGCTTGATTCTTTTTGTTTAAATATATATTTTGTGAGGCTTATCACAATGATCAGAATTTTCTCATGTATTTGACAGACATTAGTACCATTAGAAGTCTCTGCAGAAACTGCCTCTGCATTATAAATGAGTAATTCCAGAAATCCTAGAAATATGATATAAAATACATGAAATAAAGCAATAATTTTAGTTTTCTGTCATCTAGCAATTTCATGTATAATTTACCAACAAACTTCCTTTGATTTGATATTATTGACTTTTCCAAAATCTTCATATTTGTCTAATTCTATTCATGGGTGGCATAACAGATGAAAGATTATCTCAGTTATTTTCATGTCTTTGTAAGTAAATCGAAATACTTTCAATCAAATAATACTAGTAAAAATATAAGTGTACAAATTCTGGTATTGTTTACATTTCTCAGAAAAAAAATCAACGTATATTGTATTTAGGTTTGTTTCCTTTTTTTTCTTTTTTTTTTTTTTTTTGAGGCAGAGTCTCCCTCTGTCGCCCAGGCTGGAGTGCAGTGGCGCTATCTCGGCTCACTGCAAGCTCCGCCTCCCGAGTTCACGCCATTCTCCTGCTTCAGCCTCCTGAGTAGCTGGGACTACAGGCGCCCGCCACCACGCCCAGCTCATTTTTTGTATTTTTAGTAGAGACGGGGTTTCACCGTGTTAGCCTGGATGGTCTCAATATCCTGACCTCGTGATCTGCCCGCCTCGGCCTCCCAAAGTACTGGGATTACACGCGTGAGCCCGGCCAGGTTTGTTTACATTTTTAACATTTTAGTTATATATGGAAATCTCCTTGACACTAACATAAGTCCATTTACTATGAGAAATCTAATGATGCACAGTGCTCAGCTCAAGCAGTAAATGAAAACTATTAAAGCGTAACTTTATAATGCAAATCTGATATATTATCAGAGCTTATTCACTATGTTGTGAGTAATACAGATTTTTATTCATTCCTATATTTCCTTAAACCAAACTAAACTTGTACTTATTCTTAGGATACCTTCTCATAACTTACATAAACTCTTGAATTATAAAATTTAATTTCAGAAGATATTGATTATAAGTCCTACATTGATTTTATAATCAGAAAAAAGTTTTAATTTAATGCTAAATGAGTTTGTCTCTTCAATTGCAGAAGTAAATTTCAGTAGCTCAATAGCATGTTTAATAGAATTCTCATTAGAAAATGTGTAACTTGCTTTTCTCATGGATACAAGTATAAAACCCAAAACCTTAATTTTGCCCATCACACACACATAAAACATGATTTTCTTTTCTTTCACAACTTCCAAACTTCTCTTTTATTCCAATATTTTCTGCAACTTCTCTTACTTAAACCATAACAATATTTTGAATACTGGCCAATAATATTATACTTGGACTAATGTGATCATAGCATATCAGTTTCACATCATTTTATTAATCTTCAAATTTGTGAACTTTCTTTTTTTATTTTAAAAAATCCAATATGTCTGACATATTTGAGTCAAATATTACTACCGAGTGATAAAGACAAGCGGCATCATCATGCCTCTTTACCCATAAAACAGGACTTTCAATATTTTAGCATTTTCTTTTGATAATTATCTATATTCCTAAGTTATATGCTTATATTGCTTTTTATTTTTATTTTTAATTTTTATACTTTATTGAGATAGAATATTACTATGTTGCCCAAGCTAGATTCAGACTCCTGGCTTCAAGCAGTCCTCCCACCTTGGCCTCCCAATGTGGTGGGATTACAGGCATGAGCCACTTTGCCTGGGCTTTCTTGCTTTTATAACACTGAGAATGTCAGACAATTTGTGTGAACTTCCTTTCACCATATCTGAGTATCCTTCTAAAAAATTCCATCTTGCCTAAGCTCCCAGGATATTTATCACAGAGTTACCACAGTGTTTTGACTTTGTAAATTGTACTGCTTATCCATGTTTTTCACCAGAAATCTTCCTTTTAATAGTTGCTTGTTTTGAGTTAAAGGTTGCCTTTCCTTCTTTTTGCAATGTACCTAGTAATTCTTCCCTAAACATTCAAATAATACTAAATACTCTTTCATATGTTGTCACACATACCAGCTTCATTTAATTTATTATTTCATCTACTGGATACATTCCTCCTTCTTGCTCCTCTAGCATAGGTTAGCTGCATTCCCAAACCTCTGCATAGGTTGTTAGATTTCCATTCACTGTGATCTTGGGAACTTTTAAATCTCCTGTTTCTGGTGCCCTGTTAACAACATGCTATGCCTTTATTTTCCATACTTTACTACCGGCTTTATGAGAGCACAATCTTAACTATCTTTCTGGAAAAATGCAAAAAGAGGTACACTATTTTAGGCTTTATGTGTTTTAAAAAGATGTTTCCTATTCCAATATTTAAAATCTATTTTAGCTTGTATAGTGTTACAGGTTGTAATTCATTTTTTCTCATAAAATTGAAAGCATTATTTCATTGTACCCCAGTTTTTGTTTTGTTTTGATTTTTTAAGATGGAGTCTTGCTCTGTTGCCCAGGCTAGAGTGCAGTGATGCGATCTCGGCTCACTGCAAATTTTGCCTCCCGGGTTCAAGCGATTCTTCTCCTTCAGCCTCCCGAGTAGCTGGGATTATAGGTGCCTGCCATCACGCTAGACTAATTTTTGTACTTTTAGTAGAGAAAGAGTTTCTCCAGTTTGGCCATGCTGGTCTCGAACTCCTGACCTCAATTGATCTGCTCACCTCAGCCTTCAAAAGTGCTGAACAAGTGTGAGCCACCACACGTGGCTATTTTATTCCAGTTTAATAGATTCTGTTGATAATACTGTAGTTATCGATAACTGTTGATAATTAATGTAGTTATTATTAATCAATAGGTTGACTTTTTGATTTTATGTGTGATTAACTGTGTTTAATCTCAGAAACTGTATAGTGGGAGTTATGTCTGGACGTTTTATTTCATCATAGTCAGAAGCAAAATTCTAGTTTATAAATTCTCATTGGTACATTAATTCCAAAAAAGAATTATCTTGCCATTTTTCTCTTAAACTCACTGATAATTATTAGGTAGTTCAGTAGTTTAGTAAATTTGCATTTATGTTAATAATGCACTATTGATTGACTTCAAATCCATGGTTTACTTTTCTAAATATATTTGCACAAAAGTAGATATTATCTACAGTAGATATTATGTACAGATATTATCTGTACATAAACACCATTAATAAAATATAAAGCAAACACTTTCCATGAATTATTTGACATTTAATACTCTTTCCTGTACTTGCTTGATACTGTGAGAAGCGTTTAACTCTGATTCTTGACATTTAATACAAAGTACAACATCTGTAACTGGAAAAAATAGATATATATTTAACTTTCAATATGTTGTTTCAGACCATATTCTTATTTTAAGAACCAAAGAACATTTGTTTTATTTTGTTTTGTATGTTATTTTAATGAAGAAACTAGTAAAAACTCTATTTGTGATATGGAAGAATTTTTTAAAGTGTGAACTCTGGAATTAGATTGCTTGACTTTGAACCCCTACTCTACCATTTAATAGCTCTGTGATTCAGAAATGATTAAATTTTCTGTAACTTGTCTGCATAATGAGAGTAATAACAATATCTGTTTCATAGAATTGTTGTAAAGAATAAATTATATATGTATATAAAATATTTAAAATGGTACATCCAACAAGCTCTGAAATTAATATTAATATTATTATTACTTTATTATTATTACAAGCGAAAATATAAAAGAGAAACAGCACAGGACTAAGGAGTCAATATAGAAAACACGTAAAGGTAACTTTTTAAGTATAATTAAATCTATGTTTATAATACAAATAAAGTAATTGGTGAGAAATTGTAACAATTCTGTTGATAAACCAGGCTTTCAATCAATTGAAATAAGACAAAAGTGTCACCAAGTAGAAGAACGAAACATCAATTCTATCACTCTACAGAAGCTAGTTGGTGTATATTTATTATGACAGTCCAAACAAATGAGGGGGCTTCTGTGCCCATATAGACCTTATAAAAGTCTATCCAGTGTTGTAGATCTGGGTTAATGCCTCACACTTAGCCAGATAGAGAAGGAAAGATAAGTGCTCAGAGTTTAGTAATATTGATTGGTAAATTAGCCACACACTTAAGAAAAGGTAACCCGTGCGAACTCTCCAGGAAACGGTAAAGAATGGGGGGGAAAAACATAAGTTTTTAGGAAAAGATATCTCATTCTTATAAAAAGTATGGTAAAATATGGAAACTTTCCCACTTACAACACACATAATGTGCTATTAATAGTCACTAGTTCTGGTTTCCATCTGGGATCCTTTTTGTTGTTGTTATTTTTGTTATTTTTACATGTCGCCCCTTGCATTTTATTAAGTGATTATGCATTTTAAAAATTATATTCATTACATTAGAATTTGAGTTAGGTGGAAATAAGTCAGTGTGTTTAATCTGCTACCTTTAAGTGGAAGTCTTACCCATATTTATTATTCTGATATATGTAAAAAGTCCAGGCCGAGTGCGGTGGCTCACGCCTGTAATCCCAGCACTTTGGGAGGCCGAGGCGGGCAGATCACAAGGTCAGGAGATCAAGACTAGCTTGGCCAACATAGTGAAAACCTGTCTCTACTAAAAATACAAAAATAAAATAAAATAAAAAAATTAGCCTGGCATGGTGATGCGCATCTGTAGTCCCAGCTACTCGGGAGGCTGAGGCAGGAGAATTGCTTGAACCCAGGAAGTGGAGGCTACAGTGAGCCGAGATTGTGCCACTGCACTCCAGCCTGGGCGACAGAGTGGGATTTCGTCTGGGGGAAAAAAAAAATTTCAGGCTAAGCCTTCAATAAAGAACATTTTTATAACGTAGAAAATAACTATTTTATGGAATTTAAAAAATCGTTTCTGGCCGGGTGCGGTGGCTCACGCCTGTAATCCTAGCAATTTGGGAGGTCGAGGTGGGCGGATCACGAGGTTAGGAGATCCAGACCATCCTGGCTAACACGGTGAAACTCTGTCTCTACTAAAAATACAAAAAAAAAAAATTAGCCGGGTGTGGTGTCAGGCGCCTATAGTCCCAGCTACTGGGGAGGCTGAGCAGGAGAATGACGTGAACCCGGGAGACAGAGCTTGCAGTGAGCTGAGATCACGCCACTGCACTCCGGCCTGGGGGACAGAGTGAGACTCTGTCTCAAAAAAAAAAAAATCGTTTCTTTTTAAAGTCACATAGCCCAATCAAAATATAATACATTGTTCTTCACTGCTCGATACTTTGGCTACACATCCTTATCCTATTTAATTTGCCTGATAAGGTTAAAAGTTGCTATTCAGATTTCATGACTGACATTAGTTCATAATGGTGAGGTAGCTGAATATGTAATTTGTTTTGCGTAGGCCAAGCATTATTGTAACTAATGAAGAATTATGTTAACAGCAAAGTCAGCAAAACTGACATTGCAGTCAAAGAGTGAAGGAATTTATGTATCATCAAACCATCATTTTGATAAAGTATATTTTCCTACCAGAGTCATTTAAGTGCCATAGTAAAATAGGACATTGAAGCAGCCATTATGTATCTAGTTTTTACCGAATTATGTTTTCTCAAAATTGAGGTATCTAATAAAAGTAATCCAATACAGTGTACAATATTTTGTGAGCAATAACCAGGTTTTAAAAACTAAAAAAAAAAACCAAATTTATTTAATATTGGACTATAAATTAAAAATGCTAGTACAGACATTTTACAGTGTATTTACAATGTTTAATGCAACAAATTGTACCACTTTACTTATAAATCTTTATTTAGTGAGATTTAGTAATAAATTTCCATTTGCTACAAAAGCTTGCAAATATATATCACAAATATGCTCCTTGTTTTTCTAATTTCTAAGATAAGGCATTTAAACTAGATAATACTTATTAATAAACAAATACTTCAGAATTCATGAGTAATTGAATGCAATTATAAAATGAACACAAATGGTACCAAAAAGCTTGATTGTCAAGAATAGTTTCTTCTTATTTAAATTTTCAATGGTGTTGTTATGGGCCAAAGTGAGAGAGTCACCACTTTTCTGGCTCCTATTATGCTTTACTCAAAAGTAAAATGTTTTTATCTGACTTGCTGTTACTTTTCTCATTAAGAGGAAAGCAATGAAACACATGTAATAGAAATAGTATAAAGTATGAAAGTGATAATTCAGTGATATAAGTATATAAGATTAAAGCTTTTTAAAGGCTTTAAATAACTGTGATAAAGATATTCAAAGTTACAACTGAAAGCCAAACTTTATTTTTAAGGGCAATAAATTATGAAACAACATATGGTGAAACCGAACATTAATATAAGTGCAAATTCTAAAATATGTAGAAATTCTGGTAGTAAAAAATATAGTCACTGAAGGAAAGTAAACACAAAACTCAAAAAACAAGAAGTCAATTAATGGAAGGGATGATATAGTGTTTATAAATGTTTTGATAAGAAAATAAAGTACTTTAAAATATCAAGGGTATGATACACACAAAATTGTGAAGAGGAGACCACTCTGAAAAGTGAAGTGAGAATATAAATTATGCTACAGCAGACATCTAGATGTAATAGAGTGGTAGTAGTGTGGTTCCTGAAAGTAATGGTAAATTGTTAACTTTCTAAATATGCTTCAAAATTAATTTATATAAAAATATTGCAAAGTTAAGAAAACAGTATAACAATAAATCCTAGATAAGTTTTATTCATAAATTATTTTATAGCTATTTATTAACCAATAGATTAAGCTTATTAAAACTTTACTAGGTTGGTTCTCCATAACTTCTGAATTAAAACAATGGAAAAAAGAAGTGGGGAAATTATGGGAAATTATAAAGAAAACATTAAAGGCAAATGAAAAGAGTGGAAAGACACTAATGCAAAAACAGAAGTATAATTTATGATAAAGGACACATTAATCAGTAGAGACATGGGAGACACTGAATTACAACCTTTCAAAAAATTATATTCCTGATAAACAAGGAAGACAATTATACATTAAAGTGAATTAAATTGCTAAAAATAAAAATCTTCACTTTAAGCTTTTACAAGTTATAAGATAATATAGTTATGATCTATGTAGAGGAAAGAATGACTAGAAAAATCAGAAAAGTTTTCAAAATTATATAAAGGACAATTAATAAATATGGCTATATTATAATTTAAAATATTTTGTGAAAAAAAATTATAGAAAAAATACTTTAGAAAGACTACAAAAATATTTTCAATGTATGTAACCAAAAATATTAGTTCCAAAGATATATATTAAATATATACACATAAATTTAAAGAAATCAATAACCCAATTGAAAAAATTTTGAGCTGTCGGAAAGTCCACAGAAGAGATAAGCTCAATAGTCAGAAAACAGATAAAAGGATAATCAATCTCAATGATAATCAGGAAAGTTTAAATTAAAAGCATTACATGATACCATTACATACCTACAACACTGACTTTAAATAAAAGCCTGACAATAGAAATTTCTAATGAAACGTAAAGCAAAAATGACTCCCATATACTGTCAGCATATAAATAGAAAAATGTTATAGTACTTTTGGATTATACTTAGGCAATACCTAGTAAGGTTGAAGATTCCCTTGATAATGTCCCAAAATTTATACTCCCAGGCGGTATACCCTATAATTACTCTTATACAAAGAGATGCATATAACAATGTTCTTAAAAGCAACTTACAGGAAAAAAACAAATGCGTATCAGCATTAAAATGCATATCTAACTGAATATGCATTAAATAGAACATTGGAGAGAGCTTACATTGGCCTTTTTTTTTCTCTCAGCTGCCTAGGATCAATCATCACTTTCTTCTTTTTCTTCCGAAATGACGGTGACAGCTGGTCTATGTAACCATAGTGCAATATCAAAACAGTTGCATATTGGTGTGGACTAACCAGCTGCCCCTGGGCACTCTCTTATCTTCTATTCTGTCAATATCCCCATGAATTAAATACATCTCCAATCATTAATAATGGAGTTTCCCTGTAGGTAATGGAACATAGAAGTAAATAGCAATACTTTTGTGGGCTGTCTTTAAATAATAGGAAAATTTTTTTCAATCGACCTTTCATTTTTACATAAACTAGAAATGACACAGCAAAGGACTTGCCTGCAAATGTTTCTTCCTCTACAATTTCAGGCAACAGTGCTGATATTTCCCAAGGTGGCATGACATTAAATACTATAACTATTTAAAAAACTTTTTTAAAAAACAATTATCTAATACATCAATATAAAAATGCTCCAACTTTTTGAAGCATGTATGTACCTAAGATGATAAAAAACCATATTGGATATATCAAACAAGTGTAAAAAGTAAGTAAATAATCAAGAGAAAAATAAAATTTTGTAAAACTAATTTAAATAATGATAAAAGATAAATTTCTTACTTGAAAGATCAAACAGTAGTATTCTAAGAGAGGAGGCAAAAAGTGATACATAGAGAAAGATAGGAAAAATAAAGAAAATATTGATAAGGAATATACTTAATATATTAGTAGATATTAAAAATTGTGGTTGTAGGAGCTCTGGAAGAAAAGTCTTGATAGATAAATGAAAATATTTACCCAGTATTAGGGAAATATTTTAAAAACCATATTGAAAATATGCACAGAGTGCCAAAATGAAAACACAAAAGAAAAACAGACAAATAAATAAAAAGCAAACAAAATACAGATTAAAATTTGAGCAAACAAAAAATATGCTGTAAATGCTGGTTTCTAAAAAGAGAGAGGAGATTATCTACAAAGAAACATAAATAACACTGTCATCAGTTTTATATAAAAATATTTGATATGTGGATACAATACTTCAATGTATTTAACAAGAATAACTTTGAACTAGAATTCAACCAACTAGATTGGATTGTCTTCAAATATGCTGGATTATATGATATTCCCAGACACTGTCTTCCTCGGGGGGTTACCACATAAGTTTTCACATTTATGTATTTTTGGGGGGAATAATGAAAGGAACAGCTACACAAATACACCAATGGTATAAAATACATGAGATTAGGAAAATGCAAATCAAAACCACAATGAAATTCCATCTCACACCACTTAGAATGGCTATTATTAAAACGTCAAAAAATAACAGATGTTGGCAAGGCTGAGGAGAAAAAGATACACTTTTACACTGCTGGTAGGAGTGTAAATTAGTTCAGCCATGTGGAAAGCATTGTGCCAATTCCTCAAATAACTTACAACAGAATTACCATTTGAGTCAGCAATCCCATTTTGGGGTATATACTCAAAGGAATACAAATCATTCTATTATAAAGACACATGCACACATGCGTTCACTGCAGCACTATTCACGACAACAAATGCATGAAATCAACTGAAATTCCCATCAATGGTAGACTGGATAAAGAAAATATGGTACATATACACCATAGAATACTATGCAGCCATAACAAGAATGAGATTATGTTCTTTGCAGCAACATGGATAGAGCTGGAGGCCACTATCCTTAGCAAACTAACCCAAGAACAGAAAACCAAATACTGCATGTTATCCCTTGTAAGAGGGAGCTAAACAACAAGAGCACATGGATACTAGAAGGAGAACAAGACACACTGGGGGCTACTTGAGGTTGAAGGGTGGGAGAAGGGAGAGAGTGTCAGAAAAAATACATAGCGGATCCTATGCTTATTACCTGGGTGATGAAATTATCTGTAAACCAAACACTGTGACATGCAGTTTACCTATATAACATCCTGCACATGTACTTCTGAACCTAAAATAAAAGCAAAAAAAGAGATTAAATGTATGAGAAATAAATGTGTATTTAACATTTTGTTTTCTTGAAAAATTAATCAAGAAAGAGACAAAATATAAAGCATATGACAGAAGTGGAAATAGACCTCTAAAGATAGCAATTTGGAATTGGTTTACTGATTTGGTTAGATTATGAGAGTAATGGTTTTAATTTTCATAGAGCTAGGATATGAGAAGTAATTGGATGGAAAACAATAGTAAAATTAAGTATTTATTGATAACACATATTTAGCAAGCTAATAGCTGGTGTAACATATTTTGTCAAAATTGTAGACTACAATGATTATTGAGCCAGATGATTATTCCTTACTAACTTGAAGATATCAAAGTGAAGAAAATTAAAAATTCAGTATGAGCCAAAAAACCACAGGACTTCTATGAATTCTGTAAGAAAAATCTCCTATTTTTTGGAAATGCAGAAAATATATATCTGAAATTAAGAAATAAAGTTTGATCATAAGGCAGGTGGTAAAATTATAATGTAATTTGAAATATACTATTGTATTAAATGTGTAATGTTGATTGTAAAATAGTAGAATCTGAGAATTAGAGTAACGACCAGTGTCACAGGATCCTTAGGGTGTTGCTTTTCAAACCAGAAACCTCTGTGGTCAGTGGCACCTTTGTTGGAGTTTTGCTTAGGCCCCCATTGGCCTCATTGCACCCACTCAGCCCAGCAGGCTGTGCTCGGCTCACGCTACCAGCCCAAATCCCATACCTGCCAAGGGTGAGCGTGGCACAAAATGGTGAGGAGTGTGTGAGCGAGCATGGGGTTTGGCCACTGTGCACAGCCAGGTGTACTGGCTGTGGTAGGGAAGGCAGCTCCAGGCATTGGTACAGTTGCCAGTTCCATGCGAGGCTGCAGCTGGATGAGGAGTACTGCAAGCGACCCCCACTGTGGGCACTGGGGAACATGGTGGAGTCCGGAAGCTTAGAGCTGCCAGGAACTGCAGAGCCCCAAAGTGAGTGTCACAGCCCTGGCTTGGAGAGCCCCTAGGTATGGGCTCCTGGAAGGGCCGCCGCTCTTCTCTCCTTCTCATCACCCACAACATGGCGACTGGGGAGTGTGTTTCAGCCTTGTTTGTGTTATAGCTTTTGCAGTTTCACCATTCATGTGGTCCCAAGTTCTTGTCCCACATCCAGGAAGAATGAGGTATGTGGACAACTGGAGGGTGAGTGGCACAGAGGAGCTGCATTGAGTGACAAAACAACTCTCAGGAGACCCGAAGTGGGTAACTCCTTTCCACAGGCAGGTTGTCCTGATGAGTCTAGGAGACCTGAAGTGGATAACTCCTTCCTGCAGCTGGTAGTCCTGATGTCTGTGTGAGTCTGGCTGAGCCTGGTGTTTTTATGGGCTCAGAAGGAAGTGCATGCTAATTGGTCCATGGGTGGCCATGGGCAGGCCCAGGAAAAGCACCACAAGTTCTTTCTCTGGGCCACAGGCTCCATCTGGAACTGGCATCCTGGCCCCCTAGCTTCAGGCCGTCCCTGGCTTGAAGGTGCGATTTCACCAGGTTCTTGCCCCTTTCTGCCCAGGAGCCTGTCTGCCTCCCACCATCAACATGCTGTCAATGGCACCCAGGCTATTTGTACCAAGGGGTGACTGCAGGCTTGTGCCAAACTGGCCTCAGTTCCCCTCAGACTCCCTCCCACACTCATTGGTGCCTGAAGTCCAGAGGGGGCTGAGGTGCCAGGGAGCTTGTGTGTCAGTACCTCCTCGAGTGTGCACACACCTGGCTAGGTAGCAATAGCACCTGGGCTTGGCCACAACTTTGCTCCACACCAGAGCAGGGAGAAGCCAGACAGAGGAAGCAGGCAATTCCAAGCCTGGAGGGGCAGGAGCTTCCCAGGCCCCTGAGAATACAGGGATGCCTGGGTCCAGAGCCATAGTTGGGTGGCTACAGCTGCCCCCAGGAGCATGGCACCACTACCCTGCCAACTCAGTCGGGGAAAGGGATCCTGCCTGTTCCAGGCTCCTACCGGCATTGCAGAACTTGCAACCCCCGCTGTGCCTCTCCTACTGCAGCCAGTATCTTTGCAGCAGACACTCCAGACAGTCCACTGCTGTCATCACTGGTAGGTTACAATTAATCTGTGAACATTCCATGAGCCTTTCTTACACACCATTTCCTTCCTTTGGGGAAATGAGATGGCCCTTGCTTGAAAAGTCTGTAATGAATTCATTTTGGCAGTTCTTTGCAAGAGAATATTGAGGCAGTATTTTGCAAGGGAATGTCAATTGTATTAGGAAACACTGGCTCTCATTATACTTAGGGCTAGAATAAGATTCCGGTGGAATGCAAAATATTTAATAGAAAGCTTAACCCAGAAAAAGATATTATATATACTGTAAGAATGTTAATATTTTGTAAACCAAGCCTATAAATGAGATGCGCTATTTGAGCACATGATTTCACTCCAAATGTTGGATAGTTCTAGGCATCAGTATTTCTAAATCTGAAGAACTTGACAAGTGCTGAGGGAGAAACTGAGTCTGTACAAGGAGACAGGATTGTAGGCTCTGTAAAATTTATTGTGCCATAAGTTATCTTGACTTTATTTCTATTCTCTTTGAGTACTTGGAAAACAGCATGTTGTCTCCAGTGCAAAGAAAACTATGCTTTTAATTGTCTGGAAGTGTGTGTGTGTGAGAGAGAGTATGGGTGTGAGGGTGTGTTTGTGTATTTAATCTGATAAGATTGCATATACTGCAGAGAAATAGATATGCATCTGTTCTTTTTCCTCTACCTGCATGTCTCCATGGCTGAACCCCAGGATTTTCTCCTTTCCTATCTCTACTCAATAAAGGAGAGAAGGTTGAATGCTTGTGGTGTGTGTGTGTGTGTGTGTGTGTGTGTGTGTGTGTGTGTATGCAGGAGTTTAAAGACACACCACAATTTTAGCAGCTTCCATTTTTCCTATCTATGCCAACTACTTCAGACCTTAACCAATTCTTAAATTTCTTCTAAATATTCCCCCCACCAGAACTCCCATATATATTGTTTCCTTTTAATCACTTCATATGGAGAACTTTTGCTCATGAAAAATATAAAAACTATACCATTTTCTACAATGCTTTTTCTTGTATTTTTCTAGTTTCAGTTCTATTTTTTGTTAGGTCTCAATAACAATCTAACATTGCCTTTCCAATCCTTCTATTACAGTTTTATAGGTGCAATCCCTTCCCTCAACCTCCCTTTGCTCTGGTCCCTTATACAATTTGACTCACCTATGGGTTAAAAACATTTATTTCTGGATAGTTATAAGATCTAAATAATTGGCACCTGTTACATTTACTATATGCTTTTCTACCTTATAGAGATATGAATAAAAAATAAAAGAATAACCAAGTCATCTACATTTAATCTAAACAAAAAAAATAAAATCAATTAAGGGCTGTGACTTAATCCTTTTAATTTTTCATTAATATTCCATAATTTAGGAGAAAGAGGAAAAACTATTTTATTATTCTTTCACAAAATGAATCTCAACAGAGAAGTAGCATAGTAAGCTTTGATGTTTTAGGGTCATATTATGTACAGGTAGGGAGAAAGTTTTAAATGTTGAAAATGTGTTCCATCTATCAATGAAAAATTTGATATACAGTGACCTAACTATATTTTATTGACCATTATTAATATGTAACCATTAAATATGTTAGAAGCTGAAATTTTAAAATGCTTACTTGCTTTTAAAAACTCCCATCTTTTAAAAGTAATGGAAATTATGTCCAATATTTATTGGAGACTTAATTTCTGCATATTTCATTAACCTAGTCCTATTTCTTTTAACTATACAGTATTTCTTATCATGATGATTTTAAATAGTATATAAACTTATTGTTTTCTGGGTGTGAAACCAAGTAAAGATATAGATCACATTAATTTTTTAATTAAAAAGAAAGATAAAAACACATCTGGTAGGCAATGGTAGCCAAAAGCAAGAAACTAGAGCATGATATAATAAGCAGTAAAATCCCACCTGCTTATGATTTCTGATTCTTTCTCTCTCAGTAGTGGCATAGCAAATTAAAGAGTTTGGAAAAGTATTATTTTTGTGTATGCTAGTTTAGCTGTATCACCCTGGTGTATGTCAAATATATTCATTAAAAATTCTATTTAAATAATTTTCTAGGTACATAAAAGTTCATTAAATGCCTTGTAAGTGGTAATATGTAAATACCTGAAATCTGTTTGAATTTTTTAAAACAATATATTATTAGCATACTTAAAAATCATTAAATATTTATGAGTAATTTTATTATGATATTAAATTATTTTTTAAATAATATCACAGGTGAATGTAAAGCATTTGGTGAGATTAAAGTTCAGGCAACATTTCCTCAGCGTCTTAAAAACTGCTAATGTGAGCCATGTTTTTTTACTGAGCATAAACATATTGTCCAGTTTCATATGAAGTTTATATCTATAACAACTATCTCTGGACACATGAATCATGAAAGGTAAAAACAGTAGAACATATGGTGGCTTCTGCATATTTTCTCCAGAGAGCTCTTTCTAAAGTTTTTCAGAATTTGTCTTAAATTTGACAGAATTTACTCATCTAGTTTTCCTAAAGAAGAGAAAATATCACTTTTTAGAAAAAGAGATAGGAGAGGAAAACTACAAAGGTAAATTTTATTATATACAATTTAGGAATATCGACATATGTTTTCATAGCACTTTATAGTTTACCAAGAAATATACATACATTATCTCAATCTTTGATAAAACCATAGGTTGAGGTAGAGTTCAGTTTATTTTAAAGATTAGTAAACATAATTTGGGCACTAGGCATTGCATTAGGTTTAGGTTACATGAAGATTGACCCCCTAACATGGTATGAACAAGTCACAATACTCTTCATTGAGTTCACAGTATCTCAGATATTCAAGACGAGAAAAAAAGATCTTATTTTAATAAGCTACATAAATGTATAATACTTTTAACAATAGTCATTGGGGTCTTGTTATGTTCCTGACAGTAACCTAAGCCTATTATCACTATTTCAGTCATCAGAATGCATTAGGATGTAGATTATATTGTCATCCCAATACACAGTTGGAAATAAAGAAATTAAATTATTTGCTAATAGTAATCTAATATAGTGCAAGGGTTAGATCCAAAACGACAAACCGACAAAAGAGTTTAAGAGTCCATGGTAAAAGATTCTTGGTTTGTGTTGAAATTGCTGTTTTGCTGGGAAATGTGGAAGGTAAATGCAAGAATTATGAGTGAACCATAAACTGATTTTTAAAGTATATCCAATGATTACATACGCATGAAAAGAGGAAGGATGTTGCCAAACAAAAGAAAAGCAATTCCTGTAAATAAAAGCTTTTCAATAAATATGGTGTATTTGGAGTTTATTTATTCTGGATGTTGATAAAGTAAATTACATCAACAATATGTAGTGTGGTGAAAATGAGAATGTTACAAGTTAGTAAGAGTTATACATACAAGTTATACATACACACAAGTTAGAGTAAACCAACTTGTATGAATGAAAAATGAGGACAACACAGTTTGTTTACAAGCAGTATAAAACAGAACTTGGTGACTAATATGAGAAAGGTGAAATATCTTGAAGTTTTTGATTTTTTAATTGTCAACGTTTATCTAATTATAAAAGTGACACAGAAAATATTTTCACTTAATATTAATGTGCTTATTTATTGACTATTGAAATACTCATAATATTTTAACATACAATAAGATATACATATATGCTAGTTTTGACATATTAAACAGGTGTTTAGTATAAATTTAAAGTATGTCTGATGTGAACAGGGCTTCAAGTGTCCTTTCTAGCTATAAGAAACAATCTATACTTCCTTTTGCCCTGTGCCCCAAGTCTAGAAACAGGCAATTTCTCAAAGATGTGAATCAAAAGGCATGTTAATGATTTTGGTAGCAAGCAATGTAACTGTGACTGAGCTCTCCTCAGACAGATCTGAGATGTTGCAGGAACTCCCTAGCTGTTATTCTGAAGATAATATCAATAAATAAGTCATGTGTAAGTGGATAGATCTGGGATAATTGTTACCCATTCCTACATTTGACCCAGTTGTATAGTATGACCCAGGGCACTGTATTTTCAGTGATTTATTTTCACTTGGAAAGCTTTCTCACCCTGAAGTTTTTTACTATTATTTCTTCGTGTTAGTGTTGAAAACAAAATTAGATAGGGCAAAATTGACTTTAAGACGAAAAAGTATTAAAAGTCAGGTAGTCACTGTTTAATAACAAAATGTTTACTAGGATGACAAATTAGTTTCTCCACTTAATAGCATAAGGTAAAATTACATAAATTGTTTTTTATAACAATTATTAGTATCACCATCATCTAATTCCAGATATCAAGCCTGTAATGAACCGCTGATAAATAAGACAGTGATGCATGAAGACAAGAATAGAAAAAATGACCAATGAAATAAAATAACAGTAAAACTAGACAGTCACCCATTATATGGGTACCCTATATACAACAAATCAGACAATGCAATAAAGTAAGAAGAAAAAAAGTGTTATTTTTAAAGGAATGCTGCTGGTTCATTTAAATAAACACGTGGAAAACATATATTGTGATCCATACCTCACAACAAACACAAAAATGTATTCCAGGTAGGTTACAGATCTAAGTGTGAAAGAACAAACATATCCTTTAGAAGATAAAACATAGGAAAATATCTTCCAAATATTAAAGTAGGAATTATTTTTTAATCCAGTTTGAAAAGCAATGACCATACAGGAATACATAGAAAATTGGACTATATTCATGATAAGGACTTCTGCTCATTAAAGACATTTTGTAAGAGTAAATACCCAGGTCAAAGTTTGAATAAAGTTAATTAAAAGTATATATAATATATCATATATCATATATATTACTCATGTCCCCAAATATAAAGATTCCCAACATATTAATAGGAAAAGGCAAATAACCCAACCAAAAGTAGCAGAACAAAGGAATGACAATAAACCTGTATGTCTAACATCATTACTCATTAGGAAATATGTGTATTAAAACCAAATTGATAGTCATTACGTACACAATACAATGGCTAAAATTTAACAACACAGGAAATATCAAGAGGTAGTTAATGTGTTAAGCAACTTGAATACTCAACTTCTGTTTGGAGTGTCAATTGGTAGAACCTATGTACCCCTATAACATAACAATTTCCTAGAAAAATTGTGTGCATATGCCTTCAGGTGCATTATTTGTAACAGTTAATGGCTGGAAACTATCCAAACATCTCTCTTAAGAGTAGAATAGAGGAACCAGTTACATATTTTTTAAATAATAGAATACTATACATCAATAAGATTGTACACACTAAAGTGCATGCAAAAATATAGATGAAACTCGATAGCATAATATTGAGTAAAACAAGACACACATATTATTTATTATTCTGTTTAAAGTTCAAGCATAGGCAAAATAAATTTGTGTGGGTAGAATTCAGGATAGCAGTTTTCCTTGGAAGGTACTCACTTGCAGGTGAGAGTAATTACCTTTTAGAATGTGATAATATTTGATTCTTCATCTGAATGCTGTTGGATGCATGGATGGGTTCCCTTGGTGACACTTCAGCATGGTGTGATTACACTGGAGTGTGCACTTTTTGAATTAATGAGTCTCAGAAAATATTGAAAGGAGTTATTTTATTATCATGTTGGTAGATTTTCTTCTTGTAATTATTATTTTCTCAAAAAATCACATTATCCTTTTCATAATTTGTCCTTTTTTATTCATGTTTATAAAATCAAGATGTTAAATGCTTGCTTTAACGAAGACACATCAGCATTAATTCAGTTAATCAAAAATGAGAGTTCTAGTATATCGCCCGTATAGAGAGGTTACCAATACTTTAGTTGGTTAATTTATCAATAATAATACACAGTTTATGCTTACAGCCAATATGTCTTTTGATTTCAGTTAATGAAAACAAAGTAACAAATGACAAAATCTATCATTGGGGCATATGTAGAAAAACTAAAAATTATACTTTTATCTAGTAACAAACTTTTACTTGAATTGATGATTTAATCTTATTTATCACATATACTTGCCTCTGTGAAAAGATTATGTGTAGCCCACGCTATCTTTTAGTGATGTAATATTTATTCTGGGCTTTGTAATTAAAAATATCCCATCACTTTGGGAGGCCAAGGCGGATGGATCACTTGAGGTCAGCAGTTCAAGACCAACCTGACCAACATGGTGAAACCCCGTCTCTACCAAAAATATAAAAAATTAGCCGGGTGTGATGGTGTGCACCTGTAATCCCAGCTACTTGGGAGCCTGAGGCAGGAGAATCGCTTGAACCCAGGAGGCAGAGGTTGCAGTGAGCTGAGATTGTGCCACTGCATTCCAGCCTGGGAGACAGAGTGAGCTCTATCTCAAAAAAAAAAAAAAAAAAAAAAAAAGAAATCAAAGAAATATAATTTCGACCTTCGACCTTTATAGTGCTTACAATATAGTTGTAAAAGAAACAGTGAAAAAGTAAGCAGTGAATGTATATATATGATTTTAATGACAAATTATAGTTGCAAAGAACAGTGTAAGCAGTCAAAATTGCAAAAAAAAAAAAAGAAGACATATTCAAATTGAAGCTAGAATGATATGTATGTTTTAAATAAATACAGAGGTTAGCATGTATTTTTTATAAGGTCAAATAGTAAATTATTTTAAGTCATACAACTTCTACCACAACTACTAAAATACACAATTGTAGCACAAAGGGAGCCGTGGACAATATATAAACAGTCGTGCAGGACTGTGTTCCAATAAAACTTTATATTAAACAAATGGCAGGTAAGTTTTGGAATATAGGTCTTAGTTTGCAAACTCCTGAAATAGAATATTATGAAACATAGATTCTAACTTTTTCCATTTTGATATTAAAGTCCTATTTTTATTAAAAATTTCTTCAACCCCAAACTCTCTTGAATCTGTAAATGTATTCATTTTAACAGAAGTAATTTCATTCCATAGCAATTTTCCAATTTAGAGAATTAAGCTGATACATCACGATTCATAGCTGGTGTTAATCCTTAGCACCTTTTCTCTTCAAGCTAGTCAGGAAAATAAAACAAAAATCAGTTTTGTGACATTCTTATATGCCATTTATATTGACTAAATGGATAATAACTACATACAAAAATCTGTTGGCAGAAAATCTAAGATGGATTTAAAAATGAATACTCTTGTGTATTTTGCTTGACATGAAGTTCCCCTTAAACAAATTCAAATTTGTTTTTGGCTTCTTGTTGTTGTTGTTTTCATAACACTAGTGAATTTGAATATAGGCTTATCTCCCTTCTATTTTCTTAGAATGGTTTATTTCCCCTTTCCTTTGCTGCACTTCCCTTTTCCTTCTTGTTCTCTTCTCCTTCCACCTTCTCTTCTTCCAACATTCTTGGAATTAACCATATGTGATCTTTAACAGTTTTTGTCATATGACAAAGCCCCGAAATATTTCTTCCATGCCACTTGATATAAATTAACAAATAAAAATTCTATCTGTATATCAACAAAAAGTGTATGTAAGGATGGATAGTAAAGTGGGAGTTTTATAAGGATTTACACCAAATCCAAACCACTATTTCAAGAAGAAAGACATAAGCAGTTTATTTTCTTTCCTCACTTCTGTTCATACTTACGATATATTACAATCATCCTCCATAACCTTGAATAAGGGCGAATCTGTATTTCTATTTGAAAATGGCCACATTCCTAGCTGAGGAGCATTTCTCAACTTACTGATAGGCTCATATAAAATGTTTTTGCTTCTGAAGAGTTATTAATTATAAAGTTGCCTAATATTAATGAAGACAAACATATTTATAACAAAAGAATACATTTATTCAATCATCAAGCTATTAAAAAGACCACAGGCATAATCTCCAAATAAAACAAAAGTGAATCACTTTTTGAAATTTAATTTGTCAAACAAGATCTCCTAAGCATCTTTGAGCTCATATAAATTATAACTACTTTGGAGTACACTTGGCACTTCAGAAATAGTAAATATTTATTTGTAATTTATTTTCCCTTACCTGCAAAGGACATAAAGATAATTCATATCCTGGAAACTTGTTAGATTAAATAATATATAGATAAAACATTTTGAAAAAGTGCTAAACTATGAGGAATATTGTAAAATTATGTAAACCTTTAGTTACATTTAAGAGTTGATAAATGACTTCTACAGCAACTTTTAAAATAAGCTTTAATATTTCCAATTTTTAAGCTGTGGATAAAATGGTTTTATTTTATTTTATTAATATCTATCAATTTGATATTTCCTATTTGCCTTATAATATTCACAATACAAATAGACAACATGATACGTGGGTATTTGTTATCAGGAATTAGAAGATATCAGGAAAAAACCTTTCTGTGGGCTAGTGGTTTTTTGTCAATATACTTTTTTCAGAACAGAAGGTGAGAATGATCCACGAGGACAAGTGCCAGTAATGAAGAAGCTGAGAGTAGGATTGGATCAAGGCAAAATGAAGTATGACATACCAGGAGAGAAAAAGATGAGGCATTCATGCAATTGATCAGAGCACATACCAAGCAGGGCTGACTGCTCAATAATCAAATCCCACTGAGAAGCAGAAAATTGTCTAGCAAGATGCCAAACATCAATGACAAAAACATGTATAAACAGAGATAAGACTTTTAATTTGTCCAATATATGGCTTTTGCAAAAAGGGATTCAATCACTGATTTTAAAAAATTGAAAAAACAAACAAAAACCTTCCAAAACTGTGTCTGCATTAATTAATAACACTCATTCCCAGATACTGCTTTTTTATGTATCTGCACACATACATTGCATTATTAAGAGCTTACAGTAGTGAACTGGTCATTTTGCTCAGTACTATAATCATCATCTAGAGTTACTTATAGTATTAGTCAATACATAAAAGCATAGTTTTTAAGACTTTAATAAATATAATGCAAAAATTGTTCATAATTTTTTCAACAAAAAATTTTGTGTATTTTGTAATTCTTTTGTGAAAACACCTTGCCCATATCAGCCTGGATAGCAAGGTGACATTACCATTAGCGGTAAAGAAATTTGGAAATCACGTTGTTACACCTGACGAAATTAAAGTTTATTGCTGTCAGTCATGCAAGTTAGGTATTAATATTTAATATATATTCTTTAAAACAGAAGAAACAAAGTCAGAGTCTGATCACAAGTTTATAAATTTTTGTGCTTGGGATTAGATTTCGAACATTTTTAATGGGCAAAAATTTTCTTTGTACTAAACTCCACAACATTATATATTTATTCTTTGGCCAAATATAATTTTCTTTGTGCTTTTGCACAGAAATTCATCCTTTCACACATGCAAACTCTTTATTGGCCTTTTTGCTTCATAATTATGCATTAGAACCCTGATACTTCCAACTCTTCCACTAACACAGAAACAAATTTTTCTTGTAATCAAATTATCTTTATTGTGATTGTTTTTACATTTTTTATAGGTGCCCCAATCAGTAACATTCTGAATTTTTCACAGTTATAGAAAATAGCAACTTTAGGTTGAAAAAACTAATTGAAACTTGAGAGTGAAGGAATTTCATGAACTGATTTCTAGTTACAGTAAATTATGTTTACACATGCAAGTGTGTTTCTTGCAGAACTGTTCGCAATAGCAAAGACTTGGAACCAACCCAAATGCCCATCAATGATAGACTGGTTAAAGAAAATGTGGCACATATACAACATGAAATACTATGCAGCCATAAAAAGATGAGTTCATGTTTTTGCAGGGACGTGGATGAAGCTGGAAACTATCATTCTCAGCAAACTAACACAAGAACAGAAAACCAAACACCACATGTTCTCACTCGTAAGTGGGAGTTGAACAATGAGAAGACATGGACACAGGGAGGGGAACATCACACACCAGGGCCTGTTAGGGGAGGTATAGCATTAGGAGAAATACCTAATATAGATGACGGGTTGATGGGTGCAGCAAACCACCATGACAACTGTATACCTATGTAACAAACCTGCACATTCTCTACATGTATCCCAGAACTTAAAGTATAATAAGAATAATAAAAAATCAAGGAACAATATGTGTCTTGAGAATTTTCCTGTCTTCGAAGAAGGTAATATCTAGTTAGGAGAAATTGCATATTATCTAACATCTACAGCCTGAGATAAAATGTGGTAAGACAAAATATTAGGTAATATTACTTAAGATATTACTGAAGTGTTTTTTATGATTATATAATGAAATGAAAAAGGTCTGTTACACCACAGATAAGTCGAAGAGTAAGTAAATTTCAATGTTTTGAGTTTTTGCCAACAGAGAGAAATGGAGAAAATCTATCTGAGTAGTTATTATTTGAATTTTTCTTATTATGACTGGATTTATCTTTTCATATACATAAAAGCAATTGATCTTTCACTTTTTGAGAACTATTTTTATATTTGTTTACATTTTTTTCTGCTAAATCACGTCTCCCCTCTTCTTAGAAGTTTTGAAATATAAGAATAATTTTATTGTCTATGATATTTCTGCATTTTGCTACAGTTTGTCTTTTACTTAGATTTTGTTATGAGTTTTATGTAGAAGTACTTATTTTTTACATAGTTTTGTCCTTTTTCTTTTACACTTTCTGGATTTTGAGTCGTATTTACATTATATTTAAGTGAAAATTTCAAGCTAAGATAGTGAACAAATTCACCTACATATTATTTTAATATTTGTGTGATTTACATTTAAAATCACTCATCACTTTGGGGGTTTTTTCTGGTTTATGTTGTGAAATATGGATACAAGTTTACTTTTTTCTCTTTTTTTCTTTTTCCTGCTTCCCTCCCTTCTTTCTTCTTTCCTTCCTTTCTTTATTCTCTCTTCTCTCCTTCCCTCTCTCCCTTCCTCCCTCTCTTTCTTCCTTTTTTCTTATTTCCTTCCTTTCTTCCAATGGCTACTCCTTCCTTTTTGTTTTCCTTTCTGTTTTCTTCTTCTTTTAATATCTTTCTTTTTATATAATTAAGCCAGTCTATGTAATTGGTTAGGTCAGTGAAAACCATCAGGGAATCAACTGATCCTGGGGATTATCAGATTTTTGGACTTTGAACCACACATCAAAATCTCCTTATTTTGGCCAATAGTTAAAGACAAATTTCCCCAGAAATAAATATAGAGTTTACAGGGCTCTGTATAAATCAACTATATTCTCCACAGACAAGACAGAAAGAGAGAGACAGAGAGAGAGAGAACTATACTGCTATGATGTTTCTAGTAAAACTAGAACCTAATATGTATATTTTAAATTTTTATATAGTCAGATTATGTGCCAAAGCAGTGTGTTAATTGTACTCCCATCAACAATGTGTGCTTCTTTCTCCACATCTCTACCATCACTGTTTGTTATTAAGCTTTAAAATTTTTGTTCATATAATGTATTTATCTCATAAACATTTAATTTATATTCATCTTAACATACACTTGTACTCCCTTATTTAGTGCCTGTTAATTCTATTTTCTTTATTATCACATTTATTTATTTTGAAAGTATTTCAAGTATTTTGCCAGATTTTCATTGTATTTTTATTTTATTACAGTGGCATTTATTTATGTCATGCAAAATAATTTGTTTTATTTTCAAATAATTAAAATGTAAATATTTTTATTTGTTAATAGTGCCTGAGAAAGGAAAGGAAGAAGGGTATTATTAATATTTATATTAAGGGTGAAATACTTTTCTAAGAGAAGATTGTACTAATGGGGAAAGAATTACAGGTGTTTCAAGACAAACATTTTTATTAAATAATTTTCACTATTTCTGAAATGGCATACCAGGTGAGATTAATCATTTTTTTAGAATAATGATAAAACTTCTTTCATAAAAATAGTATTTGAGTCAGAAATATTCTAATACATTAATACGATTAGTTGAGTGGCTTATAAAGCTTATGATGTAATTACCCATAAAGCTTAAAACATTTGTGAAGTGATAATGATGGTTCACGAGTGATTCATTTGATTAGATTATTGATGAGTCTATTCATCTAATAATGAACCTGTAGGTGTTAGCTGAGGAAAGGAGGAGTATACTCGACAAATGTTAGTTAAAAGGACTTGAAATTAATATGTGATTAAAATAAATTTGTAAATGTCTTATTGTTTATTTTAATAGTGGAGAATCAACTGTATTTTTAACATTAATCCAATTTGCCAAAAAGATTGATAGGAGTTTTTGACCTAATGACATGCTGGTTTTCTAAAATTCTTCTTATACGAAATTTAAGAAGTTGTGCTTTCTTTAAAATTTGGTGATTTTTAAAAAATAGTTTGCATAAATTATGTAAAAATATCAATATAAAGCCAACTGGGAGACCAGCACTTTGTTAAATAAGTAATACTCTAAACTTCTAACTGAAACTTGCTAACCACAAATAGCATCAACTATCTACTATTACAGATTTTGATAGTAAAATTTCTTCCTTTTTAAAATTATTTTTAAAATAAAAGAGTCACACATCTTTCAAGGAAAAAAGGCACAGTAAAACAGGCAAGAAATTATTTAAGGCTATTACAATAAGGGGTCAAGATTATTGCAAGATGAGAGAGATTGAACTCGACTCTGCTGAAACAGAAGTTTTCAGATTTGAGGAGATTTTGAAGCAGGAGGATTTTTGTACACTGGATTGAGTTAATGAAAAAGCACTGCAGGATGTAAATGAAGAGGTTAATCAATGTGATTAGACCATCTGAGTTTGCAAATTGTCACTTATGGAAGTGAGACTCCTACCCTCCCACAGAAATGTAGAGGGTAGGGGCGCTGTCTTTCCTAATGACTTGGGAATCAAAGAAATGACTCCGAAGTCCTTGAGAAAGACTGTCTTGGTTATAGATGATTTACATCTCAGAAGATCACAGAAATAACTTAAATTGTTGGTTTCCTAAAGTATGTGCTGTAAGAAAAAAGTAAAGAAGAAAATTGTCGGAATTTTAGTCAAGCTAAGGAGAATATTAAGGCCTTCTTGGTCAAGTCCTTGTTTTTACTTACAGATATTTGTGAGGAAGGCAAAACCTAAAGAAATCTTATCTTGAGCTGATACAAAAATGTACTGTTGATAATTTTACCTTATGTTTTATCCAGGAAGAAAATATGCATTTATGAGATAGCAAAAATAATCCCTAGACATTCCCCATAACACTTTCATATTAGGCTGGGTGCGGTGGCTCATGCCTGTCATCCCAGCACTTTGGGAGGCCGAGGTGGGTGGATCACCTGAAGTCGAGAGTTTGAGACCAGCCTGACCAAATATGGAGAAACCCCGTCTCTACTAAAAATACAAAATTAGCTGGACGTGGTGACACATGCCTGTAATCCCAGCTACTCGGGAGGCTGAGGCAGGAGAATTGTTTGAACCCGGGAGACAGAGGTTGCGGTGAGTTGACATCGCACCTTTGCACTCCAACCTGAGCAACAGGAGTGAAACTCCATCTCAAAAAAACAAAACAAAACAAAACAAAAAAAACCTTTCATATTAATACACGACTTATAGTTCTATATTTTACAAAGTAAAATAATGAAGAAAATAACAGCTAATATTTTAAGATGTTAGAGCAACTATTCTTGTAATAGTGACAGCATGAGGAGCTCGGAATCATATTTAGACATGTCAGACTAATTCTACTGGCTTGAGATTGCATCCAGACACCAGGGATAATTATTCTTCAAACACATATTCTATTCTACTTATTTTCAAGACTATTGACCTAGTTAAACTTTAAGAAAGGTTATTAAAGTATAATTGTATATGTTACATGGCATTATGATCATAACTTTTTTAAATCCAGTAATAGAATTACTAAAAAGTCGCATTTTTCACAAATTTATTTGAATTTTTTAAATTTAATTTTATTTTAGATTCGGGGGTACAGGTGCATGTGTATGACATGTATGCTGGTGGAGATTGAGCATCTAGTTTACCTGGTTTATTTGGATAATTATTGTATAACCTAAGTTAGTTGACCTGGCTAATTTGTATAATTATTATAGGACCTAATTTACTAGCTAGGATAATTTAATAAAAAAATCTTTTGGTCCTAGTTTTAGGTCCAAAATAATTAGTCACTGTGTGATACTATATAGACTATTTAACCTTTCTATGCATGAATGTAAGTAAAATTGAATTAATCGTGTCACCTATTTTCATAAATGTTGTGTTAAAAGATATTTTATATACATGCTAATCACAATGGTAATGCATATCAGACATTCCTTAATATAAAAAAGTCAGTACTAGTTGAAATGATGGTGTTAAGAGCAGCAACAATACTAGTAGGAATAATATCTCAATAATGTTTTTTACACTACATTTTGATATTGGAATTAGATAGCTAACTGTTTGATTGCCTTGTTTCAAAGAAGTTGCCTAAACATGTATTCTGGTGAAGGTCTTTAAAGTTTTGTCATATCTATAACTTCCATAGATAATCTTTCCTAGACTGAGGAAAGACTTGCATTTCCCTTCTTGACTAGCAAATAATATGCCGTTTCTCAGGCAGCTTGTGAATTCATTATCTTTTTTATAAGATGTGAAATCAGAGAAAATTTTTGTTAGAACTGTGTATATCAAATAACTCACTTGTAGATACACATTATTCTCTTTTGTGGGCATCATTGACTACAGTCATTTTAGAAGTATTTGATATAAAGGAAGACATTGGAAAGCATGAAACACAGACCCGGGATTATAAAAACACTTTAACTTATGACTTTGATAAGTGGAACTAGAAATAATTCATCAAATTATTTAATGGTATTTATGAGAAAAATAATGTTATCAGGATCAAGGAAATCAATGTAGAATAAATATTACTAGCCAACCTGATAGTATAGATTAATAGGCCAAAAAGACAGCATTTGATTTTCAAAATTAACTTAGTACACAGAGAGAGAGAGAAAGAAGTAAGTAGATAAATCAATAGATAAGTAAATATGAGTAAAGTTATAGGATCTATATCCTAAAGAAAATGGACACTTATTAAAGCATTTATATTAATAAAGTTGCATAAAAGTGAATGACTAATATTTGAATAGCTTCCCTTGATAAATAGTGCTCTGCTTAACAGCTAGAAGACCATATTCTATTTTTATTTATTTTTATTTTTTTAATCTAATTTTGTAATTACACTTTAAGTTCTAGGGTACATGTGCACAACATGCAGGTTTGTTACATATGTATACATGTGCCATGTTGGTGTGCTGCAGCCATTAACTCGTCATTTACATTAGGTATATCTCCTAATGCTATCCCTCCGCCCTCCCCCCACCCCACGACAGGCCCTGGTGTGTGATGTTCCCCACCGTGTGTCCAGGTCTTCTCATTATTCAGTTCCCACCTATGAGTGAGAACATGCAGTGTTTGGTTTTTTGTCCTTGTGATAGTTCGCTGAGAATGATGGTTTCTAGTTTCATCCATGTCCCTACAAAGGACATGAACTCATCCTTTTTTATGGCTGCATAGTATTCCATGGCGTATATGTGCCACATTTTCTTAATCCAGTCTATCATTGATGGACATTTGGGTTGGTTCCAAGTAATTGCTATTGTGAATAGTGCTGCAATAAACATACATGTGCATATGTCTTTATAGCAGTATGATTTATAATCCTTTGGGTGTATACCCAGTAATGGGATGGCTGGGTCAAATGGTATTTCTAGTTCTAGATCCTTCAGGAATCGCCACACTGACTTCCACAATGGTTGAACTAGTTTACAGCCCCACCAACAGTGTAAAAGTGTTCCTATTTCTCCACATCCTCTCCAGCTATTTTTAAAAAGTGAAAATAGCAGAAAATGAATCATCAGCTTTATAATTAAAATTTCAAAACATGAGATTTTACTATAGGTTTTTGTTTGTTTGCTTTTTTACTGTCAGTCATTAGCTTGGTCAACATATTTATTCTCTAAATATTTAACCAACATAATGAAGTACACTTCAACACATTTACTGAGTCCAATATGATCTATGCTCCTTGAAAAGAATTAGTACTGAAAACAAAATGGAAAAGCATAGCTTGTGAATTGATACAAATTTGAATACTAGCTCTATAGTAATAGTGGTAAAAACTTGGGCAAGTCTTAATTAATCAGAATCTCAATTTTCACATAAATGAATTTGAAATAACAACATGAAACGTAGTGTGGTTATTGGCATTGAATGCAAAAATTTTATAAATTGTGACAACTTTCTATAGAAAAGCAAATTGCATTATATTTTAATGAAAAAATAATAATTCTTATTTTAGTTTGTTTTTTGGGTTTCTTTTTTGATTTTTTTGTTTGTTTGTTTTGAGACAAAGTCTGGCTCCATCATGTAGCCTGGAGTGCAGTGGTATGATCTCAGCTCACCGCAACCTCTGCCCCCATCAGTCTCAAGCGATCCTCCCACCTCAGTCTCCTGAGTAGCTGGGACCACAGGCATGCACCACCATGCCAGTCTAATTTATATATATATATATATATATATATATATATATATATATATATATTTTTTTTTTTTTTGTAGAGATGGGTTTCATCACGTTACCTAGGCTGGTCTAGAATTCGTGACCTCAAGCAATCTGCCCACCTTGGCCTCCCAGTGTGCTGGGATTACAAGTGTAATCCATCGCTCCTGGCTATTATTTATTTTTGAGGTAGATATTAGCTTGGTGACTTTTATTTAGGACATAAACAATAGAATATGCCCAAATGGCATCTGTTACAGAAAGTTCTGCCATCAGTTTACACTAGTTATATTTTAAGGCTATGATATTTCAAAGCTAATGGAGTCCTTATTAGTACATATTCTTTCTAAGGTATTTATGAACCATCAAGATTTTTATTTTCTTTTGTTTTATCTATCATTAAACATTGCCAATCTATGAAGAGAAAATAAAATATTTAATTAATAAGAATACCCAAATTCAAACTTTACACATAATAAATCACTGTATACACTCAGTATAATTAATATTTTAATTCATTTAATCTTTTCACATTTAAGTTTTAAATGTGATGGTTGTGCCATTGGTAAAAATCAGTTAACAGAGGAAAATATTTAATTTGACACTATCTCAGTGTCATATAAGTTAATTACAAATATTGAAGAGAAATTGATATAAATCTGGAGAAACCACAATCAACTTTTACTTTTTTACAAAGAACTGTTGTTATTTTGAGTTTGTCATTCCTCTGGTAATATAAAAAGTTAATGGGAATATGTATGTAATGGGAATATGTGTATTTATGCAGACAACTGTTTTTGATAAAAACACTGCTTTTATTTATCCTTTACTCTTACTTTTTCATTTATACACACACAAATGTTTAAATATTGTGATATTCATAAAACTATACAAAAAAGAAACATTAAAAAGAAAATATAATCTAATTGGCAAACAACCTCTTACATCTAATCATTTTACAATATTTGCTAATGTTAAATTTAATCCGACAGAAATTATTTAACAGACAAAAAAGATGTGAATGAGATTTTCTTTTGCTGCAAACACTATTATAACTTTACTATGAGAAAAATTAAGAAAACAGACTTTTAATTATGTGGTTATAAAAATGTTCCAATTCTGAAAATGTATTTATGTTACTCAATGCAATTAACATAATTATAAACACACATTTATATTAGAATGAGTAGAGGCTCAATATGTCTCTAATTTAGTAGACATAATTTACGGAAATTTTATTAAAATATACAATATTTTCTTTGTTGTTACCACAAATACTATAATACTTTCAGTAATATTTTATATACATAACTACTTACTAAAATATAGGCATATTGATTATACAAGTTTATCTCATTAATAACTAGGTATAATATTAAAATGGCATGGTAAAGTATAAAATTCACTGAATTGGTACTGAAATGGTAAGGTATTAGTCATACTAAAATGGTAAAGTATACGCATAGGTGTGGATTTTTTATTTGACATCATTTGTAAAATTTGAGGCTATTCCAAATAAATTCTCAAAATATCTGTGACCCAAGTATAAAAAAATATATAATTCAGAATTTAGGTTAAAGGCTTATAGTCCTGCAATGAGTAATTTTTAATGATACAAAAATACTCCCCAAAATTATAAGTACTGTCACAGAATCCTTTGGGTGTCACTTCGCCAGCCGGAAACCTCTGTGGCCCGAGGCACGTCTGCTTGAGTTTGGCTTGCTCCCGCTAGGTTCATTCTGCCCACTCGGCCCAGCAGGCTGCACTCGGCTCATATTATCAGCCCAGATCCCATTCCTGTTGAGGGTGATTCAGGTGTGGAATGGCAAGGGGTGCATAAGTGAGTGAGCTCGGCACGCTGGCTGCTGCAGTAGGGTGGGCAGTTCCAGGTGCCGACACAGGTGCTGGCTTCCTGTGAGGCTGCAGCTAGACCACGCATACTGCATGTGGCTTCCTCTGTGGGCACTGGTTTCTTGACGAGGGGAACGCAGTGGCGTCCAATAACTCAGAGACACTAGCAACCGCAAAGCCCCAAGGAGTGAGTGTGGGGTGTGCTACAGCACTCTTATTCCCGCTGCCCACTGCATGGAGAACAGGGTGGCGGGCATGTTTTCAGCTCATTCAGTCCCGTTGCCTAGCTCCTGCCTGCAGCTCCCGGCCTGGCCCGGCCCTGCCCCTGCTTCTCGTCATGTGAGATGGCCACGTCACACTGGTGGAGAGCAGGAGGGCTATAGTGTTACTACTCTGGCTTGGAAAATCCCCAGGTCTGGGCCCCCAGAAGGGTTTCTACTCTTCACTCCCACAGTCCAGCAAATGGGAGCATATCACTGCCTGCAGTGTTACAGCTCCTTTGGCTCCCACCTGCAGCTCAGTGAGTTGGCCAGGAAATTGTTACAACCCTTTTCTTGCTGCCATTTGGTGGTTCCCCAGTTCTTGTCCCATATCCAGGAAGAATGAGGCTACATGGACAACTGGAGGGTAAGCAAGGCAGAGAAGAATTTTATTGAGCAACAAAACAGCTCTCAGCAAAGAGGAGACCCGAAGTGTGTAGCTCCTACCTACAGGTGGGTAGTCCCAAGGTGTGGCTGAATCTGGGATTTTTATGGGTTCATTGTACTTATTTGCATTGTGCCTTTTATCTTTGTTAATTAATCTAGCTTGTGTTCTCTCAATCTCTTTTTTGTTCTTTCTTTCTTTCTTTTTTTGTATAATCAAACTTTGGTTTCATTTATCTTTTGTATAGAGTTTTCAACTCAATGTCATTAAGTTTTTCTCTAATTTGAATTACTTTTTTTTCTTCTGCTAGATTTGGGGTTGGTTTACTCTTTTTTTACTCATTCTTTTAGAAGAAAATTAGATTGTTAATTTGAGCTCTTTTAACTTTTTGACAAAGACATTTAGCACTATAAACTTTCCCCTTAACAATACTGTTTTACCTGCATCCCAGAGATTTTGGTAAGTTGTGTCTCTATTTTCATTAATTTCAATTTTTTTTTTATTTCTGCCTTAATGTTGATGTTTACCTATCAGTTATTCATGAACAAGTTATTTAATTTCTATTAATTTGTATAGTTTTGAGAGGTGTCTGTCCTTCCTTCGTTCCTTCCCTCCTTCCTTTCTCTTTCTTTCTTTTTTAACCTGGTCTGATATTGTGCTTGGTATGATTTCAATTTCGTTTGAATTTATTGCAGCTTGCTTTATGGCTGATCATATGGCTGATCTTAAAATATGTTCCATGTGCAGCTAAGAAGAATGTATACTCTGTGGTCGTTGGGTGAAGTGGTCTGTAGATGTTTATTAGGTACAATTGGCCAAGTGTCAAGTTTAAATCTAGTTTCTTTGTTAGTTTACTGCCTTGATGATCTAATGCTGTCAGTGGGGTGTTGACATCTCCCACTATTATTATGTGGTTCTCTAAGTCTTTTTGTATGAAATGAAGAACTTGTTCTATAAATCTGGGTGCTTCAATGTAGGGTGTATATATATTTGGGACAGTTAAGCCATCTTGTTGGATTGTACCCTTTATCATTATGTAATGTTCTTCTTTGTCTTTCTTAAATTGTATTGCTTAAAATCTGTTTTATCCAATATTAGAATAGTTATTCCTGCACTTTTTTGTTTTCCATTTGCATGGCATATCTTTCTCTTTCCCTTTATTTTGAGCCTGTGGGTGTCATTACATGTGACATGGGTCTTTTGAAGACAGCAGATGGTTGAGTCTTGTCTTTTTATCCAGCTTGCCACTCTATGTCATTTAGGCAGAGCATTTAGCATTTAGCCCATTTACATTCAGGGTTAGTATTGATACATTAGATTTTCATTGTGTCATCATGTTGCTACCTAGTTGTTATGTAGACTTGACTGTGTGATTGCTTTAAAATACCTGTGGGCTATGTGCCTAAGTGTATTTTTGTGGTAGCACGTATCATTGTTTTCAATTCCATGTTTAGTACTCCATTAAGGACCTCTCATAAGGCTGGTCTGAATCTCATCTCTGGCTTTCCCAGTGAATCACTGTGACAGATTACAATTCTTCCACTGATAGTTCTTGAGGAACTTTTTGTTTGTCCAATGTAAGTTGCTCAGGGATTTGCTAATTAGAAACCTCAGCTTGCCAAATGCACAGTTGATAGTTTCAGTACAATCAATGTTTACAGAAGTATTGTAAGCTACAGAAATAAAAAATTAATCATCATTTTAAAGATCATGTTAACGTGTTTCACTATACTTTTTGAAAACTAAATTTTTTCCAACGAAACATAAATGTTTTAATACTAAATATTCAGATACAGATGTTTTATTCTCATATGTAATTCAATAACACATGCATGAAACTGATACAGATTATAGAAGTATTACTGCCCCACATTCAGAATTTCCCACTGTACTAGTTGCTAGAGAAAAAGATTTTGGTTTAGTTAATGGTACACTGGCTACCTGCATCAATTAGTGTTTACTCTGGAAGAGAGAAACAGTAAAGGTTTTTCAAGAACAAAGGTATAAAATACAGGGAATCAGGCACTTATAAAATTGCTTAGGGACTAATGAAGTGAAAGTCAAGAGGAGATATTGTAGCTTTCAGATTTTACTCATCAATCTTTATTTAGAGAAGCAGGCAATTGGTGTTCCTCCTCTTGCATCAGATCAAGAGAGTGTCACCAATTAATAGTCCTTCCATGTAGCATCAAGGCAACTGAATGACAGATGAACAGGTGAATGACCTCAGGTTGATGACCAAACAAATAAACAATCATCATCAACAACAAAACATTCAGTTTTACAAAAGCACACACTTCTGCTCATTATCAATGATGAAGGTTAATATGGCATTCCCTGTCTACCACTTTCTGAACCTCATGCAAGTTTATCTCATTGGTGTACTGTAAGTTCCATCGAGAAATCAGGAGGTAAGGGAATTGAATTATCTAATTCCTAGGCTCACAATACTTATACTACTAGGGAGAGCACAGATAATTTAGGAATTGATGCTCATTGCAAAAAGGCAGTTCTCTCCAACAGTTCAACACATAGCTTATATTTAAATTTGTGAACAATGGCAAAATCAATAATAGCACGCTTTGACCTAACATAATGCAAGCCATTACTTGTATAAGTGAAGGCATTCTGAAGCTTTCTCTTCAAGGGAAAGATCTAAAGTTTGATCAGTCACTCTATCCATCTCTGAGTGATTATGCTTTTTTTAATAGTCAAAATACACTCTTCCATGATAATGAAAGATTGTTTTATCCTTCCATATCTATTCTTTTGAAATGTAAGGATTTAACTCTTTCCTAATCAATGCCCTAAATGTCATAAGAGATTTAGCTATGCTATGAATTCACTCGCCCCTTAATTCAGGAACCTACAGAATTAGGTGTCTCTTGCTTCCAGCTACCTACACTCTATAAAATATAAGAATTCACATAAGGGTAGACAGAGAAGACTTTTTATTATACATAGGCTGAGAATTTAAAGCCATTAACTAGTTATTTTTTATCTTTAAGATATTTCATATACACAAAAGTAGCCAGTCCACTATAAAATCTTGAAGTGACTAATTCTTCCATATTATTTTTTGTATCAGCGGCTTTTTGTGGTTAAGCCTTGCCTCCAAAGAGTACTTTACTGAGGTACATATGATATTTAAAGAGTTATTTGTCATTCCATGCTATAGAATGTCAATACCTATTTTCCACTGACAAAGAGACTCTTGGAACCAACCAAAACCACTTGAAGAAATAAACAATTCCCAGTTATCTTTTTGATGGTTTAGCTCTTGCTACCACTTATGGTACAGTATTCTATTTCATTCTGAGTTGTGTAAAGAAAACAAAAGATACTTTAGGTACTTCAAACAAAAATGCATTCAACATAGAGAACTAGTATTTATAAAACCAATAGAAGTTCTTCAGAGGTGAAAGTCACTAGATCTCTCTCTCTCTCTGTATTTATAGTTGTGATCTAGATAATCAGAAATTTGTTCTCACCCTATATATTATAAAATGATAGGAAAACCTTCATGATTATTAAAACTATTCTGAATAGTCCTAGAATTGTTATAAGGAAAGAAATATACAGTCCCTGTAATGTGTGGTTACAAAGATCACACAGGAGGGATGAAGTGGGGAATTAAATCCATTGAATTGAAAGGGAAAACAGACAGACAAACCAAAAGAAGCCTCAACATAGACCCACTGATCTGTCAAACTCAGGGTTTTGATATAGAGTGACATAGAAACTGTGATGGAAATTGTTGTAATTTCGATTCATATTTTTAGAAATAATTTCTAAATAATATAAGGTGATAGTTATTTTAGTTAACCCTGGTAACATTATAGCTAACTAGCAAATTTTATCTGTGCTTTAGAGTCTAGTGGGAAATACAGGGGAGTAAGCAGAAAGTTTCAGTTGACTGTTTGAAATATATTGAAAGTGGCAAAATGGAGCTATATTATAAAGTTTAAATTAAATTTCAAAAAGTACTCAAATTACTTTAAAAAATTGTATTTTTCTGCTTGTAACTTTAGATTCTAATTATTGACTGCTTTCAGGAAAGGGTAAATCCAGCATGATGCTGTCAGGACCCTGCTGTTCACTTGGTCTCCATCTCTTCATTTTCTTCTGTTACTGGCTTATTTTTGTATCATTTCCTTTATCATTTGTGTAAAAAGTTCACAAAGGATTCTAAATTTCCTTCTAAAGGCATGCAGCCATTTCTTAGCACAATCCTTAACTTTAGAGAGAGAGGAAACTCTGTTAGCCTAGCAAATATGCTCATTCTCATGGAAGAGAAATCACTTTATTGTCAACAGTTTCAGAAGTATCACGTTGAGTGAAAGGTCACGGTTCACAAGTGGAAAAGAAGTACTACAAGAAGGGAATGGGAAGGATAAATTGAGCAGAAAAAATCAAGATGTGTAATTGAAATTATCTCATGGTTAAGGATGGCTTCTCAGCTGATTGAAATATTAAGGGATACCAATCATTGATATTTTTGATGTTAGAGAAAAGATGGAAGGATAAAATAGTTCCTCCAATGTAAACTCAATGAATTAAAGCAGAAAACAAAAACCATAATGTTTTGAAGATCATAGGTGTGCGTTATGAAGGGAGGAAGCAACATTAAAAGATGCTTCAAGGGAAAAATGATGGTGTATTAGAATTACCAGTCTGGAGAAGCACAGATGAATTTGAGAGGGACTTACTGCTGATAAGGTTTTTTTCTCTAGGCAAGCTACTTACCACAATTTTATATGTCTCCCTTAACCTGACCCAGGTGTTTTGATTATTATGTTTCTGATAATATAGACTATCTCAAGCCACATGTATGAACAGACACGGAATCATTACAAGTAGTTATCACCAGTGACTGGAAACCTACAGTGTCATCATTCACATGGCTCTATTTGTTTCGTGCCTTTAGTAGATCTTAATAGATCTTTATGGTCATCAGCAGTGATTAAAGCTGACTCTGATATTCTGACCACTTGTGATTTGCCCTTGCCGCCTATCAAAGGAAAATGATTCTAATTCATTGAAAAACTCTCGTGACAAAAATGCATAAAAGCCATTCATTACAATTGCTTTTAGTCCGAAGTAGAACACGAATATGGGAGGAGTACACGGGAGGGATGTATGATCTGGTCGTCTCTGCACATGATATCAGTTCCTCCTTTGAGTGTAGACGGAGGCAGGGACTGCCTTAGCCACTCTACCACAGCCCACATGCTGGCAATTAATCTGCTGTAGTGCCTGGCGTCTTGAAAATTATGTAATGAAGACAATATTTCATATAAAAATTGCTTTTGACAAGCTTTTTAAAATTAAATACTTTTTCAGAAATGCTCCCTTAGTTATCAAGGAGCGCCTGTATACTGAGTTAATTTTCCTTCTGCTAATTTCTAGCCTTAAGATCATTATAATAAAACTTTAATTTAATCTCTGACAATTCTACTTCAGTGGCAAGGTATATTTATGATTAAATGGCAAGTATTAAAAGTCAAGTTATGTTAATGTAAGAGTTTTCAAAGTATATTAGAGAATCTGTACTAAAGATAGAATATTTTACCATATGCTCTCCCAGGAAACTGACTTTTCTCTTTCCATTAGTAATTGTTTATAATCAGAACTTCTTTTAAAAGCTCTGTATCTTGAAAATCACGGGATTTTTATTGTCTTATGTGAAAAATATATTTATTGCAAAATATTTTTCATAAATTTCATGATACTTTAATATAATGAATGTTAATTGTGTCTAATATGGTGAATTCCAGAGCTCATTTTGAAAGGTGCTTCTGGAACACTCTCTTATACAGTATTCTTTCTTAAAAGACTGGATATAATTAGTGGTCTTGGGGATATTTGTTACCTTTCAAGGGGATATTTGTACAGACTTTCAAGAGTTTCTGGAGATTCTAAGATCCAATTTTCTAAAAAAAAAAAAAAGTATATATATATATATTAGCATAGCATAGCCAAGTTTAGTTTGACTCAAATGACAACTCATTTTCTAAATGTCATACTCTCTTATTCTTCAATTAAACCATTATTAGCTTACCAAATCTTCCAACAGAATGTATGTAACTTTTTTCATAAATATTTCAAATTCAGTTATCAAAGAAACATTCTGCAAAACAACAAACATATTTTAGGATTGAACTATTCAATAGAAATTCAATGAAGTGAAATATGTTAGGGCCAAATTAAATTGCTTGTAGCTTTGGAGAATGTTGACATTGCATACATACGTTTGTTATATGTTTTGCTGCAATTTTCCATTATATATTTTATATAAAATCTACTCCTTAATGCTACTTTGGAATCAGAATCAGTAGTAATGAGTAATGATCTTAATGCTTTAATAAGCTTACAGTTTTTCAATGAGGTAAAGCAGGAATCTACTCTGACTCTTCTCTCACATTTGTGCATTGTTACCTAGACATAACTTTAAATAGGCTCAAAAGTAATGTGCTCCTTTATGCAGCTACCATGTCTTTTTGACACATTCTAGTAGTAACCTCATACATAACAGGCCTAATATAAAACTCATACCACAAATAATACCTTTAAGTTAACATCTATCTTTAAATGAATATTAAATTTGTGGAAATAGCATTAAACAAAAAAAAAATCTATTCAATTACCTAACTGTGGTATCTGAACACATTCTTTTCTAGTGTACATAAGAAATTGGGTACAATGAGATTCATTATTCTTCTTAGACTGTGTGGAGGCATTTGCTTCAAAAGATAAGTTTTTAGATCACATTTATCTTTGCTTTATGTCATAAAACTTGATGGCCTCAATCATTCATCCTCCCACTAGTTTGCAAAATTATATCTTAGGTCCTCTCCAACACTGTCCTTTATAGTAAGTGCCTCATTCTAAGTAATATGTTTTTGTTGAATTCTTTCATTTCATAAAGATAAGTAACAAAAAACAAATCCCTAGGATTAAGGAAATAAACATTGCTCTAGCTGAATATTTAAGAATTTTTGCACATAATCTGGAATAAAGAACACTTTTCGTTATAGATTGTTATTGCAAGGATGACCTTAAACTCATTGCCATTCAACACTTATGAACACTTGCTTTATTGGAAAAAAAAAACTTTAATAAAATGTCATTTATATGTAAATATGTGTGTGGGTGCATGTGTGTGTGCGTGCACACATGTATCAAAATTTAACAATTTTTGGTTTGGATTTTTTTTTTAATTTAGAAAAATCCAAACAACAAAAAGATACTTGCAACTCATTAAATTCTTGTTTACTAATTATCTTCCACTGGTGTACATTGAAGGAAGCTGTACAAACAAAATATTTTCTATTTACCACAAAGATGTTTTGCGTTGCATGTAACAGCTTTGTTTCTATAAGACCTGGGAGAAACCATAGTATACATTTTTTATTACAATTTCAAAAGTAGCTTTGCATCTTTCGTGTTATGTTTAAATAACTAACACTTGCAATTTTAGGTATGAAAATCTTATAACCTTTCAAAAATTGTACTGGAAAAACTGGCCATCCATATGCAAAAATAAATGAATCTACACACAGACCTTAAACTCTTTACAAAAAAATTAACTCAAAATGAATCATAGAACTACATGTAACATGCAAAACTATGAAACTCTTTGGAAAAATCTAGATGATCTTGGATATGGTATTGACATTTTAGATACATCATCAAAGCCACAAGGCATAAAATAAATAATTATTAGCTGGACTTTATTAAAACTATAAAATTCTGCTCTGCGAAAGACAATGTCAAGAGAATGAGAAGACAAGACATAGACTAGGAAAAATATTTGCAAAAGACATATCTGATAAGAGATTGTTATCCAAAATATGCAAAAAAAATCTTTTAAAGCACAGCAATAATAAAACAAACAATGTACATTAAAAATGGGCAAAATATACGAACAGACAACTCACAAAATAAGATATATAGATGGTAAATCAACAGTTGAAAAGATGTTCAACGTGGTGTGATAGTAACTAGAGAACTGCAAATTAAAACAATATTGAGATACTACTGCATACCTAGTAGGATGTGGAGAAACAAGAACTCTCAGACACTGCTGATGGGAATGCAAAAATGGGATAGTCACATTGGAAGACCACTTGACAGTTTCTTTTTTTTTTCTTTTTTTTTTTTTTTTGAGGTGGAGTCTCGCACTGTTGTCTGGGTTGGAGTGCAATGGCATAATCTTGGCTCACTGAAACTTCCACCTCCAGGATTCAAGTGATTCTCCTGCCTCAGCCTCCCGAGTAGCTGGGAGTACAGGTGCCCTCCACCACACCCGACTAATTTTTTGTATTTTTAGTAGAGACGGGGTTTCACCATGTTGGCCAGGATGGTCTTGATATCCTGACCTCATTATTCGTCCACCTCGGCCTACCTAAGTGCTGGGATTACAAGTCTGAGCCATCACACCCGGCCCAGTTTCTTGCAAAATTAAACAAACTCATGTCATGCAATTCACAAATCCTACTCCTTAATACTTACCAAGAAAAGCTGGAAATCGATGTCTATACAGAAACCCGCAACACAGATGTTTATAGCAACTTTATTCATAATTGCCAAAACTTTGTAGCGACCAAGGTGTCCTTCAGTGTCTAAATGAATGAATAAATTGGTTCATCCAGACAGTGCAATGTTATTTGGCACTTAAGAGCAATGAGCTATCAAGCCATGAAAAGACATGGAAGAAACTCAAATGTTTATTACTGAGGGAAAGATGTCAATCTAAAAGCTACATAGTTGTATTAGTTCATTCTCAGAATGCTATGAGGAAATACCAAAGAATTGGGTAATTTATTAAAAAATAAATAAATAAAAAGGTTTAATTGAGCCACAGTTCTGCATGGCTGGGAGGCTTCAGGGAACTCACAATCATGATGGAAGGCATCTCTTCACAGGACAGCAGGAGAGAGAATGAGTGCAAGTAGGGGAAATGCCAGATGCTTATAAAACCATCAGATCTCATGAGAACTCACTCACTATCATGAGAACAGCCTGGGGGAAACCACCCCAGGATCCAACCACTTCCCACTGGGTCTTACCCATGACACATGGGGATTATTGGAACTACAATTCAAGATGAGATTTGGGTTGGGACACAGCCAAATCATATCACTTCACTGTTGGTCTCTCCCAAATCCCATGTCCTCACATTTCAAAATACAATCATGGTTTCTCAACAGTCCCTTAAATTTAACTCATTCCATCATTAACTCAAAAGTCCAAGTCCAAAGTTTCATCTGAGACAAGGCAAGTCCCTTTCACCAAGGATCCTGTAAAATCAAAAGCAAGTTAAGTTACTTCCTACATACAATAGGGTACAGGGATTTGGTAAATACACCCATCCCAAATGTGAGAAATTGGCTAAAATGAAGGGGCTACAGGCCCCACACAAATCTGATTTTCAGTGGGGCAGTCAAATCTTGTAACTCTGAAATGATCTCCTTTGATTCCATGTCTCACATGCAGGTCATCCTGATGAAAAAGGTGGACTCCCATGGCCTTGGGCAGCTCTACTCATGTGGCTTTGCTGGGCACAGCCCACCCTTGTCCTGGCTACTTTCACAGGCTGGCATTGTCTGTGGCTTTTCCAGGTGCATGGTGCAAGCTGTCAGTGGATCTACCTTTCTGGGGTCTAGAGGATAGTGGCTCTATTTTTACAGCTCTACTAGACAGTGCCCCAATGGGGAATCTGTGTGGGGGCTCTGACCTCACATTTTCCTTCTGCACCGTCCTAGCCTAGGTTCTCAATGAGGTCTCTATCCCTGAAGCACACCTCTGCCTGGACATTCAAGTGTTTCCATACATCCTCTGAAATCTGGGTGGAGGTTCCCAAACCTCAATTCTTGTCTTCTGTGCAGCTGTAGGACCAACACCATAAGCAAACTGCCAAAGCTTGGGGCTTGCACCCCATGAAGCTACAGCCCCAAGCTGTATCTTGGCCCCTTTTAGCCATGGCTGGAGCAGCTGGGATGCAGGCTCCCAAGTCCAGAGGCTGCCCACAACAGGGGGGCCCTGGACACAGACCTCCTAGGCCTCTGTATCTGTGATGGCAGGGACAGCTGCAAAATTCTCTAACATGACCAGGAGACATTTTTCCCATTGTCTTGGTGATTAACATTTGACTCCTCATTACTTATGCAAATTTCTGCATCCAGTTTGAATTTCACTCTAGAAAATGGGTTTTTCTTTTGTACTGCATTGCCAGGCAGCAAATTTTTCAAACTTTTATGCTTTGCCACCACTTGAACACTATGTTGCTTAGAAATTTCATCTACCAGATACCCTAAATCATTGCTCTCAAGTTCAAAGTTGCACAGATCTCTTGGGCAATGGCAAAATGCTGCCAATCACCTTACTAAAGCATAGCAAGGGTGAGCTTTACTCCAATTCCAAACTCAAGTTCCTCATCTCCATCTGAGACCACCTCAGCCTGGACGTCATTATTCATATCACTTTGTGCATTTCAGTTAAAGCCATTCAACAAGTCTCTAGGAAGTCCCAAACTTTTTCACATCTTTCTGTCTTCTTCTTAACCCTCCAGACTGTTCCAATATCTGCCTGTTACCCAGTTCCAAAATTGACTCGACATTTTTGGGTATCTTTATAGCAGCACCCCACTCTCTGCGTTACCAATTGACTGTATTAGTTCGTGCTGAGGCTGCTATGAAGAAAAACTCGAGACTGAGTAATTTATAAAGAAAAGAGGTTTAATTGACTCAAAGTTCTGCATGGCTGGAGAAGCCTCAGGAAACTTACAATCACGGCCGAAGACACCTCTTCACAGGGCGGCAGGAGAGAGAATGAGCGCAAGCAAGGGAAATGCCAGAAACTTATAAAACCAACAGATCTTGTGAGAACTCATGATCATGAGAACAGCATGGGGGAAACCACTCCCAGGATCCTATCACTTCCCACCACACAGTCCCACGACATGTGGGGATTATGGAAACTACAATTCAAAATGAGATTTGGGTGGGGAGACAGCCAAACCATATTAATAGTGTATGATTGCAACTATATGATGTTCTAGAAAAGGAAAAACTAAGAAGACTAAAAATGTTGTTTCCAGGAGTTAAAGAGAAAGGAGGGATGAACAGGTGCAGCACAGAAAATTTTTAGAACAGAAAAACTATTCTGTATGACACTATAATGTTCCAATATATCTCTATACATTTATCTAAATCAATAGACTGTAAAACACTGAAAGTGAAACTTAAAATGTGGACCTTGGGTGATGTTGATGTTTCATTGCAGATATTCATCAACTGTAACAAATGTGCTACTCTAGTGAGGAATGTTGACTGTGAGAAAGGCTGTGCTTGTGTGACAGCAGTGATATATAGGAGCTCTGGACTTTCTGCTCAATTTTGCAGTGGACCTACAAG
Organism: Homo sapiens; assembly: GCF_000001405.40. Taxonomy (NCBI): domain Eukaryota; kingdom Metazoa; phylum Chordata; class Mammalia; order Primates; family Hominidae; genus Homo; species Homo sapiens. Next base: position 195,206,885 of record NC_000001.11, on the reverse strand, counting down.
TCCTCTAAAAGTAAAGCCTATTGTAACACAAATAATAAATGCTTGAGGGAATGGATACCCAATTTTTCATTATGTGATTAGTATGCATTACATGGCTGTATCAAAACATCTCATGCACCCCATAAATATGTACACCTACTACATACTCACAAAAATTAAATAATTTAGAAAAGATCATAAGATTAATAATGATTGTCCATATTAAACCATTGTATCTTCACATCAAATACATGGTCTACCTCTAACTAGTAATAGGATGATTTGAAATTAACATTTATATAATATTGTATGCCACCTATTTTTCCTTTTATTTTTAAGAATTTAATTTTAAAACATAATTCCTATACACTTAAATCCATGTGTGATCCACCTGAATTCATTTTTAACATGTGCTATAATTAAAAAATGAAATGTGATATTTATTCAATTAGATTATTTATAAAATTCCTTTAACAAAGTGTAAATACTTGTATTTATGATTATATAGTGTAGACTGAAATCTATAGTGATTTACATAGATTGCTGCAGGTAATATTAAGATTATTATTGTACACTGTAAGTGTAGGTTTTGGCATGGTGCATTGCTTTTAAAAACTATTTTAAAATGCAAATATATATTAAAAATTTCCAATAAAATTGTGTAACTATGTGGTATTTTTATCACTGTAAAAAAAATGAATTGAAATTTGAAGACATAAAACACAAAAGACAAACATGTATCAAAATTTAATAGCGAAATTATAAAAACTAATAAAAATTGGTTTTACTAGATTACATAAATGGTAGTTTGCATGGATTTTAATGAAAATTTAAATAAACTGTCTTATACTATTGAATATAAATGACAAGTTAGGTGCTATTTAAATGAGTTAACAGAGTGTGAAAAACATTACCATTTTAATAAAGACTTGCTATACTACTCAGTGTTATTATATACCAAGTCTCCTGATGTTAAGATTTTGATTTAGCCAGGTGTTCTTGCCTGTAATCCTAGAATTTTGGAAGACAGAATTGGGAAGATTGCTTGAGCCCAAGAGTTCAAGACCAGCCTGAGCAACATAGCAAGACCCTTATCTTTACAAAAGTGAAAAAGGTTAGCCAGGCATGTGGCACTTGCTTGTGGTCCCAGCTACTCAGAAAGCTGAGGTGGGAGGATCGCTTGAGCCTGGGAGGTTAAGCCAATAGCGAGCTATGATCCTGCTACTGCACTCCAGTTTGTGAGACAGAGCAAAATCTTGTCTCAAAAAAAAAAAAAAAAAAAGAAAAGAAAAAAAGATTTCATTTAAAGTCCACTCAATTTATGAAACTGCACATAGAAAGTTAACTTATTCTATAATATTATCAAAATATGGCTTTTTTGTCTCTCTCTGTTTGTGTTTGTATAGATTTGTGTGTATGTATATAATCCAACTCTTTCCATCATTACATATTGTCTGACACATGCATCCCCACAAGGATGAGGGATAATGGCACCTCCCATAGAAAATCAGGCAAGTGTCAGTAAAGTTCTTCAGCCCATGTCTAGAATTTAAACGTTCCAAGGAAGTATATGATACTATGTTTGCAAGTCTTATTTCTCTGACTTCATTTCCCATTCCATTCATTGCATTCCAGCTGTATTTGCTCTTCTGCTCTTCTTCCTCTTCTTCAAACACACCTGCGTGTTCCTGCCTCAAGAGCTTTTGAACCCAGTTCATTTTTCCTGGAACAATCTACATTTACTTCATTCATGTTTCTCATCGAATGTCATATTCAGAGAGACAATTTCTTTTAAAACTTTGATAAAGATAGCCGTTCTCCCTCATCTTATAAGTTTCTCATCTTAACCCGATTTGAAGTTTCTTAATGCCATTTGTTATAATTATTAAATATACTGTTTATTAATTTGCTGATTTTCTTTGTGTTTGATATATATATACTTCTTTTTTATAGCTCTTCTTTCAGTAAGATTAATTTCTTGGAAGATGTTGGTATCATATTTTACTCCAGTGTTTCTGGAAACACAGTTCCTTTTTAATATAGATTTCCTTTTATGTTTTTAATATGCTATTTATAATCAAGAGACAGAATTTTAAATCTATCCTTTGAAACACTCCTCATGATATTTTAATATTCTGCAGCACTCTCTGCCTTTGTGAAAATCATTGACATAATTACAGTTTTCCAATGTTAGGATTATAATAAAAGATGCCTATTATGACATCTTTGTGGTGAGACAAACCCTAAAAGTCTTATTTATTTTTAGGACTAGATCTCAGACTCTAATTAAATTAGTCTTTTTTTTCTTTTGGAAGAGGAAAAAAAACAGGTAAACATAAGCATTCATTTGAATAGTGTAACAAAGGCAAAATATGAAATTAATGTATCACGTTTTCCTTCTTCTGCCTCTTTCTCGCTCTCTTTGTCTTTCTTTTCCTCTCTCCCTCATTGACAACCTTCCTCCACCCCATTAAACTGCATTCATCACTCCACACATATTTTTCTTATAGTAATTCTAATTTTTCACTTTCTTTGTGCTCAGTTATCATGCATTAAATCTCATTTGTATTTGTTTCTTGATTATTTAGAAATTCAATAAATGTGTATTAAAGTTTTAACAGTGTTACAGAGGTCCAAAAATAGTTAAGTTGTTTTTTAAAAGGAAGACTAAAGAGGGAATATTTCTTACTCTCAATTATGAGACATACTGAGAATCTATAATCATTTTAAGATAGTATTTTTGGTGCAAGATGAGAAGTTAGGACCAATGGAAAGGAACAGAGATCACACTTGTAGAACAATAATAAATGGAAACTTAGTATACAAGCAGAATAAATCAAAACTAAATGAGTAAAAACATGGAGTTGTTATGTAGGAGTTGGGAAAACTATTTTTTACAAGAAAATAAAAAGGTACCTATATTTAAAATGTAAAAAGACAGACATTAAAAACATTCGAAATCTAACTATAATAGTAAAAAATATGACATTAATAAAATAATGTTAAGAAGTTAATGTTGGGATATGGAACCTAGTAAAAATTTAGCAAAACTTCAAAAAGTTATTTTAAAAATTATTAAACAATATTTATTGTTTTGATAAGAATAAAATTAAAGATTTTATTCACTGTAAGAAAACTATAGACAATGTTAGCTGACTGTCTAAAATAAGAGATTAATAAATTATACAAGGATTTCTGGTAACTAAACAAGAAAAAGAGAACCATCTTCATATTTGAAATACTGAAGAAGAAATCCAAAAAGCAGCTAGAATATAAAAAGATGCTGTATAATATTGACTAATTAGATAAATAAAATTAAACACTTTTTAATATTAGACTGGCCAATATTAGAGAAGCAAGTGTTGTTGATGAATAAGAAGGATGTCCCTCCACCCATTTTGGAGACAATATTTAATCAGATTAAGTAAATGCGCAAGTGTTGGTAAGGATTTTTACTCACAATGGTCAATAATGGAACCTATTTAAGGCTACTCATTTTAGCAATGTTTGTGTTAGTAGAGACGTATAAGTAAACTGCTGCAAATAAATCTTAAACGGGGCTAGATTAAATGAAAACATTGCATAATAGTTCTTCAAAATATGTAAATGAAAAAGTACAGAATGACAAATATAACCTATATAATAACATACAAATATAACATATAACATACCAATAACTGAAAATAAATGTGCACATAATATGTGATTTACAATAAAACCTACAATACAATTATAAACATTAAACCCATTAGAATGGTTGCGTAAGAGAAGTGTGGGAATGAGAGTGAGATATGAAAAATAATGAGAATAAATTAATTCAACTAACAAAAAAGGAAAATGATCTTGCATGGACTATTAATGAAATTTTTTAGTAACCTGAGAAGTATTTGTGGTAGTTCCATATTGAATCAGTTTGACTGAACTGTAACCACAGTCTTCAGAATCCCCTTTCCTGTATGCTTTAAGTTACAGTTGGCAAAAAAAAAAAAAAAAAGTAGTAGATTTGAATAAAATAATCGAAGCCATAGCTATTACTCTCTGGAGGTCATAGGAATTAGATGTGGGGCTGTTGGCGGAAGTGGGGAATGGAGACAGGAAACTGATGTGGAGGTGGAGGTGAGTTCCAGTTTGTCTTGCTCTCATTTTATTCCACTTGCAGCATTTATTCCCAATATGTAACCTGGTGTCCAACAAATTCCAGTCCAACCACCCAAGATACAGAGGCAATAGTGTTCCCTTTGCCTTTCCACCATTGCTCTCTCATGGTTACACTCCCGCTGGTAAAAGTTCTTGGCTTCAGGAGGGTTGGTTAGTGACTTTCCTCTGATGCTGTTACTCCTTTTTTAGACCCTTAAATCCCTAGCTTCTCCAAAGCAGAGATCAGCAAACTGCGGCCTGTGAGCCAAATCAAGCACACTTGTTTTTGTAAATCCAGTTTAACTGGAACGCAGCCAGCCACCTAAGTATTATTATCTAATGCTGCTTTTGTACTACAACAGCACAGTTGAGTGGTTGAGAGAAGGTCCATATGGCCCGCAAAATCTAAAATATTTACTCTCTGACTCTTTATAGGAAATAAATTTTATCAACTGTTTATATCACCCTTCTGGTGGTTCTTCTTTCTTGATTGATAAAGTGTGATTCACATAATCATCTATGCTTGAGGTGTTTATGTGTGCAAATGTGTGTGTGAGAAAGAGAATACGTATACATTAAAATCATATTGTGCTGAGAATGATATCAGTTTGTGAAATATGAAAGTTTGCCTCAACACATTTAGAAATGATATTTTCCTCTCAAAATATTATCAAAAAATATTTGTAACATACAAAAGAAAGGCAAAAATTCTACCATTCAGCACTAATAATCATGTTCTGTCTTTTCCTGGCTTCATGGGATTAGACTCCTGAAAAATACAACCTAAGGAAATTTATATTAAAATGTTTAACGTACGGAAGCAAAATTAAATGTCAACCTATTAATCCCATTATACATATATTTTAAATTACTAAATTAAACTGTAAAGAATATCAAAATAAAAATAAGCAAAAGTAAATGGACACTTTTCTACAAGTATCTGATACTTATTTATATTGTTGTTGATACCTACCATTAAAACTTCACCTTGATTTCAAAGATGTAGATTCAATTTCAAAAATCTTTTTTTCTTCTATCATAAGAAACTCAAAATGTAGTTCTACTGTAAGTCAAATTTCTTCCATTTTTCTTGTCATTCCCAAGACTATAATTAAAAATTCTCAAATGTTGTAGAACCTTCTTACCAGACTTGTCTCTTTCTGACATCTACTTCTGTTTCTTTTACTATTATTTGTCATGATTTTAAAATTACTATTTAGACTCAATTCATTTTCACATGCAAAAAAAAGAAAGTATATTTGTTTTTGAAATTTAGGAAAGGGAACATATTTGGAATGATATAAAGTACATGAAAAAAACACTACAAAAATGTGCTATTGTGTTTGCTTGCCAATTAAAGGAACAGAGGTAGAGTCAAATTAGTGATCAAGACTATAATTTCCACACAGGCCAGTTCATAGAAAAGAGGGGAAATAAAGGATAATTATTTGATCAGACCTGAGGCTTTTTTATAATTCTCAATAACACTACAAATTTACATCAGTATTTGCATGCTCTCTGCTAAAGGAAAAAAGAAAAAAAAAACATAATATTGGTTTTTGTTCCATTCAAATTTCTTCATACTTATATTAAAGGTAAACAAACATGTTTAATTCCTCAGAAGGGGATGAATTTTTTAAAAAGCACAAATTAAGGAATATTATAAGATTATATAAGGAGGTATTAAATTATAATAATAATAAAAATTGTGAAACATATATTAAAAAAACAAGCCTACTTTATAACATTGCAATATTGTGCAATATATAAGCTAAAAGGTGGAGGAGGCCACAAGTAGTAGTTGTAACCCATACTTGAAGTCAGTTCACTTAACGCAATCACAGCATCTTTCCTCCTAAGCTTTTGCTTTCTGTTGCAGAGTCACTCTCAGGTGGTTGAGGTCTTTCTCCAGCCAGGTAACCACTTTAATCTTCCTGGAATGCTTTTTGAGGATGCCTCTTTCTGTTGCTTCTTAAGATTTCATGATGATAGAAAATTACTTTATTGTTTTGTCAATGATTGAAGAGAGTAGCCTTTTGCATTATACGAAGATGCCCTAGTCTGTGTCACCCCGCTGTTCCTGCAATGCTCCTTTAACTTTTTGCCACCTTTCTATTTTTCACATGCTCCTTAAGAAAAACTCATCTCTTACTTCCATGAATCATATACTTTGTACTACTTAACTTCATGATAGGTAGGGTCTGCTCTTTCCTTTATTCCTCTGTAATTATGAACAATCCATTTATTTATGAACATATCAAATTATATATAAGACACTCTGCTGTACGCTAGACTCTGCATACATGTCACTGCTCCACAATATGTTTAGGTTACTATTAGCAGACACGGTGTCTGCTTCACATTTGCAATTTCCTGTAGCACCAACTCCCAAGCTTTCAAAGTTCTAAAAGACCTAACGCTGTTTCTGACATTTGAAAGTTATTAAACAACATTTTTTTTTCAGGAACAACTAGATAAAAGAATGTTGAGCTACATCAATGAAACAAAGCTAATAGGAGATACTTATTTAGAAATTTGTTTTTTAAAATTAAGAATAACCTACAATAAATTTTAACATTATTTTACTAAATTGCATTAAAACTCTATGCAAGTAGAAAATATTAGTTTTCAACCAAATAAGCATACTAGGATGGATTCTGACATGATAATGTTAGCACTTCTTAAATAAATTAAAGTGATCAAATATTTAAAAGTTGATGTGTGGACTGTTCCTATAATGAAAAGAGAATGTAAATACATGATTAAAATTATATGGAAAGGAATTTGAGGACATGTATATTAAGTAGGATAATAAGTGATATTCCAGATTGTATATCCTGGAGAGTATGGGAATTGTAATAAAAAATTATTATTTTTAGACATATAATAAAATAGGATCTCCAGCTAAAACATGTGAAAGAAGTTAATAACTTGGCTATTAACACTAAATATAAGCAAATGTTTTTCAACCCTTGGATATAGCTGGAAGGAATGTAATATGATGGATAATATTTTAAATAGATAAGAAATGCTATATTTACATTTATATAGTGCTTTAAATGATAAGGATTAATAAATTAAGAGGAAGCCAAAGCTGGTTACCCAGGAATAGTAAGTCAATAGTTATTATTAAAGGGTAAGACATTTGCGTGTATAAGTATTGTGTGGGTGTTAAAAAGACACCATCTGCAATATAAAAAGATTTAAAATATATTAAATATTCTCATGCAATGGTGCAATAACAACAGCAATAAGAATAAATGTAATGTTAATAAAATTGATCATTGTTAGATTCTTATAAAAAATAAATATGATATAATAGGAGAGCAAGAAATTTCCTAGGCTTTTGAAATCCATCTAAGTCTTCAAATCACAGTCATTATGTAAAAATCATTTTGACAAAGGCTCTGGACATACCAATTGAGAACTCATTAAATGAGAACAAATATCATCCTTCATCCCTTACGCAATCACCTATATCCAGTCTAGAGAAAAAGAGATAAATTAAATAGTAAGATATACAGAGAAAACACAGCTGTAGAGAGTTCTGTTAAAATTAGGAGGACATGTTGTGAGAGCTATCTGTAGAGTAGTTGTAGTAGAATCTACCTTGTAACATTCCTTCTTATATCTCTCATTGGACACAGTTTGCCACTATACTGCTGAGTCTCCTTATCTGGCCCATTCGGGCTATCACTGTGGAAGCCAATAATGTCCAGCTTCCATTAAGGGTGGAGCAGGATATTAGAATTGTCTTGTGACAAAAGGATGGAATAGACCTAGCCCCTATGTCTGTTGAAATAGAGATAAGCTCATGGGGGTGATGTCTGGAATGAAGCTATGGTGGTAGCTAAGAGTCTTCATTGAGAAAACAATCAAGAGGTAGAGTGGCCAGGCACAGTGGCTTATGCCTGTAATACCAGTACTTTGGGAGGCTGAGGCAGGAAATTTGCTTGAGCCCAGGAGTTCAAGACAAGCCTGGGCAACACAGGGAGAACCCATCTTTACTAAAAATTTAAAAATTATCCAGGCGTGGTCGTAGACACCTGTAGTCCCAGCTACTCTGGGGGCTGAGGCGGAAGGATCACTGAGCTGGGGAGGTCCAAATGGCCGTGAATCATGATTGCATCATTGCACTCCAGCCTAGGTGACAGGGCAAGACCCTGTCTCAAAAAAAAAAAAAAAAAAAAAAAAAAAAAAAAAAAAAAAAAAGAAAGAAAAAAGAAAAAAGAAAAAGAAAAATGTTGGGAGCTAGTGGTGCTGAGTAAATCTAGGGAGGTACCTATTATAGATAGAATATAATGATATTATTCATGAGCAGACTTTCGGTGATGAGAGGTTAGTCTTAAGAAGGGAAATGCAATGTGTATCCCCTGTATCAGGGTACTGTGATGCTAATTATTCCCACTGTGGAAGACCTGAACAACTCAGTAATGACCTTTATGAAAAAGAATTTGAATATGGGGCTATCTGTCACAGAGAGGGCATCAATGCTAGATTACAAAAGGCCTAGTAAAGTAAAATACCTTTTCTTTAATCCCTTGAGAACACTTCTTCATGACCTGGGAGGAGCCAGTAGCTGCACCGTGAGGTTAGAGGTAAAACAATGAGAAAAGATGAACAGCCTTTGTCTCCATTGCCTACACAGCCCACAACTACCCATTTTATCACTATTTCCAGAGCCACAAGGTAGGCTTATTAGATTAGAAGAATAATTGGAAGTCAACTTCACATGTACATGTAGCACTTCTGTCCCAGTTCAAGAGCTTAGCAACTCTACTAACAACTTTTCCCACAAATGAAATTCCTTTGCAGGCGCAGGCAAACCTATGGAGGCCTTCTCAATGTATCATACAAACAGCAACTGCTGACTTTATTGAGGGCAAATCACAGATCTTTGAGACTTGGACCTGATCGAGCAGCAACTGAGTCCAGGAACTCTTTTTAGGCCTCTTCAAAGTTGGTCTTTCTGCATGATCCTTCATCTCTGCTCTTTCCTCTAGAGATGTAGGCACAGTGACTGGCGAAAAGTGCTCGTATTAAAGTTTGCTTTTCTATTTCTCCTGAAAGAGAGCAAATATTAATGCTGACTAGAATAACTTAGTGCTACTCTCTATTGTTATTTGGCAGAGTCATTTCAGAAAGAACCATAAATGTGGCACTATTTATAAAGAATAACAACAACAAAAACTGGTATGAAGTCAATTTATACATGTATATATAGAATGAAAAAATAATCGACAAAAGCTCATAAAAGTACACATGATATGAGTTTTGGTAGAAAAATAAAATTATTTTAAAAATAGTTTTGTTATTTTATCCTCTGAAAACACAGTTGTGATATGTGAAACTAAGATTCAAATAAGAGATATGGGAGCCAAACAGAGATAAGACTTCCTGGAATGAATCAGAAAGATAAAATTTGCAATTTAAAAAATTCTAAGCAGCCATATGAGAAGCAGAAATAATTAGCATATACGCTGGTCAAAACATTGTGGCAGGTGTGACAGATTTAAGAAACCTGGTAAATAACATTACCAAAGAATAAAGATATATTAAAATAGGTAGATAAAATATGCAAAAAGGGATGTTAGAAATGGATTCAAAAATATTTAAAAAGAAACATTTACTTGATTTGTTACAAAAACTTGTAGCCTACAAGGAAAAATTTGACAGGTAAATTTAAAAACAGAAAGAAACATGCTCTGTCAACCTTAACAAAATTTTTAATTTATAAATAATCAGTAAACAACGAAACTAGAAATCACTGATATACCTAAGAAAAGCATTCTATATGTAAATAATATTGCTAATAATGAAAATAAGAACAATGAGTTATTTTCAGTAGAGAATGAGGTAGAAATAAAATACTGTGTAACAATATATGCCAATTGAGATGGAAGATTTTGGTTTTGCAACTTCTAAATTCTTTATGTTTGGGGAAGAAGAAAGGTATAGTGACCAACTTAATACATTTTTATGGAATATTTATTACATAATAAAATAGGTACTGAGGAAATGCCACATGAAATGCCACATAAAATAAGTTATAGTTTTCCAAAGCCATATGAAGATAAAAGGACTAATTGTGCCTCAAAAATTCAAAACAGGGTTTACAAATAGGGAAGATGACATAGAAAACATTATAGTAAATAGTATATAATAGTAAAAATAGATCATAATATGTTAAAAGCCATAATAAAGAGTTAGTTGGACAAAGTTATCCAGTTTAATTGGCCATTAAACAAAATCTAGCTGCTTAGAAAACAATAAAAAATTATAAACACTAAAGTTGAAAAAAAAATAACTGGAGTTTCCACTTCCATTTAAGATGTAGAAACCTTCAAAAGATCATTACTCCCCATCTAACAATCAGAAAGAAAGAGCTGAGTAACTTATACAATCATAACTTTTTGTAAGCTTGTTAGAAAAGTGAGTTCACAAGGCAAGTAGGTGGACTTAATTCCAAATAATGAAAACATGCTACAAATAGGTATGAGACACACATTGTTTCACTTTTGGCAAGGAAAAAATTGACACCCAGAAAAATGGTTAAATAGAAAACAAATGATTTTTAAAAATTAGTTTCAAAGTTTAAATTTGGACCAGCGTGATAGCCTGGAATCCATTAATGCCCCAAATACATGGGAAGTCCACCAGGGAATGATTGATAACAAGTCTGGAAATGTTAGGGATTTTCATTTGTTTACAGACATAGAACCCAGACCACTACTAAGATCTCAGACTCTTTTTAAGTATGAAGGGAATGCTATCTGCCTGGAGAATAGCAGAAAAAGCACTTGGGACCAGGGCTCTGACTTCATAATAAGCAGTGGTCTACTATAATTTGAGTGGTGGGGGGACTTAATCATGTGCCTACCCAAGACTACCCAAAAATCTTAAAGCAGGGTTTAGCTGTCACAGGGGAAAGAGGAGCAATGCTAATAAGACCTCACGCCTAAGTTTGAGGTTCCGTGGCTTGTCTGAAAGTAATTTTATGATGGAAAACTGAGAAATCTTCCAGTTCCTATTATGAACCTTATGCTGAGTAACCAGTAACAGCAGCGTGTTGCAGGGTGAAAGACAAGTGCATCGAGAAATATTCATTTCTGAAAGCTAGTGGTGCACCTCAAACACTAAGAAAAAATATGAAACTACGTGACACTCAAAGTAAAACCACAAAAAACCATCAGTGGAAGACGTTGCAGTCTGTAATGCACTGAAAGCTGTAAAAACTACAAAACCGAAACTCACCTCAACTACTGGCTAGATTGACTTAGCTTTCCACAGTTATTGACAGAATATTCACACTTCTATCTATTAACTTTTTGTTCCGTTTTTTAAAAACACATGTTTCACATTTAAACAAAAAATTACTACTCACACACAGAAACACACACACACACACACACACCCCTGTTCTTTAGAGGTAAAGCAGCTAATAAACCAGGTCATATATTGCACAGATGTTGGAACCATCAAGCAGAAACTTTAAAGTAACTGTAACTATTATTTCAAAGGATCTAGCAGATGTAATGAACATTATGTATAAAAAGGGGGAAGGGAATTTTAGCAGTGAGAGGAAAACTATAAAAAGGAGTCAAAAGAAGTATTAGAAATACAAAATTCATTAGACATAAAACTTATTTTAATGAATGTATTAATAAATTACAACCAGAGGATAAATAATTTACCCAAATTAAATTACAAAAACTTGAACACACACACACACACACACACATATATATATATATATATATTTTTTTTTTTTTTTTTTTTGAGACAGAGTTTCACTCTTATTGCCCAGGCTGGAGTGTAATGGTGAAATCTCGGTTCACTGCAATCTCCACATCCTGGGTTCAAACCATTCTCCTGCCTCAGCCTCCTGAGTAGCTGGGATTACAGGCATGTGCCACCACGCCCAGCTAATTTTGTATTTTTAGTAGAGACGGGGTTTCTCCATGTTGGTCAGGCTGGTCTCGAACTCCTGACCTCAGGTGATCCGCTGGCCTCGGCCTCCCAAATTGCTGAGATTACAGGCATGAGCCACTGTGCCCGGGCCACATATATATTTTTTAAGTTGAGAAAAAAAGGGAATTGAGTTAAAGAAGGAGAAGAGATAGAATGGAGCAGAAGTATTTGAAGAGACAATAGCAAACTATTTGCTAAAATATTGACGGCCAAAAAACACATGAACAAAAACAGATCTACAAAAAGCCAGGAAACCCAAGCATAATCAATATAAGGATAAACATATTGGGAAAGTCAGAATCAACTGTCTAAAATCGAAAGAGTAAGACAATATTTTGAAGCCTGCCAGAATTAGGAGAAGAGAAGTGGGATGGAGAGAGAGAAAAGGGAAAGAAAAAGAGAATGAGAAAGAAAAAGAATAAAAGAAAGGGAGAGAGAAATGTAACATACCAAGGAAAACAACAGAATTTTGTCAGAAACTATGAAAGCTAGAAGGCAAACGGGTGACTTCTTTAAAGTACTGGAAGAGAAACAATCCTGCAATCTATAAACAGTAAAATAATTTTTCAAAACATGAAGATAAAATACTTTTGTTTTTCAGACATACCGAAGCTGAACAAATTTATTGCCAGCCATCTACAGCACAAGAAATGCTAAAGAAACTTTGTCACACTGAAATAATATAATACCATATGTAAATGTGGGTATGCAAAAAGGAATAAAGTGCACTGGAAATGGCAATAATGTGGCTAAATAGAAAATAAATTTTGAATTTTGAATTTCTTTAAATGATAATTCTCAAAATAAAAAAGTTATAATGTATAACGGGATGCATAATATATATAGAAGAAAATGTGTGGCAGCAATAAAGTTACTAAAAAGTATCATAAAATCAAAGAGTAGTTAGCTTTGTTAGATGCTGAGGACAATGAAATATTTATAGTCATACAATTATAAAAAATGTTGAAGTTCTAAAAAATTCTACAATAATCCTAAAACTGTCAAGTCTAATAACAATCTAATATTGCTGATATCTTCCATAAAAACCTGTGAATCTGAGAAAAAAAGTACTAAACTATAAAAAATTTAAATTTTAAAACACCTTGCTTATGGAAATTAATGAATTACCTTTCTACTATCTCCATTGAAAATGATACTAAAACTGTTGTTATACAAAGAACCTAACAAAGTTATACATCCACTAGAAACATGAGACTGGAGTATTATAAAGGTGTGTTAGATTCAAGCAGTTAATTTATAAATATCCTGTCCGTTTGTGATGATTGTAGATTAATATTGTGGATTTTAAAATTACTATTAAAATTTATAAATTCTGAACACGTATTTCCTTTTATTCTTAGTGTTATATTTATTATTTCGTATTCTTTTCATAATGAGGACCCTTCAAAAGTTATAATCTTCAGGTGCCATAAAATAAGACTTCACATCCCCATACCATGCTCCAGCTATTGTGCAATTTATACTCCTTCTCATAGAATATTCAAGAGAGCTCTCTATCCCATTGCATCCTTCATATTTTCTTATGAATACAACTCTGTTCAATCACTTTATTCAACATTTGATGGAAACTACTCTTGTTGAGATTATTAATAAGCTACTTGTTGGCAAATGTATATTGTGTTGTTTTTGGGTGGAGAGTTTTACAGAGATCTATCAGATCTATTTAGTCCAATGTTAAGTTCAGTTCCTGAATATCTTTATTTTCTGCCTTGATGATCTGTTTAATACCATCAGTGGAGTGTTGAAGTCTCCTACTATTATTGTGTGGGAATCTGCATCTTTTTGTAGGTCTCTGAAAACTTGCTTTATGAATCTGGGTGCTCCTCTGTTTAATGCATATATATTTAGGATAGTTAAGTCTTCTAGTTGAATTTAACCCTTTACCATTATGTAATGCCTTTCTTTATTTTTTATTTTTTTATCTTTGTTGGTTTAAAGTCTGTTTTATCTGAAATGAGGATCACAACCTCTGCTTTTTTCTGTTTTCCAATTGCTGGATAGATTTTCCTCCATCCCTTTATTTCGAGCCTGTGGATAACTTTACATGTGAGATGAGTGTCTTGAAGACAGCACACCATTTAGTCTTGACATTTTATCCAGGTTGCCACTCTGTGACTTTTAGTTAGGGACATGTAGGCCATTTACACATAAGTTTAGTATTGATATATGTAGATGTAATCCTGTCATTGTGTTGTTAGCTGCTTATTATGCTGGCTTGTTTATATGGTTGTTTTATAGTGTCACTAGTGTGTTTTTGAGTGTCTTTTTGTATTAGCTGGTAGCAGTCTTTCTGTATTTAGCATTCAAGATCTCTTGTAAGGCAGGTCTGGTGGTAATGAACTCTGTCAATATTTGCTTATGTTAAAAGAATCATATTTTTCCTTTGCTTGGAAAGCTTAGTTAGGCTGGATATAAAATTCTTGGTTGAAGATTTTTTTTCTTTAAGAATGTTGAATATAGACCTGCAATCTCTTCTGGCCTGTAGGGTTTCCACTGGGAGTTCTGTTCTTAGTCTGATGGGGTTTCCTTTTTAGGTGAAACTTCCTGTCTCTTTAGCTGCATTTAACATTCTTTCTTTTATTTTGACCTTGAAGAATCTGTTGGTCATGTGTCTTGGGATAATCTTCTTGTGTAGAATCTTGCAGGCATTCTCTGTATTTCCTGAATTTGACACTTGGCCTCTCTAGCAAGGTGGGGGACATTTTCATGACAATATCCTAAAATATGTTTTCCAAGTTTTTGCTTTTTTCCCTTCTCTTTCAGGGATGCCAGTGATTAATGATTCTTTGTACACTCCCATACTCCTTGGAGATGTTTTTATCCTTTTTCATTCTTTTTTAAATTTATTTTTGCATGACTGTCTTATTTCAGATATCTAGTCTTCAAGTTCTGAGATTCTTTCCTTAGCTTGGTCTATTTTGCTGTTAATACTTGTGATTGCATTGTGAAATTCTTGGATTGTGTTTTTCAACTCCTGTATTGCAATTTTCAGTTTGGTTCTTTTTTATAGGAGCTATTTCATTTTTCTGTCATGTATCATTTTATTATGATTCTTTGTTTCTTTGAATGGGGTTTTGCCATTCTCCTGAATGTCCATGATCTCCTTTCCTTTCCATATTCTGAATTTTATTTCTGTTATTTAAGCCAGCTCAGCCTGGTTAAGAACTCTTGTTGGAGAACTGGTGCAGTTGTATGAAGGACAGGTGACACTCTGGCCATTCGAGTTGCTGGAGTTCTTTCATTGGTTCATTCTCATCTCTGCATGTGAGAGTTCCCTTAACTGCAGTATAAATTGAATACAGTAAATAGACGTCTTTTCTGGATGTTTTCACAGGGCCAAGGCATTGTTTAGGGTCTTTATTTGAAAATGATTTATTGTCTTTGGTTTTACAAAGGCGTATGTTAGCAAGGTATTTTTGAGGGGGCTGTTGAAGCTTTGTGATGTGATCCAGTAGGTGGTACTTAGGCATATTGGCCAGTTGGTAGACTCTTGGTCCATTGTGTGGCTCCCCTATGTTTCTTCACATTTGCAGCCATGTTCCCCCCCAGTGGTCTGAAAGTGGGGGCTCCTCTCCCCCTTGAGTACTGGCTATAGATCATGGCTTGGAACTCCTGGACTGCTCAGTGCAGCTCTGGAAGCTAAGGTATTGTGTTCCTTTCCCAAGTTGGATGCAGCAAAGGAAGGGATTTTAGTGATGGTTGTGGCCAAGGGTCTTTTGCTTGTCTTCTGGGGGCTCCACCCAAAAGAGATACAGATCAGCAATTGCTCAGTGCAATCACCCCAGGATGGAGAGTCTATATTTTGTGTCCCAAGTCAGGGTTTCCCTGTCTGGAGATGATTAGGGATAGTGAGTGGGACCCGTGGGAGATGTACTGGCCTCCTCTCTTTGGGTTGAACGCAGCTTGTTGGAGGTGTGGATGAGGCACTTAAGGTCTTTTCTCCTTCATTAGTCTGAGAGTAGCAAAGGCAGTGGCAGAGAGGCTTTCAGTTTCCCCTGGTGGCTCTGTCCGGGGAGTTGCAGAGCTCCTACTGGCTTAATGGTCCTGGCAGGGGGTGGCTGGATGCCTAGGCCTGGAGGACCTGCCCAGTGTGGAGATATGGGAACAGGCACCCATGTAACAGTCTGGCACTTTTGTGTAGGACTGCTGCAGTATGCTTGGAGTTCACTCCAGTCCCTAGACACTTCAGATTTTCCAGTACCTGCAGGTATCAACAGTGAAGGCTGTGAAATAGCAAAGATAGCAGCCTTTCTTTCCCTCTGGGAGCTCTGTCCCAAGGAGTTATGGACCAGTTGCTAGCATGAACGAACCGGTAGGAGGTGGCTGAACACCCTGGTTGGGAAGTCCTGCCCAGTGAAGTGGAATGGGATCTGGAATCAGCTTAAAAAAGAAGTCTGGCCACATTTGGATAGAGCAGCTGTGCTGCCCTGGGGGTACGTTTTAGCCCTTGTCACCTTAGACTCTTCAAAGCCCAAAGGGTGGAAGAGCTAAGTCTCCCAAACAGCAAAAATGGTAGCCTGCCTTTCCCTCTGGGAGCTCCATCCCAGGGTGGTTTGAAACCTCTTTTGGCCAGAAAACACTGGTGGGAATAGCTGTACATTTTCTTTCTTCATGTAGGTTCTGGTTATATGTCACCTCCTTAAAAAAGCATTTCAAGGACACCCAATATCCCTCTCCATTCCAGTAACTATTTATTTTTTCTCCACAGTACTTATAACTAACCATATTACTTAAAATGTTAATTCATTTTTAGTGTCTGCCTCCCTCCAACCTCCCAGGTAATAATATTGATGAAATCAGGAGCTTTATATTTCTTAGTGAACGAGTAGGTCCCCAATACCTAGAGCAGTACTAGATTGATAGTAGGCATTGAAAAATAGCTGTTGGATAAATGAATGAATTTATCCAACACTTATAGATTTTGGAAAGTTATATCACTAGGTTGTCTCTGGAGTGTATCTTTCCACAGAAGTTTGAGTTTAATCTAAGGCTAATGAAAAGGCTTGGAACACTGGATAATACAAACTAAACTTTACCATTCTGCTTTTTCAGAGAATTTAACACACATGGATGAAAAAGCTTTGTATAACAGCACTGTCCAAATTATAATACTAAGTGATTATATTGATTATCTAATTGATAATACTAAGTGATTATATTGACTAAGTGATTCCATTGGATAAGTGAACGTGCACATTTCCAGAAAATAAGCAAGAATAGTAATTGCTTCAATATGTACAATGATCAAAAATTGGAAATACCTTCATTTTCTCTAAAAGGGGAAATGATTGAAAAAAAACACATGAACACTCTGCCATCAAATACTATATAATAAATATAATATACTAAATAAATACTGTATTTAATATCATAGAAGTTTTCTAAAAAATATTCTGTGACACAAAGAAAGTCCCATTAAAACTCTCATGTGAGTATACTGGAAATAAAATCTCTAGATATATTCACCAATCCGAAAAACGTGGTTAGCTCTAGCAAGACAAGTACTAATGATATGGGTGAGGCTGCTTGTTTTAATGTTTATGTTAATTATGTAATATTTAACTCCTATAAAATATTATTTTAACTTTTTTAGAATTCATATTTTCATATTTAATATGTTAATAATAAATTATTCATTTATTGACTTTGTTAAAATAATCTGAAACTTCAGAATAGCTAGAAATAGTTTATTAGACCACAACTTGCCAGAAACTGTTAAACAATGCTAAAGCTTATCTTCGTATGAATCGTAAGTCAAGCATTTGCCGTGGAAACCATGAAGTGTTTGTTAAAGAACTATACTGTCTCTTGCTACACTCAATGAGACATTGTTTATATTTTCTCAATCTATTTTCCATACATTTCAGCTGAGATTCTGGGTGTCCTTATAAATTCAACTTAAATATTTTCTACTATAAAGAGCCCCTCCCTTTTATTCATTGAAACCAGAAATATCTCTTTCTTTCCAATATTTATGGCATTTTTGTATCACATTTATAGCAGTTATATAAAGTTTTGGACATGAACATTTGTATACACATTATTTTCCTAGGTATTTATTAGACTCCTAAAAATAGGTCACATATTACTGTGAGTTTGTGTACTTGGAATAACATGATTTCATGCATAGTTCCTTGAAACACACTGTTTTTCAGGCTGCAAAGCTTTTACTGAGAACCTATTTAGATCAACCCCAAAGATCACTTAGTATTATAATTTGGACAGTGCTGTTATACAAAGCTTTTTCATCCACATGTGTTAAATTCTTTGAAAAAGCAGAATGGTAAAGTTTAGTTTGTATTATCCAGTGTTCCAAGCCTTTTCATTAGCCTTAGATTAAACTCAAACTTCTGTGGAAAGATACACTCCAGAAACAACCTAGTGATATAACTTTCCAAAATCTATTTTTATTTTAAGTTTAAATCCATCTGTCATAAGTTGATTCAGGTTAAGATATAATGAAGAATGTTTACATTAGTTACCAGACCGCCATTTGCACTTAACTCTAAAATAAACTTGAGCAGTTTGACCCTAAGAAGGCAAAGCTTTAAAATGTGTTCATACCCTTTACATCAGTGAAACTACAACACAACTTTTCTAATCTGAGTAAACTTAACCATATGTGTTGTAGGCAGAATTTCACAATAGCCCTCACAATTCCTAGTGCCCAGTATACACATAGCTTCTTTCAGTTATTCCATCAAGTGCAATTTAGGTATTAGGGTAAAGCTATTTTGTCGATGTAATTAAGCTTCTAAACCAGTTCACATTAAGGTAGGGAGATTTTCCTGGGCAGATAAACCAACAAGAAGACATGGCTGTCAGACCTAAATCTGCAAAGAACAAAAATCTGCCATAACTACATGTGTTTGGAAGAGGACTCCCAAGTTTTAGATGAGAATATAAACTTGTCAGTATCTTGGTTTTAGATTTGTAAGAAAATAAGTAGAGAACCCATGACCAAAAATTCCGAACTATGGAAATGTGAAATAATACACAAGAGTTACTTAAATCACTGTGTGGCAATTTGTTATGCAACAATTAACAAAAAACTATTACCATGAAAAAAAAAGAATTAAAAAGAGAATTAAAAAACTATTATATGTATTGTGCATGAGGGAACAGAGAATCAGGGAAAGGAAAAGAGGGATGGAGAGAGGGAAGCAGGGGCTGAAACAGAGACAGAGGTACAGACAGACATTATTTTAAGTAGTATAAATAGGAATGAATAGACTAATTTCTTCTGCTTCTATTCAGGGAGGTGAGTGATCATATAATGAAAGATAGGAATCCACTCTCTTCAGAAGTTCTAGTTTCTTCACAATGTTCGCAGAATAAATTTCACACAATACTGACAGGGATTTTGTGTTTAAGGAAGGTAATTTCCCACAAAACATTGCTAGTAAACAAGCCAGTACCATCATTTAATGTTCAAGTTCAGCCAAATTGATCTGTTTCAATAATGAAGAAAAATAGGACTGAGTTGAGTTTATTGGAAAATGCATATAAGTTATTAATGTGTGGCAGAATTATAGACATTTATTCAGTATAGGCAATGAAACTCTCTGGATAATTTTTACCTAAGCATAATTAATATTTTATATGCTGAATCTGTAATCTATATAATAAATTAGATCTAACTCCATAATGGTCCCACCTCTTTTTATTATTATGAATTCAATAAAGAAAAGGTTGCTCAAATCAATTAAAATAATTTATTTCAACAGAATATGGGAAATAGGAAAAATATGTCAAATCATTTTCATATTAGAAATATTAATAACAATTTTCTGGAGAGCAATGCTTTTGCAAATGAATTTATTACTCCATCTAATCTGAATATTGTTTTCTTGTTTAATTTCTACTTATTATTTTTCTTAAATGTAAAATGTGTCAGGAAACTTTTTCTAGCTCCTGATTCTTGGTTTGGTTGTTCAACGTGTGTATGCAACGTGTCAACTTGCCCTGTCTTTGAACCTCCCACAGTGAATTGAAACTATCTATTTTCTTGGCTCTCTCTCTCTCATCAAGCCATAAGCGTCTTGAGGTCAAGCATATGGCCTTGCTCAGCACTGAATTTTTGGCACAAGTATTTGCACAATACTGTTTTTGAACAAATATTGTTTAACATTTAAATAATAATAATTATTATGACTTTTTGTTTTATTTGCATTCATTAATTCAGATATATTCAGTGCAAGAAATGGTAGTGGTGGTGGGGATGTAAGAAGGAATGCTGTACCATTTTTGGATTTAAGGTGTACACATTGTAGTGTCTTTAAACCATAAATCAAATCTAGCGCACAATTGTGATAATGGGCTCATCTTTGCTGACTTACGACATCCACTGCAATATACTCACCTCTGATTTTCTGTTTCATGTGATTCCCAAATTATGCTAAATAGAAACAAGTAAATGATTTCAAATCCATTAGAAAACAAGCTTGATAAAAAAATAAGAAATAGTAAAATAAAGAATATTACTGCAAAATAGTTTGCATCCCTTGACTTATAAAACAGTTAAGCTTGAAATAACATTCTGCTAACATTTTATCTTGTTTTTCACTCCCTTTTACAAATATAAGGAGTTCACTTGGAATGATTTTGTTGATTCTTGCTGGGTTTAAAACTTCAATTAAATGACAACCATTCTATTTCCTATGAGAACTAGCTTAACTTTTTAAATTTTTCTTCATAATTCGCCTCTCTGAGGGGAGGATATATTCGTTGGAATAAATTTGTATCCCAGTAGGAGCAATTGTATATTTTCTCATGTGACTAATATTGCATGCAAGCCCATTGATGAGCAGTAACCTGTGCCTTGTAATTTTTTAAATTTCATTTGTATTCATCTGGGAGAGGTGCCAGATTTTTCCTGGCTTCAGCAGGCTCATTGATGGCTAGACAGTAAAGAGGTTTTTTTTTCTTCTTACTTGCAGTTTGGGCCAGCTTTAACACCTTTTCATTTTGCAGCATTTTCTGTCACTACCTATTATTTACCAGTAATAAATTTTCTTCATTTATCATGTTTACCCAGGAAATTTTCAAATGCCATTACATTGGAATGTAAGTTCATTTGTATCCTTTAAAAATAGCATAGATTTAGAGCGACAAATTAAAATTTTGTAAGATAAAAATTTGCCGAGAGGCCGTATTTTGGAAACATTGTGTTTACTATGTTTGTCAAAAATTTACATACTCTTGATATGCTCCATTTATCTTGGCATCTGTTCCCCAATTTCTTAACCATAAATGAACACATTTTAACTTTCGCTGGCTGTTCTCACTAGCAAACAGTGTGATAGCTGGCACTGTGTTCTTTATAGAGAGACATGTCATTTTCATTTTTAAGTCAGGTATGACTGGGGTATAATTAGTATTTGTAAGTTTTCAATGTGTGTCTTTTGTAAGAGGGTGGTAAGTTTGAGAAGCTCCTTATTTGTAAAAAGAATGAAGAGAATCTCTATGAGAAGATGCCACACTTACCAAAGTCAGTGGATTTCAAAAGTTCAAAATATTTCTTTTATAAACGGCCTCCTGATATTCCAGTCAGGTAACAATAAGAAAGGGTGTAGTCTGTAATCTTGTTCTTCCCTTCAATTTGACTCTGTCTATCCAGTGTACCTTCTTCCAATGCCAGTTTGTAGAGTATAAGTTATTTATAGAGAGAATGGTTGCATATAAGCTGGTAATTACAGATTTTAAAAATCATCTTATTGCCTAGTTTGTATTTATCTCATTTTAAACTAAATTAAATCATGATGATATTTTTGGCACACCTTTTGTTATATTTGGTACACAATCATGTCCAGTGTTTCTGATGTTATAATTGTAAAGATTTCTAAATAGATTGTGAGACATTTTCTTTCTTAGAACAAAGCCTTTGGGGAAACAAGGCTCTGTAAAAATCTCCAATGGCTTAAAAAATCTGCTAAAATTAGTTATCTGCTAAAATTAGTCCTACAATGCTTATCCAAAAACTGCATACAACTAATAAGTGAACAGAACTATAAAACTATGATTTCTCAGGGCATTGCTAGTCAATGCCCTGAAAAACATTTTCTTAAGAAATGCTGAATAAATGCACCAATAATATAACTAATATATTAAATGTACTGCCATATATATACATATATATTTATATGTGCAATATGGATATTTTAATGAACAATATATAGTACAAGAAAACATTGATTTACCCATAACTACCCATTTATCAGATGGAAGAATACCAGTATATTTTAAGTTCATTTGAGACCTTAAGTGATTGCATTTTTCTGACAATAATTATCTACTTTCTTAATAATTTATTAAATCATTCTACTTTTTTCCATATTTTTACCAGGCAGGTATATGTATCTAAATAATAGATTTGAAATATAGTGTGTATTTATGCCTTAATTTCATTGTTTATCCAAAAATCATTCAGGAGCAAGTTGTTTAATTTTCATGTATTGTGTGGTTTTGAGAGAACTTCTTGGTATTGATGTCTACTTTTATTGCACTGTGGTTTGAGAGTGTGCTTGGTATGATATCTATTTTTTAATTTATACAGACTCCTTTTATGGCTGAGCACGTGGTCCATGTTAGGGTATGTTCTGTGTGTTGATGAGAAGAAGGTATATTCTGTGGTTGTTAGGTGGAGTATTCTGTAGGTGTCCATTATGTTCAATTGATCCAGTGTTAAGTTGAAGTCCAGGTTTCTTTGTTAGTTTTCTGCTTGATGATATGTCATTAGGGTGTTGAATTCTATCACTATTATTGTGTGGCTGTCTAAGTCCTTTTGTAGGACTAGAAGAAATCGTCTTATCAATCTTAGTGCTCCAATATTGTGTGTGTGTTTAGAACAGTTAAGCCTTTTTGGTGAATCGAACCCTTTATCTTTATGTAATGCCCTTATTTGTCTATTTTGACTGTTGTTGAAACTCTGTTTTACCTGCCATAAGAATGAAAACAGAGACATAAATACCAAAATCTTTGGGACGCAGCTAAAACAATGTTAAGAGGAAAGTTTATGGCATTAAATATCTACATTAAAAAGTTAAAAAAATCTCAAATTACCAATCTAACCTCACACCTAGAGTAACTAGAAAAAATAAGAACCCCCAAAATAGCAAAAGAAAATAAATAACAAAAATCATAGGAGAACTGAATGAAATTGGGACACAAAAATCCATACAAAAGATCAACAAAACCAAAAGCTTGTTATTTGAAAGAATAAACAAGATTGGGAGATCACTAGATAAACAAGGGAAAAAAAGCATGTCCAAAATAAAAAATGACAAAGATGACAGTACAGTTGATCACACAGAAATACAAAGATCATCAGAGACTATTATTAACTATTCTCTGCACATAAATTAGAAAATCCAGAGAAAATGGCTAAGTTCCTGGAAATACCCAACCTCCCAACATTGAACTGGGAAGAAATAGAATACCTGAACAGACCACTGAAATTGGTCTGTACTAAAATTGATTTAGTAATTTCAAAAAATCAACAACCAAAAAATAAAGCCCTGGACCAGATGGATCCACTGTAGAATTCTACCACACATACGAAGAAGAGCTAGCATAAATTCTACTGAAACTATTTCAAAAACTCAAAGAGGAGTGACTCTTACCTAACTATATGAACCCAGTATCACCCTGATACCAAAATTTAGCAGAGAAACGATGGAAAGAGAAAATTACAGGCCAATATCCCTGATAAACAGAGAAGCAAAAGTCCTCAACAAAATACTAGCAAACCAAATCCAGCAGCACATCAAAAAGTTAATTCACTGCAATCAAGTAGGCTGTATTCCTGGAATGTGATGTTGTTTCAACATACACAAATTAATAAATATGAGTCACCACATAGATATCATTAAAACTAAACCATATAATCATCTCAATAGATATGGAAAAAGCTTTCAGTAAAATCCAACATCCCTTCAGGATAAAAACCTTCAACAAACTAGGCACCAAAGGAACATAGCTCTAAATAGTAAAAGCTGTATATCACAAACATACAGCCAATATCAAACAAGCAAAAGCTGGAACTATTTCCCTCAAGAAATAAAACAAGACAAGAATGTCCACTCTCACCACTTCTATTCAACATAGTACTGGAAGTTCTAGTCAAAGCAATCAGGCAAGAGAGATAAAGAAAAGGCATCCAAATAGTAAAAGAAGAAGTTACACCATTTCTCTTCACCTACAACATAATTCTATACCTAGAAGACCCTGAAGACTCTTCCAACAGATGTCTAGACCTGATAAATGACTTCAGAAAAGTCTTAGGATACAAAATCAATGTTCAAAAACTAATGGCATTTCTATACATCAGTAGTGATCAAGCTGGGATCTAAATCAAAAAGCAGTCGGTCGGGCACAGAGGCTCACACCTGTAATCCCAGCACTTTGGGAGGCCAAGGCAGGTAGATCACCTGAGATCAAAAGTTCGAGACCAGCCTGAGCAACATGGAGAAACCCTGTCTCTACTAAAAATACAAAATTAGCTGGTCATGGTGGCACATGCCTGTAATCCCATCTACTCGGGAGGCTGAGGCAGGAGAATCACTTGAACCCAGGAGGCAAAGGTTGCAGTGAGCCGAGATCGAGCCATTGCAATCTAACTTAGTATAGCCACAAAAATAATATATCAAGGAATACAGCTACTAAATGGGTAAAATATCTCTACAAAAATACAAAAGACTGCTTCAATAAATCAGAGGTAACACAAATAAGTAGAAAAACATTTCATGCTCATGGATTGGAATAATCAATGTCATTAAAATGGACACATTCCTGAAGCAATTTACAGATTCAACAGTATTCCTATCAAACTACCAATATTACTTTTCAAAGAATTAGAAAAATCTTTTCCAAACTTCATATAGAACCAAAAGGAGCTCTAATAGCCAAAGCCATCCTAAACATGAAGAATAGAACCAGAGGTGTCACATTACCCAAATTCAAACTACACTACAAGATGATATTTACCACAACAGCATGGTACTGCTATAAAAACAGATGCATACACCAATGCAACAGGATAGAAAACCCAGAAATAAAGCTGCACATTTACAATCATCTGATTTTTGACAAAGTTGGCAAAAGTAAGCAATGGGGAAAAGACTCCCTGTTCAATAAATTGTGCCTGGGGTAACTAGCCAGCCATATGCAAGAAAAAAAAAAAAACTGGATTTCTACCTATCACCATTCATAAAATTAACTCAGGGTGGATTAAAAAGACTTAAATGTAAGAACTCAAAGTATAAGAATCCAAGAAAAATCTTTGAGAAGATAACACTTCTTGATATAAGCTTTGATGAAGAATTTATAGCTGAGCCCTCAAACTGAACTGCAACAAAAATAAAAATTGACAAGTGGGACCTAATTAAGCTAAAGAACTTCTGCACAGCAAGAGGAAATATTGGAGTAAGCAGACAACTTTCAGAATGAGAGAAAATATTTACAAACTATGCATCCAAGAAAAGGCTAATATCCAGAATATATATGGAACTTAAACAAAAATTAACAAGCAAAAAATAAACAAACCCATTAAAATACAGCCAAAGGGCACGAACAGACCGTTCTCAAAAGAACACATACAAGCAGCCAGCAAACAAATGAAAAAATGCTCATCATCACTAATTACCAGAGAAATGCAAATCAAAACCACAATGAGATGCCATCTCACACCAGTCAGAATGATTTTTGTTGAAAATTCAAAAAGTAACATGTTTGTGAAGATGCAGAAAGAAGAGAACACATATACTGTTGATGTAAATGAAAATAAGTTCATCTACTGTGGAAAGCAGTTTGGAGAGTTCTCAAAGAACTAAGAGTTGAATTGCCGTTTGATCCAGCAATCCCATTATTGTGGATATAACCACAAGAAAGTAAATTGTTATACCAAAAAGACACATGAACCCATATGTTAATTCATCGCTATTTACAACGCCAAATAATCAATCCAGGTACCCATCAACAGTGGGTTAGTAGATTGGATAAAGGAAATGTACATATACACCGTGGAGTACTACATAGCCATAAAAAGAATGAAATCATGCTCTGTGCAGCAACATGGATGCAGATGGAAGCCATTCTCCTAAGCAAACTAATGCAAACATAGATAACCAAATACTGCATATTCTTGCTCATAAGTGGAAACTAAACATTGAGTACACATGAATATATAGATGAGAATAATAGATAATGTGATATTCAAGAGTGGGGAGAGAAGAAAGAGGGTAAGGATTGAAAAAATACCTATTAGTTACTATACTCCATACCTGGGGGACAGATTCATTTGTACTCCTAACGTTAGCATCATGCTACATTCCTTTGTATCAAACTTGCACATATGCCTCCTGATTCTAAGGTAAAAGTTGGGATAGATAGATAGATAGATAGACAGATGATAAATGATAGTGTGCATAAATTCATTTGTTGCTATTGTCTCCTAATGTTTGTATTTGAGATCAAATGTGTTGTTTTATATTATTGTAATTACTCAAATTGTATTACTATGTGATATTTTACAATTTTTTTTATCTTGGGCATTCAATTTATTTCAATTGTTGCTATGACAAATAATGCAGATATAAAAATCCCTGCCTTTGTGCATAGGTAAGGGGCTATTCCTCATAGTAAAACGGTTGTATCATAACTAATGTGTACATTCACTTACACTCTGTAACAAAAAACTATTTTATAAAATTTTTATATCAATTTACATTTTCATTAGCACTATGTAAAAGTTTGTGTTCTTTCTCATCTTCATCATCATATTTTCATCCTTTGTTTTGCCAGTGCAGCTACTGTGAAAATTTATTTATTTATTTATTTATTTATTTATTTATTTATTTTGAGATGTGCTCTCACTCTGTCGCCGAGGCTGCAGTGCAGTGGCACTGTGTTGGCTCACTGCAACGTCTGTCTCCTTGGTTCAAGCAATTCTCCTGCTTCAGCCTCCTGAGTAGCTGGGATTACAGGCGCCCACCACCATGCCCAGCTAGTTTTTATGTATTTTTTTTTTTAGTAGAGATGGGGTTTCACCATGTTGGCCAGGCTGGTCTCGAACTCCTGATCTCAAGTGATCCACTCACCTTGGCTTCCCAAAGTGCTGAGATTACAGGCATGAGCCACCGTGCCCAGCCAAAAATTTTTAAATTATGATTTTAGTTTTTTTTATTATTATTATACTTTAAGTTTTAGGGTACATGTGCACAACGTGCAGGTTTGTTACATATGTATACATGTGACATGTTGGTGTGCTGCACCCATTAACTTGCATTTAGCATTAGGCGTATCTCCTAATGCTATCCCTCCCCCCTCCCCCTACCCCACAACAGTCCCCAGTGTGTGATGTTCCCCTTCCTGTGTCCATGTGTTCTCATTGTTCAATTCCCACCTAGGAGTAAGAACATGCAGTGTTTGTTTTTTTGTTCTTGCGATAGGTTGCTGAGAATGATGGTTTCCAGCTTCATCCATGTCCCTACAGAGGACATGAACTCATCATTTTTTATGGCTGCATAGTATTTCGTGGTGTATCTGTGCCATGTTTTCTTAATCCAGTCTATCATTGTTGGACATTTGGGTTGGTTCCAAGTCTTTGCTATTGTGAATAGCACCACAATAAACATACATGTGCATGTGTCTTTATAGCAGCATGATTTATAATCCTTTGGGTATATACCCAGTATTGGGATGGCTGGGTCAAATGGTATTTCTCGTTCTAGATCCTTGAGGAATCGCCACACTGACTTCCACAATGGTTGAACTAGTTTACAGTCCCACCAACAGTGTAAAAGTATTCCTATTTCTCCACATCCTCTCCAGCACCTGTTGTTTCTTGACTTTTTAATGATCACCATTCTAACTGGTGTGAGATGGTATCTCATTGTGGTTTTGATTTGCATTTCTCTGATGGCCAGTGATGATGGGCATTTTTTCATGTGTTTCTTGGCAGCATAAATGTCTTCTTTTGAGAAGTGTCTGTTCATGTCCTTTGCCCACTTTTTGATGGGGTTGTTTGTTTTTTTCTTGTAAATTTATTTGAGTTCATTGTAGATTCTGGATATTAGACCTTTGTCAGATGAGTAGGTTGCAAAAATTTTCTCCCATTCTGTAGGTTGCCTGTTCACTCTGATGGTCATTACTTTTGCTATGCAGAAGCTCTTTAGTTGAATTAGATCCCATTTGTCAATTTTGGCTTTTGTTGCCATTGCTTTTGGTGTTTTGGACATGAAGTCCTTGCCCATGCCTATGTCCTGAATGGTATTGTCTAGGTTTTCTTCCAGGGTTTTTATGGTTTTAGGTCTAACATGTAAGTCTTTAATCCATCTTGAATTAATTTTTGTGTAAGGTGTAAGGAAGGGATCCAGTTTCAGCTTTCTACATATGGCTAGCCAGTTTTCCCAGCACCATTTATTAAATAGGGAATCCTTTCCTCATTTCTTCTTTTTGTCAGGTTTGTCAAAGATCAGATAGTTGTAGATATGCGGCCTTATTTCTGAGGGCTCTGTTCTGTTCCATTGATCTATATCTCTGTTTTGGTACCAGTACCATGCTGTTTTGGTTACTGTAGCCTTGTAGTATAGTTTGAAGTCAGGTAGTGTGATGCCTCCAGCTTTGTTCTTTTGGCTTAGGATTGACTTGGTGATGTGGGCTCTTTTTTGGTTCCGTATGAACTTTGAAGTAGTTTTTTCCAATTCTGTGAAGAAAGTCATTGGTAGCTTGATGGGGATGGCATTGAATCTGTAAATTACCTTGGGCAGTATGGCCATTTTCACGATATTGATTCTTCCTACCCATGAGCATGGAATGTTCTTCCATTTGTTTGTATCCTCTTTTATTTCACTGAGCAGTGGTTTGTAGTTCTCCATGAAGAGGTCCTTCACATCCCTTGTAAGTTGAATTCCTAGGTATTTTATTCTCTTTGAAGCAATTGTGAATGGGAGTTCACTCATGATTTTGCTCTCTGTTTGTCTGTTATTGGTGTATAAGAATGCTTGTGATTTTTGTACATTGATTTTGTATCCTGAGACTTTGCTGAAGTTGCTTAGCAGCTTAAGGAGATTTTGGGCTGAGACAATGGGGTTTTCTAGATATACAATCATGTCATCTGCAAACAGGGACAATTTGACTTCCTCTTTTCCTAATTGAATACCCTTTATTTCCTTCTCCTGCCTAATTGCCCTGGCCAGAACTTCCAACACTATGTTGAATAGGAGTGGTGAGAGAGGGCATTTAATTCTTAATGTTATTCTTTAAAAGTATGGATTGTTCAACATTAATATAAATATTGAATATAAACACCATCAATATTTTTAATATTTGGCTGGCTTATATTTTCATATCCTTTTAATTTCAAATTCTAATGTTTTCATGTTCATGAAAAAAGTTTTTTGCATAAAGCATATATCTACTTTTTAAAAATTCAGCTTAATAATTGTTTATACTGGATTATTTTAATCCTTTTAAATATTTGATTTCAAACGTATTAGGATTCATTACCACAGTATTTTTACTGTCTGCTTCAGTTTCTATTAATCCTAATTTTCAATG
Organism: Homo sapiens; assembly: GCF_000001405.40. Classification (NCBI taxonomy): domain Eukaryota; kingdom Metazoa; phylum Chordata; class Mammalia; order Primates; family Hominidae; genus Homo; species Homo sapiens. Next base: position 195,177,221 of record NC_000001.11, on the reverse strand, counting down.
TTTCTCTTGTTAGCTAGCGTGTGTGTCTTTGTGTGTTTTGTTGTATGTATGCTTGTGCATGTGCATATATGTATGTTTAATGATGTCTTGTCATATTTTGGATTTATTTCATTTATATTTTACTCTAAATCTATTTCAGACTACCTACACCTACACTCTACTTTTTGTGTTACTGTGGCCATCTTAGAAAATGTAACATGCATTTTAACATAAAATAATATAATTTAATTATTTTCTAATTTAATTAGAAACCTAGCCTTCCTTAATTCCAGTATGCCCTCATGACTTGATAAAACTATTTTCTTTTAGACATTTCTTTAGCGAAATTCTACTGTTGCTAATTTCTCAGCTTTTTTATGTAAAATATGCTTAATTTGACCTCAACTTTGAAAGATAATTTCACCTGGTGGAGAATTCTAGACAGTTACATTTCCAAATATCTTAGCATCTCCATTTACCATCTCCATTTACCTCTAGATCCAAGCTATCATTATGCCTCACTTGGTCTCCTATGATACATTGCTAACTGGTCTCACATTGGCTCCCCCTATACTCCACACACATATATACAGTATCTAATATTACATATAGCCAGATTAATTCCTTTAAGGTATATAAACTCTCCCCTACTTGAAACTCTCCAGAGAGCTCTCCTTTTAATGTTGAGTCAGGCCAAAATCATTATAAAAGTTTGTCCCTCCATGGCCTTACTATCTTCACTCTCTGAGCTTATCTCTTCTCTTCTTGCTTTTGGTAACTTAACTTTGCTTCAGACACTGGCCTTTGTGTTGTTCCTTAACCAAGCGAGGCACCCTCCAAACTTAGTGTCTTTTTACTCATTCTTATTTCATGTAACACATTTTTTTCCAGACCTTCAGTGCTTAACTTTTTCATTGTATTAAAGATTTTATTCATATGTTAACTTTACATAGATTACTGTCCTGACAAACATATTTGGATTTTCAAACATGATTCTTAGAACTCCCGCTGGACCTGATCCTGCTCCAATTTTATAACAGTTATAGCCTCATAGCAAAATAACATACTTATTTATTATGCATGTTATATATTTTCTAACTCTCTTCCTATGCAACGTAAGCTCCATGAAAATAGTTTTTATTTTATAATATTACCATGTGTCCTGAGCAATGCTTGGTATAGGGTATGGTCATTAATTTGTTACATAAATTAATGTTGAACTACAATATTTATTCATTTTGTTCACAATTAGAATCACTCAAGATGTTTTTGCCAAACGTTGAATCTTGAATCATGATTGAATAACCCATGTCAAGAAATTCTTCCCAATACAGCTTTACATCCCATCCACCTCTCCAGTCAGACACCAACACAATAGATTCTCACAGATGCAACCCCAGTTCTTTATGGTAACTATTACCAAGGACACACACTTTGTTTAGTTTGTATGGTATTTCTTTCTGGAACAGAGGTTGCACTGCTTTGCTTGGACTTCAGTTAAAAATTCCCTTATCACTGGCCTGTAGAAAGCAGGGTTGATGGAGGAGGAAAGAAAATGCAAACGTCTTGTACCATCTTGGCTTTATGTTTCTCCCAAAAATAGATGTCTCTTTTCCTCTGTAAAGGCAAATGAGATGATTTCTGCCAGCTGAGAAATTTAGAGACTCAAAATTATTTTGTTCATTGCCATTCCTTTTCCCAGTGACCTACAAATCCCATATGGAAGGTTCAGATTTTGATATGAGATATCAGTGAGTGTGAACATTTTGTTTCATTTGCAGTTCTGTCACTCTTATTATTAGTTTCTAAACCAGATTGTTGGCCAAGTAACCCCACAGCTGCAAGAGATGCCAGTCTCCTTTAATGCTTTCATAGAGGCTCACTGACATTTACAATGTCATGTAGCTGGACAATTGTCTTGAACCTGTCTTTAATTTTTTTTTTACAAAATTGTAATATGCTCAAATCTCAGAAAAGGAGAGTTAAGAAGAAAGTAGATGGGAGGTAGAGAAAGAGAGATTAAAACCAAGAAGACAACCAATATGGTACCCATCAATGGTAGACTGGATGAAGAAAATGTGGTACACATATACCGTGGTGTACAATGCAGCCATAAAAAAAATGAGATCATGTCCTTTGCAACAGTATGGATGCAGCTGGAGGACATTATCCTAAGCAAATTAATGTGGGAACAGAAAACCAAACATCGCAATGTTCTCACTTATAAGTGGGAGCTAAACAATGGATAGTCATAAACACAAAGATGGTAACAATAGAAACTGGGGATTACTAGAGCAGTAAGGGAGGGAAAGAAGCAAAGATTGAAAATCTATTTGTTGAGTACTATGCTCAGTTCCTGAGTAATGAGATCATTTGTACTCCAAACTTCAGCATCATGTAACACATACAGGTAAAAAACCTGCAAGCGTATCTCCTGAATCTAAAATAAAAGTAGAAAAAAAATCCAGGAAGGTAATGAACTGGCCACAGCTTCTTAACTGGTACCACTGACTGCTTCATTTCAAGTGGCTTCTTTAATAAACACAATAGCTCACTTTGTCCTAGGGCAGACCAATAGGAAAGGGGTTGAATACATTATCTGATAGGTCCTTCCCATTCATTGTCAGGTGGAAACTGTGACTTGCTTATAACTGAAGGTGAAAAGATTATTGCTTGCTTGATTAGGTTACATTCTATCACAACCATGATCAGATGTCACTCATGTCATAAAATGGGATGATACAAATAATCATTAAGGTGATTATGTCTCACTGGTTATGAATTTTTCTTAGTAGACTATAGAAACATATTTTTCTGATGTCCTTAAAGAAGCAAAGGGCCGTATTATAAACTGCTATAATGAGGGTCACTGGGTAGGGAAATGAGGACAGTCCCTAGAACCTGAGGGTGGCCTCCAGCCAACAACCATGGGAAGTGAGGATCCTGAGTCATAGAGCTGCAAGGGAGTAAATTACGCCAAAGGCCTAAATGAGTTGGAAGCAGATTCTTCCCCAGCCAAGCCTGCAGATGGAAATGCAGTCCAGGGGACACCTTGATTGCAGCCCTGTGAGAACCTGAACAGAGGACCTAACTAAACTGTGCTGAGGCTCCTGGATCATCAAAACTATGAAAAACAGGTTTATCTTTCTTTAAGCCATTGTGTTTGTGAAAATTTGTTATACAGCAACACAAACTAATACAATATTTGATTGAAAAAGTCCATCCCTGTACTCCTTAACTCTTAACTCCTCTACATATCTAGTTGTGTCATCTGACCTCTATAGGCAGGCACTGGGAATCTACAACATTAGCTCTTCATCTCTTTTTCTTGCCTAGTCAGTACATAGGTCCAGAAGTCTCTGAAAATAATTGCTTTGCATAGAGCTCCATGATACAGGAGCAGCCCAGGTTTATATTTCATGGATTTATAGAAGACTATGTTTCCTATTCCCAAGTCATTCAGTTTCTAAATGTTTAAATTATTTTAGAAAAGATCATGGCAAAGACAAATAATACATGGTTTAATTCATTAATTGACTAGACATTTAGCATGAACTTTTTTCAGTGCTATGTGTAGTAAGGAACTGGTGACCAAGAACATGCATAGTACCTGACCTCATGGAGGCTAAAGGCTGGTGAGTGAAGTAGAAATAAATCAAATTATCCAAGAAAAGAATTACAGTGATAACTTATCTTAGTGAGACAAGAATGATATAATTGTGCTATAAAAGAATAATGATTTTTGATATGTTGCAAGTATTAAAACTATGATTCAACTTTAACTATGTTTCCAACACTATTCAAATTATTTTATATATCTTAACTATTTTATCCTCAAACAACCATACTGTGAGGAAAACTGAAATACAGAAATGGTAACATACTTACCCAAAGCCATATAGCTATTAAGTGGCTGAACTAGGAATAATTCCAGACATTGTGGGCCAGAACTTGAGTTCTAAACAACTACCTAAAACTCAAATATGTTCGATGTTATCAGTGAAAGCTTCACTGAAAAATAATAGATTTGAGATATGAGAAAAGTAGTAAAATAATAGGGTAATATATTTTAGGCAGTCAAATATGTATAAGGCTTAGGATGGGAGAACATATGGTATTTTGGAAGAAATACAAGGAAAGAACAGTGGGATTTTGAAAATCAATAGAGAGTGACTCAAGATACAGCTGGAGAAATGCAGGATCCGCAAGAGTATTTCTTGTAAAATGCACTGTTCTTAAAAGGCTTTCCCTTCAATTACTCCTTCAAATCCTGTTTTACTCTTATCAGATATATATTTATGTATTTTTAAACAGCAGCCTCAAAGTAATCACCGTCATCATCATCATCATCTTTTTTTGTCTACATATCTGCCCCCGCTTTCTTCTCACCATCACTAACTGCATTCAATTACTACATTTTGTTCTTCATGAAGGTTATCCTTTAATTTTTTTTACATGCCAAAAATTGTGAGCATTAAACACTATTTAGCTTTTGTAAAGTGACTCTATATCCTCTCACCCTAGAATATTTTAGCACTATATATAATGTTAGGTTGAGTCTCAAAACCTTTGCCCAGGCCATATGTAGGCAGTAAAGCCCAAGTTGTTAGTTCATGGATCCAATAATTCCACAGAGTAGCTGCAGGAACATTAGCTTCTGAGTCAATGCTATGTCATTCAGCTCTTAATTTTCTTGTGAAATATAAAATTTCCTTTTATTTTGTGACTCCAGGCATACATTTCAACAGATATTTTTGTTATATTTTATCTAGCATTATTTTTGTGAGTACTATAGCATAGTCTACTAGTGCTTCATATTACAGGCACAAGTTGCAGTAATAGGGTTTTCTTGACGCTAAAGCTAATAGCTATACCTACTAAATAGCTAGAACAATGTGATCTAGAGTATACTTTTTTATAAATAGATGTTGGAGAATATAACATAAAAGGTATAAAAGTCATACCTTGATTATTCTTAAAAATTTATCTTCTAGATATTAGAAATAGAAAACAGAAAGACAATTTCAGAATGATTATAATTGTAGTCTAAATCCCGCCCATCAATTTTATACTGACCCCTAACTTTAACAAGATCACACTCTACACTCCATTTGCTTTAACAACTTAAGAAAAGATCACAGTTTAAATAAATTATAAATTTTTGATATTATCAGATATTATAATTTTTCCAAGTGAGTGGGTAAAATATACTACCTTATTATATAGTCTTTCTTTATGTTTTTTTAATCACATCTCTTTCTAAGGATATTAGTCATACTACTTTCTTCATTAAAATGACTGTCCGTAGATTGGTCAGTCACTTAAGTGGGTTATTTATATGTTCGTTGATCTGTAGAATTTCTTCAGATATTTTATATATAGTAAACAGTTGTACTGTATTTCTTGTCTGATTGTTTTGTGTTTGGAGAATTGGATTTTATGTGTGGCATAAGTTAGAAACATTATTTCATTTTAACATTTCTGCTATGCATAAGTCTTTGCCTTAACTTCATTACTGAACATTCTTTCTTACTGATCTGTGATGTTAATTCTATCATATTTCATGTTTATATATGGCCTGGGGTCTACTTCTAGGTACTCTGTTCCCTTTAACTTGCTGGCAATCACTATATTAATATCACACTCTCTTACATGTCAGAGCATGGTCTGAGTTTTCAATCTTGGTAGAAAAAATCTCCCAACCATACTGATTTGTCTCAACAATGTCTTCTTGAAACAATGAGATCTGTTATTTAACGCAAATTTTAGAATAATGCCACCCTGTTGTTCAAAATATCCTACTGCAATTCTTTTTATTTCATTCAGAAACAATACCTTTAATTTATATGGGAATAAATCTCCACTTAAATATAGGTAATCTAGCAACTCATGTGAACATAATTTCTTGCATACCGTTGATACACATTGTTTGGAAAATTTACTACTAGGAAACTGATAAATGGTATATTTTTATTACACTATTTAAGGAGTGTTTTAAATGTTGCTCTTATCCTTTAAAAATCATATGTCTTGGTTATTTTATTAGAGAGTCTGACTGAATTTTGGACAATTTTAATTATCTCTACTTATTTTGGTTTGAAAAAGAACAGAAGACAAATTATATAAGCTTACCTAATAAAAATATAGTCAATTCCTTATAGATAATAATCCCTTTAGAGTAACCTAGGTATTTGACCTTATTAATTGTTTAAAAACAATTAGCTTTTTAAAGTCAGTGCTATTCCATTGCTTAAAAGATTATTATCTTCTCTCTACATTTTATTTTATATCTAAATTATGGCATTTATGAAAAAAATCAGTTTTCAAATATATTCAAAGCATACATGAGATCCCTTATTTGTTTTATTTTCCTACATATGTTTTCTCCTATATTCTGAACTTTAATCTTCAATACATATAAAGCAGACAGAACCGGATTGACAAATAATCTTTATATTTCTTGCTAAAATAATCGATAACTTTATTTCAATGACAACAATCCAAAATGTTTTAACATTTTATTTGGTGCCATAAATATAGTCGATCCCAAACTAACATTGCTTTATGTAAATAAACTGATGTATTTACTGTGGTATTTAGCAAATACCATATTCATTTACTGAAGTGATATTAATAATATAGCACAAAATAAACTTCACTGTCTCCTTGATATTATTTACTGTAGGTTAAAATAGTTTGAATGGTCAAAAAATATGATCACAAATATATACAATTTATTTGTGATTTATATAATTGAGTCCTATAAAATTATTTTACAACATAACTTATTTTAAAAAAAAAGCAAGGAAAAAAGGAAAACATTACTTAGCAATTAGAAGTTCCATGATGTAAATATCACTTTTTCAAAACAAATTAATAAAGTTTGTTGTAAGATATAGGTATAAATTTGCTATAAGTTGTAGATATGGGGATGTGCTGCTTTAATAAAGAGGAGTACAGTACAGGGTGAAGTGAATAATGTTTGTATCAAACTCCAGTTCTTCACTGTGAAGAGATAACCCATGTTAATGATCATCAAATGACACTAATCCCACAAAATCAAAATGTGTCTACCATCTCTCATTCCTACATCTCTTATTTTAGCACAATAAGGGAAGCCTATAGCATTTTCCCCTAATTCTCCTTGAGAAAATGCTCTAGAAACACATTATACATTTACCCCAATAATTACGTTGTTTCGGTAATAAATGTGCCATAATTTTATATCAATTTAAGCATCAATTGACTTAGCATATTCCCATCATGACAACTTGCAACATTTTCAGAGAAAAACAGTTTCTTAATCCACATGTCACCAACTAATTTTATTCTACAATGCAGATAACTTTTTAATTATCTCAAGTATCTTAACTAAAAATAAATAGATTTCGTTATAGGAAATCTCTAAATAACTGGCTCTAAGTTGTACCCATTATAAAACCACCCAGTATGCAGAAGACAGAAATATTCTCATCAATTGTTAAAATTCACGTTCAGAATTTTGAACCAATGTAACTCAATTACCATACAGAGTATAACCTTTAAACATAAAAAGCTACACTTCATCTTGTATTGCTCAATTTATGGCATGAAACAAATTTTTCTAGGTTCATAAGTGAGGAGATATCTTATGAATTATAATCATTACAAACTAATTAAAAACAGTGTACAAAGCCATTTCAGTAAAACAATCTTGAAATTTGTTCTTAGAAAATCTGCATTTCCAAACAACTTGCATTAACAATTATATTCTTAATATCAGTGCAAAAATAACCAAAACTTGGAGAACAGCTTTTTAATTTAGGAATAATCTTCTAAAATTCTAGTACATTGCTAAAGACGTTTTTTAATAGGAAGAAGCTAAGCACCATTTATAAGGGTACTTAACTCACTTTATCAATTAAATAATTATTATTTTGTGTTTATTTTTATTTTGAATTTTAAAAATCTAGCATAGCACAGAGTTGACACTATTATTTCATTTTAAACTTAAAGTAAAACCAATAATTAATTATTGCTAATCCACTTTTGTATATTGGGAAACCAACCCAAGTAAATTTCCAAAGTCACATAGCTAATAAATGGCTAATCTGGACATCATATACCAGCCAACTGATGTGAACGTGCAAGTTCTTAATTATGTCACTTTACTGGCTTTTTGAAAATAGTGCTCCTAATTCATCTACCTTAGGTTATTATTATTGGAATAATAACCTAAAATTTTCCATATATATGAATATAATATATAAAGATATGTATATATGTGTGTGTCTGTATATATGTATATATGTATAGCAAGAGACATTGTATTGCAGAAAGAACATTAAAGCTAAAAAGACAACACTAAGCTACAATTCTTGCTCAATAATTTACTGGGTGTGAAAAACAGGTTAAATCACATCATTCTTCTAATTCATTTTTTAACATAAAAATAAGTTCATGCACTTTGGGAGGCCAAGGAGGGTGGATCATGAGGTCAGGAGATCGAGAACATCCTGGCTAACGGTGAAATCCCGTCTCTACTAAAAATACAAAAAATTAGCCAGGTGTGGTGGCGGACGCCTGTAGTCCCAGCTACTCAGGAGGCTGAGGCAGGAGAATGGCGTGAACCCAGGAGGCAGAGCTTACAGTGAGCCGAGATCGCGCGACTGCACTCCAGCCTGAGCGACAGAGAGAGACTCCATCTTAAAAAAAAAAAAAAAAAAAGTTCATATAGATTTGTTCTATATTTGTCCCAGCTATATCACAGGATTGCCTGAGCATGAAAATAACATTATGCACGCTAGCATGTTAATAAGTATCAGCAAGTATTATTAACACTATCAGATATTTTTCCATTAACTGGGGACATCTATTTCTATACTAAGTAGATGAACAAAAAATTTCCTGCCAACCAACATTTTCCTTCTTCAACTCATTTAAATAAAACATTTTAATTCACTTATCTTTTCTTAATAGTTTTAAAAAACAACCAGTACATTGCATTGTCAAAATCTACTGGATATCAAATGTTTTCATCTTTTTCAACCTTTCGAAGTCTCTGCCACAATTATGTACTACTTCTGTCTTAAAACACTTTCTTTTCTTGACTTCCTTGTTTATCACCAACTTCATTCTTTTTGAAAAGTCTCATATGCTCAACGTGCTTTTATCTGACTTTAATATGTTGGAGAGAATGTATCTTTCTCTATTCAGACTTTCACACAGTAATGGCTATAAGTAAAGAATTTATATGTAATATTAAAATGTATTGCTTTAATCTTGATTTGATCCTTGAGTTCTAAATCTAACTACTAAGCCTATGCATCTACTCAGATGTCTATATAAGCATGTGAAACTTAATGTCCCCAAAACAGACCACATCTTTTACAATCCCCTCCAAACATGCTCCAGTTCCAGAATTACCAACCTCAATGTAGATTACATGTTATCTATATATTTACTAAAGACATAAACTTCAATGGTATCTAGATTCCATTAACTCCTTCGGCTTCTTTAGTCAGTCTTCTAGTCTGTGAGTGTACATCTCATTATTTCAAAATCTTAACCCCATCCAAGCCACCATATACTTTTCTCTATATAATTCAAAAGGCTCCTAATTCATCTACCTCTTTTCACTCTATGTCCCAAGTCAATTTCCAGTGGAGTGATATTTTAAAACTAAATCATTTTAAAATTATCCTTTTACAAAAAATAATTACAGGACAAACAGACAAAAATATTTTTTAAAAAATAGGGCAATAATATATTGAATAACTTACCTTAAATAAAATCCAAAGTTTTACTGTGACATGCAAAATTCTGAGGGGTCTGAGCATCCTGTCTATCACAGCAGTCACGTCACCCAGCAAAGAGGAGTCAGTCCTTCAGGTTTGAGCCATAAGAACCATCCTGTATTCCTAATTATTTTAACACACCAAATTCATTCCCATCTCAAGTCATTTGTCTTTGCTGTTCAAGATTTCTACAAAGCAATTATTGGAAGGATTTTAGTAGTTCATTCCTATGTATTTGTGTGGTCACAGCTCAGGTCGGTCAGATGTTCCCATACACCTAGGAATATATTTTTTCTTTCCCTCCTCCTCGCCTCCCATTCTCTCCTTCCTTTTTCTCACTCTTTTTTCTTTCCTCCTCCTCTCTCTTCCTCTACTTTTTATCTGTCCAAAATCTGGAATGGTTTAATGATTTTTGAAGTTCCTCTCTCTAGATGGGAGATGGAGCCTGCTTCCTGATATAATAGCTGGAAACCCCGAATATTAGGTCCTCAATTTCCCTTGTACTCTGCACTGACATAATCTCAGCTCATTAGATGTATTCATTTTGAATAAAGTTTCCTAGTGACTCTCGGGAGAATACAAAATGTGTTCTAAGAGACATAGTAGAAGCAGCAACACTATCAAGTTTCCAGGGTAGGCAGCGTCAGCAGTGCCGGTGCTGTGATTCTGCAGTCAGTACCAGCAGCCCCGCATTCAGGCGCTAATTCAATATCTTTGCCATTGCTGTGTTTCTGGCTGCATAGTATCACTCTTCATTTCTGTCCTATTTTCTGAACCCAATTCACCAGACTTCTCAAAAATTCTTTGAGTATTCCCACATCTACATAAATTTTCCATTAAATGAGAAACAGCTTCAGTTGCTTGCAGATAGAGACCTCCAGACATTCTCTAATCCATTATTCAATTTTACATTTTTTCTGACACTTTATTAATATATAAAATCCTCTTATTTATTGATTTGTTTTTTTCATAAATTTTCCATTTTTTATTCTAAATCTGCCATGGTTAAGCAGACTCTCATAAACTTTTAATCACCGAGATGAAAGTAATGCTGTATGTTTTTACTACATAGCCTCCTCCTCCCTTAGTACAACTTTTGGTTTAAAGAAAATATGTGCTTCTCTTGAGAAATCAGTATATTTTTTAAATATCAATTTACAAACTTACAATTGCACATTTTGTTTGCTTTGCTTGCTTTTTTAACTGATGTTATTCAGGAACACTGAAGCTGAATTGTGGGTAAGTATTAGTACAAGGTATTCAATATTACTACTGAAATGCATAAGCAGAATTAGGCAGGGAATATAATGTTTTTAGATTATAGGAAATAATTATACAGAAAAGCAAGTGAAATTTGCATTTCAGATAAACAACACTTGTTTTTTTCTTATAATATAGGTATTCCCTGTGAATACTGGGGGGACATACTTGTACTAAAAAACTTTTTTGTTGTTTACCGAAATTGAAATGTGACTAAATATTTTATGTTTCATCTGGCAACCTTAGAAGGGAACCACAGTATTTTTACCAAGAGAATATGAAGTTCAAATGAAGTCAAAATTTATTCTCAACATGTATATTAATCATCAGTTTATACACTATTTTGCATTTTCAATCTTTATCTCATTTGGTGATATAGTGGAATTTATATCAACTTCTTCTTTCCTAAGACACTTACTTATTTTCTGTTGATTTAGACTATATTTATTTTCAAAACTTACGTATTGCCAGAGAATGCCACAGAATGGCCTCTTTTTTTAAATTTTCTTTCGAGACGGAATTTCGCTCTTGTTGCCCAGGCTGGAGTGCAGTGGCATGAACTAGGCTCACTGCAACTTCCGCCTCCCAGGATCAAGCGATTCTCCTGTCTCAACCTCCTGAGTAACTGGGATTCCTGGCACTTGCCACCATGCCCCACTAATTGTTTGTATTTTTAGTAGAGACAGGGTTTCATCATATTGACCAGGCTGGTCTCAAACTCTTGACCTCAGGTGATCCACCCACCTCAGCCTCCCAAAGTGTTGGGATTACAGGCGTGAACCACTGCACCTGACCAGAATGCCCTCTTGTGTGTCAATCTATTTATTATTTAACCAGGAAGAAAATAAAAATGAGTGTGAATCTTTTGTTGCTAATGTTCTAAAATGATTTACACAGTTTGAAGAAAATGAAATGAAAAACTGTATATTCATATTAAAATTTCTTTAATCATTATTTTAATTCAAAAGTTTGTATGGAATCTGGCTTTTTGCTCTATATGTTTCTGAGAAGTTTCAGAACTGGTCGTGAAAATTATTCACAAATTGTTCATATTCCAAAAAATTTAGCACTTAAACCTATTACATAGCCATATATTAAGGTTTTATTATTTTCTTTTTTCTCTTAGTGACTATTTGTGTTTCTTTTTTGAGACTGTGTGTTTAGATAACTTCAGTTTCATCCTAATGATTTTATATAATCTTTCAGATACTTGAATTTTTGACTATTAACTTTGAATACTGGGTATGTTAATTAGCCTCAATGAATATCATTTGTCTATCTGTAACATAAAATAAATAGGTAAATATTTTTGAATGTGCTATAAAATAGGAATATTCATTTTCTGATAGTTTTAATTCTAAATCCAAAGTAAATCTTGCCCTCTTTAATCTGAATTAGTGATGGCAAACTTTGTTCTGTAAAGGCCTTAAAAGTAAATAATTTAGGCTTTGGAAGCCACATAGTCCCTTCAGTAACTACTCAGCTCTGCCACTGTAGTGCAATAGCATCCATAGATGATATGAAAATAAATGAGTGTGGCAGTATTCCAGTATAATTTTATTAAAAAAAATAAGACTAGAGCAGAATGGAATAGGATTGTAGCTTGAATCATTATTTCCATAGATAATTCAGTACAAAGAGATAAAATGTATTTTTAATTTGACCAGATGTTTTATTTTCTTTCCTATCTCTCTCTCTAAATATTTTTCACAATCTTTGTTTCTTCCCCACTTCTGACACTTGCCACTCTGGACTAATTCATAAGTCATGCCTTTAATAAGACTTAATCGGTTGTAGGATAGTAAAACAAATAACTAAATGAACAAAACCACATGAACAGTGATATATCTCTCATGCATTATTAAAGAGATAACAAAATTTTTTTTCAGCTTTTCTATAAAAACAAGGCTTTCACTTATGTCCTTGGACGATTTCAATTTTATTTAGACACACTAAAGGAACAAAGCACAACAATAACAAATCTTAATCAAAATTTCTGTAAATGTACTTTTAATTCATTGTCAGGTAACCTCTGTTTTTACTGTTTCAATTTACAGTCCTACATAGTGAAGTCTGTTGATGACAAGTATCTTAACCTTTTTCTAAGTCTCAATATCATTTTATATAATTGTTTACATACATTTCTTAAATGTTATTTATGAGAAATAAATTAAACTGTATCTATAAATTACTTAGTGTAGCATGGAGCACACATTAATTAATTTTTGGTAATTGAAAATAAATGTTTTTGGACATTAAATGTAAAGTGATTGTAAAGTCATTTTTATATGATTATAGATAGTCATACTCAATTTTTAAAACAATTGACTTCTTGTGCAAATAACTTTAGTGCAAATAAATTTAGTACTTATTAAGTTTAGTACTTGTTAAATGGATGAATGTGTACCAATAGATAGGTGGCTTTATATTAAGTATCATTTTTGACATATGTGTAAGACTAGTCAAAATACATAGCTCAATAACACAGTTGAGGGCTAACAAAATTAAGGATTACGAGGAAACCCGGGAGCAGTTATTAAGGCAAAAGCTGGAACTTGACGATTAGAAAGTGAATACACACTACAACAAAATGAGAACATCTATCGTACATAAAGTTAACTGTAAAAGCTTCATTGTCTTAGTCTGTTTTCTGTTGCTATAACAGAATACCTGAGACTGTGTAATTTATGAGGAAAATAAGTCTATTTGGCTCACAATTACAGAGACTAGAAAGTCCAATATCGGGTTCTCTATCTGTGGAGGGCCTCTTACTGCTCTGACTTACAGAGTGGAAGGGTAGGGGGTTTATGCAAAAACAAGAAAAAAGAAAAAAAAGAAGAGACCAAATACCTGCTCTTGAGATGTCTGCTGAGAGGTAAAACTCACTCACTCCCTTCAGAAACTGCATTAATGCCTTCATGAAGCCACATGTCTCATAACCCAAACGCCTCTTAAAGCTCCCACCACCTCTCAAGACTGTCACACTGACAATTAAATTTCAACTTAAGTTTTGGCAAGGACTAACAACATCCAGACCATAGTATTCCATGTGAATATGCTTGTTAACCATGAACCTAAGCTATCATGGTTTTTTTTAATTGAATATTTGTAGCATGTAAACATGAGGAAATCAGAGTATTTTTGTCCATGTCAATTTTTCTTACCTAACTCCAGTCAGAGATGCCAAAATCACTTTCATCAAGAAACTCTTAGTGATTAATCTTATTTATTTAGAAATTAACCATAAGCAGCCAGACGCGGTGTCTCAAGCCTGTAGTCCAAGCACTTTGGGAGGCCGAGGAGGGCAGATTGCCTGAGGTCAGGAGTTTGAGACCAGCCTGGCTAACATGGTGAAACCCTGTCTCTACTAAAAATACAAAAATTAGCCGGGCCTGGTGGTGGCACACACTTGTGGTCCCAGCTACTTGGGAGGCTGAGGCAGGAGAATCCCTTGAACCTGGGAGACAGAAGTTGCTGTGAGCCAAGATGGGGCCACTGCATTTCACCTGGGAGACAGAGCAAGACTCCGTCTCCACTCCCCGCCCTCCCCCCACTAAAAAAAAAAGAACTTAACCATAAGCAATTTAGGCCCTTTAAATTTATTGGGTCTTGTGATATTGGGTATATTCCTGACAACTTTTCAACATCTAAATATAAAAAGAAGCCAATGTACCTATTGTTTATTTAAACAATTTACATCAGTGAAATGTTATATACATTGCACATATGTTCTAGCTCTAAAATATGATACAAAACTAATAATAGAGACTAACAATATTAGACATATTTTTACATATTTTTCTTTCTTCATGTAATGATTTAAAAATTAGTTTAGAGAACCTAAATAAAATTAAATACTATTGTAGATAATACAACTTTTATAACCATGAAGCTTAAAACTGTTCAATAACTCATGAGTCACACAGAATATAATGCATTTGATTATATTTTTTAGAAACTCAGAATTTCATTATATTTTTTAGAATGGTACATTAAATTTAATATAACAAATATTTTATACACATCATGAATATTTATCTATGTAAGCTCAGCTGTTAAGGGCATGAGTATGTTGCTTATTTTTTTTCTGTTTATTAATTCTGTAAAGCATAGTGGAATTATTAAAATGCAACAGGAAAATGACATATATAAGTGAGAAGAAAATTTAATAACATTTGATCCAAACAATAGGTTGGAGCATATTACTTTCAATTGATAAACTGACAAATTAAGGACAATTTAACTAAGAATAAAGAACAGTAAGTTTAACATTTATATGTGTTCCAAAATTAAGTCAAGAAGAATGAGGGAAGTAAATCAAATATGCAGAAAAACTAGCACTTTTTTACGGAATGTGATATGGTCAATTAAAAGTTTGTATGAAAACTATAACCAAAAGTTTAGTTTTACCTGAAAACATTATAAAATATAAAGAAGGAAAGTCATTGGCGCAAAACAAAATAACACAATTTATAGAGATTTTAAGTGAATCACTGAAGTCTTTATTGACAAAAATAGTGAGGTATCAAATTAAAATGCCTTAAAATAAATAGATAAGATGGATATGAATACACTTATGGAAACATAATTAAAAAGCTTCTTTGAAAGAAATAGCTAACGTAAGCAGAACTATAAAGATTGTTAAGCAAACATTTTATAGTAAATACCTAATTTTTTTTTTTTTTTGAGACGGAGTCTTGCTCTGTCACCAGGCTGGAGTGCAGTGGTGCCATCTCAGCTCACTGTAACCTCTGCCTCCCCTGTTCAAGTGATTCTCCTGCCTCAGCCTCCCAAGTAGCTGAGACTACAAGTAAATACCTATTTTTTTAAATATTAATGAGAAAGTTATTATGCGGTACCTTATTGTTATATCTAATGACCAAGGAAGACATAATGTTTCCCTCAGCTTGACCACATTTAGACAAGCTTCTTTTTGTTTCTAAGCCCCTGACCTCTCTTTTCCTGGAGTATTTACACTGAAAACTTTTAAGTTCTTTCTTTCTTTGAAATGTAAATCTTTGAAAAGACTCTTGTTGGCTTTAAAACCCAAGTGTGTCTTCTTTAAGGATCTGGGGAACATGCCTTCCAAAGGTCATCACCAAGAAACAGAATGGACATATCTTAGTCTCTGTGGGAGGGAAGGCTCCACCTAAACTAAGTGGGTGCCTTGCTCCACGTTGTAAAATTACCTTCTGTAATGAAGACTTGAGAAAGTTTACTTTTCCTTTGAGTAAGGCCAGTTAGAAATGCAGAGGGTCTATTTTCCACCTCACTGCAAAGCTCTCCCACCCTTTGTTTAAATGCAGTTCCGTTCAGTTGTTGCAATAGTCTTGGATACAGTCCTTTTTCAAACCTGTTTCACTTTGCCCAGTGCACTTTTTACTTTGACAGTAGCATGTCTACTAAGTAAATGTAAATAAAGTTATCTTGCTAATTAGAATAAACAGGTGCTTTTCTTAATTATCTAAGTAGCAAAGCAAAATTGCTAGGCAGAATTATTACAATAATTACCAATTTTTTTTAACTTTATTTTGCCTATGAAGGTGAAATAGTTAAGTGCTTGTTCGTAACGTAAACTACAGAAATATTACGTGATAAAAAGGTCCAGTGAAAAGAACCAATTAATTTACTTCATCAATTGTATATCCACTATTTTTATCATTTGTCAATGTAAGTTGTGGCTAGGAGTTAATTATTTTCAACAACTTTTTTAGTAATAATAAAATAAACATTTAATGAGAAAACAATACATATATATATACACACACACACACACACACACATACAGTTGTTTCTCTGAGATTCCCTTTTACTGACTTATGGATTTCTTCTAAGTTACTTGAGCGCTATATTCCATGTTTTATAAGTTTATGTTAAGTAAAATAATATATGTAGATGTTGATTTTCAGAATTCATGTATTCCAAGATAATGACAATATTTCTTTGTATATGATGCTGTTACCAGAAAGGGATTTGGATCCAGACCCTAAGAGAGAGTTTTTGGATCTTACTTAAGAAAGAATTCAGGGCAAGTCCACAGTGCAAAGTGAAAGCAAGTTTATTAACAAAGTAAAGGAATTAAAGAATGGCTACTCTATAGACAAAGCAGCCCTGGGGGCCACTAGTTGCCCATTTTCATGGTTATTTATTGGGGTGGATTATTCACACTTCCCCCTTTTAGACCATATAGGGCTACTTCCTGATGTTGCCATGGCATTTGTAAACTGTCAAGGCGCTGGTAGGAGTGCAGCTGTGATGAAGTCCAGAGGTCACTCTCATCACCATCTTGGTTTGGGTGGGTTTTAGCCAGCTTCTTTACTGCAACCTGTTTTATCAGCAAGGTTTTTATGACCTGTATCTTATGCTGACCTCCTGTCTCATCCTGTGACTTAGAATGCCTAACCATCTGGAAATGCAGCCCTGTAGTTTTCAGCCTTATTTTACCAAGCTTCTACTCTAGATGGAATTGCTCTGCTTCAAAGGCCTCTGAGAATGCCATGACAAATTATAATTAGTTGAAATATAAAATATATGGAAGTACAAAACCATATTAGTTAATTACAGGGGCTGGCAGTGTCACAGGAATGTGCCATGGAATGAGAAACAAAATTATTAATTAGAAAACCCCAAGGAATACAAAAAAGGCATTTTAGAAAGCAAAAGGAAAAAGTAAATGAGATGAAAAAGTAAATCAAAGAGTAAAGAACAGGAAAGTTGAAGAAAATTGGAAGTTTCCATATATATCTTGAAAAAAAAAATAATGTGGGATAGGACTTGAAAACAATAGAGCAGAGATTAGTCGTTGCATCATACTTCTATCTTTTCCAGCAATTTACCTAGACACATAATTTAACTTCAGATAGAAAGTTAAGTTGCTATCATTGGAATAGTGAATCTTATTTCTATTATGTACGCATTATATTATTTTAAACAATTATCGTTGTAAGCCATATGCCCATTGCTATCAACTCTTGTTGATTGCAGTGGATGTGTTCAGTTTTAGAAAGTGAATAGAATGTAGTACTCAAAAGAACTGTATAAATAAGGAATGAAGTGAAATGGAACAAATGTATTTTTAATAACTGTGATAAAATAAATATTAATTTGAAAATCTCACTGTGCCATCTTTCTGTTCTGTCAAGGGACATTGCATTAAATATCTTATACAAAATAAACAGCAAGTTTTCATGGGAAGGTCAGCATATTACATTGTACAGCATATTACTGTATACTTCTGTAATTCTACTGTTATATTTCTGAGATTGCCTGACTTAAAACGGCTAATGTATTACATTAACGGAAATGAACTATCTTCTTTTATGTTAATCATTGCAAATATTAATTAATTAATAAAACCTGATTCCATAGCGGTAGTTTCACAGCAAAAGAAATAAAAAAAAAAATCAGTCCTTTGAAGATTTACATTGTCAGCTGCAATAATTTTCTTTCTCCCACAATTAAAAGCTATTAATTAGTATTTCACAGTACCTTGTGATTTATTCTGCCATATTAAGATGGAATAAAATGCAGTACCTTGAGCTTCATTCTCAATAAACATTCAGGATGTCCACAAACATACTTTTTTATTGTAATTATTGATTTATGAAAAGGAAATCTTGTTATTAAAGATACTATTATGATGAAAATTATAATAACTTTCTTCACATTCATATGCTTTTTCCATTTGTATTAATGCTAATGAAGGTCAAGGGATTTATTTTCACAGCACTATATTAAAAAGATGTCTTGATTTGAATTTACTATACAAAACTCTACCAACTGAAATATGCTGTTTAATGTGATTAGCGGTTACATAGGCCTTTCTTTGTCACTAAAGGTGAGACAGCCAGGTGGGAGGGGCTCCCTGGAGAAACTCCAATCAGTCTATCCACTGAGGTGGAGCCTTGGGAAGTTAACAACATTTGCGGCAGGGAAGAGACTCGCCCCTCCTCTTCCTGTGTAGAATCTGGTATTCCAATTCCCAGGCAGGAAGCACTCTAGCAGGGGAGTCTGGCCTTGCGGAGGATTCCTGTTTCCTCTATTTTTCCCTTTTCACCCAATAAACCCTGCTTTACTCACCCTTTAAACCATCTGTGAGCCTAAATTTTCATGGCCCTGGGATGGACAAGAACCCCATCTTTAGCTGAACTAAGAAAAAGTCCTGCAACAAAGGTTTAATAAGTCCAGCTTTATGATCTTAGCATATCTAGAACTACATTTCATATGAAGGTTATCAATTAATATGTTTTAATAGAATCTTGTTTTATGCACTATGATATCAATTATTTATCAAAGTATATTCATTAGTTAATTGTGGGAAGTGGATTAAACAACAGCTAACCCAACAAAATAATATTTACTTCCAAAGAACTGTTTCATTTGCTTACTTATTTATAATTTTAGAACTATGTGGCAAAGCCACAGTATATTACACACATATATGAAAGAAATAATCTACCTTAATGACATATATATAATTGTTACACATACATGACACTACATATAAACAAAATATCCATATAAACAATATATACATATGGTTTTGTTTTTTGAGTTACTTGTATTTAGTGTTTTTTATGGATAGATAGGTAGATGGATAGATAGATACATAGATAGTTTTGGAGGATAAGAACTCTCTCTTATATTCAGCACTGTCATTGAACTTTTACAGAAGGTGCTAAGTAAATGCGTGTCAAATTAATTAATACGCATTACTTTAGAAAAAAAATTAATGAAACTGATCATCAAATATACAAGTGTATTCTCAAAAAATTATGTGTCTATTTCAATCTTATTTTCTTTTTTTTTATTATTATTATACTTTTAAGTTTTAGGGTACATGTGCACAATGTTCAGGTTAGTTACATATGTATACATGTGCCATGCTGGTGTGCTGCATCCATTAACTCACCATTTACATTAGGTATATCTCCTAATGCTATCCCTCCCCCCTCCCCCCAACCCACAACAGTCCCCAGAGTGTGATGTTCCCCTTCCCGTGTCCATGTGTTCTCATTGTTCAATTCCCACCTATGAGTGAGAACATGCGGTGTTTGGTTTTTTGTCCTTGTGACAGTTTACTGAGAATGATGATTAATAATTTCATCCATGTCCCTACAAAGGACATGAACTCATCATTTTTTATGGCTGCATAGTATTCCATGGTGTATATGTGCCACATTTTCTTAATCCAGTCTATCATTGTTGGACATTTGGATTGGTTCCAAGTCTTTGCTATTGTGAATAGTGCCACAATAAACATATGTGGGCATCTGTCTTTATAGCAGCATGATTTATAGTCCTTTGGGTATATACCCAGTAATGGGATGGCTGGGTCAAATGGTATTTCTAGTTCTATATCCCTGAGGAATCGCCACACTGACTTCCACAATGGTTGAACTAGTTTACAGTCCCACCAACAGTGTAAAAGTGTTCCTATTTCTCCACATCCTCTCCAGCACCTGTCGTTTCCTGACTTTGTAATGATTGCCATTCTAACTGGTGTGAGATGGTATCTCATTGTGGTTTTGATTTGCATTTCTCTGATGGCCAGTGATGGTGAGCATTTTTTCATGTGTTTTTTGGCTGCATAAATGTCTTCTTTTGAGAAGTGTCTGTTCATGTCCTTTGCCCACTTTTTGATGGGATTGTCACAATTGCTTCAAAGAGAATAAAATACCTAGGAATCCAACTTACAAGGGACATGAAGGACCTCTTCAAGGAGAACTACAAACTACTGCTCAATGAAATAAAAGAGAATACAAACGAATGGAAGAACATTCCATGCTCATGGGTAGGAAGAATCAATATCGTGAAAATGGCCATACTGCCCAAGGTAATTTATAGATTCAATGCCATCCCCATCAAGCTACCAATGACTTTCTTCACAGAATTGGAAAAAACTACTTTAAAGTTCATGTGGAACCAAAAAAGAGCCCGCATCGCCAAGTCAATCCTAAGCCAAAAGAACAAAGCTGGAGGCATCACGCTACCTGACTTCAAACTATACTACAAGGCTACAGTAACCAAAACAGCATGGTACTGGTACCAAAACAGAGATATAGATCAATGGAACAGAACAGAGCCCTCAGAAATAATGCCGCATGTCTACAACTATCTGATCTTTGACAAACCTGAGAAAAACAAGCAATGGGGAAAGGATTTCCTATTTAATAAATGGTGCTGGGAAAACTGGCTAGCCATATGTAGAAAGCTGAAACTGGATCCCTTCCTTACACCTTATAAAAAAGTTAATTCAAGATGGATTAAAGACTTACATGTTAGACCTAAAACCATAAAAACCCTAGAAGAAAACCTAGGCATTACCATTCAGGACATAGGCATGGGCAAGGACTTCATGTCTAAAACACCAAAAGCAATGGCAACAAAAGCCAAAATTGACAAATGGGATCTAATTAAACTAAGGAGCTTCTGCACAGCAAAAGAAACTACCATCAGAGTGAACAGGCAACCTACAAAATGGAAGAAAATTTTCGCAACCTACTCATCTGACAAAGGTCTAATATCCAGAATCTACAATGAACTCAAACAAATTTACAAGAAAAAAATCAGTCTCATTTTCTTAAGAAGGACTTATGCGCTCTTGAAAATGTGATAAAATGAGAGAAACAGACACACACACACCAACACTTATGATCCTCTTGCCTCTGAAAACAGATAATTTGTTAAAAAATAAAAATATAACTCTATAATTAATCTTTAAACTGCCTAGCAGATGATGGAAAATTACTTTTCTAACATTTTATAAATGATGGAGAATTATTCTAAGCAAGTACTGCATAGAATATTTGCACATTTAATTTATAGGAAAGGTTAATTGCATTGCTCTGTTAGTATGACCTGCTTGAATGCTGAATCCAGGAAGCATAAATGATTTTTAAGTACACAGCAAGAGAGTGGATTTTCCCCTGGGGTTACTCCTAAGGCTTTTGTACTAGGTGAAGCAATAAGAGATGTTACGTATATCTATGGTGATTGTTCTCAACATCCCTGAAGTTTAAGACCTAAAGATCAAGAGACAAAAATTCATAAATGGATTCTGATGCTAGCATCTAAACAAAGAGGTAATATTAGTGGTTTTCTTCTTTAAAAAAGTGTGTGTGTGTGTGTGTGTGTGTGTGTAAATCACCTGTAACCTGAACATACTGTGATAATACCTTGGGTCACGAACTGATACCTTACACTTTTCTATCAAATTGTCAAGATTCTACTCTATTCAAGATAATTTTTGTTATAATTATACTTTGTTTTTTAGAGAAGAGTAACTCTAGCAAAAATGTCCAATATTGGAGTGAATGTAATTTAGAATAATATGTGTTACATAGCTGCTTCTCAGATTTAAACACACAGTTGCTGACAGTGATGTAGATGATACTTGACATCATTTAAAAGCTTGTGTTGATATTTGTTATGAGATTTTCTTTTCTTTTCTTTTCTTTTTTCTTTTTGAAACACAGTTTCACTCTTGTTGCCCAGGCTGGAGTGCAACGTCACTATCTCGTCTCACTGCAACCTCTGCCTCCCAGGTTCAAGCGATTCTTCTCCTGCCTCAGCCTCCCAAGTAGCTGGGATTACAGGCATGCGACACCACACCTGGCTAATTTTGTATTTTTAGTAGAGACGGGGTTTCTACAATTTGGTCAGGCTGGTCTCGAACTGCCAACCTCAGGCAATCCACCTGCCTGGACTTCCCAATGTACTGAGATTATAGGTGTGAGCCACTGCGCCCAGCCCAATATTTTTTTTCTTGCCTGTTGATTTCTCAATTCATTTCTGGCAAGTGACATACTATTAAAAATGTTGGATTTGAAACTTTGAAAATGTATGAATATGATGTATATACTTAAAGACAGAAATGAAAACCAAATATCTCATGTTCTCACTTAAAAGTGGGAGCTAAACATTGGGTACACATGATCATAAAGTTAGGAACAAAAGTCCCTTGCTACCACTAAAAGAAAGAGGGAAGGAGGAAAGGGGGTAGTGGTTGAAGAACTAATTATCTATTGGGTACAATGCTTACTACTTGGATAATGAGATCAATCACACCTCAAGCCTCAGCATTACACAATATACTCATGTAACAAAAACTGCACATGTAGCCCCTGAATCTACAATAAATTTGAAATTTAAAAAAATCAAAGTAAACTAAAATAAATTAAAAAAGGAAATGACACTAAATTTATTCCTTTACTATGAATCATTTTTATTTTAATGACTGCTTAGTTCATATACAAAGAAATTAAGAGTGTAAGGGAACCAATTGGTTATGCTACTCTTATGACTACATATGGTATTAGATAAAGAGTAGCATCAGGATGCTAACAAAAATTACTCTTGCAGTTTTGATTTGTGTGTGTATGTGTGTGTGTGTGAAGTCCTCATTCATGAATACTTTCAGAAAATAAAAATCAGCAACCAAACGCACTTATTTTTTATAAAAGGAGCTTCAGCATACCAGCTATTCCCATGTTGAACTTCATTTCTTGTTTTTTTGAACATAAAAACAAAGAACAAATATTCTATTGATTTAAAAATGACTGTATCCCTTCAGTAATATGTAGAAGCTAGTTCAAAATATATAAGGTCTTCTTAATTTTATCCATTTTTGTAAGGGTTTTGTGATACCATATTGAGATTGTAATTATTTCATTAATGAGACTGAACATTTTTTCATCTGGTTATTTGCCATACATTTATCTTCATTAATTATAATTCTTATTCTCATTATTGTCACCATTAATGAGATTGTAATCAACCCAATACAACAATGGATGAAAGATTTGAACTGCCATTTCACTAAAATATTTTGGATAATGTGAAATAATTTGAAAACAAGTGAATATTTGCATATCAAGTATTTCTAACATAATGACTCAGCAATTTGCAAAGATAATTTAGAGCAATTATCTTACATGTAGTTTAGAAGACATATTGAATTATCAAATGCCAGAGAAAACAGAGATAAGTGGCTATAGTGACAACTTTTTCCCAGTTCTATACCATGCACTTTTCCTTTTTTTTTTTTTTTTTCATGGAGTCTCGCTCTATTGCCAGGCTGCAGTACAGTGATGTGATCTCGGCTCCCTGTAACCTCCGACTCCCGGGTTCAAGCGATTCTCCTGCCTCAGCTTCCTGAGTAGCTGGGGATACAGGCACGTGCCACCACACCCAGCTAATTTTTATATATTTAGTTGAGACAGGTTTTCACCGTGTTGGCCAGGACGGTTTCGATCTCCTGACCTGGTTATCTGCCCGTCTTGGCCTCCGAAAGTGCTGGGATTACAGGCATGAGCCACCGGGCCTGGCCACACTGTTCTCTTTTTCAGTGAATGGAACATAAATTCATCCAGCCTACCAGAAATTCGTTTTCTGTGGTGAACTACTGTTCTGCAGTTGTCTGCTGAAGTAGATATCCAGGTTGTGGGGTGTGTTCCTAGTCATACTTAGAGTTATAATCGAATAAACAATGCTAGACCTGGATACTTGTGTTTGCTCTGCCTTGGGACTATATGACATCATCACTGTTGCTCTGCTTAGACCATTCTCTTAAAGAGCCCCAGAGCAGACTGTTCAGATACTACAGGTACCGTGGTTCCAACTGGGTCCCCTAATTGCTGAGGAGATCATTATATCAAAACAATGGTTGAGACACTGATTCACAAGCATGGCGATGGGTGGTAATGTGTATGAGAAGATTTATTAAAAGTAGGTTAAGGAACTGAGAAGCTCAGGTATAGATAAGCATGTTGAAATAGTCAAGATAATTGGCAGGGTGTTTGTTGTGGAAATATTACTGAGATAACTAAAAGTACTGCTACAAGGGGATCTGTAGATCAACAGTTAAAGAGTGATATGGTTTGATGACATGACCTTAATGTTGCTAAGTTGAAAGGAGAATATATAAGTTAAATAAGAATATATGAGAAGAAAACCAACAATCCAATAGAAAAAGTATGTTACTGGTATAAATCTATAAAAAGCTTCTTAAACATAGCTATTGTAAAAGAAAACTATTAAGTTAAATCTAAAATGAACTATTGTGTTTGAAATCAGAATTGGAGAATCAAAAAGGTTTATGACACTTATTTCAAATTATTAGTTAAAGCAAACATTTCACAGAAGGCTGCTTATAAAATGAATTTGCATACCATTTATGGAGGTAAATTCAACAAACTTTTTCAATTTAAAGATAAATGCTTACACATTTGTCCCAGTAATCATAAAATTTAATCCTAAAATAATGCATGCATATATATGAATAATGAATATAGAAAATATTCCAGCCAACTAAAAATCTAAGAAAGAGATTGATTAAATATATTATGTTAAACCCACATAATGGAATGCAATATCATAATTTTTTAAAATTGATTACTTTTAAGTGTACTGAAATGGTATAAACATCAAGCCATACTGATAAGGAATAAAATAAAGCTACCAATGAACATAGATTAAGCTTTCATTAGTTTATAAAAAAGTATATATGTATATAAGAAAGTATATAGACATATATTTATACATAAGTATATATGTATACTTATGTATACATATAAGTACATACGTATACATATGTATATGTATACATATAAGTACATATGTATATATGATAATACATGTGTATGTAAGAAAGTATGCAAATATATAAGAAAGTTTATGATAAAGTATACAAGTATATGTATATATACTTTCTTATAAAGTAATGATAGCTTAATCTATGTCTCCTTAGTAGCTTTATTTTTTATTTTTTATTTTTTTTTGAGACGGGGTCTCACTGTATCACCAGGCTTGAGTGCAGTGGCATGATCTTGGCTCACTGCAACCTCTGACTCCCGGGTTCAAGCGACTCTCCTGCCTCAACCTCCCGAGTAGCTGGGATTACAGGCATGTGCCACCACGGCCAGCTAATTTTTTTTTTGTATTTTTATTAGAGACAGGGTTTCTCCATGTTGGCCAGGAAGGTCTTGATCTCCTGACCTCATGATCCACCCACCTCAGCCTCCCAAAGTGCTAGGATTACAGGAGTGAGCCACCGCGCCCAGCCAGTGGATTTATTTTATTGCGACCAATATGTAACAATAAAATATATCCCATATTTCATCACAGTTCCCATACTCCAAAATTATCAATCTATAAAATTTATTACATTAAAAATATTGTCCATTTATTGCATAAAAATTTATTGTATAAATTTATTACATTAAAAACTTAAATTACATTAAAATTATTGTATAAAATTTATTACATTATTACATTAACAATTATTATAAATTTATTACATTATTATTACATTATGCTAATTTATAAATAATTTATTAGAAATTGTTTGCTAATAAGGATTGTCAGCTGGGTGCAATGGCTCACACTTGTAATCCCAGCTACTCAGGATGCTGAGGCTGGAAGATGGCTTAAAGCCAAGACGCTTGAGACCAGCCTGGACAAAATAGAGAGATGTAGTCTCCAAAGATAAAAATAAAAATTAGTCAGACATGGTGGTGGGTGCCTATTGTTCCAGTTACTCCTGAAGTTGAGATGGGAGGATCATTTGAGCCCAGGAGTTCAAGGATGCAGTGAGCTATGATCCTACCACTGCACTCCAGCCTGGGTGAGTTGTCCCTATCTTAAAAAAAAAAATGAAGGATTATCCTCTACATTTCATAGAAATAAAGTAATTATTTAGACATCATACTGGTCCTCAATTAACCGAACATATTCTTCTGAAGAGATGTATTTTAATAGGTTTATGATCAAACTGAACTTGAACCTTAACAAGCAAAAAGAAAAAGAAGAATAAATTATCTCTGAGAAGCTATGAAAAATGTTCCCAGAGATGACTGTCAAAATAATTAATAAGCAGCAATTTTTCAGACAGAGAAAATAAAAATTCAATCCAGGTTAAGCTGAAAAAGTACCAGCAGAAAGACATGGTGGAAATGTGAACATCTGTGGTGATTTGAAAAGACTGGAATCATTTGAGCATCATTAAAAAATGATAATCTTATTAATATAAGTTGTGGAGCTGACAAAATATCAGACTGGAAAAAGCAGTAGAGTATAAGTGGTATTATGTCCCTTATTGGTACACCCAGTCTTTATTTAAAAAGCTATTGAAAACAGTTTAAATGTAAAATATGAAAAATTCTTAATTTAGTTTTTGATATTGAAAGATTCAGATAACAGTACGGTGGATGGTTTCTAAAGGATTAAACTGGAAAAAAGGGATACCCATTAAAATATTACTATAAAATTTCAGGGAAACAGAATAATGGGAGAGCCATATGAAATAAAGTAATAATGCAAGATTCAGAGTGCTTGATGAATATGAACAACTAGTGGCAAATGACAGTTGAAATATTCTTGCTTGGTCTGATGGTTGTAGGTTAATTCCGTTAAGTATAAGGGAATAAGAAAGATTGGAAGAACAATATTTGCAATTTTTAAACTTGAAGTACTAGATAGTATCCAGTGATAGACATGCATCACATAATTCTTGCAAACTTTTTAAAGAGTCTTTTAAAATAATGCTTTTATGTTTCATCTAAATAACTTCATCAATAACTGTCCCACTCAGATTTCTGAATGAAACACTGTTAGGCAATTTTGCATTCAATACCAAAACATATTATTCACTTTCTAGGTATAAGTAATAAAGTAAATATTCTGAATACTTTTTAAAAAATTGTTTAAATATCCTGGTTTTGTCCTTTTTAAATTAAATGGTACCCAAATATACCTGTAGATTAAATGACATTCATTTTCTATAAAATCAAATCTAATATTTGAATTGGCACTTATTTTCAAAAATTTAATAAAGTATTTGGAAATTTCCAATTTTCATCAGTGCCTAACATTAGAACTTTTAAAAATAATATTTTTATAATACTGAAACATTTATCTCATTGCAAATAGTTCTGTGGAAGCAGACATTTATGTTTAAATAAGGTATTCTGGGCATTAAATATGTTTTATATTTTCATTTTAATATTTACAATGTCTTGAAATACAGTTATTTTAAAATTGATAAATGTGTATCTTATTAAAACTATAAAATTAGAACAGATATCTAAACTTAGAAATGTTAATGATGATATAAGATGATATAATATAGATGGTAAGTAGTTAGCCCAGCCCATACATATGCTTATCATAGTCCAGGCAATAATGTAAATGTTTATTCATAAAATTCTTACTGCAACCCAAAAGGCATATTAGTATTTTTTTAATTTTGTAAATGAGGAAACTAATACGCAAGGAGATAAAGAAGTTTGCGTAAATTCACAGAGTAGCAAGTAGTTGGTCTAAGAATCAAATAGTCCCTAGAGTTTATGTGTTACTTCTTATGCCAGACTGCATTACTAATGTGGAAATCTGATAAGGCCTGATGGAAGCGTTCTTGTAATCTGTAATTATTTTGAATATTTGAAATATCAAAATTGCAGAAAGAATATTATAGCTATGGATTTATTGTAAAGTTAGTTTTTAAAATTTATCCATTCAATTTGACAATATGGTTTCCTCTGAATTTTATAAAAACCAATTACTAAGGCAGTCCTTTGGTTCTTCGTGCTGACATTACACACTCACCACTCTCATCTCTTTTTTTTTATTTCTTTCATAGTAAAAGAAATTTAGCATGACAAATTGCTGTTTGGTAGCAACTAAATTTTCCCATTTTTTTTCTTTGTGGCTAAATATGCTTATGGAACTGAGTTCTGATCCTTGAGGCATGCGGCTAGCAATAATTGGTGCTTAATACAGATCTTGTCCTCAAAGTAATTAACTTTTTGTTTTCTTGGTTCCTTGCATCTTGACTCTTGGCTGGGGAATGAAAGGAAGTGAGACAGCCATCATATCCATCCATACAATCATTATTAGTATATGCAGTGAAAAATCTCATCTATGAAATGTTTTTCTATTTCTCACAATAAAAATAATAAAGAAAATCTTTATAAAATTAACTGTAGCTAGTACTATTTCACTGAAATTTGATGTATTCCTAAAAGCCAGGTCTTACAGTCAAAGATATATCAGAATCAATCACTCAGTTCTGCATTTGAAACATATCACTAAAAAAGGCAAGCAATTTTTATAGTCATAATTTTGTGTCTTAATGAGAGGTATGTCTTTAGTAAATACAGTGAAGTTGTGCTATTCAAAGATTATTTTAGTATATTATTCAGGGTCTTCTGTAGTTCCATACAAACTTTAGAATTTCTTTTTCTATTTCTATAAATAATGTCATTGATATTTTGACAAGAATTGCATTAACTCTGTAGATCACTTTGGGCATTATGGCCATTTTAGCAATTTTAATTTTTTCAGTGCATGAATGTAAAATATCTTTCCATTTATTTGTATTGTCTTCAACTTCTTTCATCAATGTTTTATAGTTTTCAGTGTAGAGATTTTTCACCTCATTAGTTAAGTTTATTCCTAGATACTTTATTTTTTGTAACTATTGTAAATACGTTTTTAATTTTTTTCTGTTAACTATCAATCACTGCCTAGAAATGCTTTTGATTTTTTATTGTGGATTTTGTATCCTGTGACTTAACTGAATATTTTTATTAGTTCTAATAGCTTTTCAGTGGAGTCGTTAGAGATTTCCATATTTAAGATTATGTTGTCTGCAAAACATGTTAAGAATCACATTTTGATTATAATAAATCAAACACTCCATAGCAGCAATGAATAAGTTCAATTTGCTATTTATCCAAATAAGTTTCATTATGCTATATTCACCACATTAGTTTAAAAAAATTCAGACCAGCAGACTACAAGTTTCAAAAGCATACAAAAATACATGTTTTATTTCAGTCAACTATCTTATGGCAGTGCAGCATGGTCAGACATTTCAAGATCATTGTGACATGTTCAAATGTAGGCACTACTGATTAATGAGTTACATCCTTGTTTTGTCAAGTAATGATTTGGTTTATCCAGAAAGAGGGACAAATTATTCAAATAGCTCTTCTGGATTCCAAGTTATTAGACACATAGACAAAAATAAAGGAAATAAGGGTGAGATGCATCACGTACATCTACAATTATGAAGTGAAATGAAAGACATAATATGCAAGGTATTTGGCTGCTGATAGTCAAATGATTCTTCAAATATTTTTTCTTTTTTAAATTGCAGATAGATACACACTTTATATCCAGGATTGCAGAAAAGCTAGTCTAATCTTTCTACAGCAACCCAATTAGGTCAGTTTAATGGCTCTTAAATAATTGGATCACTTCAATTCAAGATCTATATGCATCACTTCAAGATCTACATGATTTCAGCATTCTATATCCAAAGCAGATGCTGACTAGTAGCGGGATTAATATACATTTTATTGCAGACCAAAAGCTGTTTTTATAAGTTTGCTACATAAATTTTTCCTTAAGTTATACAAAGGATTGAAAAAAAATGTTAAAATGGAATTTGTTGCAAATTCTGCTTATTCCATCTAAAATTATGCTGAGAAATATAACAAAGGCCCCTATATAGTGCATTATTGGTGAAATATATTTTGGATTGTAAAATTTCCTTTACATTTTGTGTGCCATCCCTTCCCTTATTCCTATATTTTCTAGAATAAAAATGTTATATAATTTTTATAATGGACATTCCACTGTCTTAACAATTAATTGCTGCCAACACATTCACATAGTCATGGTTAATTATCCAAGTAAATGATGAAAAACAATGACTTCTCATTTGGGTGCCTTTATCCTCCAAACACTATAATTATTGTAAAAACTCTCAAAGTATATTCTGAGATGTATAATAAGAATTTAAATAACTATATTCAGATTATAACAAAAGAGAGAGAATACAACAGATACGGTTGGAAGTATGAGAACTCAATTATCAGCCAAATCCTAAGTTTTAGATGAACACAGTGAATTCTGAAAAAACAGACTGTTTAGCCCAAAATCACTCCACTAAGTAGCAGGCTTAAAAGCTATAATTTCATACTCTTTATTTCATAGTAGTTTCATATATACAATAGATTATTATATATACATAATAGAATATATATATATAATAGTTCTTTTATCCAAACCATAACCTCCAAAATATTTGCCACATTTTCTGAAGTTCTCCAAATAAGATGAAGAAATATCATAGGAAAATATTTTTTTGAAAATCAATGGTAAGGAAAAATTTAGTGTTTTCTAAATGTTGGCTTTGTGAACAACTGACTCCAGTGGCTTGACAGTTTCCTTGTCAGCATTTTATCAACAGAAACTTACAAACAAATACTAGTTATATGTCTTTGCTGAAAAAATGGTCAAAAATGTAATCAGAGATTTTGTTGTCCTTAAATAATGAAAACATTTTCTGAAGACCTCCAGTATATGTTATTGATCTTTTCTAAATCTTTTAAAGAATTCAAAATATCAAATATTCATTAAACACATAATGTAAATTTCACATAAAACATTATGTGCAAGTTTAATGATTTAAACTTTTAAGTTAAGGGATAATTTTAATATGTTATTTTTAAGACAGTAAGTATGGAGTCATTGTTTAAGTACAAGCGAGAAACCTCATAATTCAAACATGAACAAACATCTATCTAGCATGTTGATATACAAGGCATTGTATGCTAAGCACAGAGAAGAATTTATAGATCAATAACACATTTCATATATTTGAGGATACAATCCATTATTAAGATGCAAAGTTATTTTATATACAACTTAGAAGGAAAACTCATGCAATTAAAGTATGATACGATTCTTCGAAAAAGAACCCTGCACAACTCATGAACTCTTCTTGTCTCTTATTTCTGTTCTTTTTTAATATTATTATTTATTCCATGGACTTTCTCATTCTTTTTGCATCATTGCCTATCTTAGCATATGATAGGAAATTCCTGTGTATGTATCTCTGCAATAAAACATAACACAGTTTTATCTACCTATAAGTATATATTTTTTCTTAGTAACTATAAAATGCTTGTTGGCTTTTCAAGGAAATGTGGAATTATAGTCATTCTTCAGAGACAAATGTTTGCTTCAATTATAACAAATTATACTTCTCTGCTCTGTTGTCCTTTCTATACAATAACTTTTCATAGTAATACTGAATTAACCCAATCTCCTTGAAGACTTAAATAACAATCCAGTTTAACACATTGATTGACCACAGTGCATGCAATTCAATTGAAGTGAGAATTTTGTGAAAAGCTATAACAAAATTCACCCTTGAATCACATGATTTTCTGAGTTAAACAAAACTAAATGGAAATGCCTAAAATACATTCTTTCTGCTACATCTCTTTTCCAAATTTTGATATTATTCAATCACCTGAGATAATCATAACACCAGCAGCCAGCATCTAAAAAAGAGTGATAATTGAAACAACTTCCTAGTAAGCATGTAACATTAATTTAATTATAAATTGGAATATTTATTTAAAAATATCTCTTGGGAGGCTAAGGTGGGCAGAGCATGAGGTCAAGAGATGGAGAGCATCCTGGCCAACATGGTGAAACCCCCTCTCTACTAAAAATACAAAAATTAGCTGGGTGTGGTTGTGCATGCTTATAGTCCCAGCTACTTAGGAGGCTGAGGCAGGAGAATGACTTGAACCCAGCAGGTGGAAGTTGCAGTGAGCCAGGATCACACCACTGCACTCCAGCTTGGTGACAGAGTGAGACTCTCAAAAAAAAAAAAAAATCTCTGTGCCAAAATAATAGGTACATTAACGAGATTAACACAGTTAACATGACATATTTCAGATACTTATCTATAAAAATGCTTCAAGATGCATTTTTTAATTTAAGATTTTTTAGATAGACGTGAACCCTGCCTATGACTGATTTGCACAGAAACACAATAAATGCAACTCTAAAAACTAGATGAAATCCAAAAATGCTGACATTTGAAGGCGTTAAAAAGCATCCAAGACAGTTGAGATTTAAGGGTCAATGTAGCACAGAGGAGAGAAAAACAGCAAAGTGAACATGATATTCTCTGCTGCTTGTTTTTTTGAGACACTGCTGATTCTTAATTGATATTCAGCTTGGAGGTCAGGCAGAAAGATCAAAACTATAGCAGCCTTATGTGGCTGGACAAACATTGGAGATCAGGGATATGAAAGTGTGCTAGATTTCAGAGGTCAAGACGCCAGAAAAACCCTGAAGCTTCTGACAGGTGTGCTTGATATTGTGTCTTTACTTTTCCATAAGGTTTTTGTCATTTTCTTATGTTTGGTGGTCAAGAGTCTCATAAAAAAATAACAAAATGCAAAAACTAGGGAACTAAAGAGATACACAATGGTTCAGCATTGCAGTGAAAAAGAACAAAGATTTCTGAAATGGCAGCTTGGCATACCTTCTCCCTACTGAAATACACATTTAACAGGTTTATGTATAAACTGAACTTTCTGGAAATAGTCCTAAGACTTAACAACAAATAAACACATATTCATAAAAAATGACTAAATCTCAGTATTAAAGATGAGAGTCTACGGCACTTGAACCACAACATGCTCCTACCCTTTCTCCTCCAGATTAGTGTAACAGAAGCTTTGGTCCAGGATGTTACATCTAAGAACACAGAGCTTCCTCTTCCTCAAGGTTCCCAACTAAAGTTAAATTTTCACCCCAAGACTAGCAGTTCACAGTATCTGATTTTAATTTCATATCATGAAAATAGGCATTGAGAAGGGCAGGAGAGACAGTCTTAAATTGCAGACACCACCTGTCCTCCATTCCCTGGCAGTAGCCATGTGGCATAGAAAGAGAATCTGTGCAGTTTGTGGGGGAGAGCACAGGGACCGGAGGACTTTATGTTGAATTCAGTACTTCCCTGTCAAAGTAGATAATAAAACTGTTCTGGGCTCATTTAGCACCTGTGCACACATAGAAGGAGCATTTGGACCAGTCCTAGCCAGAGGGAAATTGTTCATCCCAGTGGTGGGAACTTCAGTTTCTTTTTTTCCTTCCTTCCTTCCCCTTCCTTCCCCCTCCCTCCCTTTCTTCCTTCCTTCCTTCCTTCCTTTCTTTCTCTTTCTTTCTTTCTTTCTTTCTTTCTTTCTTTCTTTCTTTCTTTCTTTCTTTCTTTCTTTCTCTTTCTTTCTTTCTTTCTTTCTCTTTCTTTCTTTCTTTCTTTCTTTCTTTCTTTCTTTCTTTCTTTCTTTCCTTCCTTCCTTCCTTCGTTCCTTCCTTCCTTTCTTTCCTTCTTTCCTTCTTTCTTTCCTTCCTTCTTTCTTTCTGACAGGTTCTTGCTCTGTAACCCAGGATGGAGTGTGATGGCATGATCTTGGTGCACTGTAACCTCCACCTCAAGGGTTCAAGAGGTTCTCATGCCTCTGCCTCTCAAGTAGCTGGGACTACAGGTGCATGCTACCATGCTGAGCTAATGTTTATATTTTTAGTAGAGGTGGGGTTTCAACATGTTGGCCTGGTCTCGAACTCCTGTCCTCAAGTGATCCACCTGCCTCAGCCTCCCAAAGTGCTAGGATTGCGTTCATGAACCATTATGCCCAGCCTGAACTTCATTTTCTTGGCAAGCCTCACCAATGTGGGCTGAAGTGCTTTGGGGTCCTAGGTAAATTTGAAAGGTAGTCTAGGACACAAGGACTGCAATTCCTGGGAAAACTTGCCACCCTGAAAGAAAGGGCCTTGGGCAAGGCCCAGTGCTGTACTAGCTTCAGTTCTAACCCAGTGCAGTACCAGTCGTGGTGGCCATAGACCACACCCCCAGTTTCAGGTGGTTTGGGGGAGAGAGAGAGAGAGAGGAGATAAAGACGAAGATGAAGAAGAAGAACAAGAAGAAAAAGATGAAGAAGGAGGAGGAGGAGAAAGGAGAGGAGAGCAGAGGGGAGGAGGACAGGAGGGGAGGGGAGTGGAGGGGAGAGGAGAGGAGAGACTCCATTTGTTTGGGAGAAAGCAAAGAAAAAGAATAAAGTCTTTGCCAGTAATCCAGAAATTTCTTCTAGATTTTATCCAAGATCAACAAGACAGTACCTCTAAAAGTCTGCAAAAACTATAGTATTATTGGGTTTCAGGGCTAACTTTCTTCACATACTTGGAAAGTCTTCCCAAGGAGGACAGACTAAATAAGCCCAGTCTGTGAAAATTACAATAAATACCTAACTCTTCAATGTCAAGACACCAAAGAATATTTGCAACCATCAACACCACCCAGGAAAACATGGCCTCACCAAATAAACTAAATAAGGCACCAGGTACAAATCCTAAAGAATAAAAGATATATGACCTTTCAGAGGGAATTCAAGATAGCTGTTTTGAGGAGACTCAAAGAAATTAAAGATAATAGATAAATTTAACAAAGAGATTGAAATAATTCAAAAGAATGAAGCAGAAATTCTCGAGTTGAAAAAATGCAACTGACACAATGAAGAATGAGCCAGAATCTCTTAATAGCAGAATTAATCAAGCAGAAGCGGGTTTTGGCTGCTGGCTTGGGTGGCCAGCTTTTATTCCCTTATTTGGCCCCACCCACATCCTGCTGATTGGTCCATTTTACAGAGCACTGATTGGTCCATTTTACAGAGTGCTGATTGGTGTGTTTTTACAGAGTGCTGATTGGTGCATTTACAATCTTTTAGCTAGACAAAAAAGTTCTCCAAGTCCCTACTTAACCCAGGAAGTCCAGTTGGCTTCACCTCTCAATACCCGCTTTAAACAGGACACCACAACTGCTGCTGGGAATTGGGCGATGACCACTCTAGCTACTTCCTGCTGAATGGTGGTGAATAAGGGGCCCTGCAGTTGTAGTGTCCTACACAGGGGAACTCTTTAGGCCAGTGAAAGGTCCAGGGGTCCTCAGTAGAAGTTGTTAATTG
Source organism: Homo sapiens (assembly GCF_000001405.40). Taxonomy (NCBI): domain Eukaryota; kingdom Metazoa; phylum Chordata; class Mammalia; order Primates; family Hominidae; genus Homo; species Homo sapiens. Next base: position 195,141,373 of record NC_000001.11, on the reverse strand, counting down.
AGCTCATTTGGGGTTTCATTAGTAAGACCATCTGTAGCTTGATGGCCTCAATCCTAGGGGAAACAAATTTGACAAGGAGGTTAAAAATACAGGGCCCGAAGGCAAGTAATAGCAAGATGGCTGTCATGGGACCTAGAAAGGGGAGAAGGCATAATTGACCAACTCCAGAGGTTGGTATAAGAGTTTGAAAGGCATTGTCTGATTTCAGAAGCCTTTTCCTGTAAACACTGGACAGATCTTATACTATCCCTGACTGGTTAGTGTAAAAACAACACTCTTCCCCTAAGAAGGTACAGAGTCCTCCTTTCTCAGCAGTGAAGAGGTCTAAGCCTTGGTGGTTTTGGAGAGTCACTGCTGCCAAAGAGTCTATTTCGGATTGTGGAGTAAAGATAAGTTCTGTTATTTCTTGTCTGAGAAATCCTTTGAGAGTGTGTGGTAGTAGGATAATACATGTTACACTGTTAACTTTTAGCACACTTTACTTTTGTTGAAAACCTTGTAAATTTGGGATTTCAATTATTCTTTGCTATTAATAAGACCTCATTCAGTCCATATTAACTTAGAATTAGTATAGATGGCTCCTTCCTGATACTGTAAGTACTTTAAGGTTTGGCTGAATGCAAACAACTCGCACGTTTGAGCCGAACAATTATTAGGCAATTTTCCTAACTCTGCTTCTACAAGAGTTTCCTTATCACTTACTGAATACCCATTGTGTCTTTTTCCCTTAATCGCCTGGGAGGAACCATCTATCGTCCTGTCCTGAAGGGAGTTCTTCCTAGATCTGGTCAGACCCTTGTATGGTAATTAATTAAGATTTAGATCCCCTGTTAGGAAACCTGCAGGGTTAAGGATTTTTGATAGGAAGTCTATGGGTTGACAGTAGCCTCAGTGCTTTCAGGCTGTGCCCTTGTTTACACCACCAAGAAGGTGGTATTGGAGTGTTATAGGGTTACAGAGAAGACCTTCAATTATCAATTATAGATTTTAAATTTTCCCTGGCTTTTAAAGGAATAGGGTACAATGTTTTTTCTTTACTACTTCTATCTCTCTTTCTCTCTCTTTGACTTCTTCTTTGTCTCTTTCTTTCTCTCTGTCTGTCTCTTCCTCTCTCTCTCTGACTTTCTGTCTCTTTCTTTCCTTTCTGCTGGTCTTTCCCTGCCTCTGCCAGCCACTTATGCTGCTGTTCTCCCCTCTCCTTCCCCTTTTTGATGGCTTTGGCAGTGTAAGACTGCCACCTCCTTGGATTTTTGCACTGCATGCAGTAACTCCATGATTTCCTTGTGGTATTTAATGGGGTTCCCCCAGAGGTTAGGAACTCCCTTTCTTTCCATATTGCAGCATGGGCATGTAGGATTAGATAAGCATACTTACTATATGTATACACATTTATTCTTCTTCCCCTTCCCAGTTCTAAGGCTTGGGTAAGTGCCACTAGTTCTGCTAACTGGGCACTGGTCCCTGGGGGAAGAGGCTTACTTTCAAGTACTGTTACTAACTATGGCATAACCTGCCCTTCATATCCCATTCTCCACAAATGAACTTTCATTGGTCTATAGGTTAATGTCAGGATTAACTAAGGGGACTTCTAAGAGATTCTCTTGGGTGACGTAAGTCTGGACTATAATTTATTGGCAGTCATGCTCGATTGGTTCCCCATCCTCTGGGAGAAAAATGGCAGTGTTGAGTGCCACACAGGTGCATATTTGAAGCACCAGTCCCTCAAGGAGTAGTGCCTGGTATCTAAGCAGGCAGTTGTCTGATAGCCATAAACTTCCTTTGGCATTTAGTATGCCATGTACATCATGAGTAGTCCAGACAGTGAGATGTTTTCCTTGTATTATTTTGATAGCCTCTGATGCTAAGATAGCTACCACCACAACTAGCCGTAAACAGTGAGGCCAGCCTTTTGCTACTACATCAATTTCCTTACCTAGGTATGCCACTGGTTGTGGGGTTGTCCCATGAGTCTGAGTAAGGACTCCAAGAGCTATTCCTCCTCTCTCTGTGATGTATGAAGAGAAGTTTTTCCTGTGGGAAGGCTTAGGGCTGGAGCTTGAGTTCGTTCCTTCCAATGCCCAGACTTCAGGGTTGATTCCCACCTTAAGCAGGGGACAACAAATGGGTAACTTGTTCCCCATATTCATAGCTAATAGCTCCAGCTTTGGCTAATATGTCCCTGCCTAATAAGGGTGTGGGACTTTCAGGCATAACAAGAAAGGCATGTGAAAAGAGCAAAGTCTCCCAATTACAACTGAGGAGGTGGGACAAATACCTGGTTACAGGCCATCCCAGGATTCCTCAGATGGTAACAAACCTTCAGGACAGCTGTCCAGGACAGGAGATTAACACTGAGAAGGCCGTGCCAGTGTCCAGAAGGAAGTCAATTTCCTGGCCCTCAATGGTTAAATGTACCCGGGGCACAGTGAGGGTGATGACATGAGCTGGTGCTTGCCCCGGGCACTCTCAGTCCTGTTGTTGTATCATCTGGTTGGGGGCTTCTGGCCCAGAGAAACTTTGTCCTCTGGGGCAGTGCACCTTCCAGTGATTGCCTCGGCATAGTGGACATGGGCGAGGGAGCAGCTTGTTTCTCACTGGACAATCTTTTTTAAGGTGTCCTTGCAAACCACACTGTTAACAAGCCCTTCCAGGTAATTGGCCTGCTCAATTTTCTTTTCTCTGAACCACCAAGGTTTGTTTGTCTGAGGGCCATGACTAAGGCTACAGCCTTTCTCTGATCTCACTTTTCCTTTTCGGCCTGTTCCTCTTGGTCCCTATTATAGAACACCAAGGTCCCCAGGTTTAATAATGCCTCCAGATTTTGTTCAGGGCCTAGGGTTCGCTTTTGGAGCTTCCTCCTGATGTCCGTGGCTGATTGGGTAATAAACTTATCTTTTAGGATCAATTGACCCTCAAGTGAGTCGGATGACAGGGGAGTATATTTTCTTAAGCCCTCCCATAGCCACTCGAGGAAGGCAGAAGGATTTTCTTCCTTTCCCTGAGTTATGGTGGACATCATTGAATAATTCGTAGGCTTTTTCCTAATTCTCCTTAGTCCTTCTAGAACACAGGTCAATAGATGTTTGCAACTCCAGTCCCCATGATCTGAGTCGAGGTCCCAGTGGGGATCCATACTGGGGAATAACTAATATCAAAAGCATACAGACAACAAAATTGAAATTATTCAAATAAGTGGAGCATAGATTCAGAAGCCTGTTTATTTTTTTCTGCCTCTTAAGAGTTTATTTTCACCTGAAGACTCAGCCTGGAACTTACAATGCGATTAATATCTCAGATGATGTTTTAGAGATCCTCAACAGTGAACTCTGAACATAACTGACAACAGGAAACATGAACAATATTGTATGGTGGGAAGTAAAATCAATTTGTTAATCCCAAGAGAACACAAAGAAGGACATAGAGATACAAGATGAGGAAATTAGTCTCAGCTGTTGAAAATGGTTGCTTTAATTATTATATTGAAGAAAAATTAAGGAGAAATAGTCATTATAATCATGCCTTCCATAAAATGGTACAAAGGTCAAATTGAATAATAGGAAAGGCATGCCTATAGAAACTCCCTTCTTTAAAAAATCAGAACTTATTATTTCTATGCTGTCTAAAAAAAAGCCTCAAATATAAGATATCCTTATTATTAATAAGCTGTGCTTATTAAAAATTTATTGAACTAATTGAAACCTTACTATATTATTCAGAAACTTAAGTCCCAGTTCTGTGGAAGAGTAAATTGAGCCCACTGGAAAATTTTATTGGCAACTTACTGGATTCATGGCCATTTAACAATCTCTGTATGTCAGCTGGAGGCAGAGGTCACTTACTAATTGCTGACTAAGTACCTTAAGAAGAGTTCAGAAAAAAATACTTATTCAAGGCCTTGATTAATAGGGTGTATGATACTGTTCTCACAGTCTTGGTGGGGATAATCAGACCAAGAAAATACTGAAGTCTCAATAATGTTTTAAATATTCATTGTATTATAAAGATTTAAATAGCCAAGCTCTATTGTTACTGAAACATCAGGGGTATCGTCTAGGTCCTGCTGCTTGCTGCACAGAAAGCCAATCACTAAAAGGACAGGTTTTGCCAAGGAAGAAGGCTTTAATCAGGTGCTGCAGCCAAGGAGGTGGGAGCTCAGTCTGAAATCCATCTCCCTCACTGACTAAAACTAGGGGCTTATATATAAGGAAAGAAATGTAACAATGTGTAAGAAAACCAGAACTAGGGAGAGGCAAGGAGGCATCTGGGGCCATGATTTAGTGAGTTTTGGTTCTTTGATACTTTTTTCAAGAGGCCTGAAGGTCCTTTCCTGAGGAAGGACTTCAGGTAAAACAAACGCAAATTTCAAGCTTTGATAGCAGGAGGTAAATTTCTATGTTTATCCAAAAGAGGAGTCCATGAGAGTATTGGCCCAGTTTCACTATCTTTTTATTGGCAATCATTCTATTTGTATTAAGTAATTTCAAACACATAGATGTTTGATAAAGTTTTATATTTTAATTCTTATACTCAAGAAGCATGAAGGTGAAATAACTACAAAATATTTCATTTTTATTATTTTAGTGATTTATCTTACATTTGAGAAGTTTGAGCTATGTTTTAATATGAACACTGATCTAAAAATGTTATATCCTTTTCATTTTTAAAAACTGAAAAATAATTACGAATCAGAATTCTCACATTTATCTCCTTTGAAACTGAAATGAACTTTGGTTAAAAGGTTATAATAAAAAATTATATTAAATAAGAATTATTAAAATGTCAGCAAACCTAACGTTTTTGGTTGAATGCATTTTTAGCGTTTAGAATTTACATCTTTTGAGTTACATGCATGATTTGTTTAGTTAATTGATTTTGTACATTCTTCCAGATTTATGTTTATTTATCTACTCATGTAATGAAAATGATGGCAAGCTCATAGAAAAAATATTTAGACTTTTCCTAGTTGTCTTGAATAAAAATAAGTTCAGCATAGATTAAACTTTTGAGATATAAAATATATTTCTCATCATGAAAGTTAATCCCTTATCACATTTTAGAGGTTAAAAAGTCAGCCCTAATAATGCACAGGTGAATTGAAAATTCATATATTCATTGACACAAAATTATACATTATGACCCAAAGTGTCAACATAGAAGGATAAATTTATATTTCTTCAAGTTAAATATAAATGAAAAGTAGAAAGATTGAAAATATAGTAATTTGCTAATAGCCAAACTAGTTTTTTTACATATATTTTTTCAGAAAATAGTGTCAATGTAAAATGCGCCATCCACAGTTTACATCAAAATAAAATTATTTGTTAAAACTGATATAAATAGGCCAGGCACGGTGGTTCACGCCTGTAATCCCAGCGCTTTGGGAGGCTGAGGCGAGTGGATCACGAGGTCAGGAGATCGAGACCATCCTGGCTAACATGGTGAAACCGTGTCTCTATTAAAAATACAAAAAAATTAGCCGGGCATTGTGGCGGGCACCTGTAGTCCCAGCTACTTGGGAGGCTGAGGCAGGAGAATGGCATGAACCTTGGAGGCAGAGATTGCAGTGAGCCAAGATCACGCCACTGCACTCCAGCCTGGGCAACAGAGCAAGACTGCGTCTCAAAAAAAAAAAACAAAAAAACAAAAAACTGATATAAATAGCAACCTATATTCAAAAATGTAAATAACAGTAAGTGAAAAATTTTATAAATCCTAGATATAAGGACAACCGAAAACATGTGATATATTCTGCATCAAAAAATCATTACCATCAAATGAACGAGCAAAACAAAACTTTTGAGGTAATATAATACATCACTCCCATGTCAAGAATTTAAAAAGTAAATGAAAGAAAGTTTAAAATGTGTGCTTGCTTTCTTGAGAGTGGTAATGGCAATATAAAAATAGTAAATGTGGCCAGGCACAGTGGCTCAAGCCTGTAATCCCAACACTTTGGGAGGCTGAGGCAGGCAGATCACGAGGTCAGAAGTTTGAGAACAGCCTGGCCAACATGGTGAAACCCCATCTATACTGAAAATACAAAAATTAACAGGGCATGGTGGCGCATGCCCGTAATCCCAGCTACTGAGGAGGCTGTGGCAGGAGAATCGCTTGAACCCAGCAGGCGGGGGTTATAGTGAACTGAGATTGCTCCATTGCACTCCATCTCAAAAAAAAAAAAAAATAGTAAATGCTATTGAAGTTACAACAATTACATTTTAATTCTGGTTAATAGTCTTGATAATTAAAAGGAAATATTAGATACTCTACCATAAACTATAAAATGCTATTATCATGTATCTCTATATTTATATCCCTATGAATTCATAATTTTTGCTATGTTTTTAATATGCAAATATGTATGTGCACTATAATGCTTTATATGCATTCCAGTAATATATAGATAATACATAATTATATTTCAGATACTTACTGTATCTGAATTACTGTATTATAAATTAATATTTGTCAATTCCCTATACTTCTTATGCATTTTGAATTTTATTAATATGTTTATTACATTTTTAAAACATTCTTTACAATTCTATGAGGTGTCTATTATTTTTAACTCCATGGTACATTTTTTGATAATTGAAACCAAAAATTACATTCTCTTGCCCAGAGAGTCCATAATTGTACAACTACACTATAGTGTGAAATATTGACCAAATTACTCTACATTTCTGACTCTCATTTACCCTCTTCGAATAAAGGATTTGGATAAAATCTTTCATATTATTTTGAGAAAACAACAAGATATTTTACGAAATTTTTACTTTGTAGATAGATACTAATTATGCAAAATACTGAACAGTATCTTATATGTACTAAGCCCTCAATGACATAGCCACGATTGCTATTATTAGTATACTGGTTGCTGTTATCATTTTTTCTGGTTCTTATTCTACTCCTATTGTGGAGTAGAATCTGTGTCTTATTTTACTTCTAGTGCATTTTCAAAACACAGCATTATTTAAACAAATATATATCCATTTAATATATTTAATATAAAGTTTCAAAATTATTTAAATCATGGTAATAAATCTTTAGAAATTAAGATATTTGAACAAATGTCTACAAATTACCCTGAAAATTATAATACCTCTTTCAAAGTTAAGTTATGTTATTGAAATCTAGTGCAATAAAATGTAATTTATTATAGTGTTCCCTTTTGCGGGCTTAACCAACTAAAAGAAACCAGAAGGCTTATCATTTAAAACTGAATATATGTCCTTCAGAAAATGTGTTTTTTCTCTATTCATTTCTTACCAATATTAAAATATTTAATGCTATACATAAAGGTTTATTTTTGTTTGTATTGTTAGTTTCTTAGGAAAATTTAATTAAAATTTGCATGCTTAACATACATTTTTATTTGTTTATGGATAAAGGTATACACACATACCCAAATATGTTGACAATGTTCATATGTCATCTTCCACACATTGCTAGTACATTTCAAAAGTTAACTTGTCAAGTTTTTTTAAGAGAAATATGAGTTTAATAATACTGGAATGTGTAAGGAAATTTGAGACAGCAGTGAGTATACTACTGTCTATAGATTATATTGGTCTCTGAGCTTCTACTTACTACTTTATTCCTCAAAGAATGTGTGTTCTCAGTTACTGGAAGAGGTTAATAATATCAGACATTATGGAAAAGAAAATAGTTTGATTTGAAAACTACTTTTTTTTACCTCTATTCGTATTACTTAAGTCCATCACCATTTCTAATAAGATTATTATGATAGCTTTTTATTTAGTTGATTTCCTTACTTCCATTGTAGAACACATAAGTTTATCTTCCATATTAATTTCAAGGGAACATTGTAGACAGCAAATCTAGTAGAAATAATAATAAAATATGCACAAAACATATAAAATTCCCTTGTATCTGAAACAGGCAGCAGGTTGGCGGGAGTTCCTCCTGTTCTCCTTAAAAACATAAGCTAGAATCTTATGAGAAGGCCACATGGTTGAGACCTGAGTGAGACTATTGGAAGCTAACACAGTGACTCCTGGCCAACACCCAGTGGGGAAATGGGGATCTCAGACCTACAACAAAAGGAATACAATCTGTCAACAACCTGGATGATACTGGAAGAGTATATGCAAATACAGTTTGCTCCACACCTTGATTTTAGCCTGCGGAGGCCCTGAACAAAAAATCAGCTGTGCCACACAAAGACTTCTGTGCTGTAGATGCTGGGGATAATAAATCGGGTTGTTCTATGCCACTTACAGATAACTAAAATGTAGCAGTAGCTTCTAGTACAGAATGAGTAATCAAAAAAGACATATTTTTTCTCTATATCTAGTTCAACCATGCTATGCTTCCATTACAACACTTAAGGGATAGTATCATGACTGTCTGTCATATGATACACAAAGACGGTGTTTTATTCATCTCAGTGTTTCTAATAATTAGCACATCGAATGACATGCAGTACATGTTTAAAAACTTCCGAATAAATAAATAAATAAACATATAAATAAGCATGGGTTAGGAATGTGCATTTAAGAAGATTTGAGAGGAAGTAAATGAACAGATTGGGTAAATAACATATATATGTGTATATATATGGAAATAACATATATATGTATATATATAAATGCACATATACTGCAAAGAAAATGTAAATATAGAAGCATATATGTATATATAAATGCTTATATAAATAAATCCAGAATCATTGTTTTCCTGTTAATTTTAAAGTAGAGACAGCTTTTAGGTATTTCTCGTTCTGGGTTATGGGCTAGGAAAAGGCACAGTGGCTCACCCCTGTAATTCCAACCCCTTAGAAGGTGAAGCAGGAGAATGGCTTGAACCCAGGAGTTCAACAACAGCCTAGGCAACAATGTGAGATCCCGTGTCTACAAAAAACAAACAAAAAAATTAGCCAGGCATGATGGCACACACCTGCAGTCCCAGCGACAGGTGGGAGGATTGCTTGAGCCTGGGAGATCAGGGCTGCAGTGAACTTTATATATATGTATATAAAACTATATATATCTATAAATATATATTACATAGAAAGATAACTAAAATGTAGCAATAAGTGCATTATATTACATTATATACATTATATATACACATGTATGTATATAAAATATACTATTTGCATATGTTACATGCATATACATTATATGTGTATACATGTGTATACATTATATGTTTATACATTATATATATGCATATATAAATATATATGCATTCCTATGAATAAAAACCCTTTTTAGCCAACAAAATAACCATTTCGGAATACTCTCGTTAAAAGGTAAAGCCAATATTACTTCTTCGTTTAGCTGATCAAAATAAAGTGGAATCTGATTGAATCCAGTCAATAAGGACCTCTTGGCAAAATATAATTCTAAAATGTCATTGGCTAATTGAAAAAAACATAACTGTATTATTTATCATAGAAACTGTAGTACTGTGCACAGATAAATCTAGGATAGTATTTCAGAGTTCTTAATATCACACATGTTAGAAATCATTAGTTAGGTGTATATCTAGAAAACATAAATCTACAGAATGTGGATTATGGGGTTGGATCAATATTAGCCTGAATATTTAAGAATTTAAATGCTAAATGTTGAGTGACTCATTTGCTCTTCCTTCCAGTGGTCTCTAATTTGAGTACATGTCCTCAAACATTGTTTTCAAAAAAGATTTAAAATGTGTAGAATGAAGTAGAAAATCACATTTCTTAAACGATTTTAATTAAGCATGTTATATTTATTATACAATTCCCTTTTTTTGGAGGCAGATAAAAGTTTACTATGCATTCCATAAGACAAGACTAAATGAGAAAGACCAAGAAAAAAACAGTAGAAGCATACAGAGATACAAGAGTCCTCAGGTAGAAACATTTGTTTGTTTGTTTGTTTGTTTTTGAGACGGAGTCTCGCTCTGTTGCCCAGGATGGAGTGTAGTGGCACAATCTCAGCTCACTCCAATCTCTGCCTCCCTGGTTCAAGCGATTCTCCTGCCTCAGCCTCCCAAGTAGCTGGGATTACAGGCATGTGCCACTATGCCCTGCTAGACAATTCACATTTTCTTTTGAGACTTTAGACTATATATGTAGCACATTTACAGCAAGACATAATTACAGATTTGATTCTATTTTGTTTCTTCACATTCTTTATTTCCTTAGGTTTACAAAACTATTGAATCTCTTGTTGTACATGAAACACTAAGACATCCTTAAAGCATATAAATAAAATAATTTGGTCACCTTTGAATCTGATTGAATTTATGAAAATAATGTATTAAAATTAGTATTAAACCATTTTATGAAAACCGGAAATCAGTTAAAATACTGTAAACTTGAGATGGTCTTTTTAACTTTACTGATGTTACTCAAACTGAATATTGATAACCTGGACTTAAATATCTCTGCTTGTCATAGTTAAATGAGCAGTTCAGTTATTTTTCTCAAGCCTTTATATTCCAAATCTGTAAATTAATCTTTAATTTCATGGAAAAAGCAAAAAAAAAAAAAAGTATCTAAAAACACCTAACATTCTGAGTGGAAAATATTTACTTCTTTCAAAAGCAGTTTCTGCCATTTTTGTCTAGTATGCATTTCTTTAAATCAAAATAAAAGATGTTAAAGCTAGTTATTGTTTAAACTGCCACTTTATTAAAATGCAAAGAAGTTGAAATTTTATACCTAGACTTAAGACAGAAGTTTCTAGTGGGTAATAAATAGAAGTGACAGAGCCAGTCTCCAAAGGAAGTAGTGGCCCTGCACCTGCTAGGTCCCAGGTTGCAATTCTCTCCTATTTAATAGCCCACAGCTCCAGCTTCCTAAGTATATCCTCCTCAAATTATTCTAACTTGACAGTGCTCTCTTGTTCCTCTTGTTAATATAATTGACATAGTCATCATCTGATACATAATTTTTCACTCAACAGTGTAAGTTTTCTGTATACAGCTATGGTTTCTTCATTTTCCTGATTTGTAATATTCTATTATATGGTTTCATTATATGTTATCTGGTAAAAATTATTTGGTTGTTTATAATTTTTGTTTTTATAAACAACACTACTATGCATTTTTTTCATTACGGTTTTCTGATATAGATATATAAGAGTTTCTCTTGGATATAAAATTTACAATGGAATATATTATATTCAAAGCATAAAAATAAATTCTAATAATATTTTTTGGGTGGAGAGGTTCTTTGATAATAATAAGCAATTACAATGTTAAACTCATGGTTTTTTTTTACTTCTAAAATGATCACAATTACATATGATTTAGTTGAAAACATTTTAAATATTTGAAATATGATATTGTTTAATAAGCAATGAAGCATAATTCCACTAACTCCACATTGGTTTTAAACATCTACTCTATAGCAGGCATTTTACAACAGTATGAGGAAAAATAGGTATCTGTTAAAGTTACAATGAATATTATGTATAATATGGTTAGGCTTTGTGTCCCCACCCAAATCTGATCTTGAATTATAATCCCCATAATTCCCATAATCCCCAAGTGTGAAGGGAAAGACCAGGTAGAGGTAATTGGATTAAGGGGGTAGTTTCCCCCGTACTGACTGAGTTTTCACAAGATCTGAGGTTTTATACGTGTTTGGTAGTTCCTCCTGCATTCATTCTACTTCCTGCCACCTTATGGAGAAGGGGTCTTGTTTCTCCTCTGTCTTCCTCCATGATTGTAAGTTCCCTGAGGCCTCCCCATCCATGCTGAACTGTTAGTCAATTAAACCTTTTGACTTTATAAATTATCCAGTCTCAGGCAGTTATTTATAGCAGTGTGAAAATGGATTAATACAGCAAATTGGTACTGAGTTAGGGGGGTGATACTATAAAGATACATGAAAATGTGAAAGCAACTTTGGAACTGGGTAACAGCCAGAGGTTGAAATAGTTAGGAGGGTTCAGTACAAGACAGGAAGATGCAGGAAAGTTTGGAACTTCTTCGAGACTTCTTGAATGGCTTTGACCAAAATGCTGATAGTGATATGGAAAATGAAGTCCAGGCTGCGGTATTCTCAGAGGGAGATGAGGAACTTGGTGGGAACTGGAGCAAAGGTCACTCTTGCTATGCTTTAGCAAAGAGATTGGAGACGTTTTGCTCCTGCCCTAGAGATCTGTGGAACTTTGAAATTCAGAGAGGTGCTGTATGGTATCAGGCAGAAGAAGTTTCAAAGCAGCAAAGTGTTCAAGATATAACCTGGGTGCTCTTAAAAGCATTCCGTTTTATATATTCACAGAGAAGGTTTGAAATTGGAACTTATGTTTAAAAGGGAAACAGAGCATAAAAGTTTGGAAAATTTGCCGCCTAAGGATGCAAAAGAGAAGCAAAACCCATTTTCTAGAGAGAAATTGAAGTCAGCCCCAGAAATTAGCATAAGTAACAATGAGCCAATTGTAAATCACAAGACAATGGAGAAAATGTTCCCAGGGCATGTCAGAGACCTTCACAGCAGCCTCTCCCATCATAGGTAAAGAAGCCTAGGAGAAGAAATGGTTTTGTGGGCCGAGTCCAGGACCTTGTGGCTTTGTACAGTCTCAGGACTTGGTGCCCTGCATCCCAGCCATGACTAAAAGGGGCCAACATATAGCTCAGCCTGCTGCTTCAGAGGTTGCAAGCCCCAGGCCTTTGTGGGCTTCATGTGGTGTTGAGCCTGTGGGTGCACAGAAATCAAGGATTGAGGTTTGGTAATCTCCACCTAAATTTCAGAGGATGTATGGAAGCTCCTGGATATCCAGGCAGAAGTTTGTTACAGGGGTGGAGTCCTCATGGAGAACCTCTGCTAGGACACTGCATTAGGGAAATGTGGGGCTGGAGCCCCACACAGAGTCCCTCCTGGAGTTCTGCCTAGTGGAAGTGAGAGAAAAGGGCCACCATCCTCCAGAACCCAGAATGGTAGGTCCACCAACAGCTTGCACCATGCACCTGGAAAAGCCACAGATGCTCCATGTCTGTCTGTGAAAGAAGACAAGAGGGAATTGTACCCTGCAAAGCCACAGGGATGGAGCTGCCTATGGTGGTGGTAGCCCATCTCTTGCATCCATGTGACCTGGATGTGAGACATGGATTCAAAGGGAATCATTTTGGAACGTTAAGGTTTAAAGACTGCCCTATTGGATTTCAGACTTGCATGGGGCCTTTAGCCCCTTTGTTTTGTCCAATTTCTCCCATTTGGTACAGGTGTATTTACCCAATGCCTATATCCTGATTGCATCTAGGAAGTAACTAACTTGCTTTCGATTTTACAGACTCCTAGGTAGAATGGACTTGCCTTGTCTCAGGTGAGATTTTGTATTTGAACTTATGGGTTAATGCTGGAATTAATTAAGGTTTTGGGGGACTATTGGGAAGACATAATTGGTTTTGAAATGTGAAAGGGACATGAGATTTGGGAGGAACCAGGGGCAGAATGATATGGTTAGGCTTTGTGTAGCCACCCAAATCTCATCATGAATTATAACTGTTATAATCCCCATAATCCCCATGTGTTAAGGGAGAGACCATGTGGAGGTAATTGGATCATGGAGATAGTTTTCCTCATGCTGTTCTCAGGATAATGAGTGAGTTCTCATGAGATCTGATGGTTTTATAAATGTTTTGTAGTTCCTCTTGTGTTCATTCTCCTTCCTGCCACTTGAAAAGAAGGTGCCTTGCTTCCCCTTCACCTTCTCCCATGATTGTAAGTTTCCTAGGACCTCCCTAGCCATGCTGAAATTTGAGTCAATTAAACTTTTATCCTTTATAAATTATCCAATCCTGGGCAGTTCTTTAAAGCAGTGTGGGAATGAACTAATAAAATTTGTTAGGGAAAATAATTACAAAAATATTTTTAGCTCAAACGTATTAAGAATTTAATAATTCAAGACTCAGTTCTCAACTCTGTTTTTGATAATGTAATTCTGTCTCTGGGTTGTAATTCTGTCTCTGGCATGTAATTCTGTCTCTGGGTTGCCCACTGCCATAGTTTCAATGGTTATTTCTAGTATTTGCCCCCAGCTTTTCTTCATTTTTATCCAAATTATTAGGAAAAAAAAAACAACAACTTGAAAGATATTAACACCTGACAGGATTGCAATCTATTTCTAGGAACAGTGGACATGAGAAGAAAATAAACTAGAACATAATATGATAAAATTAATGAGGCTCAATTTTATCACGAAAAATAGATGTTTCAAAGTGAGACCAAACCTGAATTTCAACCCAATTTACAACTGTTTAAATATTGGAAAGTAGGCTTATTTCATATCTGTTAAGAAATCTGAAGATGGTACTACTTTCCCTGGAATTCTGAGCATATTGTAAAAGCTAAATAAAAGTACTTCCACACTTTTTCTCAGAAATCAATAGAAAGACTAACCTCAATTGTGTAGACTCTGGCATAAATAAGCCATTCAAAATAGAATGTATTATGTTTCACTGAGTATATCATAGCTAATATGTTATTTAGGATTGAGAATATTTCCAGGAAATGCAGCTTCAAAGATAGGAATTTGTGGTAGGTAATCCGACCTGAATGGATTTGAAGACAGGAATTAAATTGTCAGCAATAAAGAATAGGATTCTTGAAAATGTAGCATGTGGTAACACTGTGTGTATGTGTGTGTGCGTGTGTGTATGTGTATATGTACGTATATATATATACACACACACACGCACACACACATACATACATGTATAAAATATCTGAAGGTAATGAATGAAATAAAGTTTCTATTGCTTTTGTTGAAAATCAGGTAGTGAGAGACAATTGACTGGTACAATAAAATATTATGGCATAAATAATAATTCAAATACTTTGTTTTGCATTAGCCCCTTTGGAATGCCTTAGAAAGATTACAGAAAGAAAAGGAGAATCTCATGAATTTAAATTCACATTTCCAATCATGTTCAGAGAATCAGAGGTTTTCTATACTTCCTTGAAATAAGTTCTTGGCTCTTTTAAGACACAATACAAATATTTCAGAAAATTAGACACAATGTATGAGTTTAAAGCTTGCTGAATTGCAAATAACAGCCTTCCCTGTCCTTAATTATAATTAACAAGTTAAGGTATTTATAAAAGTGGGACCACATGGGGGATTCTAATGGGTCTATGTGCCTTAAACCCTACTTCCCTCTAAACTTCCTCAGTTGGAGAAGTAGTCTCTCCTTTCCATTCTCAGGTTAGTTTCCCTGCTGACATATCTTTAACAATCTCCCTTTGGCAATTGTCTTATAAACATTTCTCCTCACAACCTACCTCAGTCACCTCTCATTGCTACATCACTAATAATTAAATTTAAATCCAAGTAGATCTCATTGGGGGTGAGTGGAGATGCAGCTACAAAGTCTGTATTGGGATGTAGCATACAAACTGAAAATCTGGTATGAGTTTACAAAATTATGCTGTCAGAATCATGGGAATACATGCAGGGATATAGTATGTCAGATCAGGAACAAAAAGGAGCATAACATTGAATCAGGATGAATTTATCCAAATGGGTTGACTTACATAGAAATTCTGGACTGTAGATTCATTATGTTATCTTGATAACTAGAAATGAAGAATAAGTTTGGTTTAACTTAAGCACAGATTCATACATGGCCTATATTAAATGGGTTTGAAGTAGCACAGCTCCATGTAATATATGGGAAGGAATCACAAAGCTTATGGAGATAGGACTATCCATGTGCCTGCAAACTGCTTAACATCCAAAAAAGCATTTTACGTGGATTGACCAAAAAAATATTCCTTCAAAAGGCATTAGGAAATGCATTGAGGATATGGCACGGTGTGGGGATAATATCTTTGAGAAGTTTTGCAATGTCTCCCCACTACTAGCAGAATATAATTGTGAGAGATGCCACTGTTCAAATGGGTTTCCCGATTTCAGTGACATAAATTTCTGAAGTGACAAAAGGCAAGCTGCATATCTTTGGCACTGGAGACAACGTAGGCAAGCTTACTAGAATGAAAAGAAGGTTGATTTAGTAAGCAGAATGTTTTAACCTGCAAATGTTTTTGTCAGTGGCTAATGGATCATGATATGCTGAAGACTGAAACAGATGGAGTGCCCCAAAATTCTCCTTTAATTGTGCAGATGAAAATTCCTAGAACTGAGAATCGGTGACCGATTTGAATAGCTTCAATCGAGAAAAATTTCCTGACTTGAAACAGTCATAGACTAGTTGAATGAACAGGAAGTCATGTCTCATTGAGAAAGGATGCTATAAACCACCACAGCAATATGTCTTCTCCTTGTCTTCTCAAAAGAGATCAGAGGTCATTTAACCGAAATGGCATTATCAAGACTTCTAGAGGTCTTTTTGGCCTTAGTTTATACATATACATTTCCTTGGCTATTAAAACAACACTGTGCTACTTGAACAGAGAAAGGTGCTAATTAAAGGCAGTAATTACAAATGCAGTTCTGACTTAGATTTTAAGTGAACTTTCTATTTTCAGGATTTGAATCTTCATATTGGTTCCCTGACCTAGAAAGACTGTGTCTGAAAATGTCCCAGGATTCACTCCCATTATTAATACTTGTGAGAAACTGGTACATGTGTATTTCCCTCTGGCATAACACTAACCCCTTAAATATTCTGAGTAATTTTGAGCATGCCATAATAAACACTAGAAATTGAAAGGATATACGCATGAGGAATCTAACTTATCTTAAGCATTATTTGATTTTTGTAATTATTCATACACTTCAGAAAATTTTTTCCAGAAAATGCCACATACTTATGTTTAAATACAAACTCACGTTTGGATACCCTTTCTCTTTTACTAAAATATGATATAAAAATGAGTCTTATTTCTCCAATTGTAGGAATAATAATTATAATTCCCCAAACAATATTTTCCAAAAGTATCATGATCTAGTTTTACTGAGGAGAATTGTCAAGAAGACAAATATTATGGTTGACACCAAATAAAATATATGCACATAATAAAGTATAGATTTACTTAAAAATAACAATAGACAAAATTCTCTCCAAGTTCCTAGTGCACACAGTACAATAAATAAATATTTTGAACTATATTATTTAAGAAACAAGTTCAAGACAGTTCCCATAGACTTATTCTGCTGTATTTATTTCAGAGTCATCAATATTTACACAAACATAAAGCTATATTAAACAAAAATAGGTATTTTGGGAATTGTTATGATTTAAAATATTTCTTTATTTTGATATGTTATACAACATAGTTTTATACTTAAAAAGATGCATAATAAAAAGAATTGCAGCAATTAATGAGTTCACCTACCTAATCCATGTACTTGCAACACTTCGAGCATGGATGTATTGATTCCTTTTTCAAAAATCACATCAAGGGCAAATAAGAAAATGATGTAATAGCCATAAACTCTTTTTTGGTGTAATCAGAGTATACTTGTTTCATACCTGGACGGTCATAAACACAGATTGAGATATATTTTCAGAAAAGTATTATATTTTCAATGGATTTATAACAAAATACAAGGCATTGATATTTGTCAAGAGTAAGATAATCTTAGTGTGGCAGTCTATGAAATATATTATAAAGACTATGTCTCTGATCTCTAGTCACACAGTACATATAGCTTTCACAATATAATAAAATATATATGAATATTCAGAAAAGTAATGCCGTCTCAAGACAGGATTTGGAAAATAATACCTAAACCCCAGGTCTTACACTTACATTTTTCTGTAATATAGCTGGTGAATTATTGACTATAGGGACTATAATTTTAATACTTCAAGCAGCTAAAATTGCAGCAAGCATTGAAACAGTGCTGGAAAATAAATAATATACTTTATCGAAGGAAACTGCTAAGCCATTGTAACTCAACCAGTATTTTAAGCTAGCCATCCCAATCTTTCTTTCTATTAATTTCTTCTGTCTTAACAAATGTGATCTTAAAGTAGACTAACTACTGACTTTAAGGAATAAAGCACTTACTCTGTTTTATCTGCATATTTGTTTATATCTATATATCATAAATATACAGTTAATCAGTGGGGTAACATTTTCCAGAAAATAGCTCCATTTAAGTATGATGAGTTCTTTAGAATACAGACTTTTGCTATAGTATCAAAGAGGTGTTTAAAAGGATGTAGAGAAATCGCAACTCTTGTGCACAGTGGAGAAATCGCAACTCTTGTGCACAGTTGATGGGAATATAAAACAGTGCAGCCAATGTGGAAAGCAGTTTAGAGGTTCGTCAAAAATTGAAAGTAGACCTACCATATGATCCATCAATCCTACTTCTGGCTCTTTATCCAAAATAATTGAATCTGGATTTCAAAGAGATATTTTCACTCCCACATTTATTGCAGCACTAATCATAATAGCCAAGATATAGAAATACCTGGTCCATTGATGCATGAGTGGAAAATGAAAAAATACTGTACACATTCAATGAAATATTATTCAGCCTTTAAAAAAGAAATTCTTGAGTTTCATGGACGAAAATTAAGAACATTATGACAGACGAGGCAGTTAGGGCTGGGTAGGCAGATAGAGAGGGAGCGTCTTGGAAGAAGGACAGAGAAAGGCGATGTTCAAGGGAACAACCATGGGACAACACCTGCACCACCTCTACAGCTATTGGGAATAAATGTGGTTAAGAACTTCCCCTTGAGTCAGGATGTCTGCTGAGAAGGGATAGTCCCAGCCTAATAAATTCTACTCATTCTCTTTTGTCTCTGTGCCTCATTCTTCTTGGTCATGTGACAAGAACTCAAACCTAGCTGAACCAGGGACTAAGCAGATTGCAACAATTATGCTAAACAAAATAAGCCAGTCACATTCACATGATTTCATTTAACTGAGATATCTAAAATAGTCAAGCACATAGAAGCAGAGAGTAGAATGGTAGGTGCCAGGCACTTTGGGGAGAGGGAAATAGGGAATTGCTGCTCAGCAATGAGTTGAAAGCTTGCTGAATTACAAATCAAAGCCTTCCCAGTCCTATAATTAAAATTAAAAAGTTATTTATAAAAATGGAACCACATGGGGGATTCTAAAATTTCATAAACTTTCATTTGTGCAAATGAATAAGTTTTAGAGATCTGTACAATAGTGTGCCTATAGTTAAGAAGACTGTATTATACATTCACACATTTATTTAGAGGATAGATCTATATGTCAAGTGTCAAATGTTTGCACCACAAGTTAAAAAAAAGTGTACCTCTTTATCTCTGTCTTCTGACCATTTCAGATATTGTCAGATTAAGAAGTAATAAAAGTTATATAGTTTTAAAAACACATAGTAATAGTAAGATTCAGAGAGCAATTTCTATGAAAGAAATGAGCAGGCAAAGATTACTTATTAATAATGAATAATGCTCATACTGTAAGGAAAAAAGAGTAAAATTGTTTTAGAAAATTGGAAATATTTATTGGACTAGTTACAATTTGTTATTTTTATTATTGAAAATAAATATAACTACATAATTTATTTTCTATCCAAGTTGCAAGTTTCAAAAAAATCTTACCTTTTGATATATGTTTAAATCATTTTATCAAACATTCAACTTTCAGATATTTGTCTCATATTTATTAAATGAACACTGCTTTAGTGAACAATTGCTGAGGTACAACATCTCTTCATGGAACACTAAAGGACATTAATCTTAAATTTGAAAGTCTTTTAATTTTTACATATGAATGTATTATGGAACAACCATTTAGATTAAAATGTAGAATATTATAATCTCCACAAATCCCAGAAAATATCAGTTACCCAAATATAACTCCTTTTTGGCTATAAGTGTGGATTAATTTTGCCTGTTCCTGAATTAAAAATGAATAAAATCATAGAAGATACATCGTTTTATTCCTGATTTTCTTCATCAGCTATGTCTGAGTTGTGTTTAAGTCATTACACGTAGCAGATTTTTTTTTTCATTTCTATAGCTATGTAGTTAACTTTGCTTTATGAAAATATTGCAATTTACTTTTTCTCTCTATGTTGACAACTTTTTGATTTGTTCCCAATTATTGTCTTCATACCATAAATATTTTTGTACACAATTTGGTGCACATTTGCATTTCATTGTTTTTGAGCATGGACCTATGTGTTAATTTGCCCTCTCAGAGGATAGGAGTACGTTTACCTTAATCGTATACCATTTAACATTCTTTGAATGTGGTTATGCCAATTTATAATCTCTCCAGAAATGTAAGAAATCCAAGTTGTTCCATACATTGACCAATAATTATAGTTTGTGTTACTAATTTTAGCCGTTTCAATGCATTTGCTGTGCTTTATGATGGTTTTAATTCTCATTTTCCTAAGAACTAATAATATTGAACAGCTTTTTGCTTATTAATCATTTAAACATCCTAGAAGTAGTGCTCTATGCATTTGCCCACTTACCCAGGGTCTTCCATATTTTTCTTACTGGTCATGAAGTTCTGTGTGTTTTATGTACAAGTTATATTGGAAATACACTCTTCCAACATGTGGCTTACCCTTCCAATGTCTAACTTTAAAAAGTTTTAAAGAATAAATTTTTGATGGAGTCAAATCAACTTTTTAGTTGGTACTTGTGGTTGTATGTAATATTTAAGAACATGAAAGGTTTACTATGTTTATTTTTTTCTACAGTGATATCCCATTATTCCAGTATCATTTAACATAATAGCCATCTTTTTCTACTGAATTAGATCACCAATTAGGTGACCATGAGTTCATGTGAATATTTGGGACTCTATTCTTTGATTGGTCCATTTGCCTGTCTTTACACCAATATCACGTTTCTGGCAATGCAAGTACACCAAACATGCTTTTTTTTGAAAATTATCTTAGCTGTTTTATGGTGTGTGTGTGTGTGTATTTGACTTAGTTTTGTCAACTCCCCTCAAAAGCCTGCTGGCATTTAGAGAAGAAGTCAATTGAATCAATAGAATAACGTGTAGTATTAACATATTAACGACCTTGGGTCTTCCAATCCATGAATATGTTATAGTTCTTCATTTATTATGTTTATTTTAATTTACCTCTGTAATATTTGTAAGTTTTTAATGTACGGTTTTTGCTCATCTTTTATTAGATGTATTCTTTGATATGTGATGATGTTTATACTATTTCAAGTGGTACGTTTTTCAGCTAATTAACAAAGTGTGATTACTAGTGTACATAAATACATGTTTAAATACTTACCATGTATCCAATAGCTTTGATAAATTCACTTACTATTTCTACTGTTTTGTTTATAGGCTAATATTTTCTACATTCACAATCATATCATTTACAACTAATGACAGAAGTACTTATTTCCAATCTTTATACCTTTTGTTTCTTTTTTATTGTACTGACTAGATATTCCAGTATAATTAAATAGATATGGTGACAATAGACATACTTAAATATATTTGTCATAATTATTTTAAAATTCTAGTCTTATAACTTCAATTTCTGATTCACCTGTGGATTTGTTTCTATTTTCCTATGATTTCAATATATTGACCATTTTTAACTTTCTGTTAGCCATCATGCCCAGCTAATTTTTGTATTTTTAGTAGAGAAAGGGTTTCACCATGTTGGTCAGGCTGGT
The DNA here is from genome assembly GCF_000001405.40 of Homo sapiens. Taxonomy (NCBI): domain Eukaryota; kingdom Metazoa; phylum Chordata; class Mammalia; order Primates; family Hominidae; genus Homo; species Homo sapiens. The sequence goes on along the minus strand of NC_000001.11, from coordinate 195,119,833 downwards.
CTTGAACTCCTGACCTCAGGTGATCCACCCACCTCGGCCTCCCAAAGCGCTGGGATTACAGGTGTGACCCACTGTGCCCTGCCTGTTTTAGCCATTTTTTAAATATTATGCCTCCTATTACTAACTCTGAAGTATAATATACACAGAGGAAAGCAATTATAACAATATTTCAACTCAATATAGTTACACAAATAAACACATACATGCAATCAGCACTCAGATCAAGAAACAGAATATCTGTCATCCCTAGCTTCAGAATACTACCTTCCAGTTACGATTCCCCAAAAGTAGTGAAAATAGACTTTACAGTATCTCACTTCTCAGAATGCACATTAGTTTGCTACCTTTGCATTTTATGCAAATGTACTGTATTGCTTTCAGTCATTTAGAGCTCATCTTTTGTGAAGTACCTCTTAATGTTCTCTGCTCATTTTAAAAATATTATTAATTTGTAAAATTTCCTTTTATATCTTCGATGTAAGATGTTTTATTCTATGTGCATTGAAAATATCTCCTTTAATTATATGGGTTATATTTTCATTTTTAAATGGTATCTCCTGGTGAACAAAATTACAAGTTTTTAATTTAATTCAGTGTTTAAAAATGTTGCTTTATGATTGGCAGTTTTTGCCTCATGTTTGCTAAAACTTTGTATTTTCCAGAATCACAGAGATGTTTTTACGTATCTCTTAGATACAAATATATTAGTGTTTTGACATTTATATTTAAATCTGCAATCCATTGAGTTTGAATTTTGTATATGGTTTAGGGACCAATATATATTTTTTTCAATGTTACCCGGAGTTATTTACCAAAAAGACTATAGGTTCACCCATTGAACTGTTGTGTCATCTTTGTTATGAATAGATGACGGTATATAGTTTCTATTCTATTGCCTTAGTTTATTTAACTATGCTTTCAGTAATACAGTTAATTAGCACGATTTTTAACAGACTGTCTTATCTGGCAATGCAAATTCTTGAGCATAGTTTTTCTTCTTTAAATTTCCTTCAACTATTATTTGTCTTATTGATTTTTTGAATCTATGCACATAGTATAATTCTCCATTTATTTATACCCTATTTAATTCTTCTCAGCTATGTATTTTAGTTCCCACTAGAGACATTATATGCATACTTCAATAGCTTTATTGCTATTGTTGTGCTTTTGTATATTTAGTTTTCCATTTGTAACGTTGGTATACAGATATACTATTAATATTTAACATTGATTTCAAATCCTAGATTTTACTCACTTCACTTATTAACTTCAACAGGTTTTCAATACATATTTTTACTATATTTGAAAGCACTCTTCTATAATTAAAAATTTAATTATCCATAATTATTTGAAAAATATAAGTTGTATTTCAGTATTTCTTATTTTAGTTGTATTAAACCATGTACAAATAATTATACATCTCAATATATTTTCACAAATAAACAGATGATAATAAGATGCACAGAGACTTATGTAATTTTTTAGTCTTCCTCTTAGGGAATTTTTTTTCCAATATTTTGTCATTGAGTATATTTGCTATAGATGATATTTATATTTTATTAATTATATGAAGAAAATTTTCTTCTTTGTTCAGTATTGAATTTCTTTATTGAACGTAGGTAAAATTTGGTCAAATTATTTCTCTGTATTTTTTAAGAGGAATCATACACAAGTATACATGTACACACACGCACGTTAACAGAAAACAAATATTGGTGGTAACAAAGTAAGTAAAAAATATAGGCAAATCACCATTAAGTCAGTATAATATGTGTTTCAGATTATACTAGTCACTGCTTACAAATAATTCTCCTAAATATTAGGTAAAAAGATGTACATTTCCTAAAATCCATAACAATATATGTGCTATCTCTAAACTTTATATATTTATGAATTTCATAATTACAAACTAAATTAATTTGCACTTTTGCTTCCAAGAAGGCTGTAGTTGTAGTCAGAATGATTTGGAAAATAATAACTTCTGCTGTAACAACTAGGAAAAACATTATTTATTCAACTATATTTATTTTTTAAACAATGGCCTCAGAGAGCTAAGTAAGCAAGAAATATAATACAAATTAAAATTTCAGACTCTCAAAATTTTCTAAAATGAGCTGATCTCTGATATTATTTTCCACTAGGAACTTTTGCTTATTCTCGGCACGTCTAAAAATCTGGCTTGAGCCAGGCAAAGAACATGGTTGAATGAAGAACTCAGGTTTATAGTTGTAATGCTAAAAAATCCTGGGCTGCTCTTCCCCAGAGCAAAAATACTAACTTTTGTGGTTCTTAGGGAGCTAGAGGAAAACATTCTTTTTCATATCTTCTTAGAAACGTATGTACCTACATTAGAGCTAGAATATATACGAATAAAATTTAAGACAAGATAAAAAATATATTCTACAACGGAATGTATCTGTATTAACTTATATAAACCATTTTCTCTCTTGCTCAGTATTTTCCAGTATACTTCTAATATTTCTTAGAAGAAAACAATCTCTTACTCAGAAGTTGTCCACACTGTCACCCAATCTTTTACACCGCAGGTTTTCTTTTCTATCTTCAGACCTTAGCTTTATGGTCATGACATCAGAAGGCCCTTCCTTGGCCAGCCTATTTTTGAAAATGCTTCTTAAATGAACTTTAGTAAATTGCATTTATTTCCTACTTGTAAAAAATTTATGAATGGTTACCATACTGGATAAAATATATTTGCAATATTTGAAAATCTCATATGTTAAAAAAATTGTATCTAATTTTTAGAATGTGGTTGTCACATGTTATATTCACATTTCTCCATTTTTTTATTGTTCATTGATTTATTTATGTCCTGTAAATTTTCTTTTAATGTCCTCATCTATTTTAGTTTGAGGTTTCTGAGTTTTTTTTACTGGTGTATAAAGATAGTTTCTTGCTTTTAAATATAGAGACATTAAATAAATGTTTGTTGTATTTGTTATTACAAATATAACATGCTTTTTTATCTTTTAAAAAGTGATTTTTTTGTAATATATAATAGTTCTCAAAATGTTTCTAAACAAACGTTTGAACCTTAATAGCTTTTAGGTTGTCTGATGGTGTCACAAACTTCATTTCCAAATACTAAATACAATTTTTTATTTCCATAGATTTTTTAAAAAATTTATTTTTGTTTTGGAATAAAAATAAACATTTCCTCATGTCCAAGTGAAACTACTGATTAATTAAGAAATAATCTGAATCCACATCATTTATATTAAGGAGAACATTGACATGCACTCATTTTTAAATAAATCAACACCAAAAAATGTAATTTATTGCTTAAGGGCACATTTCATTATACAGAATATAATTTGCTATTTATTATTATGTAATAGTGAGAGTTAATCTGTGGGAGAAGTATACAGTAATTACAAAATTTTAAATGATTGAAATAGGGCGATATGCTAGATGTAGTGTTGCATAACAGTAAAATATGTTATTTCTATAAAATAGTCTAATTTTGGCATTTTATAGTCAATACTAATACATATATATAATTAGCCCAAAAGAAAGTAAAGATACAGCTCTATGAAATATTAATATTATTTCTAACAATGTTGGAATTAGAAATTAAACAGTTCCTCACTCTTATAAAATGATTCGAGATTGAAATATGTGAAGTAATTAATAATGATTTGACATTTGAAACACTTCACTGAGTAGAATCATAGAGAGTTCATTTACAGTGTTAAAAATGATATTTGGACTTTAAAAATAGACATAGATATTTGAACAATTATTCCTATTAAAATGTACATTGTATAAAATTTAACATTGAAACTTAGAAAGTAGAGTCAAATTTTTTACTAACCTATAACCAGAAACAGTACCATAATTGTTTTGTTTCATGATTTCTATAAAGTGTTTCATACTAAAATTCAATTACAATATGTATAGTATTTGTAACTTATATTTTCCTGTCAAAAATAAGATGCAAATTTATTTTACTATGTTAATGGTTGTCTTTACAGAATAAAATTATTGAAAATTTCTAACAACAAAGTTAGAATTACAATGACATCTCCTCATTTATCTTCAAAATTTATAAATAAAGATTTCCCTAATTTCAAAAACTATATTTTTATCTCTAAATACAAATTCTAAGGTTGTTCCTGGACCACTAAAACTATTTGGAATAAAAAGGACATCAATTTTTTTTTTTTTTTTTGACAGAGTCTCTTGCTCTGTCGCCCAGGCTGGAGTGCAGTGGCACTATCTTGGTTCACTGCAAGCTCCGCCTCCTTGGTTCACGCCGTTCTCCTGCCTCAGCCTTCCCAGTAGCTGGGACTACAGGCGCCTGCCACCACGCCCTGCTAATTTTTTGTATTTTTAGTAGAGACTGGGTTTCACCTTGTTAGCCAGGATGGTCTCCATCTCCTAACCTCGTGATCCGCCCGCCTGGGCCTCCCAAAGTGCTGGGATTACAGGCGTGAGCCACCGCGCCTGGCTAGGACATAAAATTTTTAAACAAGTAATAGTATGCTGTGATATTCATGGAAGAATGATATTAAAATGATGTTTTAATAATAGCAAATTGACAGGGATACATATTTCAAATTTGTATATGTATAGGCTTAATTACAAAATTTAAAATGCTCTGTTCTACTTAATATATCATGTAAGCATTTATTTATATATCATGTGTAATTAAATAACTCATGTCTTATAATGTCACATGAAGTATAAATACATAACTGTGTTCTGAATTGCAGTTGTTGTACCCTTAAATGTCCGTTTATTTAGAATTTAATTTCATTTCTTATTAATTGTTATTACCTGCCTAGAATATAGCCTTAAGCAGAAATATACTACATGGATGAGAGGATCATTTCAGTTTGCAAGAGACTGCATTTTTAATATATTGTACTACCACGTGGAATATAATACTATACATTTTCTAGTTCTGCCAGTCCCATTCCTAATAAATACACATACAGTTAAGGATAAGTAAAGGAAGGATTGAAATTATGTTAGTTACAGTGAGTTAAGGAAAAAGTAGCAATGGCCAACTTCCCCACTGTCACTTCCATTCAATTTAACATTTCAAAATAATCAAGGCTTTCTGAAGACAATTGCCATGAATCCCTCTAGGTGTTAGTTACAAACAGCATATGTCAAAAATTAACCATAACTACAGGTCAAGTTGGGGGTATTTTCCTTTAGTAGATTTTTCTATATTATATTCCTTAATGATCCAAAATATTAATGCTAATTTGTAATAAATGCAATTTTGTAATTTGCAGGTACACACATAAAAAAATAAAACACACACTGAAAGCTTTAAAAAAGAAACCAGTTACTTTAAAGTACTACCATTTAAAAATTACATTTGTCACTGAGGATATGAACAGTGTTTGATAAGAAAAATCACATAACTCCATATTTTATTTTCCTGCCTTCTTGGAGTAGCAAAGCCTTATCTTGCTTTAAGGCAGGACCTAAGCACAATAATTTCCTGCTGTATGTTTCTGGAAATACAACTCTCCAAGAGGCAAACTCTTTCAAAGCTAGCAAGCAATTCCAGCTATCTAGGCTTCACTTTTTCTCAGGATTTCAGCCATTGATGGCAATCTACAGAGAGCTCAAAGTTTTGAAAAAAAAATTTAATTTAAATGGAAGATAGGGACAATCAAAGAATACTAGAATCTCAGTGACCTTATATAGACCCATGCTTTTATGTCCCATAATCTTACTTAAATGGAAATTGAGTCTGAAAGATTCTAAATATGTTATTTAAGGTAAAATGCATGGCCATTGGCAAGGTCAGGTAAGGTTGCCAGGACACTGCAAACCCCTTTTGCACTGTTAGTTTCTTAAATACATCTTCAGTTTCTAGAAAGGATGCTATATATTTGCCTTATTGAGGAATTTCTTCTCTTTTTGTTTCTATTATGACTCATGCAGATAACAAAAAGCATGCTTAATTTCTGTAATGACAGAGAACATTGCCATTTGTGTATTCTCTAAAAGTGTTTGAAATCTAAATTACTGATTGCTTCCTTAAACTTATGAGTTATAATAACAGTTTAATAGAAAGAAATCCAGTTTTTCATTCTTCTGTCTCCAAAATGTGAATTTCACTGCTCCCTTTACTGTGGGTTCTGCCTTGGCCTCTGACACAAATACAAAGAAAAATACAGTTTCCATGAAGGAGCTCTCCATGGTACCCTTACAATACTTTTCTTTTTTTTTAACCTCTAATGCCTCAAATGAATACCTTAGGTTCACTTTTGCTTAGGTCATGTACTCTTAATTTTAGCTGACAAGTCTTAGAATTTCCTCATTTTAAACTGAGAAATAAGTTATTTTCCAAACTCTACATATCTGGAACATATGCTTTTTCTCTAAGTATTAAATCCTGTATTTGACACTTCCCACGACAGATTTTTCCTAATGTAGGTTAAGTGAAAAAAAAAAGCCTCTCATTTGTGATGTATTTTGGGCAAATCACAGGTGATCAAATATTCAATTATACAGCTATGTCTTTGTTGTGGATGTTATGTGTCACCATGTTTGTTTTAGATAAGTCTATATACTAGGACTGTCTACCATCATCCTTAGCAGAAACCTCTTACTTGAGATGTGACTACTTCATAATCTTTGTTTATATTTTAGTTACATTTTTATTTGATATTTTTATTTGATAGAGGCTTTGCTAAGCATAAGTAATGAATTATCCAATTATAAAATTAGTGATTTGCTAAATACAACATAGGCTATAAAAATCGGATCTTTTTGTTGTGATCAGTACGTAGGTAAATTGGTCAAGATATTTAGAAACCCTCTTTTGCTATGAATGAGCAAATCTAAAGAATTTGCAAGCCCTACTGCACATAGCTTTAGGGCTGACTCCTGATTACTTAGCTCTATGTCCACCATTGAATCTAAGTATTCTGGTGAGTTGATATTAATTTTAAGTATAAGACAATTCTTCTTCTAGAAAACGTTTCCTTTTTAGAATGGATCATTTAGATTAATTATTAACATAGCAAGTAAAATAACAGAATAAGTTTTGGTGACTTTTTGGGGTTATTAAAGTTTTTTGTTTGTTTGTTTTTAATTAAGCCTCCAGAATAGTATGTGTGTAGTATTTTATACCAGCTAGCTAAAGAAAAACTGTGTTTAATAAATACCAGCATAGTAAAAGGTTCTTCAAATTTTGTTCATTAATATCTGGAAGGAATAGCAGAGAATTGCAACACCAAACACAGGCTACTCCTGCTACCTATTACAAGTATGTAAAAATTGACTCAGGCCAGCTCACAGCAGAATAATCTTGACATCACATAAAGAAAGTTCACTTTTCTCAAATTTCCTTACCTATGCCTTGACTCGTGTATTTTAGAAACATTCAGAGTGCAAGATACTATGGATTAGTATCCTTTGACCCTGATTATTTGATGTAAACTTACATTAAATAATATTATTATCTTGAGATATCTGCTTTCTATATTTCATAGGAATAACTAAAGAACACATTTTCAAAAGAATCAGTGGAGCCTACAACTGTACAAGGAGAATCATGTAAAAAATAGGAGTGGTAAGAGAGGGCCTTCTTGTCTTGTGCCAGTTTTCAAGAATGCTGTTCTAGCTTTTACTCCTTCAGTCTGACGTTGGCTGTGAATTTGTCATAGGTAGCTGTTATTATTTTAGGATATATTCCTTCATGTTGAGAGTTTTTAACATGAAGGCATGTGGAATTTTATCAAAAGACTTTTTTTGCATCCATTGAGATAATAATACAGTTTTTGTCTTTTGTTCTGTTTATGTGATGAATCACATTTAGTGATTTGTGTATATTGAACCAAGCTTAAATTTCAGGGATGAAGCCTACTCGATCATCCAGGATTACATTTTTGATGTGTTGTTGGATTCAGTTTGCCAGTATTTTGTTGAGGATTTGTGCATCAATGTTCATCAAGAATATTGGCCTGAAGTTTTCTTTTTTGGTGTGTATGTACTGGCCTCATAGAATAATAGGGGGAGGAGTCCCTCCTTCTGGGTTTTCTTTTTTTATTATTATACTTTAAGTTTTTGGGTACATGTGCATAACATGCAGGTTTGTTACATATGTATACATGTGCCATGCTGGTGTGCTGCACGCATTAACTCGTCATTTAACATTAGTATATCTCCTAATGCTATCCCTCCCCCCTCCCACACCCCACAACAGTCCCCGGTGTGTGATGTTCCCCTTCCTGTGTCCATGTGTTCTCATTGTTCAATTCCCACCTATGACTGAGAACATGCAGTGTTTGGTTTTTTGTCCTTGTGATAGTTTGCTCAGAATGATGGTTTCCAGCTTCATCCATGTCCCTACAAAGGAGATGAACTCATCATTTTTTATGGCTGCATAGTATTCCATGTTGTATATGTGCCATTTTCTTAATCCATTCTATCATTGTTGGACATTTGGGTTGGTTCCAAGTCTTTGCTATTGTGAATAATGCTGCAGTAAACATACATGTGCATGTGCCTTTATAGCAGCATGATTTATAGTCCTTTGGATATAATGACCCAGTAATATGATGGCTGGGTCAAATGGTATTTCTAGTTCTAGATCCCTGAGAAATCGCCACACTGACTTCCACAATGGTTGAACTAGTTTACAGTCCCACCAACAGCGTAAAAGTGTTCCTATTTCTCCACATCCTCTCCAGCACCTGTTGTTTCCTGGCTTTTCAATGATAGCCATTCTAACTGGTGTGAGATGGTATCTCATTGTGGTTTTGATTTGCATTTCTCTAATGGCCAGTGATGATGAGCATTTTTTCATGTGTCCTTTGGCTGCATAAATGTCTTCTTTTGAGAAGTGTCTGTTCATATCCTTCGCCCACTTTTTGATGGGGTTGTTTGTTTTTTTCTTGTAAATTTGTTTGAGTTCATTGTAGATTCTGGATATTAGCCCTTTGTCAGATGAGTAGATTGCAAAAGTTTTCTCCCACTCTGTAGGTTGCCTGTTCACTCTGATGGTAGTTTCTTTTGCTGTGCAGAAACTCTTCAGTTTAATTAGATCCCATTTGTTAATTTTGTCTTTTGTTGCCATTGCTTTTGGTGTTTTAGACATGAAGTCCTTGCCCATGCTTATATCCTGAATGGTACTGCCTAGGTTTTCTTCTAGGATTTTTGTGGTTTTAGGTCTAACATGTAAGTATTTAATCCAGCTTGAATTAATTTTTGTATAATGTGTAAGGAAGTGATCCAGTCTCAGCTTTCTGTATATGGCTAGCCAGTTTTTCCCAGCACCATTTATTGAATAGGGAATCCTTTCCCCATTTCTCGTTTTTGTCAGGTTTGTCAAAGATCAGATAGTTGTAGATAAGTGGCATTATTTCTGAGGGCTCTGTTCTGTTCCTTTGGTCTGTATCTCTGTTTTGGTACCAGTACCATGCTGTTTTGGTTACTGTAGCATTGCAGTATAGTTTGAAGTCAGGTAGCATGATGCCTCTAGCTTTGTTCTTTTGGCTGAGGATTGACTTGGCAATGTGGGCTCTTTTTTGGTTCCATATGAACTTTAAAGTAGTTTTTTCCAATTCTGTGAAGAAAGTCATTGGTAGCTTTATGGGGATGGCATTGAATCTGTAAATTACCTTGGGCAGTATGGCCATTTTCACGATATTAATTCTTCCTACCCATGAGCATGGAATGTTCTTCCATTTGTTTGTATCCTCTTTTATTTCATTGAGCAGTGGTTTGTAGTTCTCCTTGAAGAGGTCCTTCACGTCGCTTGTAAGTTGGATTCCTAGGTATTTTATTCCCTTTGAAGCAATTGTGAATGGGAGTTCTCTCATGATTTGGCTCTCTGTTGTCTGTTATTGGTGTATAAGAATGCTTGTGATTTTTGCACATTGATTTTATATCCTGAGAGTTTGCTGAAGTTGCTTATCAGCTTAAGGAGATTTTGGGCTGAGATGATGGGGTTTTCTAGATATACAATCATGTCATCTGCAAACAGGGACAATTTGACTTCCTCTTTTCCTAATTGAATGCCCTTTATTTCCTTCTCCTGCCTGATTGCCCTGGCCAGAACTTCCAACACTATTTTGACTAGGAGTGGTGAGAGAGGGCATCCCTGTCTTGTGCCAGTTTTCAAACGGAATGCTTCCAGTTTTTGCCCATTCAGTATGATATTGGCTGTGGGTTTGTCATAGATAGCTCTTATTATTTTGAGATACATCCCATCAATACCTAAATTATTGAGAATTTTTAGCATGAACGTTGTTGAATTTTGTCAAAGGCCTTTTCTGCATCTATTGAGATAACCATGTGGTTTTTGTCCTTGGTTCTGTTTATATGCCGGATTACATTTATTGATTTGCATATGTTGAACCAGCCTTGCATCCCAGGGATGAAGCCCACTTGATCATGGTGGATAAGCTTTTTGATGTGCTGCTGAATTCAGTTTGCCAGTATTTTATTGACGATTTTTGCATTGATGTTCATCAGGGATATTGGTCTAAAATTCTCTTTTTTTGTTGTGTCTCTGCCAGGCTTTGGTATCAGGATGATGCTGGCCTCATGAAATGAGTTAGGGAAGATTCCCTCCTTTTCTATTGATTGGGATAGTTTCAGAAGGAATGGTACCAGCTCCTCCTTGTACCTCTGGTAGAATTCGGCTGTGAATCCATCTGGTCCTGGACTTTTTTTGGTTGGTAAGCTATTAATTATTGCCTCAATTTCAGAGCCTGTTATTGGTCTATTCAGAGATTCAACTTCTTCCTGGTTTAGTCTTGGGAGGGTGTATGCGTCAAGGAATTTATCCATTTCTTCTAGATTTTCTAGTTTATTTGCATAGAGGTGTTTATAGTATTCTCTGATGATAGTTTGTATTTCTGTGGGATCGGTGGTGATATCCCCTTTATCATTTTTTATTGGGTCTATTTGATTCTTCTCTCTTTTCTTCTTTATTAGTCTTGCTAGTGGTCTGTCAATTTTGTTGATCTTTTCAAAAACCCAGCTCCTGGATTCACTGATTTTTTGAAGGGTTTTTGTGTCTCTATTTCCTTCAGTTCTGCTCTGATCTTAGTTATTTCTTGCCTTCTGCTAGCTTTTGAATGTGTTTGCCCTTGCTTCTCTAGTTCTTTTAATTGTGATGTTAGGGTGTCAATTTTAGATCTTTCCTGCTTTCTCTTGTGGGCATTTAGTGCTATAAATTTCCCTCTACACGCTGCTTTGAGTGTGTCCAGAGATTCTGGTATGTTGTGTCTTTGTTCTCGTTGGTTTCTAAGAACATCTTTATTACTGCCTTCATGTTGCTCTGTACCCAGTAGTCATTCAGCAGCAGGTTGTTCAGTTTCCATGTAGTTGAGCGGTTTTGAGTGGGTTTCTTAATTCTGAGTTCTAGTTTGATTGCACTGTGGTCTGAGAAACAGTTTGTTATACTTTCTATTCTGTTACATTTGCTGAGGAGTGCTTTACTTCCAACTATGTGGTCAATTTTGGAATAGGTGTGGTGTGGTGCTGAAAAGAATGTATATTCTGTTGATTTGGGGTGGAGAGTTCTGTAGATGTCTATTAGATCCACTTGGTGCAGAGCGGAGTTCAGTTCCTGGGTTTCCTTGTTAACTTTCTGTCTCGTTGATCTGTCTAATGTTGACAGTGGGGTGTTAAAGTCTCCCATTGTTATTATGTGGGAGTCCAAGTCTCTTTGTAGGTCTCTAAGGACTTGCTTTATGAATCTGGGTGCTCCTGTATTGGGTGCATATATATTTAGAATAGTTAGCTCTTCTTGTTGAATTGATCCCTTTACCATTATGTAATGGCCTTCTTTGTCTCTTTTTATCTTTGTTGGTTTAAAATCTATTTTATCAGAGACTAGGATTACAACCCCTGCCTTTTTTGTTTTCTATTTGCTTGGTAGATCTTCCTTCATCCACTTATTTTGAGCCTATGTGTTTCTCTGCATTTGAGATGGGTTTCCTGTATACAGCACACTGATGGGTCTTGACTTTTAATCCAATTTGCCAGTCTGTGTCTTTTAATTGGAGAATTTAACCCATTTACATTTAAGGTTAATATTGTTATTGGTGAATTTGATCCTGTAATTATGATATCAGCTGGTTATTGTGCTCATTAGTTGATGCAGTTTTTTAGAATATTTTCAGCAGGAATCGTACAATGTCTTCTTTGTACATTTGATATAATTTGACTGTGAATCCATCAGTTCCTGGGGTTTTTTTGGTTGACAGACTTTTTAATTACTGATTCAATTTCAGAGCAGATTATTAATCTCTTCAGTGAATCAATTTCTTCCTGGGTCAGTCTTAGAAGAGTGTATATGTTAGATATTTATCTGTTCTAGGCTTTCGCATTTATATGCATGGAGGTATTTGTAGTAGAGTAGTTTCTGATAGTTATTTTTATTTTTGTGTGTTCAATGGTGACATTCCCTTCATCATTTATAATTGTTTTTATTTGGATCTCTCTTTTCTTCTTCATTATTCTAGTTGGCAGCCTATCTAGCTTATTAATTAAAAAAAACAACTCCTGGATTTTTTTGATCTTTTAGCTTCAGGGTTGATTTGTTTTTGCTTCTCTAAGTATTTTAGTTGTGATGTTATGTTTTTAATGTGAGATCTTTCTAACTTCTGGATATGTGCAATTAGTGCTATAAATTTCCCTCCTAAAACTGCTGTAGCTTTTCCCCAGAGATTCTGATATGTCATATCTTTGTTCTCATTAGTTTCATAGAACTTCTTGATTTCTTCCTTAATTTCATTATTTACCTAAAAGTCATTCAGGAGCATGGTGTTTAATTTCCATCTAATTGCATGGTTTTGAGTGATTTTCTTAGTCTTGACTTCTCTTTTTATTGCCCTGTGGTCTGATAGTGTGTCTAGTGTGATTTCAGTTCTTTTTCATTTGCTGAGATTGTTTTATGTCCATATATGTGGTCAATTTTAGAGTAAGTGCCAAGTGGCAATGAGAAGCATGTATATTCTGTTGTTTTGGGTTGGAGAGGCCATAGAGGTCTATCAGATCCATTTGGTCCAATGTTGAGTTCAGGTCCTGAATATTTTTGTTAATTTTCTGCTGCAATGATCTGTCTGATACTGTCAGTGGAGTGTTGAAGTTTTCCACTATTATTGTGAGAGAGTCTATGTCTTAGTCATTTTACAGAATAGTAAAATCAAGAACAAACACAAAATAACAAATTTATTTCCTACCTCTTTAATTCAATTATTCACACAGGGCAGTTGATATGGTTTGGATCTGTGTCCTCACCAAATACCACATCTAACTGTACTCTGTAATGTTGAAGGCTAGTTGGAGGTGGTTGGAAAATGGGGATGGATTTTCGTGAATGATTTAGCACCATCCACTTGGTACTGCTGTCATGAGTGTAAGTTCTCATGAGATCTTGAATCTGTGTGGCACCTCTTCCAACTCTCTGTTGCTACTGCTCCCACCACATGATATACCTAACATTTCCTTTGCCTTTTATCATAATTAGAATCTTCCTGTTGCCTCCCTAGAAGCAAAAGGTGTTATTCTTCCTGTATCGCTTATGGAACCATGAGCCAATTAAACATATTTTCCTTATAAATTACCCAATGTCAGGTCTCTTTTATAGGAGTGTGAGAATGGACTAATACAGAAATTTGGAGTGTGGCATTGCTATAAAGCTACTTGAAAATGTAGAAGCAACTTTGGAACCGGTAATGAGCAGCAGTTTTAAGAGGGTGGAGGGCTCAAAAGGATACAGGAAGATGAGGGAAAGTTTAGGACTTCCTAGAGACTGATTGAATGGCTATTAACAAAATGCTGGTAGTGATATGAACAGTAAAGGCCAGGCTGATGTGGACTCAGATGGAAATGAGTCACTTATTGGAAACTGAAGCAAAGGTCACTTTTGTTATATCTTAGCAAATAACTTGGCTGCATTGTTCCCTTTCCCTAGGGAATCTAGGGAACTTTGAACTTGAGAGTGATGATTTAGGGTATCTGGTGGAAGAAATTTCTAGGCAGCAAAGCATTCAAGATGTGACCTCGCTGCTTCTAACACCATATGCTCATATGTGTGAACAAAGAAATAACCTAAAGTTGGAATTTATGTTTAAAGGAGAGGCAGAGCATAAAAGTTTGAAAAATTTGCAGCCTGGTATAGTGGTAGAAAAGAAAAACCATCTTCAGAGGAGAAATTTAAGGAGGCTGCTGAAATTTGTGTATGTAAAAAGGAGACAAGTGCTAATAGTCAAGACAATGGGGAAATGGCCTCAAAGTCATTTCAGAGGGCTTGCAGCAGCCCCTTCCATCATAGGCCCAGAGGCCTAGGAGGGAAGAATGGTTTCCTGGGCCAGACCCAGGGCCTGCTGCCCTCTGCAGCCTGCCTCAGGACATTGCTTCCTGCATCTCAACCACTCCAGCTCTAGCCATGGCTCAAAAGGGGCGAGGTACAGCTCAGGGCTCTTCTTCAGGGGGTTGTAAGCCTTCAAGGCTTCCATGTGGTTTTACTCCTGTGGGTGGACAGAGTGAAAGAGTTGAGGCTTCGGAACCTCTACCTAGATTTAGGAGGATGTATGAAAAAGCCTGTATATCCAGGGAGAGGCCTGTTACAGGGACACAGCCCTCATAAAGAGCCAGTACAGAGGGCAGTTGTGGGGTTGGAGCCTGCACATGGAGTCCACACTGGGGTACTGCCTAGTGCAATTGTGAGAAGAGGGCCACCAATCCTCCATATCCCAGATTAGTAGTTCCACCGGCATCTTGCACCCTGATCCTGGAAAAGCTGTGAGCACTAAAACCAAGCCCTTGAGAGTAACATCAGGAGCTGAATTCTGCAAAGCCACAGGGGCAGAGCTACTCAAGGCAGGGGAGCCCACCCCATGAATCACTGTGCCCTGGATGTGGAACATGGAGTCAAAATGTATTATTTTGGATCCTGAAAATATAATGATTGCCCTGCTGGGTTTCAGACTTGCATGGGGCCTGTAGCCCTTTATTTTGGATGATTTATCCCCTTTGGAATGGAAGTAATTACTCAATGTCTGCACCTCATCTGTATCTTGAAAGTAACACACTTTTCTTTTGTTTTGCAGGTTCACAGGCAGAAGGGATTTTTTTTTTCTTTCCTTCATTACTTTACTTTAAAAGTTTAGATCAGAGTACCAATAGAAAGTCTATCCACTCACATTTACTTTAAACTCACCTTTCACAAAGCTTTTTAATGTGAAAATGATCTTCAAGATGGCTAATCTCTTGGTCTATTCACATTTTTATTTCATTTTATTGCAATAAAAGAATAACAGTTAAAGCTCTCAGAACCTTCTTACAAACCTACAAAAATGCTTTCTCCATCTTTTCAATGGGTTATGATCCTGCACATGAAGGATGTTAATAGATGTGGAATTGGGTTTTTTAAATACTTACAATTTTTACTTTTTGTGGCTACACAGTAGGTGTATATATTTATGGTGTACATGAGGTATTTTGATACAAGCATACAATGTGTAATAGTGACATCAGGGTAAATGGAGTGTCAGATGGAACCAGACGTCATTATTTTAAGTAAGCATAGCAAAGGAAAAAAAATTCATAGAGGAACTGGATAATGGAAATTAGGAGAAAATATTTTCAAACCATACATCTGATAAAAAGCTAATATCCAAAATACATAAGGAATTTAACTGAATAGCAAGAAAAAGAAATCTCAATATAAAAAATGGGCAAAGGAACTAAATTCTTCTCAAAAGAGTACATTTAGGTGGTCAACAGATAAATGAAAAATGTTCATCATCCCTAACCAGAGAAATGCAAATTAAAACCACAATAAAAACTCCCATGTGTTAAAGTGGCTATTTTTAAAAATACAAGAGATAACAAGTGTTGCGTAGTGTGTGGAGGAAAGGGAATTATTGGGTAATGTTGGTGGGAATGCAAATTAACATAGCCATGATGAAAAAGGGTATGTATGTTCCTTAGAAAACTAAACATGTATTTACCATAGGATTCAGCAATCCCACTTCTGGGCATATAATGCAAAGGAACTGAAATCAGTATGTGGTGGAGCTACCTGTACTTCTATGTTTACTGCAGCATTATTTATAATAGCTAAGCTAGAAACCACCTAGGTGCCCATCATCAGATAATTAGAAAAAGAAAATGTGGTAAGTTGTTTATATATCATTTATGGGAATACTATTCAGCCTTATAAAGGGGGAAATCATATCATTTGTGACAATCTGAATGGACCTGGAGGACATAGTGCTAAGTGAAATAATCCAGACACAGAAAGACAAATACCATATAATCTCACTCACCATGGAATCGAAAAAAGTTTTGTTATTGGCTAGGGTATTCCTTCTGGATTGTTATATGGATCTTGGGCTTTAAACACAAAATGGGGCAACAATAATAACAACTGGAGCTCAGGTTTCCTTGGGCCATTACGTAGTATGTAATGTTCAATAATAACTGTCAGTGGACAATTGCAGTAACCACAATCCAATAAAGACAAGAACCATGTAGGATTGAATGTCTGGGTCACCCCATCATCAAGCTACTCAAACTGGCCAAGTTACTGGCTAAAGATAATGGAATACTAGAATACAAGAGAAAGAAAGGAGAGGATAACTATCAATTTGAGTCTCAGAAACAGCCTGACTGGGCAATTAACAACTTAAAAACCTATCTCTTTGTATTTGCTTCCTAGTTTTGTCCACTTCCTTTTTCTCTTTCTCCTGTCCTGGGATTATCTTTCACAATAAATAAAGCATCAAACTCTATTTTGCCTTCAAGCTCTTTATTCTAAGGAACCTGCCAGACAAAGACATTCCCTAAGACCAAAGTTACATCACTAGAATGCAGCAGGTTTCATGACTGAGTACAAGAAATGAAATCCCATTTAGCATAAATCCAATAGGTGGCAGTCAGAGAAACAAAGATTTACATTTAAGTATACTAATCAAATATCTGTTTAAAAATAAGATAGCTGTAGTGTTTACCCACTAAAATTCTTTACACAATCAGCATCTTTTTGAAATAGTATTATTTTAATTAAAATATTTGAAACTCAATTTAAAAGTAATATTCTATTCCATGCACAGGAATTCTGCAGAATAAATAGCACATATTCTATGCAGCAAGCAAAAATAATGGTAATTAATATAGAACAGACAAAGGAATCCCCTTTACAAAAGAAGCCACTTGGAATCATAAGTGCCCTTTTAACTTGTACATTTTATAATAGACTTCATTATGCAACCTCCAAAGATTTTTCTAAGGTCAAAAGTACTGATTGGGTATGTGTGTATATGTGCATGCTTTTTTTCCCTCAGCTTTAAAAAAGCCATTTAAATTATTTGTCCTCATCATCTTTAGAGATCATATATCCTGATGTAAGGGCTGACAAAAATCTTTCAAATGAAATTGCCTATTGTAACACTGTGAGCATCCATTTGTGCACATGAAATGTAGAAGGTTTCAGGCAATTCTTTAATATTTAGTGCTAATAGTTTCTCACTAATTGGATAGAAAAGGAGTCAGGAAATACAGAATAAAAGATGGAAGGTTCATTAAAATATTATGGAGAAATTAAGAGTATTTCAAATAAAATACAAAATCCTATATGAATGAATTTGCCTACTTGCTGTAATTCCACCACATATGTCTCACTAATTTAACAATTTTTTCCAGTAATACCCCTGTAACATTTTGCTTTTATCTCCATCATGGTGTAAATACTACTCTATTATTTCACTTTCTATTTATTCTTCTCATCAGCATATTTCAACCTAAAGACTAGTGTATTATAGAAATGCTGGACATCAATGTTATCATATTAAGTAATTTACAACCTGGCAAGAAGATAAGTATCTTTCATCTCACCTCCCTCAAAAAAAAAAAAAAAGCAAACAAAAAAGTAACTCTAACATAATAGTATAAAACTACAATAAAGGTATATTACATGTTATTAAAACTCAATAGACATATTTGTCCAGGAAAAAAATGCAGTGCCTTCACCGAGGAAGTATCAAGCTGATAATTGAATGGTTAGTTGTATTTGTTAACATAAATTTAATGTTTGCAAATGGAAATAAAAATATAATCACTAGCCTCGGGTATGTCTTTAACAGCAGCATGAAAACAGACTAATATTGGTAAAACACATTTTAGTATTCTATCTAGACTGGGCAAATTTGGTTTCTTGCTTTCCCATGTCATCTAACTACTGTTTCCTTGCTTATACAGCTCTAAAATAAGAGACAAATATAATAATTAATATCTAAACTTTTTTCCTAGTGCTAAAATTCAATGATTCATTTAAATAAAACTTTTAAATCATTTGAGCATTGTTTTGGTCTACATCCAGGTGTCATTTTAACAATTGATATATGGAGAACACAGAATTTAATTACTGCCACTAACAGCATACTAAAATAGCATTGTTAAGTAATGATTTATTATCTTTTGAAACTAGAGTAAGTGAACACAGAATAGTACACGTGTTGCATTAGATAATTTCAAGTTATAACAAATTGCTGGATCTAGATGCATAACTAAATATTAATTTAAATACTTATTAAATTTTCAAAAATGACAAAATAAAAAATCCTGAAAGTAGTGTAACAAAAATAGTAATATTAGTAATTTAAATTTGTGCACCATTTCTTAGTGTAAAAATCAAAACATAATTTTAGTTGACTTTTTAAATTTTATTTTTATTTATTCATTTTTTTGAGACGGAGTCTCACTCTGTCACCAGGCTGGAGTGCAGTGGCATGATCTCGGATCACTGCAATCTCTGCCTCCCGGGTTCAAATGATTCTCCTGCCTTAGTCTCCTGAGTAGCTGGTACTACAGATGTGTGCCACCACGCCCTGTTAATCTTTGTATTTTTAGTAGAGACAGGGTTTCACCATGTTGGCCGGATGGTCTCGATCTCTTGACATCGTGGTCCACCCACCTCAGCCTCTCAAAGTGTTGGGATTACAGTCACGATCCACTACGCCCAGCCAATTTTAGTTGACTTTACATTTCGGTAATATATATAATTATAAACAAATTATTGTGCCTAATATGATTACAACTTTTTTAATCTAGAAAATGGAATGTATATATACTTATTTCTCTGTATTCTTTGAATATTTCAAACAATATTCTATATTTGTTAGTAAAGGGTTTATCATTACTTACTCTCATTTGTTAATCGATATTTACTGAGCACTAAAAATATGCAAGCAATGTAAATTGAGAAACCTTTTTAAAGCACCTTTTATGTAACAGGTACTTCTATAGTTGCTGGTGATAGAATTGTAATAAAAATACATTTTTTAAAAAGCTGGCCCTTACCCTTCTCAAAGGGGATGAGAGAGAAGACAGATAACAAATACATATATTATGTGAGTATTATAAGTTGATAAACACTATGGAAATAAACAAAACATGGAGAGTGGACTAAACAATTATAAAAAATGGCAGAAGATTGCATTTTATGGAGGGGAGTCAGTCAGGAAGACCACAAAAAGAGTGACATTTGGTCCAGAACTTTAAGAAAGTGAAGCATCAACTGAAAGGATATGTGGGAAAAGAACGTTTAAGCTAAAGTGAAAGGTCTGGTCACCTACCAAGGAAAGCCCATCAGACTAACAGCAGACCTCTCAGCAGAAACCCTACAAGCCATAAGAGATTGGGCGACTATATTCAACATTCTTAGAAAATAAATTTCCACTGATAATTTCATGTCTGGCTAAACTAAGTTTCATGAGCAAAGGAGAAATAAGATGCCTGTCAGCAAGCAAATGCTAAGGGAATTTATCAGACCTACCTTACAAGAATCCCTGAAGGAAGCACTAAATATGCAAAGGAAGGACC
Organism: Homo sapiens; assembly: GCF_000001405.40. Lineage (NCBI taxonomy): Eukaryota > Metazoa > Chordata > Mammalia > Primates > Hominidae > Homo > Homo sapiens. The sequence goes on along the minus strand of NC_000001.11, from coordinate 195,100,000 downwards.
ATTACTAGCCACTAAAAAAAACCACACTGAAGTACTCAGACCAGTGACACTATAAAGTAACCACACACAAAAAAAAGAAAAAAACCTCTGCATAATAACCAGCTAAGAACATCATGACAGGAGGAAATCCACAAATATCAATACAAACCTTGAACGTAAATGGGCTAAATGCCCCAGTTAAAAGGCACAGAATGGCAAGCTGCATAAAGAACCAAGAACTATTGGTATTCTGTCTCTATTGGTATTATCTTGAAGACAGAATACCAATAGTTCTTGGTTCTTTATGCAGCTTGCCACTCTGTGCCTTCACACATGCAATGATGCCCATAGACACAAAATAAAGGGATAAAGAAAATCTACCAAGCAAATGAAAACAGAAAAATCAGGGATTGCAACCCTAATTTCAGACAAAACAGACTTTAAATCAACAGAGATAAAAAAAGACAAAGAAGGGCACTACATAAGGATAAAGGATTCAATTCAACAAGAAGACCTAACTATCTTCAATATATACGCCTCCAACACAGAAGCACCCAAATTCATAAAGCAAGTTCTTAGAGACCTTCAAAGAAACGTAAACTCCCACACAATAATAGTGGGAGATTTCAACACCCCAATGATATTATTAGATCACTGAAGCAGAAAATTAGCAAAGATATTTAGGACCTGAAATCAGCACTGAAATCAGACAGAAAACACTCCTCAACAAATGCAAAAAAAAAAAAAAAAAACTGAAATCTTAACAACCACTCTCAGAACACAACACAATCAAATTAGAAATCAAGACTGACAAATCCATTTAAAATCATACCATTAAATAGAATTTGAATAACATGCTCCTGAATGACTTTGGGTAAATAATGAATTTAAAGCAGAAATCAAGTTCTATGAAATTAATAAAAATAAAGGTACAACATACCAGAATCTCTGGGACACAGCTAAGTCACTGTTAAGAGGGAAATTTATAGCTCTAAATGCCTGCATCAACAAGGTAGAAAGATCTCAATTTAACAACCTCACACTACAACTAAAAGAACTAGAGAACCAATAAAAAACCAACCCCAAAGCTAGCAGAAGACAAGAAATTACCGAAATCAGAGCTGAACTGAAGGAGATTGAGGCACAAAATCCATTCAAAAGTTCAACAAATCCAGGAATTGGCTTTTCGAAAAAATTACTAAAATAGGTAGACTTCTTGACAGACAAATAAAAGAGAAGAGACAAATAAAAGAGAAGAGCAGAGAATATAAACACAATTAGAAAGGACAAAGACCTTATTACCACTGACCCCCACAGAACTATATGTAACCCCCACAGAGAATAATAGAAACAACTCTATACACACAAACTAGAATATCTAGAAGAAAAGGATGAATTCCTGGACACATCCACCCTCCCAAGATTGAACCAGGAAGAAACTGAATTTCAGAATGGACCAATGACAAGCTCCAAAATTGAATCAGTGATTAAAAAACCTACCAACAAAAAAAAAAAACCTCAGGGCCAAATGGATTCACAGACAAATTCTACAAGATGTACAAAGAAGAACTGGTACCATTCCTACTGAAACTATTCCAAAATATTGAGGAAGAGGGACTCTTCCTTAAATCATAGCCTCTCTGGCCAGCATTATCCTGATACCAAATCCTTGCCAAGACAAAACCAAAAAAAGACCTTCAGTCCAATACCCTTGATGAACATTGATGCAAAAATCCTCAACAAAATACTGGCAAAGCGAATCCAGCAGCACATCAAAAGCTCATCCACCACAATCAAGTAGGCTTTATCTCTGAGATGCAAGGTTGTTTCAACATATACAAATCAACAAATGTGATTCATCACATAAACAGAACTAAAGACAAAACCACATGAGCATCTCAATAGGTGCATAAAATTCTTCTGATACAATTCAACATCCTTTTCTGTTAAAAATCCTCAACAAACTAGGCATTGAAAGAACATACTTTAAAATAGTAACAGCCATTTAGGACAAATCCATAGCCAACATCATACTAACTGGGCAAAGAAATATGGAAGTATTCCTCTTGGAAACTGGTACAACACCAGAATGTCCTCTCTCACCACTCTTATTTAACATAATATTGGAAGTCCTGGCCAGAGCAATTAGTCAAGAGACAGAAGTAAGGACACCTAAATTTGAAGAGAGGAAGTCCAACTATCCCTCTTTGCAGATAATGTAATCCCATATCCAGAAAACCCCATATTCTTGGCACAAAAGCTCCCTAAGCTGATAAACTACTTCAGCAAAGTTTCACAATATAAAATCAATGCACAAAAATCACTAGTGTCTCAGGATATTTAGGGTGTCACTTTTCCTGCTAGAAATGTCTGTGGCTGGTGACACCTTTGCCTGAGTTTTTGCTTGAGCCTTCTGGGCTTGTTCTGCCCTCTCGACCTGGCAGGCTGTGGTTTGCTTGCACTGCCAGCTTGCATTCCACACCTGTCAAGGGTGAGTCAGGCATGAGTAGCGAGGGGTGTGTGAGTGAGTGAGCATGGGTTCTGGCCACTGCACACAGCCAGGCACACTGGCTGTTGTGGCGCAGCAGGCAGCTCCAGGGACCAGCACAGGCTCCTGCTCCATGCAAGGCTGCGGCTAGATCAAATATACCACAAGTGGCTTCTGTTGCAGGCACCTGTGTTTGGATGAGGGTAATGAAGTGGCACCTGGAACAATGGAGATACCAGGAACCACAGAGCTCCAAAGAAGGTGTCACAGCCCTGGCTCTGTGCCCTAGGTCTGGGCTCCCCAAAAGGCTGCAGATCTTCTCATTTTCTCTTCACTCACCACGTGGCAAGCTGTGGAGCATTTCAGTAGTGTTTGTGTTACAGCTTTTTCAGTGCTGCCATTCATCAAGTCCTGAGTTCTTGTCTTGTGCCCAAGAAGAATAAGGCATGCAAAAAATTGCAGGGTGAGCAAGGTGAAGAGGAGCTTATTGAGACACAGAACAGCTCTCAGGAGACCCATAGAGGGCAGCTCCTTTCCACAGACAGGTCATCCCAATGAGCATCCAGGTCTCAGCAGGGTAGTATTTAATTGAGTTGATTTTTTATGGTGTAAGGAAGGGGTCCAGTTTCAATCTTCTGCATACGGCTAGCCAGTTATTGCAGCACCAATTATTGAATAGGGAGCCCTTTCCTCATTGCTTGTTTTTAATCAGCTCTGTTGAAGATCAGATAGTTGTAGGGGCTACCCCGTAGTGGGTAGCCCCTTTCTGCAGGCAGTTCATCCTGACAAGTGGAAGAGATCCAAAGTGCATAGCTCCTTCCCACGGCTGGTAGTCCTGATGTTTTTCTGAGTCTGGCTGAATCTGGGGTTGTTATGGACTCAGAACAGAGGAAGTGCATGCTGATTGGTCCGTGGGTGATGATAAGCACCATAAGTTCTCACTCCGGGCCACAGACTTCACCTGGAACTGGCAGCCTGGCCCCAGGCTTCAGGCCATCCCTGGCTTGAAGGTGGGGTTTCACCTGGGACCTGCCCCTTTGTGCCCAGGAGCCTGTTTGCCTCCATCGCCATTAACATGCCAGCCACAGCGCCAAAGCTGTTCATGCTGAGGGGCACCTGCAGGCCCACGTTGAGCCACCCTCAGCCCCCCTTCAGGCTCCCTCCCATGCTCATTGGAGCTCAAAGTTCGGAAGGGACTAGGGTGGCAGGGGGCTCATGTGTCAGCACTGCCCCAAGCATGCACACACCCAGCCAAGTCGTGACAGTGCCCAGGGTCAGCCACAACTTTGCTTCACCCCAGAGCCGGCACCAGGAGCAGGGAGAGGCCAGGAAGCAGGAGCAGCCACTTTCAATCCTGCGGAGGCAAGGAGCTTCCTGGGCCCCCTAGAGTGCAGGGATGCCGAGGTCTGGAGCCATAGCTGAGCAGTTGCAGCTGTGCCTGGGAGCACTGGCTCCTCTGCTGCAGCCAGCGTCCTCACAGGGGCCGCTCCAGATGGGGCATTGCTGGCACATCACTAGTATTCCTATACATCCAACAACAGTGAAGCTATTGCCAAATCAGGAATGCGATACCATTCACAACTGCCACAATAAGAATAAATTATGTAGGAAGACAGCTAACCAGGGAGGTGAAAGATCTCTACCAGAACAACTACAAAAGACTGCTCAAAAAAATCGGAGATGACACAAACAAATGGAAAAAAATATCCCGTGCTCACGGATAGGAAAAATCAACATAATTAAAATGGTCATACTGTACAAAGTGTTTATACATCCAATGCTGTTCCTATCAAACTACCAATGACTTTTTAACAAGAACTAGAAAAAAAACTATTTTGAAATTCATATGGAACCAAAAAAGAGCCTGAAGAGCCAAGGGAGTCCTAAATAAATAGAACAAAGCTGAAGCCATCGTGCTACCCTATTTCCAACTGTCCTACATGGCTGCAGTAACCAAAACATCATAGTACTGGTACAAAAACAGACACATAGTCCAATGGAACATAATAGAAAACCCAAAAATAAGACCACACAGCTACAACTATCTGATCTTCAACAGAGCTGATAAAAAACAAGCAATGAGGAAAGGGCTCCCTATTCAATAATTGGTGCTGAGATAACTGGCTAGCCATATGCAGAAGATTGAAACTAGACCCCTTCCTTACACCATAAAAAAATCAACTCAATTAAAAACTTAAATGTAAAACCACAAATTATAAAAATCCTAGAAGTCAACCGAAGTAATATTATGGACACAGGAATGAGCAAATATTTCATGATGAAGATGCCAGAAGCAATTCTGGCAAAAGCAAAATTTGACAAACGGGATCTAATTAAAGAGCTTCTACACGGCTAAAGAAACTATCAACAGATTAAACACACAACCACAGAATGGGAGCAAACTTTTGCAAACTATGCATCTGACAAAGGTCTAATATCTATCATTCATAAGGAACTTAAACAAATTTACAAGATGACAACAACCTCATTAACAAGTGGGGAAAGGACGTGAACAGACACTTCTTAGAAGAAAAATATGCATCCAACAATCATATGAAAAAAAGTTCAATATTGCTGATAGTTAGAGAAATACAAATCAAAACTTTATTGAGATACCATTTCACACCAGTCAGAATAGCTATTAGTAAGAAGTCAAAAATAATAGATTCTGGCAAGGTTGTGGAGAAAAAGAAACACCTTACATGCTGTTGGCAGGTGTGTAAATTATTTAAAATATTGTGGATAGCAGTGTGGCAATTCCTGTAAGACCTGAAAACAGAACTACCATGCAACAGAGCAATCTCATTACCAGGTATATACACAAAGGAATTTAAAACATTCTATCATAAAGACATATGCATGCAGATGTTCATTGTGGCATGAATCACAATAGCAAAAATGTGAGATCAACTTAAATGCCCATCAATAGTAGACTGGATAAAGAAAATGTGGTACATATACACCATGGAGTACTAACTAATGAGTGCTAGGTTTAATACCTTGTTGAACTAATCTGTACAGAAGCTTTCTCTGGTTTGCAGACTTAATTAAACATTTTAGACATTTAAAATTTAAAGCTATTCTAAATTTTAAAAGCTTATGGAAAATATTTAGCATTATTTAGCCTATTCAACCGACCACTAAAAAGAATAAAAATAACAATATTTTTAATATCAAACTGCGTATATTCTTTTTTTTTTTTTTTTTTTTTTTTTTTAGAGAAAGAGTCTCGCTCTGTCACCCAGTCTGGAGTGCAATGGCGCGATCTCAGCTCGCTGCAAGCTCCACCTCCCAGGTTCACGCCATTCTCCTGCCTCAGTCTCCTGAGTAGCTGGGACTACAGGCTCCCGCCACCACACCTGGCTAATCTTTGTATTTTTGGTAGAGACAGGGTTTCACCGTGTTAGCCAGGATGGTCTCAATCTCCTGACCTTGTGATCCTCCTGCCTCGGCCTCCCAAAGTGCTGGAATTATACGCATGAGCCACCACACCTGGCCCAGACTGCTTATATTCTTAAAGTACCCATATGTGGTCTGCGGTCATGGTATATTATTATTTAACATAGTGATGATTACTATTTGCTAATATTTTGTGTTGTTGAATTAATATTTAAATATAAGCTTAATCTATAAATTTATTTTGAATACATTGGTATTTTTTCTTATAAAAATTGAGATATCCTTTCATCAAGCTCTAATAATTTAAATGTGACAGTCATACATCCACCAAGGGCTTACAAGTATTCACCTACAAAATAATTGAGTATAACTATTTTTATAATAACCTGTATAATATTTAATGGTCTTGTTATTTTGGAAAGTACAGTAGTAATCAGGCTGTAACACATTAATATTTTTTGAAACCCCTTTTAGGATTTTGGTTTCCCTTTATTATATATTTTTAAAATCATTTCAGTAATATGTGCTTTTTAAATGATTGTGTGTTTCTAAATATATTAACCTATTAATGTATAAATATATTCCCATATTAATTTTCTATTATGGCTATTGTTATTTTCTATTTTTTTATATCTCACAATACAAATTTTATCTTCGTTTCCTCAACTTTTGTAATCTCTGTAATTCTTCATTAGTTGAGATTAACTGATGATTGTCTCTTTTGTGTTTTTCTGCTAAATTTGTAAATACTATATTAATAAAATTTGCCTTTATTTTCTTTATTACTCATATATTCACTTGAAAATATGATTTTTGTTCTATATTTTGCCAGGCTATGCTACATCCTGGGAAGAAACGATCAACAAAATACGTGATCTCTACCTTCATGGAGCCAATAGTCATTTGCAAAAGATGGACCTCAATTAATTAAAATGAAAGGGAAGTATAATCTGTGGAAATCTTTTGAAAAAATATTATGGAATATGTAACAAGATCATCTAATGTAGTTAGATTAGACAGGTGAATGAAAATAAAATTAGATTTTATTTGTGCCTAATTTTTCAATACCATTATGGAAATTTTCTTTCTGGTCTAACACAGAATAAATTTTAGGAAAGAGGCCATGTGTACCAATTATATAAAAGTGGTGTCTTTTTTTCAGTTTGAAAATTTATAATTGTTCATTTTAGAGCATCTCTTTCTATCTTCTCTCTCTCTCTTTATAAATACACACACACAAGCACACACACACACAAACTTTTTATCTGCCTTACTAAAGTGTAATTTACATACAAAAAATTGAACATATCATGTATATAATTTGTTGGGTTAGAATATATGAATACACCAGTGGAACCATTAACACAATAAAGAAGATAAACATATTCATTACCTTCAAAAGTTTGTTTCTCCACTCAAACTTTTTTTTTGTGTGTGTGGTAGGAACAATGAACACCAAATGTAATGGTGATTACCAGGAGTGGGGTGGAGGGGGTCAGATGGAAATGTAAAGTTGTTGTTCGATGGGTATAAAATTTCACCTACACAATATGAATAAGTTTGAGAGATGTGCTTAGAATACAGTGCTTAAAATTAACAATATTTATTTTATATTGAACTCTTGTTGAATAGTTCACACAATTATTTTAACACCAGAATTTTATGTCTGTTGGGGTATATTTTGTGGTTTAAAATATCCCACTAGTATTGTTTTACCTGTTAGCATCTGTGCTGTATGTCATTTGATTCTGCTTCAATTGCACACAGAATTATATAATAGTTACGTTTGCTTTCAGAAGGATACACTTTATATTCCTATAGGGGGCCAGTTTGTAGACCAGTGGAACAGAAAAGATAACTCAGAAATAAATTCATGTATTTTCAGTCTACTTATTTTTGAGAAAGAAGCCAAGAATATCAAATTTGGAAAGCACAGTCTCTTCAATAATTGATACTGGGAAACCTAAATATCCATATGCAAAAGAATAAAGCTTGACTCCTATCTCTCACTATATACAAAAATCAAGTCAAACTGCACTAAAGACTTAAATGTAAGACAAGAAACTATAAAACTACTAAAAAATAAACAGGAGGAGCACTTTAGGACATTGATCTAAATAAAGTTTGCATGAATAAAACCTCAAAAGCACAGGCAACAAAACCAAAGAGGCAAATGAGACTACATCGAACTAGAAAGCTTCTGCCAGGAAAAAGAAATAACAGAGTGAAGAGAGAATTGCAGAATGGAAGAAAATATTTGTAAACTATTCATCTGACAAAGGACTAATATTCAGATGACACAAGAAACTCAACTCAAAAGCAAAACACACACACACACACACATACACACACACATAATTTGATTTTGAAATGGGCAAAAGATCAGAATAGACATTCCTCAAGAGAAGACATACAAATGGCCAAGTGTATATTAAAAAAGCTCAGCATCACTAATTATCAGGGAACCAGGATCAGATATATTCTTACCCCTGTTAGAATGTCTGTTAGCAAAAAGAAAACAAAATAGCAAATGCTTATGAGGATGTGGATAAAGGGGAACTCTTATACACTGTTAGAAGGAATGTAAATTAGTACAACCTTTATGGAAAACAGTATGGAGTTTCCTCAAAAAATGAAAAACAGAACTACCATATGATTCGGCAATCTCACAGCTTGGTGTATACTCAAAGGAAAGAAAATCAGTATATTGATGCAATATCAGCACTCCCATGTTAATTGCAGCACTGTTCACAATAGCCAAGATATGGATTCAAGCTAAGTGTCCATAAATAGATGAATAAATTAAAAATGTGATACATATATATACACACACACAACGGACTACTATCCAGCCAAAAAATGGAATTAAATCTTGTCACTTGTGACAACTTCATGAGCCTGGAGGACATTATGTTAAGTGAAATAAGTCAATTACAGAAAGGTAAATATCATGTGTTCTAACTCATTTGTAGAAGCTAAAAATGTTGATCCCATAGAAGTAAGAGCAGAAGAGTGGTTACTCAAGGCTGGCAAATGTGGGAGCATGGAGGTTGGAGAATTTTTTTAACAGATAGAAAATTATAAATAGGAATAAGTTCTAGTGTTCTCTAGCACTGTTGGGTGAGTATAGTTAATAACACTGTATTATGCGTTTTTAAATAGCTAGAACAGAGAATTTGGAATGTTTCTAATACAAAGAAATGATAAGCCTCTGAGGTAATGGATATGCTAATTACCCTGATTTGATTGTTACACATTGTACACCTGTATTGGAATATCACATTGTACTCCATAAACTTGTGTAATTATCATGTGTCAATTAAAAATTATACTAATAAAATAGAAAATGTCTTGGCTGTTTCTGAAAAATATCAAAATTCAATAAATTAAATGTTAAAATATAAGCTGAAGAAATCATGTAGAAAATGTTTTGAAAGTACAGAGAAAAATAGTAAACAGAAATTTAGCTGATACATATATAATCTAATAACCATCTTTGGAGAAGTGTGGAAAAAAACTGGAAATGAATGAAATTGTGAAAAACAGAAGAAAATTCCAAAACCTGTCTTTAGTTTGAAAAGTTATGCTGAGAGCCTAATATAACTAATTAAAGACAATAGCATACCTGAATATATCATTATGAAAATTCACTAGACTGAAGATAGATGTTAGCCACATGCAAGGGCACAGGCATGCACACACATATTTCTAAATGTTTATTACAAAAGAACAATAATCAAATTGCAATCTGACCTTTCATCAAGACAGGATGCTAGAAAACAATATCACCTTCAGTGTGTCAAGAGAAAATTATTTTTAAATTTAGAATTACATTCCATGCCAAAATATCAAAGAGCATATAAAAATACAGCAGACATTTTCAGACAATGAAGGGCTTGTAAAGTTATGTTCCAAGTACAATTTCTTAAAACTTACTTGAAAGTGTACTCCAGGAAAAGTTGACGATATAACAAGAAAGAGAATAAAATTGTTTTCAATATAGTAGATCAAGCACAGAAGAAAGACAAAGGGAAGAAACTGAAAAATATCTGCGTAGGTCATCTGGAGATCAGTGAATCTGAATTTGATTAGATGAGTGGAATATTATGAAAGCGATTGTATGGGGGAAAATTGTGACTAGCTGTAATGATAGAAATATTAGAAAATATCTGGTGTAGTATAAACCTAGAAAATACATTTGAATTCAATATTTGAAGCATTCTTCCTTGTATGACATAAAGATTTTTAAATGTGGACAATTATAGGAAAACATTTCACAATGAGTCTTGTTCTGAAGTGAACAACATTTACATGATAATTATAAAGCAAGGGCAAAAAAAGCAGATATAGAGGAGACAAAGGAAGAGAATTAAATAACTAGGAGTAGTAAAGCGAAGGGTGAGTGTTCTAAAATATCTTCTAGTAGTAACATTCTATGTATGATATAAAAAGAAATCCAGGTTTATGAACATTATTGTCATATGCAGGGATGACTATGGATGATTTTTAATATTTCTGTAATGTTGAGGAAGAGGGAGCCTGGAAGTCCTCTATCATATCAAGACAACTAAAAACATTTTTAAAACATTTAAATGAATATATAACAACAAGCATATTCTTTAGAAATACTGAATAGGCAGAAGCAGATCCATCTGGTGTATGTGAGTTGAGGATAAAGATATGCCAGGTATGGGTTTATTACTTCTCATTATAAGTTTTTTTGGATCATTTGACTGTTGAATCATGCACATCTATTACTTTGATACAAATTAAAGAATTATAAAAGAAAGTAAAGTATATCTATCTTTAGTCAAACTGTTCTAAATGTTTAAGCTTCTAGTGGTTCTGGCAATATGTTCTGGCTGACTTTCATCCACTGAACCTGAATACCTTTATTAATTAATTAATATTTGGTAAAGATGAATTAACTCCACACAAAACTTAAATGGATATATCAGATACATTCATCTTCAACAATATATCACTTAATTAAAATAAAAGAGGTCAAATATATGTGTATATATAAATTCATAATCTAAATACTTACACACACCATAACAGAACACAGATAGTCCCTTTTCAAGTCTGACACTCAAATCCATCGTCAAAACAAACAATATTTACAAAATTTTCATATCCGTTGCTTTTACCTTCAGAGAGCTCAAAGGGTCAAATGTGCATTTCAGTGTCACTCATTCCTAATATTGATATTAAAAACAGCCTAGCCTAGTGGCTTATGCCTGCAATCTCAACAAATTTGGAGGCTAAGGTGGGAGGTTTGCTTGAGCCCAGGAGTTTGAGGCTGCAGTGAGCTACGATCACGCCATTGCACTCCAGCCTGGGTGGTATAATGAGACCCTGTCTCCAAAAACAAAAAAAAAGAAAAAGAATAAACTTTATTGCCCTATTAAGGAAATTCAGCTGGTGATTTAGAATTGAGAATACAAGTCATTGTACAATAGACATTAATCACATGCATTTTTTCTTTTTTTAAACTGATACAGTCCTTATCAAACACGAAGAAGTGTTTATTTTTCTTCATTATTATTAACAATAAGATGCTATTAAAATGTCACATTTATTTAATGATTTGAATTCTGTTATTTAAATTTTACATGTTTAGCATCAATAATCTAATGAGAAACTAACTCTGTTATCTCAATGATGTATTATTAATAGTTATTATTAAATTCTGTATTATAAGGAAATCAAGGCTACATGACAATAATTCATTACACACTAAAATATTTAATAAAGTAAAATAGCTTTATAAGCATTTTCCCAGACACAATATGTACGAAGAAATGTGCAGATTATATGTCTCATTGTTGCTAATTCTTTTCAGTAGAGTCAGCTGCTTATTTTCCTCTTCTGCAATTAGCATTTGTAAGTATATGCTGTTTATTTGAGATATTTTAAATAACTATTAAAACTTCAGAATTTCTATATTTCCTTAGAGCTGTAAAATTTAAAGTGTGTTATTTAGAATGATTACCACATTTAACCCAAGTTTAAAAAATTTAACACGTCACTGGATGAAATGTAAAATTAGTGATGTGTACAAATAAAATCTAAAAACTCCATAATTTAAAGGTATTATATCTTTAATTGTATCTTAAATCATATTCTAATACATTTGTGTTTTATTATTCTTTAAGAGGTAGCTTTTTTGCTATAGTGACATAAGACAATAAGATGATGACAAAAGCAAAACAGTGAGAACATCAACAAAAACCAAACTTACAAAGTAATATACCTGACTTTAGCAGAAATATAGTATCTTCTTTCATTTTTAGATACATTATACTTCAATCACTATTATATTTTATGCCATATACTCCCAGTAAGAATACTTACATGAAATTTCAAAGTTCTTGTCTTCAAGAAACTAAGGAGGATATAGACATTTGTAATGTGGAATGATCAGGAAACTACTAGAAACAAAGAAGAAGGTTTGTGTAGATATCAAAGCCTCTATTTCCACAAGTCACAAGAGATGACTTTGAACCATTTTATAGCACAGGAGATAATGATATAAACCTGAGAGGGAGGATTAATCACTAAGGTCATTCCAGGCTGAGTGAGAACTCGGAGACATCAGAGACTATTACAAACTTGTTTATCTTCAATAAGTTTCACATAGCTAAGACACAAACTTTGAGGATAAATCATCTGTATAAGAGATTAATGAGTTTGAAAATCATTAGTCTATAAATGGCTTCACATATTATGTTTCAAAAGTTGGATATGAGGAATAAGGATTTCACGAAAAATCACTACAACAGTTACAAGAAGAATTTTGAGTTTTATAAAGAACATTTTAGCAGCAGTATGACAAACAGACCTTGAGGCTCTGAGATTAATAGGAAGAAATAATTGCTTGAAAAAAAATAAAGGGATTATTTTGTAGGAGATTGAAAGGATTTATTAATAGTAAAGCAGTAGAATTTACAAACAGATTAATTTGAATATCAAGTGTAAAGGAGATAAAAAGTCAAAGAGAAACCCATGGTTTTGGTTTGACTGGCAGAGGAAATAAAATAGAAGAACATTTAGTCAGAAAAATATGGCAAATTTACTTTTGGAATTTTGAGCTGGTGGTACCCTACAGGAACACAGGTAAATATGTGTTTTTAAAAATCACCTTTCACATATTTGGAACTCAAGAAAATTTTGAATTGGAGAAAAAGAATGTCAAATCATCAGTACGTAGGTGATTTTTAAAGATGGGTGTGTACCAACAAAGATAACAGAAAGGAAATTGTGGAGAATACAGCATCCTTTGAGCAGATTAAGGAAAATAAATCTACAGTGGAGCTGGAAAAAAATTACAAGGAAATTAGGAGTTAAAATGGTGCCACAAAAGTAAAAACTGATTTTTTTTAAGGCTACAGTAGTAGATTGTGCTAAAAGGTTAAGAGAAATTATATTATATAGTATATCTAGCACCATCCACTAGCTTTGATAACCAGAAAATTACTGACGACCTCAAATTATTTTGTAACCGAGTAATGATTATGAATGACTAGTTATGGAAGGTTGAACATTAAACAGGAAGTTCAGAAGCGTTAAGAGAAATACCTAATGTAGATGACGGGTTGATGTGTGCAGCAAACCACCATGGCACATGTATACCTATGTAACAAAACTGCATGTTCTGCACATGTACCCCAGAACTTAAAGTATAATAAAAAATAAAAATAAAAAAAGAAGTTGAAAAGTGAAGTAACAAGATAGTGTTTTGCAAATTTTCTACAATGTAACACACCACAAAATGATAGTATTTGTAAAGCACACCGGAGAAAACTTTAGGGGATTTAGGGACACATTTTGGAGATTGTTGAAAAAATATCAATCTCACTTTAATTGTGTTATAGAATTACACTTAAAAATGAAATATAGAAAAGTATTGAAATTGTATTTGAGTCAAACATAGCAATGAAATCCTTTCAATATTTAATTTTAGGAATGACAAACATGAGATTATTCTCAAAAACATATTAGATTTTGTTTTTAAAAGTATATATTCTATTCTTGATAAAGAAACTTTAGTCATGAAATGACCCTGCCCTCCCAGCTAGATTTACTGCCTCCAAGGACCAAAGAACATTCTTCCTGGCATCTAGAATACACATTTCTTGAGCAGCTCCATGGATGGTCCTCTTGTTTATTATCAATAGTAGTGCTCGGTGCAGCGGGCTGCTAAAGTAAGTTTCCAATTATTATAGCCTTTTTTAAAAATCACATTGAGCATGATTTCCTGATGCCATTATGCTAGCCATAGAGCATGTTTACAGAAATAGATGAATTTCATGAAACTCCCATAAAACCATAAATTGCTACAGGCATCTAGCCCACGAAATCCAAACTATTCTAAATCCCATCAGAGTACCCCTTAGACTATGAGGGCCAATATTTCCAGTTGTACCTGTAAATTATTTGCAACATAACAACTGGGGTGTCCTTACTAAAGAGAAACATAGGGTTGGATGTATTTTTGCTTGTTTAAGTTAGAAAAATTTAAGAGTCTATGCAGGAAGTTGTGTAACTTAGAGGAAAGATGAAGATATTAACCAATAATGAAACAAGGGAAGATGAAAAGGATAATAGGTGATAGAAATTTGTTTTGTAAGTGGAAGAAAATAATAAGTGAAGCTCCAACTGAGTGACTTGGAGTTTTTCTGTTTTCTTTGTTTTCTGATGAAGTGTTGAAGTGTTTGCGAATGATGTAATTGATGGTAGAACAGAGAAACGGACAAGAGATTGATAGAGAGACAAGGAGTGGAATGGCTCTTTTAGAACACAGAATAAATAACCGCCTAGTGCCATATCAAAGGCTAAGTGATGTAGCAGTTTTTCTAAGATTAGAGAAAATGAATTAAATGTATTACTATATTTGAGTGTGTGGTTTGGCAGAGGGTGGATGGAAGTGGGTGTGAGTAGGTGTGGATGTGGGTGTGTGACTCTGTTTATGTATTTCTTTAGTAGGATTTTCCACTGAAGTGCAATTATAGAATGCCATGTGGAAGATTGTTTCTAGGCTTGAGCTTAATTTGGAAAAGCATGTGTCCTATAGGCAACAAGACAACTAAGGATGATAGAAAGAGAAAATAGAAAAGTGCAATCTAGGCTACTTTTGGAATGAAAAAATATTAAGGAAAGATTGATTAGGAGAAAAAGCAAGTGAGAAAGTTAGAAGATAGTGATGATGATGTAAACATATGGAGAATAAGAAAGTTAGGAAATCTAAAGAATAGGTCATTGTATTCAGACATCAGAATACTTTAAACTTTCAGAAGAAATACAACAAAAAATTAGATTCTCTAAAGGACCAGAAGAAAACATAATTGATATTTAAAAACACAAGAATACTGAGTCAGGGGTTTTTGATATGTCATCTATATGGATATTTAAGTCCTCAGGATGATGTGAGCACTTGGAGAGGACAATTATTTTATAATTTCAGAATCTCATTTACATTAACATTTTATCTTAACCCTGATGAATATTTAAACAACAGTGTTTTTAAAAAGCTAGTTCAGATCAACCTGGAAGATGCTCTGCCTGAGGTCCATTATATTTTACCTCCAAAATAGCTGGGGTCCTACACTGCATGTATGCATAAAAGAGAGGTATATTTTTCACTCTCCATGTTTGATGGAAGGTAGTAAAAAGGTAATCTTTATATAATTATGTTATATGGAGATCTTTTCTTCCCTCTCTTCATGCTTCTAGTACAACTGCCTTCCTAGGGATCCAAAGTTTTGCCTCTGTTATGAGCATCTTAAAAATATTTTCCTAGATCATTGGAAAATATGTAGTCTACACAGCATACATGAAACAGTGAATGAGCCATATTTCAGGACAAGTACAGGCTTTACTGTTGAATGAAATTTAAACTTCCACAGAGGGAAGTCAGACACCAGTTAGGGACATCTAGACTTAAGATAGCCTTGGCAAGGATAAGGTACTGAGCTCTTGTATAGAGACTGCTGGTTTATAGACAATGGCTCCGATGACATTCCTGGGGAAAATTGGCACTTATGAAAGTGGAGCTGTGAGTTTCTTTATGATTACCACACACATAGTCCAGTCCTCCCTTTAAACCCATTTTGAAGTCCACGGAATTTTTGATCTAACAGCAAGCAGCAAGAAATGACCTGGATCAGTTCTAAAATATTTTTTGTTTTACACTTGGACCACAGCTTTGAAACTTGAAAATTAAAAAATGTATATAGTCTTTTTTCTCTAGTTTCCCTCTGATAATCTTTGCCTAAGTTAGTGTATGGCTCATGTTTATATGACTTCCTAAGGGAAAGAGCCATCAAAGAAGAAGTAAAACAACAACAGTAAAAGATCATTGAAGTACCGAGAAGAACACATCAGTTTTCAGGCAAAATATAACCTGATCACACATGTATTACAACAGCGAGGGAAAAAAAGACAGTTAGTTAGAATTGCTGTGAGTTGGTATAATAAAGAAAATAATTCTCCTAAGATATTTTGCCTTGAGCAATCAGACCACGTAAATAATGTACAAGCTTATGTCCTGAGGTGAAAGCTCCTTTTAGCAGATTATACATTATTTTCTGTCTATATCCATAGAACTATTATGGATTTGGCACATTCAATGGGTACCTGGCTGTATACCACACCTGTTTGATCCTTGGATGAACAAGCAACTAAATAGAACTGGATCTAGATTGATAGTTGGAGGCCCGAAAGACAAGATTCCTTTCATAGAGATGGTCCTATGGTTTGGATATTTGTTACCCCCCACAAACTTCATGTTGAAATTTAATCATGTTGAAATTTGATCTCCAGGATTGGAGGTGGGGCCTAATGGGAGGCGTTTATGTCATGGGGGCAGGTCCATCGTGAATAGATTAATTCCCTCACTGGGTGTGGGGGGAGTTATTGCTCTATTAGTTTTCACAAGAGCTGGTTGTTAAAAAGATACTGGTGTGTCCACCCCCCTCCTTGCTTCCTCTTTTTCCATGTGATCTCTGTACATGCTGGCTCCCCTTCACCTTCCATCATGAGTGGAAGCAGTGTGAGGTCCTCACCAGAAGCATATACTGGCACAATACATTTTGTATAGCCTGCAGAACTGTAAGACAAATAAATCTCTTCTTGTACATAAATTACCCAGCCTCAGGTATTCCTTTTAGCAACACAAATGGACTAAGACTGACGGTTAAGTTGTGAATGTGTTAAACACAGATCTCTAACTCAATTCTTCATGACATAGATCATTTCTAACAAAGACTGCTGACAGCAACAACCTGAACCAAAAGACAGAGGGAAAGACGGAACCTGAATACTTTATTTTGTATTATTAAATCCATTCTTTTCCTAGCTTGTCCTTATCACTGGGAATTGCAGTTGTTTGTTCCAGTGTAAACCCTTTAAGGAGCAAAGTTGGGGGTGGATTTCTTATTTTCAACCAAAAGTGCCTTGTGCAATACAGAAAATACATAAGTGAATGGACACAGAATGTGTCAGGTGACAAACATATTACTGACTTGATTTTTGGGATACAGTAATCACTGAGGATTGAGGTTTAGAACACTGTGAAGAAATATTTTAAAATGTTGTAGTTGGTTGAATACTTCTGGCCGCCAAAAAGTTGTTATACAATGGTCTTATAAAGACACATAAGAAACAGCATTCTTTTTTTGATTTATGGCCAATAATCTGAGAGGGATGCAGGCCAGATGATTACATATCCCTTAATTATGAAACCTGAACTTGTCCTAAGTTATGACTCATTCACTGCTTTATTTATGCTGTGTTGACTACATATTTTTGAATGATCTAAGAAAGAATTTTAAGATGCTCATAACAGAGGGGAAAACTTTGGATCCCTAGTAATGCAATTGTAGTGGAAGAGTGGGGAGAGGGAAAAAAATCTGCATATAACTCTTTGTTATATGGAGATAACCTCTTTACTAATTTTCATCAAACAAGGATAGTGGAAAAATATACCTCTTATTCCTACATATGTGTACTGTATGGCCCTGATAAATTTGGAAATAAAATATAATGAACTGGCTGGGTGTGGTGGCTCGTATCTTTTTGCATTACATTAATAGAAATGCAAAAAGATTCATCTTTCTGCTCCAAGATAAAGTTATTGACAGCAAAATTGAGAGTGAATCTTGAACAAGAGCAAGGAGTAAAAATGGAATCTAGGGAAATGGGGAAAATTTGATCTCTCTACACTGTTTGATATTATAGTGATGTGGTGATATGGTTTGAATTTATGTCACTGCCCAAATCTCATGTCGAATTGTAATCTCCAGTGTTGGAGGAGGGGCCTGTTAGGAGGTGATTGGATCACAGGGGAGGATTTCCCCTTTGCTGCTCTCATGATAGTGTATTCTCATGATATCTTGTTGTTTAAAAGTGTGCACCACCTCCCACTTTGCTCTCTCTTCCTCCTTCTCCAGCCATGTTAGATGTGTCTGCTTCCTCTTCACCTGCACCATGATTGTAAGTTTCCTTAGGCCTCCCAAGCCATGTTTCCTGTACAGCCTGCAGAACTGTGAGTCAACTAAACCTCTTTTTTTATAAATTACCTAGTCTGAGGTGGTTTTTATTGCAATGTGAGAACTGACTAATCCATGTGGCTATTGAGCACATGAAATGTTCTTTAACTGTACAAAACACATGAGAATTCAAAAACCTGTACACATAAGTTAAAATGTTATCAAAAATTTTTGCATTGGTTACATGTTGAATGATACTATTTTGGATTTATTGGGTTAGATAAATATATCACTAAAATTAATTTTACCATTAATTTTTACTTTATTTTTCATGTAACTAATAGAATACTTAAAATTATATGTATATGGCTAACATTTGTAGCGATAAGGCCACAAAGACCATGATCAGATATCTGGTGTTTTATTTTAAAAAACAAAGAAACAAACTAAAAAAACAGTGTCTAGAACTTGAAAGTAATCCAGCTTACCACGATTCTAGATGAAGTTCACTGCTAGAGAAAACATAAATCTGTCAAACATCTGCCCCTAATTTCTCACCTCATAAAAAGTAAATACCTAATAAATATAATCCCAGGAAGCAAATCAGGAGGCAGTCAAATTCTTTTACATGCACACACTCTTCCATCAGTCAGAAGATGTTTTGTATTATTTTTCCCCTATCTTTTGATAATTGACAGTATGCTATGAAGTGGTTTATTTTTTCCATTTTGCTCTTTTTCCAAAGATTTGCTATTGAAGGTACTTTGTTTTCACTCTGCCATTATGTTTGGGTGAATTGTTGGGATGAACATATTATTTAGCCTCAGAATGACAGGTCAACAGAAGTCACTATTGCATCAAAACAGAAAGACTATGTTAAAATACTTGCAATTTTATAAAAGTCTAACTACGATTCTTTGGGAAAGAATAAGTATAATTTCAATTGTATATAGAAACAGTGAATTATATTATAAACAAATATTATTGCAATTGAGTGTAACATTATGAAATTGAATGAATACATATAGAACCCTAAGAAGGTAAAAGAAATTATAATTCAGTACGTGTGTTTAGTTATTTTTTAGTTGTTCAGAGTCTCTTTTATCTCTTCCAGTAAAATACATCTTTTATTTCCTTTGGGCAATTTTTATCATAATCTATGTGGTTATGGAAATCTATAAATTATGGTGCTTTCTCCCACTTTCTCAGGTAAGTAGATATACCCAAGCATGTTTACTTCTTGTCTTTGTCACTTTGAATTATACAGAATTATTATTAATAGCATATGTTTATATACATACATGTATTTCAGTATTTGGACTTTGCTTTGCCCTTTATGGGTAATTGATAAATTCTTATGCAAGCAAAAATAGAAGAAAATGGAAAGAAGAAAGAAATAAATAACATTACATGAAGATGGCTCTATGAATTAATTTTTTTGGTTACATAAATAACTCTCCCTTCACATACACTCTACTGGGTTCACAAAAAAACACAGCTGATGACAGCACTCCACAGGGTCTATTGCTTGGCTTCTTACTGAATGGAAGGTCAGTCTTTCTCTATTTTCCCAATTTTTGACTCAGGTTTATTTGGATATAGGGCTTTGTGTTTTTGTATATGAAAAATCTCATTACATTGTTACAGACTATGCCATAACTAATTTAAAATTTGTTTTGGTGTATTTCTTAGAAATACTAAGACATTTTCTAGCAAATATTGCATTTCACTTGTGTTTAGTTCATTTGCCACATTCTTCCCTATTATTTCAGACGGGTACCTTGATTTATAGGGATAGTCTTCCAATATGTGGAAATTATGTCACACCAAGTATCAGATCATGCTAGTTATAAATCTAAGTTCTTGTGATGATTGAAATTTGTGAAGTTAATTTTCTAATTCAAATGACAGCTATGTTTCAAAGTACTAACATATATTTTTTTTTGGTACAGAATAATGGCAGTTATTTTCAAGTGCATTGTGCAACCACATTGGATATGAGATTTAATTGTCAATAAGTTGATTTATTTTTCTTGCACTGCTGGATTGAAATTGGAATGTCTAGCAAATTCATGCACACCAAAATTGAGTAGTGAATGAAAAATATATGAGAAAGAATTATAATAGGGTTTTTAGATACAAAGAGAAATAAGAAAATTTAAATTAAAGATATATAACAACTATTGACTTTATAAAAAAGAGAATTTCTTCTCAGTTCTTAGCTTCACAAGTCCATTTTTATGATGAATAAAATTAATGTCATATTTAAAAATGCTTCTAACTGTAATTGTATGTTCTAAATTTTATAGTGCATACTAAAACATATATAAATTACAATATGATGATATAATTATTTATTAAAATACACATATATTTTGTGATGGGTAAATGCATTTTAATAAGTGATATTGGAATGTAGGATATGTACTTCAACTCAATATGTATCCAAGTTTGTTGATCATCCTGTTTAATGTATTTCTGAAAATTTGACATTCTGAGAAATATAAGAGTGTGTGTGTGTGTGAGTGCATGTGTGTCATAGCAAAGCACATACAATCAACGTAATGTTTGGTGATATTAGAGAACATTCAGGAGCCCATTTATTCATTTCTTAAAGGTCTCTTGGGATCAAAGTTTCTGTGACACTTTTGGTGATTGCTCTTATATATGAAATGCAAATATAAGAGCCCACAATTCTCTATGGATGTGCCAGGACTTTAGAAGAATTATGGTTTCATTTTAAAATATTTTTACAGTTTTTCTGTACCTCAAAACATTTTTTTTTAATTTTCAGTAACTCTTAAGAATTAAATGAATTTATAAGTAAAATATTTAAAACAATGTCAAGAATGTAGTTACTACAGACAATATCTCAATTAATGCTAATCATAAATCAAAACTCACCTGCCTGATTAATGCTTAAATCTCAATTCAAAATGTTTTATATAGTGATTAATTATTATTATTTACTGAAATGAAATACATTAAGTTACATACCATTCTATCTTGAATGGGCTCAGCTTTAAAGCATGCGGATAATTCACCTGTTTGCTGGTAAGACAAAGGAGATTGGTCTAGGCTTATTCCTAGACCAACGGTCAAGACAAAACTGATGCAAGGTATGTTTGGCAGCAGGCAAAATTTGAGTGTTCAAAAAAGGCCAAAATTAAAAAATAAAAAAGAATATGATCTCAGGCAAAAGGAGGTTTCTAAGGAAGGTACTCAACTGTTTGGTGGATGAATTATTTACCATAGCACTAGCTGCTGAAAGAGATTAAATCTTGAAATCACAATAGCTTAATATTTTGGAAGTCTAGCTATTTCTCATTTAAAGATTTCTCAGAGGCAAATTACTATGTGTGTTGACTTATAGCTGACAGACAGGAATGAGAAAGTGAATCACTCCATAGGAAATTTTACGTGCCCAGCCAGGACAGAATGTACATCCAATATATTCATATCCATTGACTGTAGGTATATTATCTGACATATCTACCTGTGCGGGAGGCTGGGAGGTATTGACTAGCTATGGGTTCATAAGGAAAGGGAAATGAACTCGGTATAGAGTTTTTCAGTCTTTCCAGAGCACTTCAGGAAGTACTTATATTCAGAATTAATTAGAGGCATTATCCTCATTGTGATGGTCCTGAAACTTTTGAACATGTTCACAAAGTAAAGAGCAGAATATACAGACTGTAGATAGAAAGATTATGATCAAACAACAGGTCCTTGCTAAGTAGGTTACCTTAAGAAAAATTTCAAAAACTAAAGTTAGGAAGGCAGAAATCTTCTCCAATGAACTAGGAAAATAATGGAGAACTATGTAAAAAAATCCAGCTTAGTGGTGAGAGGTTCTCGGTACTCTTCTCAAATATATCAGATATCAAGCTTCAATAATCACAGTTTTACAGCTAACTTGTGGATACTTGGATAAGGGCAGAATCAGTGACAGAGCAAGAATGACTAGATCTTGAAGTGTCTTAATGCTCATAGTTGAGCAAGAGGGTTGTTACTCTGTGACAAAAAAAGTACCAACATTCTACTGACTTAAAAATGCATGAACTTATTAAGTTAGGATAATGCACCCTTGATACAGCCCATTCTTTATTAATTGATCCTTCAATAGCTATATTCAGATTGTATTTTTTTACCTGAATGTATTAATTGTCTATGTAAACAGATTATATTTTCATTTTCACTTTAAGATATAGCATTTTAATATATTTAAAAATTTGAATTGTAAATTCGTAAAGCATTGTAAATTCATAAAACATATTTTATTTAAAAACTTTGTTAAAAAATTAAGTGAGAATTTTTAAGCTCAGTGATTTTCATATGTAAAATAAGGAGAATGAAAACCATGTATTTGTTCAGGATTTGCTACTTAATGAATTAAAAATAACAATTTAAAGTTTAAGGAATTAATAGTACTATAAGAATGCGTATGATTATTCTTTTGATGAGAAAGTATATATTTTACATGGTTCTACAGATTACCCTTATAAGAACTTATAATATCTAGAGTAAAAAACATAGTTTTTACTAAAAAATGTGTTGTAAAACATTTCATAATTCACATCATTAAAGGTGATTTAATCAAATAGAAAATATTTGGGCCATTTGCTTCATAGAATCTTGTCAATATCATTGTTTCATTTGATGTGAGGTCAGATACACTGTATTAAGCATACCCACATCATCAGAAAAATCTGTATACAAATGAAAAAACACCAAAATTTGCTATCATGTGCAATTAAATGCACATGTTGCATAAAATTTACTTCAACAACATTTCAGTTTCTCAGTATTGGTATTTATATTACTGGCATTAAAAAGTGGACTTACAGAGGCAGAGGAAATACAACTTAGCAAATTAGTCAGTATGTGTAATTATAATTATTGAATTACTTTTTAAAATGCCTTTAGTACCTGGTATAGTCGAGGTAACATAAATATAAAAAGATTAAAATGAAGTTCTTTAATTTAGATAATTTACTTTATAAAATAAATTTACTTCGAATAATAGTTTTACTCACTAAATTTAAATTTACTTTAAATCATAAATAGTTAAAGAGAGTGACTTAAGTTTTTATTCCATTAAATTAAACAGTGTGCAAATGATTACAAGCAGGATAATCTATTTGGTCTCAACCAGGATGCTAATTTTTTTTTCCAGGATGCTTAATTATACCACCATTTGCTATAATCCTAATATAAGAGGAAAAGGAAAATTAAATAATACACACAAACACTAGACTAGACACACACACACACACACACACACACAAAACTCACCAATAGAAAAAGAAAACAGCAAACAAGCAAACAAAATCACAATTAGTTAATATTGCAAGATACGCACCATTCAACAATATTTTATCATAACAGTCATGGGAGATACAGAAGCAAGTAAGACAAGTACATTCCTGCCCAACACTTTATCTGTCATCTGAAAGAAAAATGTCTTAATCATGAACAACCTAATAAAAAGGAGTGCAGAGAGCTGTGGAGCAACTAAGTGAAACAATGAGCCTAGTCTGGAGTAGCAGCGTTTCACATGAGCCATAAAAGACAAATAGGATTGGGCAAGGTAATGAAGGAAAGAGGAAAGAGACCAAAAGTAGCATTGTAAATGTTCTAAAGCCAGATGGAATATAACCAAAATGTAGTTCCATATTCCTTGAGCTAAAACTGCCTGAGGAATTGTGGCTATAGCAGAGACTAAACATAACAAGTAAGCAAAATCATGCAGAATATTATGGATCATAGTACAGATTCTGAACACAATCCTAAGGGAGGTATGAAGCAGAACACATGAGAGTGAGTTCATTAATGCCTTTAAATTGTAAAATGATATTCCTTTATTTTCATTGTAAAATTCTTGGCATTGGTTAATAATTGAGTTGAGAGACAAGAAAGAAACTCATTTCAATAATCCTGGGAACAGGAGGTTGAGGTTCCAGTGAGCTATGTTCACACCACTACACTCTAGCCTGGATGACAGAGTGAGACTCTGTCTTAAATAATAATAATAATCATCATCATCATCATCATCATCATCATCATCATCCAGGGGAGGGAAGAGAGGGAAGGTTCTAGTATGAATTGCAGTATTAATAGTGGTGTTAAAGAGAATGGGAGAAACAAAAGAGATATATATGGAGTAGAATTAATATATATGTGAAGTAGAATTGATCAAATTTAGAGATTAATTGCCTATATAGGTTAATCCCTTTCGGATTAAATTTTGAAAAATATGGCTGCCCTTTTTTTGGCATAAACATAGTTAAAGGTACAATATTCTAAAATAGGGAAGAATAACAAAAAAGCAAATTTGGGAAATAAATATTAAATAATTGATGAGTCTGTTGAATATGAAATGTCCAGCAACAATTCAAGTTGAGATGTCTGGTGACAAAACAGATATATAAGTCTGAGAGTGAGAAGACTGCTCAAACCTAGAGCCAGCTGGGGCCACAGGAGTCAATATAGTCACCTAAGTAAGTATGTGAATTGAGAAGAGAATATACATATGAGAGATTGCTGAAAACTCCAACAAATAATGGCTGGGTAGGGAGGAAAGTCATTAGAATAATTAATGGTTATTAGCCAAAGCTGATGAAAAAAATATGTTTTCCTCTTACCCAGTAGAATTCACTTGAGAAATAATTAAATAAATGTTAATGTCATTTTTTTGTACCTTGTTTACTTGGTGGTAAGAAGTTAAAGAGGTTCTGTTCTATCTTCTCTCTAACTTTTTTTCTTTAATTTTAACTAGATGAGGAGATTGTTTGTTGAGATTGGAGGGAGAATAAGGATGTAAGATATTTGTTTTTGTTTTGTTTTGTTTTGTTTTATTTTTAGCAGCAGCAAGATTTACTGTGAAGAGCCAAAGAACAAAGCTTCCACAGCATGGAAGGGGACCCGAGCAGATTGCCCGGATGTCAGATATTTGTAAAAGTACAGAAGGTAATAAGCAAAACCAGGTGTATTGATCTAGGATTGCAGTTTCCCCTTATAGGGATATTAGAAGGAAAAAGAGCCAAGGACATTTACTGTATCTTCAAAAAGATGCATTCATTTTAACCATAGAGTTTAAACTCAGTGAGGTCAGAAGAGTCTGCCTAATGGTCGGGGAAAATGAACTACTTGGCAAAGCAGAGCAGAGTTATCACGGATGTAGTTGTGCATGGAGGCAGTATGAATAGAAGGTTCTAGAGTTATCATGGATGTAGTTGTGCATGGAGGCAGTATGAATAGAAGGTTCTAGAGTTATCATGGATGTAGTTGTGCATGGAGGCAGTATGAATAGAAGGTTCTAGAGTTATCATGCATGTAGTTGTGCATGGAGGCAGTATGAATAGAAGGTTCTAGAGTTATCATGGATGTAGTTGTGCATGGAGGCATGAATAGAAGGTTCTAGAGTTATCATGCATGTAGTTGTGCATGGAGGCAGTATGAATAGAAGGTTCTAGAGTTATCATGGATGTAGTTGTGCATGGAGGCAGTATGAATAGAAGGTTCTAGAGTTATCATGGATGTAGTTGTGCATGGAGGCAGTATGAATAGAAGGTTCTTCTCACGCAGTGAAACATCTAACTTAGAGTTGTCAGAGCTTGAACATCATTAATCAATGATAAATTCCAGGATGTGATCATGAGAATAATAACTGATAAAAAGTAGAGAAGAGGATTTCTGAATTACTGACTTTTTGATTAGAGATCTAAAAGGTTAGATGGTTATATGGTTGGTCAGCATGGATTTTGAATTCACTCAGGATGAAGGCAAATATTGCATCAAAGAGAGAGAAAATTTGAATCAAGAACCAGATTGCAGCAAATGAAATAGTATATTTGGTAGTCTTATAGAATATAGCAATGAGTGGTAGAGCGTACAATGGGTATATGGAAAAATACCATAGAGTAATTTTTTAAGTAGTGCAATAACTATTTTATGTGGTTAAATTGATGCATAAAAAGATATCAGACTTAATTCTTTTCAAATAGACAGTCAGTAAGAATAAGCCTTCTATATTCAGGAAAATTGCGGTGGATGTTGTCACTTCATACGTGGGCCAGGTTTTTATTGAAGCATGAAAATATGAGGAATGTTTGATAAATTAGTTCAAGTGTAGGAAACATTTTTCAAGAAGTGGGAAGTCTGAAATGTATTGCAAGGAATTGAGAGTTATACCAGGATTTGGAGCAAGAGAAATGAGGGGAGAATCTGTTAATGAGGTTTCCAATTGTGGATGTTTATTCATAAAAAGCAAGATGTAATTAATTCTGACAATATATTGGTGGTAGGCAGGCATATATAGCTGCTTTTGAAAGAATGAAAATGACGTTTTATTCACAAAAATGCACACAGTTTTTAAAAAATGTTTAGACTGTGTCAGTTTTTGATGCAACATGCTCTCCCAACTACAGTCCCTGACCTTATATACAGGTGGCAAATATAAAGTATCGCATAGAGTCATAATATGGAAGAACAATTGAGATCCAAAATATTTACTCAACAGAAAGACATTTATGCTACTCATAATTTATTTGCATTTTGGTGAAAATATTCTATTTTCAATTTCTTAAAATATCAAATTATTTGATAATATGATCAAAGGAGGGAGGGATAGCATTAGGAGATATACCCAATGTAAATGATGAGTTAATGGGTGCAGCACACCAACATGGCACATGTATACATATGTAACAAACCTGCATGTTGTGCACATGTACCCTAGAACTTAAAGTATAATAAAAAAAGTATTTACTTTTCACATTTCCTGAGAAACATGATACTCAAGTTTTACATTACATACTCTTCTATTATAAATAGAGGCTCAAAGCAAAATGGATATTTTTCCCCTTCAACATTTAAATTATTCAAAATCTCTTTTGAAACATATCTAGAAATTATATCATATACTTCAGAATAAAATATAAAGCCAGGAAAAAGATAAAGAAGAATTCACAAAGTGAACTGAAAAGTACCAGCCAAAAAGGCAGAAGGGGAATAAAGATGTGGTGTTATGTGAATTTTGTGTTTAATTATGTCACCAGCAGGACAAATATAACTAAATTTTTTAATTGAATTTTACAGGAAAGAAGTAATGGCAATGTTGGCTAGAGCAGTTTACTTATGTTGGAAGGCATTAAATTCAAACTGCAGCTGTGAGTTAAGGAGTGACTGGGAGGTACAAAAATAGAAGAAGCAAACAGAAAGTCAAAATATGTCCTAAGAAGGAGAGATAAAGGTTTTAGCTCTTGTTAATTTTTACCCAGTCAATTATTTTTGAATGTATGTTTTATACACATTCTCATAAGGAAGACAATGCAATATTTTTAAGATAGTTTAAGCAAAGATGATATTTTACAGTTCATTGATTTAACAGAAGTGTGCCAGGCAGTGTACAAGGCTTTGGGAACCCATAATAAATAAATAAAATCCATGTGAACAAACTTGCCATTTTAATAGGGCTATCATTCTGGTGTCTGAGAGACAAACTATATGTATTTAAATGTGTATATGTATGTGTGTGTGTACATATATGTATATATTTGTATACATTTGTGTGGCATATACCTGGTGTGTGTGTGTGTGTCAAAGTCATTACATGTACTATGAAAACTAACAAAGTAGCATAGGCAAAACCAAGGGTGAAATACTGCTACATTACCCAGAGACTTAAGAGAAAAATTACCTAGAAATCTTATGTTTGAGTAGGACCTGAAAAAAGTTAAGACATGAGTTAGGAAGATCTCCAGAGGACAGGAATTTCAGGAAAAGCAAAGAACAAGTGCTAGTCTCAGGTGCAAGCATGCTTGCTGCTAGAGGGAAGGCGATTCCCCAGAGTTAGCAGGAGGCCAGATTTTTAAGGCATTTTAGACCACTGTAAAAATTTTGGGCGTAATTTGAGTGAAACGCAAAGCCATTATACTGACTCAATCTACTATACTCTTTTGATCGAGTGACACCTGTGCACATTTGGGACTAGGGCACATTCTCACTTCTGTATTAAAGAGAAACTGGAAGAGGAAAAGAAAAGCAGAGAGAGTTGAAAAAAACAAACAAACAAACAGACAAAAACTCTTCTAGTAACTATTCCGGGTAGGATTGCAAAGTAAAATCAGTCAGATGAGGTATTTTGAAGAGGTGTGAATTAGACCACATTAGTGATTGCGTGGGTGTTATAAGAGAGCAAATAAGAACAAATCCAAGGTTTGTTGTTACAGTGGTGGTATTTGCTTTCTTGTTTTGCATAAGCAAAAAAAAAAAATACATTGCTATTTAAGACTGTGAGATAAACCTGTTTGAAAGGGAAAATTAAAATTTTGGCTCAGATTATATATTTAAGAAATGCCAGGGTTAGTTATTTATGTATTAGTGTCCTTTGAATGGTATTCTGAGTGTTGAACACACAAAAGATTTAAATATATCCAAGAAGTGAATTGCATAAGAAAAAATACTTCCTGGAAATCCATTTTAATAAAAGTGTTAGGCCAAATGAAATAAACTCTCTGTTTAAGAGATAGAGATAGGATTTTTAAGATTATTTACAAAGGACTTGAGACAATGATTTCCAAAACTTCTGTTGATAAATATTGAGTTAAATAATAGTATTTGTTTATTAAAACTTTATATCTCTAAAGATGAATATCTTGGGGGAGTATCATTGCATTGCATGTTTAATATCATAATTATTAATTTAACTTTGTGTATCTGCAATGTAACAGATAGGAATTAGGAGAATGGGTTGTATTTGAAATAACCATCATAAAATTACATATTACATGCTTTACAATTAAGAAAATGTTTCCATATGAATAAATTTAATTTTTTCAATCATTTGAAAAATAAATTATATATGACTATAAGTAAAAACTAAATCCTCACAATAAGGAGGACAATAAAAAGATTGCAACTTTCATAATTTATGTGTTCATTTAGTTTCCTATTGGTGATACATACAGACAATAACGTTTAGCTGAGTAAACATGAAAACTGACGATGCTTTTTACTCAGTTCCATAAGCCAGTCCAGACAAACTGCCAACATTTATACTTATTTTCTTATTGGAAGCCAGCTTCCACTTTGATTGTTATATTTTCAAATGTGTGCTTTTGATCTCCACTAAATACACATCATTATAAGAAACTCAGATTTTATCACCTTCTGAAGAATAAGTAGACTTTTGTTAATCAATTAGAGAAAATATATTAGATAAGAGCTGATAGAACCACCATTTTCAGAGTACATGCTGTATGATCATGGCAAAAAGCAAAGTTAAAATAAAAGAGGTAATAAAATAATATATTTATACCACAATTAAATGCATATAATGTTACCATTTTATAATAAAAGGTATTACTAATTTACAAAATAATAGAAAATAATATAATGGAACTACATATAGATCTCAGCATCTTTCACATATATAACATAAATTTTAATTAAAAACATCCTCACGGGGCCAGGTGCATTGACTCACACCTGTAATCCCAGCACTTTGGGAGGCCGAGGCAGGTGAATCACCTGAGGTCAGGAGTTTGAGACCATCCTGGCCAAAATGATGAAACCCCGTCTCTACTAAAAATACAAAATTAGCTGGGCGTGGTGGCGCATGCCTGTAATCCCAGCTACCCGGGAGGCTGAGGCAGGAGAATCGCTTGAATCTGGGAGGCAGAGGTTGTAGTGAGCCAAGATTGCGCCATTGCACTCCTGGACAACGAGAGTGAAACTTTGTCTCAAAATAATAATAATAATAATAATAATAATAATAATAATAATAATGCTCACGTTGATCAATTTATAGGAAGGAAACAGTTTAAATTAATTTATATAACTGTATATAGTATTGTCTCTTTACAAAACATAATATAAATCTATATTTTTAATAGAAGAGTGTTTTATTAACATGTTTAAATCATACAGATGGTGATTCTTAAAGTACGGATTAAATATAAATTCTATGCCTGCAAATAACATAAACTCATATACTATCTTGTCTTATAAAAATCTTTCTGGGCAACCAAATTTAATTCATAATTCATCCTTGCAGTTTTGATTTATAATTATAATCAGAAGTATAAAAATAAAATAGCAAAATCACACAAAGTATGCTTGAGATACAAAAAAACCTCAGAAGAGTAAAGACTTTATTATAATCATTAAAGAAGTTATTTTTAAATGAATATTGGCTTATACTAAAACTTTATTCCTGTAGTCACTAATAGTTCCATTATGAAAGGTTTGCCAAGTATGTAATGATGGTTGAAATTAAAGAAAGCAAAGGAAGTTATATGTAGAAACGATGTAATCGTTCCGTGTTTGAAATTTTAGAACTGTTTGGCATTTAGATTTCCAGGTTTTTACGAATGAAAAATCAAATATTTAATTAATGCTTGTCATAGAGAATGAGCCAAATTGTAGTGATAAAAGTAACCACAATTACATGGTGCAATCGTGATATTGCTCTCTTATAGTAATGGCAGAAACTGCAATTACTTTTGCACCCACCTAATATACCAGTCAGATGTAAGTGGGAAGTTTAGGGTTGGCAGGTGCCTTAGCTCTAAAATGTTATCCATTCCCTTCTGTATTTTTGTACCATCAGCACTAAGGTGTAGTGCTCCTCTGCATAGTAAGTTCTGACACTTTTGCTGTTTTCCAGCCAATGAAAAACAAAGTATAAGTAGACATCTAATCATTTGAAGGGCATGATTGAGAAGTTACGTATTTCAATTCCTTTTACATCCCAGTCACCCCATTTAACTGCAGGTGAAATTTAGTCTCAATTTTGGTGTTCATGTAAGCTAATAAACTTTGAAGGGAGATGAATTATAAATTAGGAAAGAAGGAAAGAGTGAGGAACAAAAAAAAGTTGGGGTCTCTGTTAAACTCCTTTTATTATTTTCGAATGCAACAATTTTTAAAATATTCATATATGGAAAGATTTTTGACACATGAGAATACATTACACGTTGATGAACCAATAAACAATTAAGAAAAATAATTATACATAATAAATTTCCAGTTAAATAGCTTAATACTGTCTTAGTCCATTCAGGTTGCTATAACCAAATATTGCAGACTCAGTAATTTACAAAAAACAGAAATATACTGCTCACAGTACTGGAAGCTGGAAAGTACAAAATCCAGGTGCTGGCAGATTCAATATTTGTTGAGGGCTATGTCTGCTTTGCCTTCTTGCTCTACCCTCACATGGTAGATAGAGAAGGAAAGCTTGTTTGAGCCTCTTTTATAAGGGCATTCATTTAGTTATGAAGGTATAGCCCACAGGAAATAATCACTTTCCAAAGACCCCCCAGCACTCAGTACTATTAATGTTAGGTTCCAACATATGAATTTGAGGAGGACACCAATATTCAAACCATAAAAAAATCCTACATATATTTTTAGGATATATCAGTTTATGATAGTCCATTATACATGAAAATTAAGGGAAAATACCATACCTTGAGGAATATAGTTTATTTTTAAAATTTTTATTTCTTCTTATTATGTGTACATAGTAGGTGTATGTGTTTATGGAGTACATAAAATGTTTTGATACAGGCATGCAATGAGTAATAATCACATCATGAAAATGATATATTCATCCCCTCAAGCATTTATCCTTTGTGTTACAGACAATCCTGTTATACTCTTTTAGTTATTTTAAGATGTACAATTAAATAATTATTGACTGTAGTCACCCTGTTGTGCGATCTAATTCTTTGTCCTATTTATTCTAACGATTTTTTTTAAAACCACTAACCATCCCAACCTACCCCCAACCTTCCCCCTACTGTTCACAGCATCTGGTAACCATCCGTCTACTCTCTCTCTCCATGAGTTCAATTGTTTTGTTTTTAGGTCGCACAAATAAATGAGAACAGTTGATGTTTGTCTTTCTATGCCTGATTTATTTTACTTAACATAATAACCTCCAGTTCTATACATGTTGTTCCAAATGACAGGATTTCATTAATTTTTATGGTGGAATAGTACTCCATTGTGTATAGGTACCACTTTTTTTTTTTGAGACAGAGTCTCACTCTGTCGCCCAGGCTGGAGTGCAGTTGCACTATCTCGGCTCACTGCAAGCTCCGCCCCCCGGGTTCACGCCATTCTTCTGCCTCAGCCTCCCGAGTAGAGTAGCTGGGACTACAGGGGCCCGCCACCACGGCCGGCTAATTTTTTTATAATTTTAGTAGAGACGGGGTTTCACCACGTTAGTCAGGATGGCCTCGATCTCCTGACCTCGTGATCCTCCCGCCTGGGCCTGCCAAAGTGCTGGGATTACAGGCGTGAGCCATTGCGCCTGGCCCCACATTTTCTTTATCCATTCATCTGTTGATGGTCACTTAGGT
The DNA here is from genome assembly GCF_000001405.40 of Homo sapiens. Lineage (NCBI taxonomy): Eukaryota > Metazoa > Chordata > Mammalia > Primates > Hominidae > Homo > Homo sapiens. The sequence goes on along the minus strand of NC_000001.11, from coordinate 195,067,271 downwards.
TGCTTCCATATCTTGGGTACTGTGTACAGCACTGCAAGAAACATGAGAATACAGATATCTCTTTAATATACTTATTTCCCTTATTTTGGGTATATACCCTGCAGAAGGATTGCTGGATCTTATGGTAGCTCTATCTTAAGTTTTTTGAGAAACCTCCAAACTGTTCTCTATAGTATAGTAATTACCATATGGTGTATATAGCAATTTACATTCTCACTAACAGCTTACAAGGGTCCTCTTTACTCCACATCCTTGCCAGCATTTGTTATTGTCTCTCTTTTGGACATAAGCTGTTTTAAATATTGTTTGCAATTTGTAAGCATTTTGTGTATCTTCTTTTAAGAAATGTCTGTTCAAATATTTTGCTCATTTTTAAATCAGATTGCTAGATTTTTTTTCCTATAGAGTTCTTTTATCTCCTTATATATTCTGGTTATTAATCCCTTATCAGATGGATTAATATATAATTAATATATAATATAATTATTATATTCTGGTTATTAATGCCTCTTTAAAAAGATCAAACATATAATGTACTAATATAATTATTAATATGTTAATAATTAATGTTATTACTCACACCTATATCACTTAAGGCCCTGGCGCTCTACAATCAGCCAGTGGCAAAGCCAGCCAGGCTTGCATCTTTCCCTTCAGGGCAGTGAGTTCCTCCAAGCCTTTGGCAGGTCCAGAGTGCTGTCCAGGATTCAGGCACCAGATCCCAAAACCTTAGAAGTCTATCTGGTGTTCTATTGTACTTTGAGTGAGCTGACACTCAAAACACAAGACACAGTCCTTTCCACCCTTCTCTCCCCTTTCTAAAGGCAGAGGAAGCTCACCCTGTGGACATCGCCACTACCCGCCATGAGGAGTACTGCCGGACTACCACTGATGTTCCCATAAGGCCTAAGGACTCTTAACTCAGCTTGTGGTGAATGCTGCCAGGACTGTGATGCACCCCTCAGGGTACTGGACTCCCCTCTGGCCCAGGGCAGGTCCAGAAATGTCATCCAAAAAGCCATTTCCTGGAATTGGGGACCCCAAGAACCTGCTTGGTTCTCTACTCTCCTTGTGTATGAGCTGGTAACTAAGGAGCGAGACAGAGCCTTCTATTTATTTTCCCTCTGCTTTTTTCAAGCAGAACAAGTCTTCTCCTGTAGCCACCCCAGCTGGGAATGTGTTCAGTCTCACCTGAAGCCAGCAAGTCTCAGAGTCTCACCCAAGGCCCATGACCTACTATCTGGGTATTTCTGCTGCTTATTCAGAGCTTAAGGGCTATTCGGTTGGCAGGTGATGAATATTGTCAGGACTGGGTCATTTCTTTTAAGGCATCAGGTTCCCTTCTGGCCCAAGGAATGTCCAGAAATGTCATCTGGGAGCTTGGGCCCACCCAGAAAGGGGGCCTCATGACTCTTACTAGTGCCCTATCCTGCTGCAGCGAAACTGGTATCCAAGATATAAGACAAAGTGCAACACTATTCTCTCTCCTCTCCTCAAGTGAAAGAAAAGGGTCTCTTTCGGAGCCATAAGCTGTGCAGCCTGGGGTTAGGGAACTGGTGATGGCAGCACTCCCTTAGCCACCATAGCTGGTGTCTCAGTAGGTCATGTGCCTCCCCAGTCTGCTGCCTCTGGGCCAAGTTCAGCACTAGGACTCACCAAGCAGTTTCAGTCTTTGTGGCCTAGACTCCCTTTCAAGTTTATTTAGAGCCTCAGAGCACTTTAGCCGACGGTGGCGAGGCTAGTGGGAGCTCAGGTTCTGACCACTGGGGTCAGTGATTCCCCTCTGGCTAAGGCTGGTTTAAATACTCCCTCTCTGTGTGGGCATGAGTAGAATTTGGTTCAGTATTTCTTTCTACTATCATAGAGCAGTACTGAGTTCAATGTCTCACAATTGCTGTGTTCTCCCTCTCCATAGCAAACAGAAATGTCTCTGCACCATACTGTCACTACCAGGAGTTGGGGGAGGAAAGCCGTTGGTGATTCAAGGCTGTTTTTCCTGCCTCTTTAGTGAGTCTTTCATCAGTATAAAGGGAAAACCAGGTATTATGAGTGCTCACCTGATTTTTGGTTCTTATGAAGGTGCTTTCTCGTGTGTAGATAGCCGTTAAATTGTTGTCATTACGGGGGTATGATTAGCGGAGCTTTCTGTTCCACCATTTTGCTCTGTCCCCTCAGTCATTAAGCATTTTTTTAAAAAAATCTTCCATTAAAACTTTATGGTAAATAAAGGGTAAGTTAAGAGGAAGAACAGATAGAAAAATTAGAAAACAAATAGCAAGATGGTAGATTTAAATGTAACCATATTAATAATTATATTAAATATAAATGATTTCAACCTTCAAAGTCAGAGAATATCAGTGCACTTATATAACTAAAACACATCTATGTGTTGTTCATAAAACATTTCAAGTACATTTCAAATGTAAATGAACAGACTGATTAAAAGTAAAAAGATGGACAAAGGTAACTGCGATAATCTTAAACTACAGTAACTATATTAATATGAGACAAAATAGAATTCAGAGCAAGAAAGGTTATCAGATATATATATATACACACATATGTATAACATATATGTGTGTGTATGTGTATATATATATATAATATTAGATTCCTAATGCTGCCACAACAAACAACCACAAAACTAGGTGACTGAAACAACAGAATTGTATTGTTACACAGTTCTTGAAGCCACAAGTCTGAAATAGAGGTGTCAGCAGTATTTGTTCCTTTTGCGGGCTGGAAATAAGAACCTGTTCCATGCCTTTTCTCCTAGCTTCTTGTAGTTTGCTGGCCATCTTTAGCATTCCTTGGCTTGTGACAGCATAGTTTTAATCTTCAAATGATATTCATCCTGTGTTTCTACATGTTTTTCCTTCTGCCTTTGTTTCTCTCTCTGTGTCAACATTTCTTCTTTTTATAAGAACACCAATCGTATTGCATTAGGGTTTGCCCCCATGACCTCATTTTTATGTGATTATTTCTTTAAATACCAGATTTCAAAAAAAGGTCACATTCTGAGGTACTAGGGGTTAAGACTTCCATGTATTGTTTTGAAATACAATATTCAACCCATAACAAGGAGAATTTCATAAAGATGAAAGGGTCCAATTTTAAAAAAAGATAGCAATTATCAGTATGTTTTTACTTTATAACAGAACTCAAAATACTTGAAGTAAATTCTAATAGGACTAAAATAAGTAGACAAATGAACTATTTTAGTTGTAAGTTCAGCACTCCTAATATGTATGTGGATATAAATGTTAATAATGAGAAGAAAAATGGATAAACAATCCAACTGCAAATAGTCAAAGTGGACTAAAATTGATTCTTCACAAAGAATGATATATAAGATATATGAATGGCCAATAAACACATGGAAATGAACTGACGATCATATATTATTAGGAAAAATAAGTTTAAACTATGATGTGATAATGTTTACACAGCCATTAGAATGGTAAGATTTAGAGAGTGAAAACTTCAAATGGTGTTGAGAATGAGGAGCAATTTTAACACTGCTTCTTTGCCATCAAAATTTTCACATATACCAATATGATTTTGCTGTGTGTCTCCCCGCAAATCGTATGTGGAAATTTAATCCTGATGTGTCAAGAGAGGGACCTGGTGGGAAGTGATTGGATCATGGGGGCGGTTTCCCCCTTGCTGTTCTCGTGATAGTGAGTTCTCACGAGAATTTATGGTTTTAAAAGTGTTTGGCAGTTTCCGCTTTGCTCGCGCTCTCTCTCCTGCCACCTTGGAAGAAGGTGCCTGCTTCCTCTTCACCTTCTGCCATGATTATAAGTTTCCTGAGGCCTCCTGAGCTACATGTGGAAATGTGAGTCAAATGAACCTCTTTCCTTTCAAACCTAATTTCCTTATAAATTAGCCCGTCTCAGGTAGTATCATTACTGAGTGTGAAAACAAACTAATACAGTGTGAAAACAAACTAATACATAAACCATCTTTCCATGAGAGTTTGGCAGTTTCATAGCAACTCAAAAGTTCTTAGCAGTGTTTTGGTGTTGCTGACAACCATATATACATTTGGTAAAAATGAATTAAACTGTACTATTGAATCTTACTATTTTTGTATGTGATCGTTATGCAAATTTTATCTATACTAAGTTGATAAAGAAGAAGACAAGGAGGAGAAGGAGGAGGAGAAGAGCAAGAGGAGGAGGAGGAGGTGGAGGAGGAAATGGAGAAATAAGTAGAGCAGGAGCAGTATATGGGTCACTATAAAAGTAACTGTTAGTAAATTAAATGCTAAATATATTATCTTGTACGTCTGATACTAATTGTGCAAGTCAGTTCATACTTGAATGACAAACAATTATTGCAGTAATATTCTGTACTCTGAGAGAAAATGCTTTTATTATATTGAACAATGGAATTCTTTCAACACTCTAAATATAGAAAATTATTTCATGCTTCATGCATTTTATTATATATATTTTTGTCTATATGCATTGAAGTGCAAAAGAAGATTCTTATGTTTAAGAATTTGGGCATTCATAATACATGTGCATAAAATAATACGGTAAGATACTATGCATATTTCACAAAGACCTTTTGGGGAGAAAAACAAAGGTTTAAATCCTAACTCTAAAAGAATGTATTTCCTTCTGCCTAAAATAGTATGCTATTCACTATCTCTGGAGCATTTGTCAGCCCTCCAGGAAAAGAGTCCTTCAACTTGGTCATAGACAAGGACACATAGTCTCAGAAAATCAAGACCATTTTTAACCTAAAATTTTATTTGAAACATTATGGTTTGTGGAGTCCTTTATTACTAAACATTTCTTGAAGACATTTTGAATAGTATTTTTTCATTTTATTTTCCATATTTTAATTTATTTTTCCTTCTGCCAAACAGGCATTGTGATTTAATAACACTTACTAAAGATATTTGTTTGTGTATTAATTTCTCAGACTTATATCTGTAGAGATTACCTCAAATGTAGGCAAAATTAATTCCAATAAAGTGAACAATAAAGGTCCAAAAAGAGTTGGGGGTTTCTTTAATGTGTTGTATTTACACTGTGATGATACCTAAACTACTTGAAAATTCTTCATATTCTAAGATCATGCCCTGAGAGACAGATAGTAAAATGTGAAAATAATTTTTTCTACATGTTATTATATTATGAACTATACTGTTTTGCTTTTTATGCCATTTGAATAAATACAGGATATCTTAATTTATCAGATTGTATCTCTGGGGTAATTTTCTTAACAACAGATAAGAACTATAAACAGTAGTCATCCCAAAATGTATAGCCCTCATCCCCAAAAAGTTGACCAATATCATCACATCTGTATCAAGTATGCCATATTATATTCTAACTAGAATGAAACTAAAGTGCGTTCCCATGGTTACTCAGAACAATCAAAAATAAAAGATTTAAAGCAATATTTTAAAAGTAAAAAAAAAAACAAGAATTTGTATTATCTTTAACACTCATTAATCTCTTTTAACTTTTCAATTATTGGTTATTATACTATTTGAAACTAATTGAATGCCAAACTAATTTTTCTATTTAAGATAGAGACCATAAACATGAGTTACAAAGAACAAGCTGTTTCCAAACAAAGTATTAATAGAGGATAAAAAGAGAAGAAATCTATACAACTATCTACTATCTGTCTCTCAAATCTAACTGCCTATATATCTATATCTATATCCATGCCATTATAAAACGGACTGTTTTCCATTATGAAATTACTGGTATTAATATTATATTCTCAGAATGCTATACCATAATTTTTTTTTTTTTTTTTTTGAGACGGAGTCTCACTCTGTCGCCCAGGCTGGAGTGCAGTGGCACGATCTCGGCTCACTGCAAGCTCCACCTCCCAGGTTCAGGCCATTCGCCTCCCTCAGCCTCCCAAGTAGCTGGGACTACAGGCACCTGCCACCATGCTATACCATAATTTCTTAAAAAAAAAAAATTCAAGTACTTTTGTGAATACAGACAAACAAAAAAATTTTACAAAGTTAATCTTGTGGTGATTCCTCAGGAATCTAGAACTAGAAATACGATTTGACCCAGCAATCCCATTACTGGGTATATACCCAAAGGATTATAAATCATACTGCTATAAAGACACATGCACGTATATGTTTACTGTAGCACTATTAACAATAGCAAAGACTTGGAACCAAACCAGAGGTCCAACAATGATAGATTGGATTACGTGGCATATATACACCATGGAATACTATGTAGCTATGTTGTGGGGTGGGGGGAGGGGGGAGGGATAGCATTAGGAGATATACCTAATGTTAAATGACGAGTTAATGGGTGCAGCACACCAACATGGCACATGTATACATATGTAACAAACCTGCACATTGTTCACATGCACCCTAAAACTTAAAGTATAATTTTAAAAAATGCCATTAGGATTTTTCTGGGATATCATTGAAATCTACAGAAAAATAAAATCTTATCCCTAAATATAATTTTTAAAAAGGATTGTATTGGCCAGACGTGGTGGCTCACACCTATAATCCCAGCACTTTGGGAAGCCAAGGTGGGGGGATCACAAAGTCAAGAGTTCCAGACAAGCCTGACCAACATGGTGAAACCCCGTTTCTACTAAAAATACAAAAATTAGCCACGTGTGGGTTGCATGCCTATAATCCCAGCTACTCAGGAGGCTGAGGCAGGAGAATCACTTGATCCTGGGGGCAGAGGTTGCATTGAGCTTAGATTGCGCCACTGCACTCCAGGCTAGGTGACAGAGCGAGACTCTATCTCAAAAAAAAAAAAAAAAGATTGTATTATATGATACTTCTTTATTCTGTTTAATTAACATCTATTCCATTTTCTCAATATATGAGCACTTTAATTAGAAGGCATCTTGTCTATGCAACAAATGAGTGGTAATACCTTATTAAAATGCCTGTTGTAATAGTGATCAATTGTATCTGTCTCATTTAGCAGAGATCTGTGGTTCTTCATATCTACATTGTCTCACTTATAAATTGTTTCTTAATATAGACTAGTAATGATTTTGGGCTAACCAAACATCTTCAATGACTCAAGCAAGTTAACAAGCAACTACTATGACACTTCAATAGATAAATCAAGCACTTAAAAACAATTACTGACTACATTGTAAATTTTTTTTATTTTCTGTGTATTATGCCATTTTGCCATCTTACATTTTTCTGGCTGGAGAGAGACTGTCCTGCCCTGGACTAACCAATTTTTAAAAGACAACAAAGGGCCCAGCCTGGAGCTTCTCTTTGATAGCAAACTAATCAATCCAGAGCCATGCCTGCTTTATCTGGCCAGAATACCTCTTTATGCAGTATTCCTCTGCCATAATTATCTCAGAGTCAGGAACCAGGGAACTAAGTACCATTCCTATAAACCAGTACCACCAAAATTATTCAAATTAGCGAATCCTAAATTGTTCACCCTTCCCTGTCTTGCCTTTATGTTGGAAATCTTAGTAAGCTAGTGGCCCAACTCTTCCCCTCATTCCTGTCTTCTGCCTCATGACCATCCTGGAGTCTTAACCATGTGGCCCTGTATGGCATGTCTTACTTCCTGTCTCTAGAACCTGAGTATAATACATTTTGCTTTTTTATTGAGCCTCTCTATGAATGTACCTGAGTGACTATCCTATGAAAGAATACAAAACTCATTCCAAAGCTCAAAGTTGCTAAGTACATAATGTCCTTTTAACTTTGTGTTTTAGAAACTGTCAAACGTGTGTGTGTGTGTGTGTGTGTGTGTGTGTGTGTGTGTGTGTGAGTGACAGCATTTCGCTCTGTCACCCAGGCTGGAGAGTGCAGTGGAGTCATCTCAGCTCACTGCAACCTTCGCCTCCTAGGTTCAGGTGATTCTTCTCCCTCAGCCGCCCGAGTAGCTGGGATTATAGGAGTCCGCCACCATGCTTGGCTAACTTTTGTATTTTTAGTAGAGATGGGGTTTTGCCAAGTTGGCCAGGCTAGTCTCGAACTCCTAACCTCAGGTGATCCACCCGCCTCAGCCTCCCAAAGTGCTGGGATTACAAGTGTAAGCCACTGCGCCCTGCCAAACCAGAGTGTTTTGAGTCTAAACTTGATGATAGATTTCAAGTTTGCTTTAAATGTAGCTATTTGTAAGAGAATACAATGAAATAAAAACGTTAAACATTGTCATTTATTTATTTTTCCAATTTGTTCAGCATGCATTTTTGGCTCACTTGTATTTTTCATTATTTGATCTCCAAAAATATGAAAGCATAAACAATTTAAAATGTGGTTTTAATACAAACCAGAATTTTCCCAATTGTCTCCTTTGATATTTATTTTCACTATATCATTTCAAAATCCGAAATGGATGCACTGTTATGGTAAAAATGGAGAACACGGAATAGAGGAATCGTCCTTTAAGACATAGAGTTTTATATCATCTTAGCACTATTAGTTTTCTGTTGCAGGAGCACTATATTGTTAATTCATATTCTGTTGACTCATTTGCTCGCAACACATTTATCAAGCACTTATCATTTGTAAGGCACTCTGTCCAACATAAAAATGAACAAGTCAATTATAGTTTCTCCCCTCATGAAGTTAGGCACTTGCCAAAAGAAACTTGAACATCTTATATATTGACTGGTAGACATTGAAACTGTCAATGGGTTTGGCCAATCATAATCTAATTTCTTTATTTTATAGCTATGGATAGAGTATCTCCAACTTTTAAATTCATTTCTAAATTATTACAGATTCCTAAATCCAAGACCTTTTGACTCCCATGCCATTTCTTTTCCTTTCTGATTCCATATATAGCTTCTAATCTGGAAAGGGATTGGTGTTTACTTTTTCTCCTTAAGAGTACAACTCCCTTAAGTTTGAATACTGAAAAGCTTTATGTTTTATTGTTCAAATTTTTTCACATTTGTCAGAATGATATTGAAATCAGACTGATATGAAGCCTGGATTATCTAATTCTTAAATCAGGATAGAACTGATTATCAAATTCTTAAATTAGGAAAGATTTATAAAAGACTGAAAAAAACAGCAGGGCACTAAATTTTTTCTTTAGAGTGACTTGCATGTGGAGAAGGAAAATGACTAGAACATAACTATCCTCTGGAAACATTTGTGTAAATATCTTCCTTTCAACTACAATCTTCAAAGTACATATTTTCTGATTTGGTAGTTTAGGATTATGGTGCAGTTAAAAATCTATTAAGCTTAAAGATATTTGCTGAGAATGTATTATATTTAGGGCACTGAAATCTGTGCTGTGAGTGAGGATGACTTATATATACCTGCTTGGTATTTAGTCTCCTATTTTAGACTATAGTAGTAGAAGAATCTATCCATACACATGTACAAGTATCAGTCCAACAAAGCATTGACTTATGGTTACCTTGTGAGTTATACAAATCAAATATTTTAAGACAAGGAAGGTTGAAATCATCATGCCCCTGCCAAGAGCAGGTAAATGATCATGGCGGATGCTACATCTGAGTTGAATTTTAATGGATTGCACTGACAGTGTCTTAAGAAATACTGTTATGAAAAAAACTTAAGGTGTAGTTTATGGATTAGTAATTAGGATTTCTTAATATACAGCGGGCCTTTTAGTGGCAGGAGACCAATGATGTAGTCTCCTACAATTGGAATTCTAGATGCATTTTAAAATTCCATTTGATAAGTGATAAAGATATATTAGGAAATTTATGATTATCCTATGATGCCATAGGGATGTCTCATCCCATTTTATTTTATTTTTTATTTTTTTTATTTTTTTGAGACGGAGTCTCTCTCTGTTAACGGCCCAGGCTGGAATGCAGTGGCTCGGTCTGGGCTCACTGCAAGCTCCGCCTCCTGGGTTCACACCATTCTCCTGCCTCAGCCTCCTGAGTAGCTGGGACTACAGGCACTTGCCACTGTGCCCACCTAATTTCTTTGTATTTTTAGTAGAGACGGGGTTTCACCGTGTTAGCCAAGATGGTCTCCATCTGCTGACCTCGCGATCCGCCTGCCTCGGCCTCTCAACCATTTTATTAAATACTGACCTTGAATTTGAAAAACATATTTGACCATCATGACCTTACTTCCTGTTATTGTTTCCTGTTTGAGCCTGGATTCTCTTCCCCATATTTTTAACCCATTTGAGAGTTCACATAAACTTAATGGACATCAGTAATATAATGGTTTTATATATATATATATATATTATGCTAAGTTTTCTGAAACCTCACTTAAGCTGATGCATTTTGTATAAAAATAACACAGGTATCTCACAGTCATTTTCAGTAATAGAAAAGTTTAAACAATGAAAACTATGGTTTGAAAGCAAACTAAGGTTAATCTGATTGTCTTGATTTGTTTTCATTCAGGATACAATTTTATTTTGACTTTAAAATTAAGGGAAGAAATGATATTTCATTGTTGTAAAAGTATTCATGAATTTATGAAACTTAAGATGGTGCGTACTCTAAATGAAAAGGGTATAGTTTTTACTAACAAGCACCAAGGCCTTTTGGGATATTAGGAAAAGAGGTCTTTTCGATAAAGAATAAATTAAAACATTCCTAATAAAGTGGGTTTCTATCTTACTGCATTTTTTCCTTTTGAAATGCAAATAGAAACTCATTTGTCCAGTATTTATGCTAGAAAATAGATGCTACGTTTTGTTAAATGTTATGCCTAGAGATAATAAGCACAGATGTAAGCAAAAATAGAATTAGATAGGAGAAGAAAATAAGTTACAAAGAGAAATAAATTAATCAATAACAGAGTCTGCTGAAAATATACCATTCCTAGCACAGGGGTCTGCACACACATTAATAATAATAATAATATCATCATATTCTGTGAAGTTATAAAAGCAAGTGTTGATTGGACGAGCCTGGGACACTGACTGTGGCTATAATGCTTACCATAATAATCAATCTGATATTGCATTTTGTATCCTGTGAAGAAAAAAACAAATTTGAAATGGTTGAATAGCTTTCCTTCATAAACATGTGATTAGGTAATGTACAAACAAAATAAATGACTAAACTGTGATTATGTAAATAGAGATGGGATTATATGAAAAATGTAATAAGTTATGGACTTGAAGTTTGCAAACTAATATATAAATATATATATGTATTTACTACCTGTTAAGCAAGCATTAAATAACTGATTTGTATTCATGAATCTATTTCATTGTTCGGTAGAGCCAAAATAAATGTTATAATATTTGCAGCAGTGTGGTGGTCAAAGTGATCTTATAAAGATCTAAGAGGAAACTCTCACTCATTTTTACTTAAAATTAGTTTTAAGGTGGGTGCCATTAAAACTATCAAAACAGAGAAAATAAGTATGATGATAACAGTTTTATTCACAGAAAGCAAATTGACAAGATGATTGCCAATATTTCTAACTTTAAAGTAAATAAAAATAGGAATTTGTTGTTAAACAATTTGTAACCTATTTTAAATAGATATAATGGAAAATACTGTATTATGAACTATATAAAATTTATCAAATCTTAGTATATTTAAAATTTCCTGGTTGTTTATTCTTAGTTAAAAATAAATATACCATTTAAAACCTAAAAATAATTTTTAGACACATAATACTCAACACGTTTAAATTACTAATTTGACATATGCTATTGTGTCCGGAATTGGTGGGTTCTTGGTCTCACTGACTTCAAGAATGAAGCCGCAGACCCTTGCGGTGAGTGTTATAGTTCTTAAAGGTGGCGTGGCTGGAGTTTGTTCCTTCTAATGTTCAGATGTGTTCGGAGTTTCTTCCTTCTGGTGGGTTCATGGCCTCGCTGGCTCAGGAGTGAAGCTGCAGTCCTTCGTGGTGAGTGTTACAGCTCATAAGGGCAGTGTGGACCCAAAGAGTAAGCAGTAGCAAGATTTATTGCAAAGAGCGAAAGAACAAACCTTCCACAGTCTAAAAAGGGACCCCAGTGGGTTGCCACCGCTGGCTCTGGCAGCCTGCTTTTATTCTCTTATCTGGCCCCACCCATATCCTGCTGATTGGTGCATTTTACAGAGAGCTGATTGGTCTGTTTTACAGAGAGCTGATTGGTCCATTTTGACAGGGCACTGATAGGTGTGTTTACAATCCCTGAGCTAGACACAAAAGTTCTCCATGTCCCCACTAGATTAGCTAGATACAGAGTGTCGTTTGGTTTATTTACAAACCCTGAGCTAGACACAGAGTGCCAATTGGTGCATTCACAATCCCTTAGCTAGACATAAAGATTCTCTAAGTCCCCACCAGACTAACTAGATACAGAGTGCCGATTGGTGCATTCACAAACCCTGAGCTAGACACAGGGTGCTGATTGGTGTGTTTACAATCCCTTAGCTAGACATAAAGATTCTCCAAGTCCCCACCAGATTAACTAGATACAGAGTGCCAGTTGGTGCACTGACAAACCCTGAGCTAGACACAGGGTGCTGATTGGTGTGTTTACAAACCTTGAGCTAGATACAGAGTGCTGATTGGTGTATTTACAATCCCTTAGCTAGACATAAAGATTCTCCAAGTCCCCACCAGACTCAGGAGCCCAGCTGGCTTCACCCAGTGGATCCCTTACTGGGGCTGCAGGTGGAGCTGCCTGCCAGTCCTGTGCCATGCGCCTGCATTCCTCAGCCCTTGGGTGGTCGATGGGACTGGGTGCTGTGGAGCAGGGGGCCGTGCTCGTCGGGGAGGCTCAGGCCACACAGGAGGGGGTGGGCGGCAAAGGCTCAGGATCAGGCACGACGGGCTGCGAGTCCCAAGCCCTGCCCCGCGGGGAGGCAGCTAAGGCCTGGCGAGAAATGGAGCACAGCAGCTGCTGGCCCAGGTGCTAAGCCCCTCACTGCGTGGGGCCCTGCTGGCCAGCCGCTTCCGAGTGCGGGCCCCCAGAGCCCACACCCACCCAGAACTCGTGCTGGCCCGCGAGCGCCCTGTGCAGCCCCGTTTCCCTCCTGCGCCTCTCCCTCCACACCTCCCTGCAAGCTGAGGCAGCCGGCTCCGGCCTTGGTCAGCCCAGAAAGGGGCTCCCACGGTGCAGCGGCGGGCTGAAGCTCTCCTCAAGCATGGCCAGAGTGGGCGCCAAGGCTGAGGAGGCGCCCAGAGCGAGTGAGGGCTGCCAGCATGCTGTCACCTCTCAATATGATGCAGAATGCCTTATGATATTGAAATACAGCAGTCCCTCTCCCTAAAAATATAAAAACTCTTAATAAATAGAAATCTAAGAATAAAACTCTATCATGATTTATAGAAGTTTTTATTAGGTCTGTTTTTCTTTTTCAATTTTAAACATTTCTAGCTTTCCAACCAATTGGAATGGCAAGCTGTCAGAAAAACTGCCTGATTTATTAATTTTGAATAAAAAACTTATTCTAAAGCATTCAAATATAATAAAAATAATATGGACTAGCATTCATTGAGTAAATACATAAATTAACTCTTGAATCTCAAAAAATTGTATTTAGTTAGGTCCTATTATAATTCCCATTTTACTATGAGGAAACTGAGGCTCAGAGATGCCAAACAGTTTAGCCATTATGCTTCCTTGAGTAGAAAGTGAAACTAAATTTGCAGCTCAGCTTTAAGGCTCATGCTTTTACCTATTATGCTGAACTGAATGCTTTCATTTTCTTACAACCTCATCATTTATCTTGGCCCACTTCTCCATTTACAGACACTTTGATTACAATACTTGGATAAAGTTTCTTCTTAACTGTCAACAGCATGAAGACTCAAAGTTAAACGTTAAAAATGCTCCCAAATTCGTCACATTACATTTTTTTCCTTTCTATAGATTATAAGACTGTCATTGCAAAGGAAGAGGATAGTAGTTGTTAACACATACTTTTTTTTTTTACAAAATTAGATTAACATTTAATATATTATTTTGAATTTTTTTGTTTTGTTTTGTTTTGTTTTTTGTTTGTTTGTTTGAGACAGAGTCTTGCTCTGTCACCTAGGCTGGAGTGCAATGGCAGGATCTTGGCTCACTGCAAGCTCCGCCTCCAGGGTTCACACCATTCTCCTGCCTCAGCCTCCCCAGTAGCTGAGACTACAGGGGCCTGCCACCACGCCAGCTAATTTTTTGTGTTTTTAGTAGAGACGGGGTTTCACCATGGTAGCCAGGATGGTCTTGATCTCCTGACCTTGTGATCCGCCTACCTCCGCCTCCCAATGTGCTGGGATTACAGACGTGAGCCACCGCACCCGGCCATTATTTTGAATTTTTAACTGTTGGAGTTAGAAAGAAAATTTTATTTAAATATCTATTAAAATATGCCCAGGAAGAAATGCATGAAAATGCTAAAACTGGCTCTTATGAAAACAGATATTTTAAATTTATTTTATACATATATACATTTTCTGTTTTGACCTGGCACTTGTGTTACTTTCAAAATCAGACAATTTTAATAATTTTTTAAATTCCAACTATTTCAATAACAAACAATTAGAATAAAACAGTATATACTTAATAATTGATATGCTTGATAGTTGTAATAAGATAAACTATGTTTCTTAACGGAGGATGCTGTAATTGCCGCATCTGATGGTGGCTGACTGAGTGATTTGATGAAAAATATTTGCTGCCAGTAAATTGATTCAGAAAATGGAAGTTAAAGAGAACAAGAACTTTAAGAATGAAGTATCTTGATCTTGAAAACACCACTTGCTGATGTTGCCATTGATTTTCATAAACAATAACAAAAGATTTTCTTCAAACCAAGGGGTTCTTGAAAGGTTATTATTGTCTACACAATGCCTGTGGTTTCTTGACTTAAGGATGCCAATATGTGGCTGCTAGTTTAGATAATTGACATAATTGTTGAAATAATCATGGATATAATAACATTATCTATTTTAAAGCCTTATTTTAGATATGGAGATTTTTATAAGTTACGTAATTTACCTAACTCTGTTAGGTAAATACTGTGCTTGTATATAAAAAAAAAGTTTATTGATAAACTTTGTATTATACTGGGTATTTTTCTTTAAAATTTGATCATTCAAGTACCTATATTTTCAACAGTTGGTTTTCCTTTTACTATGACTGTCTTTTACTTGAAACAACTATATTAGATTTGTTTTATACATACAACTGCAAAACAGTGAGAAAGAACTAATTGTAAAAAGCCAACCTAAGGGAAAACTAGTAAGTAGAAAGCAAGTTGAAATATATGAGTGTAGAAACTATGTCAGGGAGGTGGTGAGACAAAAAGTGCTATTAAGTTAAATCAAGGGTTTCTGGATTATTTGGGGATTGATGTGACCCCAAATATGACCATCATGCATTAGTAGGAATGCTTCTGTCCCAGACTCAGCCAAAACAAGACAACTTGTAAACTGATTTTGGGGACCTGTGTATTCTCATGTGCTTAAAGAAGTATGTCGTTACCTCTTGGGTAAGTTGTGAAAAGCTCAAGAGGAAAACATTGGAGCAGAGTTTGGTCATAGAAATACTGAAAGGACTGCAGAGAATAACAGTAGTTGCAAATGGTAGCTAGAAACCCATGATATTTAGGGAGAGTGAAGTTAATTAGTGAAGGAATTGTCTGTTCCAACGCAAAAACGTTCCAGGGCAATCTACTTTCAGGTCTTTCAGTCCTTAAGGAGTATTTTGCAATCGCTTCCCATTAGTGCCTTGTCAGAGAGTTGAATTAGTTTCATATCTACAGACCGGGGTTATGATCTGGCTAGTAGACAATGACCAAGAGTCACAAGAGTACCATTGATTATGTTTTCGTGACTGCATTTAATGATTTTATTATACCCCAAGACAAAGGTTACCGTTTTCCTGCTGTACAAAAAAATACAAACTAATGATCCAAAAGAATGACCCTTCCATTCACCCCTTAAAGTTCACTCTTGGCTTGAATTTATATTGTCATAGATAAGAAATGGAGGTGAAAATGCGGATAAACAGTCCATTTCTGTAATTACCTGTTGTCGCAAAGGCCATGGATTATAATGGAAGGATCATAGACTTTGAAGCCAGTGAAATAAAATATTTTATATTTGATTGCCATTAGTCACAGCATGGCTTTATGTAAATTATTTTCTCAGCTTCAATTTTATTATCTGATAATGGGAGATAACATTATGAGGAGTTAAGAACAAGTCATGCCAAAATATACCACTTTGGCATATTGACTACTTTGAGTTTAAGTCTCTTGAAAAACAGTAGATGCAAGATTACCCTGAACTTCCTTTTGTTTCTTAAAAGCAGGAAATAAAATTCCCATGTGAAAGCAGTCTTACCTATACGGGAAGGAAAGCGCCATTTGTGTCATCATGAATGAGAAGTTGAGAGCAAGGAAAATCTGTACAAACAAAGCTGTTTACTAACCCTTATCTTCCTAGCTACTCCTGCACCCAATTAGTACCTTTGCCCGAGCCCTTTCTCCTTGTCACATTTTCACAGTTTACTACTCTGTGCAATTCAGCATATAAGTATTCAATTGTAATTGTTTCTTTTGGTCTTCATTTCCTTATGAAGGTTCATGGGCTGGTAAAACTTGTTTTAAGCAAATTTGTTTGCCTTTCTCTTACTGATTTGTCTTAAGACATTTTAATACTCAGGACTATCCATTAAATAAAAAGAACCTAAAAGAGTAGAGGTAAATTTTTGCCTGCCGTAAAATTACTTTCTTTATAGTGGTAAAAATCAAATATTTAATATAGCCCCTGATACACAGTGTGTGCTAAATAAACAATAATGCTTAGTATTATTAGATGCTAAAAATAAACAAATAAAACAAAAATAAACAGGTAATATGCTAGAAAATGGCAGTTTTGCATCTACACTCACGAAATTATTTTGATGAGAAAAAGTTGTCTCTCCTCTCAGAAAAGTAGAATGTATCAAGAAATTGTTTTTGAAGTAAGGTTTGTGAGGAGAAATAAAAGAGATCAGTTAATGGTTTGCAGTTTATCTCAAAAGAATTTGACATGTTGTTGGGCCTAAATGCAGTGAAGTACAACGATGTTGTTTCATTTCACCCAGCATCAAATGGGGCAGCGGAACATTTTTTTTTTTTCATATCATTAACTTGGCAGTGTTGCAAATGCAAAGTTACAAGAAAAGTAGGGTTTGACACACTATTTGGTAGCTTAAGTTCTTTTCACTGCAAGAGACTCTATTTGTCACTTTATAAAGGCATGTATACATGAGTGGATTTTAAATAGAGAGGAAGAAATATATTTTATTATAAAAAAGACAAACAAAGCTGTGATAAATTTTTAAAAATGCCATTATTTTAGGAAACACCTTTGTTTAAACAAAAAAAAATTCATGACACTTGTTAAAGATAGTGAGGCAGACTTTATCAAAGGTGGGCCATGGAGATATGTTTAGAGAGAACTGTATTTGGGTTTTACAGAGGAAAAGAGATGTTGGACTGAACTACGACTCCAACAAAAACCTGGGAAATTTAGAGCTAAGGAGTGGGGGTCCGGGTCAGTTGATGGAAAATTACTAAGAAGAAACATCAGGGATAAGAAGAAATCTTGCTAGGCCAACTCAAGAAGAATTCTAGTTGAAGTCAGGCCAGGGTGATACCAAGGATAAGATAGTTTAGTGAAAACCTCCTATCCTTGGTATCAGACCACCCTAGATATCTTTGGTTTATCTTTAGTTTTTCATTAAACTTCTTTTCTTGGTATCTCACACATATATAAAATTTACTTTTATAAATGCACTGATTCTGTACAAAAATATACCAGTAAGACAGATCAGAATATAGTGGCC
This sequence comes from Homo sapiens, assembly GCF_000001405.40. Classification (NCBI taxonomy): domain Eukaryota; kingdom Metazoa; phylum Chordata; class Mammalia; order Primates; family Hominidae; genus Homo; species Homo sapiens. The sequence continues at coordinate 195,049,542 of NC_000001.11, read as the reverse complement.
CAATTGCTTATGTACGAGTTTGTCAACAGGTCTAGATTTGAAAGACATTCAACTTGTATGCTTTATTGGCATTTTCTCTGGTAAAACAAATATAGAGTATCCAATATAATTTTTCGAATATTTTTAAAGATTACCAACCTTTTGTTTTGTGGTGGTCATGTTCAAAGATATCTCCCAAATTATAACAATTTCTCTCTGGGATCTGTCCTCTCTGTACAATGCTCATCCTCATATTCCCGGTGGGACCAAAAAACAGAACATGAAGCTAAGGATTTTTTCTAGGCCTTGTAACTTAATAATTGTTTTTTCCTGCTGGACTTTAAAATTGTTTTAGTCAAGTGACTTCTTTCTTTCTTCTATTTTTTAATTTTGGGGATAACTTCATTCTATGCCTGCCTCCTCATTGTGTTTTGGAAGTGGACAACTTATTTTCTAGTTTTACAGATCCACAAGTGGAGACAAATTTTGTCCCAGTACAGATCATACCCATAGACTTATCCATACCTGACTGAGATGACTGAGAATGGTGATATTTGGGATAGCTTATCTGATATTTAGATAATATTTTGAACCTTGAGTTGATTGTGGAATAGATTGAGATTTTGGACACTTTGAGATAGATTGAATGTATTTTAAAGTTTCTCCATTTGGGCATCTATCATATGAATATGGTAATAGAGGCAGATAGGTCGTCACTTCATCTGTGAGGATTTGTATGCCCTTTTTCTTGACTAGATATTGACACAAATTGGACATCTCTGTGGGAAAAGGAGCCTACTTTGTACTCCCAAGGGTGAAAAACATATGTGTTTTTGGTCTGCTCTAAGAGAAGCTCAGCTACACCTATTACGTTGGTGGTGCTAAACAGTAAGAGATATGTACAAAGGTTTTTGAACCTGGAACTAAGGATTGTTGTAATGGCAAGGTTGTCACACCCATACCAGAAGCAAAGTAGCACAGGAAAATGGCAATATCCAGAGTTGGCTACTGATGGTATGATAATCCAGGGTACGGAAGCCAATATTAAATGGTAGCTGGCAGTGATAGCTAGTCAATGGAATAGCTCTTCTTTTGCCTTTACTGTGTATCAGAAAACAAAACAAAACAGAAAAACTTGTCTCTACTTGTTTTCTAAACCTCTATTACATCTCTGAAAGCTTCCACAAATAATTCAACATCAAAATTTTCATAAATTTTCTCTTTTTTTGTTACAAATAGGAATCTAGGAGATAGGAAAAGCCATATAACACTTTCTGAACTATATTGGAAACAAATCTGCTAATAAAGTTTAAATTAGAAAAACTCAAACATAAAAACATTATTGGATTTCTAGTGTTGGTGGTAGTGATGGTGATGGTGGCATGCATGTGATATGTAAAATCAAATAAAGGAAAGTTCTTCATAGAAATAAAATATTTTTGATTTTGTACAAATCACTCAAATTCCTGAAAAAATGTTAAAGCTGTGATTTTAAAAAAAGACGTGTTTAACATGGATGGGCATAGAAAAGCCACTAAAAATGCATTTAACTGTCAATGTCATGCTCTTGTCAATGAGTTTGTCCATACATATTGAAGCGTTTGCCAACTACTCCATCAATGACAGACAGGAGTAATGTGAAACAGTTCCAACATGAGTTGAAAGCAGTCAAGGCTGCATATTTATCCTGACTTTAAATTCTATTGCATAATAGCATTTAGCTTGTTTTTAAATTCCAAAAAGATGAGTTTTATTTGTAACATGTACCTCCTTTTGCTTTTAGACAATATTTTGTAAAGCAACTAAAAGTGCAATATAGATAATTTTATTGTTGATTACATTATAAAGTTCTAAAAATATTCACATTATTTAATCAAAATGTACTGTGCTCTTCAAGATATTTGGTTCAATTGTTAACACAGCATGCAAAATGAGTTAATGAATTTATGATATTTTAAGATCTATGGATTAATATATTCCATCCTTAAATGTGTCATTTTATCAGAACAATATTAAAATAAATGGGAGATAAAACATAGAAGCATAAATATAAAGCTAAGTTTTTTTCCAAAATAACAATAAATTTGGAGCTCATGAGATCTGTAAGACACTATAATTTAATCATACACATACATACACAAATCAAGTGTTCCAAATGCACTTTTTAAATTTTATTTTTAATTAACAACTATAGATTGTAAATATTTATGGTGTGCAAATGATATTTTGCTATATGTGTACATTGTAGAATGACTAAATTAGGCAATTTGATATATGCATTTCCTCAAATACAGATAATATAAACAATAACAAAATATATTTTGAAAAGCAAAAAAAAAGTCTTGGAAATTATGAATACAAATCATACAAAAAGAAAATAAACTTTCAGTAGAATAGAGGAGAAATTTTAGTCATATCTCCAGAAATGATAACATAGAGAATGGAGAATGTAAGGGAAAAAAAATTTTAATGGAAAATTGTTTGACTATGCATCTGATAGGGGACTAATGCTCAGAATATACAAGGAACTCAAACAACTCATTAACAATAAAAATGATTTCATTAAAAAGTGAGCAAAAGTCTTGAATAAACATTTTTCAAAAGAATGTATACAAATAGTCTACAAGCCTGTGAAAAAATGTGTAACAATAGGAATCATCAGAGAAATGCAAATTAATAGCATAATTAGATAGCAACCTAACCTAGTCAGAATGGCAATTATTATGAGGCCGAAAATAATAGATGTTGTCAAGAACGCAGAGAAAAGAGAATGCGTATACAGTGTGGATGAGATTGTAAATTAGTACAAACTATGGAAACCAGTTTGGAGATTTCTCAAATAACTAAAAATAGAACTAACTTTCAATCCAGCAGTCACACTACTAGATGTATATCCAAGGAAATAAATCATTATATTGAAAAGAAACATGCACTTCTATGTTTATTACAGAATTATTCACAGTATCAATGATATAGAATCATCCTAAGTGTCCATCAACTGAAGACTGGATAAAATGTGGTATATCTACACAATGCAATACTATTAAGCCATCAAAAGGATATATTCATGTTTTTTTGCAGCTACTTAGATGGAACCGGAGGCCATTCTCTTAAGCGAAGCAACTCAGAAGCAAAAAGACAAATATCACATGTTCTCACAAGTGGGAGCTAAGTAATATGCACACGTGGACATAGAATGTGGAATGATAGACAATGGAGACTCAGAACAGTGGAGAGGTTGGGGAGTGGATGATGAGAAATTACTTAATGGGTAGAAGTGTACATTATTCAGGTGATGGATGCACTGAAAGAAGTGTAGCAAAATTTTGCTTATACCTCATTAATTTATACAAATAAAAAATAAATAGAAAGAAATTCAGGATTTCAAACAGTTGAAATATAAGTCAAGAAAGAGGGAGACCCAGGCGCAGTGGCTCACACTTGTAATCCTAGCACTTTGGGAGGCCAAGGCGGGCAGATCGCCTGAGGTCAGGAGTTTGAGACCCGACTGGCCAACGTGGTGAAACTGCATCTCTACTAAAAATACAAAAATTAGCTGGGCGTGGTGGTGGGTGCCTGTAATCCCAGCTACTTGGGAGGCTGAGGTGAGATAATGGCTTGAACTCTGGAGGTGGAGGTTGCAGTGAGCTGAGATCGCACCATTGCACTTCAGCCAGGGCAACGAGAGCGAAACTCTGTCTCAAAAAAAAAAAAAAAAAGAAAAGAAAAGAAAAATAGGGAAGAAAGGAAGGAGGGCAAGAGAAGAGGTGAGAAAATATTTTCCAGGACAAAGGAAAAAAAATTCAGATTTGAGGTAGTAACGTGTGTGAGAAAATTTAATAACATACATGTACAACCCTTATGACAATTTCATAATTGAAGGCATACATTTAAAAATCCCAAGAGCATGATATATAAAATATAAGAGCTTCATAAGGCTATCTCTAAGCAATTTCTGTCTTATTTCCAGGATTTGTATGTTACAATAAATTGTATATGCTACAGTACCGACTTTTATGACTTTCCACTTTTTAATATGTATCAGTAAGAATATTAAAATATTTCCAAATGGTTTAACATTTCAAGCATTCATCTATTTTGGAATATTTATTTTCCCCCATTCTAAAGAGAGAGAAAAATTTGTTTCAAGCATATTTTTAAGTATTTTAATATATTTTTAATTTGCATATTTAGAGAAAATTCCAAAAATACATATTGCGGTAAACTGAAGAAAGTACATACAAAGTTAAAAGGGCAAAAGACCTGTGTTAAAATTCCAACGTAGTTTCTGATTAACCATGTGAACTTTGGACAATATGTTTGATCACTCAGATTGATTTCAACAAATCTAAAATAGAGATTATACCTAGCTTATAGGTTGTGAGTAGTATTTGAAAAATGTTATTTAGAGCACTTTGCCTAATACCTATAACAGAATAGGCAATTATTACAATAAAGACATTATAATGATTATGGTTAGTAATCATTTTTGGCCCTGCATAGAAATCTATAAGACTCTTAAATATTTCTTGTACCCAAATTTCCTTTTTATAGAATACATGACTATTCAAAGGATACATGAATTCAAAGGATACATGACTATCCTTTGAAATATGAAATCCTATGACCTTGTTCACAATGAATTATCTCTAGAATAAATGTAAAACATAAGATAGGCCTTTAGCTACTTGGCTTGGGAACTTGAAATGTATAGTACTGAAATTCACTAGGATATGTGGCCACAGTCAGAGTCTCTCTTTGTGTGTGTGTGTATATATATATACACACTATATATAATATATATAGTATACACACTATATATAATATATATAGTATATATATAATATATATAGTATATATACTATATATATTATATATATATAAGTATATATATAGTATATGTATACTAGAGAGGAACTAGATTAGGAACCATTGAGGGACAAAGAGATAGCTGGGCCATGAGGAATACTCTTTTTAATTTTTTTTTCCCTAGAATTGCCAGAGTCTAGGTAATCTAACAGTTGCTTTCTGAATGGTGTGAGATACCACCTTTTCATGTGAACTGCATGTGTAACTTAGCCAGTGCCTTTTTTCTTCTTACTTTTGTGTGTGTTCTTATAATGTAACCTGATCTCCTTAGGTAATGTGTGGATTTTTAATACTTTTTAGGCTTAAACTCCAAATTGGGACAATAACCTAAAACAAAACTGATTAAACCATTAAATAGATAAAAGTAAATTTCCCTCTACATTCCATGCAAATACCTAGATTCATCTGAAACCATTTTGAAGGTTAAGTTTAAGAAGATTTTGCTTAAAATATAGGTCATGTGACAGTGGCAAGTTTCAATTTGTGTCTCCTGTAAAACACATCGTAGAAATGGGCAGTCATTCTCCAGGGTGAGAGAAACTTAGGACAGGATTTTCATCAAGTGAGAAATTATATATTTGAGTTGGTATGACTTTCAACATGATAAATCATATAAATAATGTATATTCATTGAATACTTTGAGGAAGCATTTCAGAAATACAGAATCTCTTTTTAGAGAGGTTGAAAATACATGAAGATATTAACAAAATATTTTGTGAATATTTGTATTATTCTTATTTAAATTTAGATTAGGATAGATTAGAAGACTTTCTAAAATTCGTTTAGGGGACCAAGAAGGCACTTAAAAAATTTAAAAAAAATCATCCTTTTAACAGCCTAAATTGCAGCATTACAGATGTGAGATATTTGACTCCTAAATTTATTCTATGTGTACTAAAGTAGAACAAAAAACAGTGATTTTTCAATATAAGTCTGAGATTGGATGTAGCTTATATAGATTACTGAACTTACAATTGATTTGCAAAAGGTTTTTACTTTCAATTGAGACACAAGCAATTCAATTTAACCAATTCCAGGGTTAAGCTGTTGAACGCATCAAAATAATATTGACCACCATGGATATGGCTCATTATAATGATTACAATACTTTGACCAGGAAGAGCACATATTATTTGCATTATCTGTTAGGAGTTGACCTTTCCACCATGGGTCAAAACTAAGAATTACACAAGTATTTTTCTTTTCTTTTTTTTTTTTAATTATTGTTATACTTTAAGTTTTAGGATACATGTGCACAATGTTCAGGTTTGTTACATATGTATACATGTGCCATGTTGGTATGCTGCACCCATTAACTCGTCATTTAGCATTAGGCATATCTCCTAATGCTATCCCTCCCCCCTCCCTCCACCCCACAACAGTCCCCGGTGTGTGATGTTCCCCTTCCTGTGTCCATGTGTTCTCATTGTTCAATTTCCACCTATGAGTGAGAACATGTGGTGTTTGGTTTTTTGTCCTTGTGATAGTTTGCTGAGAATGATGGTTTCCAGCTTCATCCATGTCCCTACAAAGGACATGAACTCATCATTTTTTATGGCTGCATGGTATTCCATGGTGTATATGTGCCACATTTTCTTAATCCAGTCTACCATTGATGGACATTTGGCTTGGTTCCAAGTCTTTGCTATTGTGAATAGTGCCGCAATAAACATATGTGTGCATGTGTCTTTATAGCAGCATGATTTATAATCCTTTGGGTATATACCCAGTAATGGGATGGCTGGGTCAAATGCTATTTCTAGTTCTAGATCCCTGAGGAATCGCCACACTGACTTCCACAATGGTTGAACTAGTTTACAGTCCCACCAACAGTGTAAAAGTATTCCTATTTCTCCACATCCTCTCCAGCACCTGTTGTTTCCTGACTTTTTAATGATCACCATTCTAACTGGTGTGAGATGGTACCTCATTGTGGTTTTGATTTGCATTTCTCTGATGGCCAGTGATGATCAGCATTTTTTCATGTGTTTTTTGTTTTTTTATATATATATTTGAATAACATATCGATGATCAGCATCTTTACTGCTGAAAACTTTGCAGTGGTAGGGACATGTACATATGTTTATGCTGACCTATTATTTATTGGAGATAATACAAAATAAATGATATAATCCATCATAAGAGAAGGTTTGAAAGTCAAATATTATAAGGGCAGAAAAGACTAAGGCAGCAGTATGGAATAGGAACAGAGAAGTAGTTAAACAATCAGAAGTCCTGTCATGTCTTATGTTATTTCTCAGCTCAAAGTTCACTCAACCAAAATACATTATTGTTTTTTTCCTCAGAAGTTGTTGATCTAAGCAACTAAATGCTTCACAAGTGTTAGCTGAATAAATAAGGTCAAGGACTTAAATAAAAGTTTTACAAAAGCAAGCATTTATTCAAAATGTCTAGACTACAGCTGTTTCTTTAAATAAACTGAACTGAGATTTTTTTATCAATCTTGTAATCAGACTATGAGCAACAAGAAATTGTAAAATAAACAGCTTTGTAAATGTTTTTTACTGCATATTTATCTCTTTTTTAAAAAATAAATATACTTAGAGTTTTCATAAATGTTTGAACTCCACAAACTTTTATAAATTTGATAGAGCAAAAGTGCAATATTTATAATTGAGAAAATAAAATTCTTTTTACAATTTTAAAAATCCAATACATTGAATTATCAACCAAATATAGAAATTAATTTGATATTTAACATATAATTTTAGTTTTCAAGATGGAAATTTTAACTCTCAATTCAAAACCTATTGTTAGATTGTCTGCCTTTTTTCCAAAAGACATTAAACCATACAAAAAAATAAATATGTACATTTCCCTTGAAGGAATGTGCAGCGTTATGACAGAAAAAGTTATATAAATGAAATGCATATGTAACATATATGACTCCATTTCAAAAAAATAAATCATAGGTAGCATATAATCATTTGTGGTTATAACATACACAGGATTAATAATAACCCAATAAATTATATTTATATGAGAGGTACTATTCCAGGCTCTAAGGACAAAAAGATAAAACAACATTAACATCCCTGTCCTAAATACTTCATAATTCAGACCTCAGGTTGTTACAGTGAAGAGACAGTGAGAGAAATGTTAAAGTAAGAAAATAACTCTGATACTATATGATTTTTTTAATATAAAGATCTGCAAAATTGAAGTTAATCAACTTCACTGGAAGCATTATTGCAACTTTAAAGAAGATTGTTTGGAGAAAGGGACATGATCCTGAATAAAAAGAGTCAGTTATTTAGAAAAGGAAGTAGGTGTGAATAGGATGTTAATAGAAGAATAAGCCCTTCATGGGATCATAAATCCTCTTTGATAGACAAAGCACATGTGTAGTGCAGCACAAGGCTCTGGAAGAGGTGTGGTATGGCTAAGTGTGGGACCCCAAGATAAAACGTCTTTATGTGTCATGCTTAAGAGTTTGGAGCTGTCTGTTATGAAGAGGCATTCAATGTTTTTCATCCAGGAACTTGGTGTGAACTGCAACTATGCTCACAAGTTCTTCCTCTTTCATCAAGATTTAGCATCATCTATTATATTTCCTACCCTTTGTATCAAGGTTAGCCATGTGAACTCATTTTGGCCAAAACAATATTAGCAAAAGTTTTACAAGCAGAGATTTAAATATGTTTGCACAATAGATATAGCTGTCTGAGTTGTTCTTGTGATTTTGTGACTGACATCATGAAATAAAGCCCAAGATAGCCTGCCCAATGCCAGACAAGTAAGTGAGGCTATTCTAAATCTTGCAGTTACCAGCTGACCTACCACCTGACAACAGGTGAAGGAAAGAAGACGAAATGTTCAACTGAGCATGTCCAGATCAGATAAAGTGCTCAGCCAATCCAAAGAAGTATAACTAAGTCAATGCTCCTTCTAAGCCACCACGTTTTGGGGGTGGTTTGATACACAGCAAATACAAACTGATGCTAGAGAGTCTACTACAATGTTTTAACATGTAGAATATATAATGAAGGACTAGAAAATGGAAAATAGATAAAAGGTTAGAAGTTACTAAGATTGCATTATGAAAAGATGGACAAAACTTGAATTTAACTACATTAATGATGGTACATTGGAGGAAAAAGATTACAAGTATGGTTCAGAGCTCCACTGTCAGGACTGAGGATCAATTATATAGCTTTAAAGAAAGGAAAAGATGATTTTAGGATTTCAACATAGCATAAACTGGCCCAGTTATTGCTCATACATTAGCAGACCAAAGGAAACAAAATAATTTTGTTTGAGCTGATGATTTTCCAGATGTTCTTCACTTCAAAAGACCATCCTAATACAAACATAAATTTCCCAATGCAAATAATAATATCATTTATTCTGATAAGATTAAAACTCTGTGATATTTCATATCTACTTTTAATATTCTATTGAGGAAATATTAACATCTATTTAAAACTTTGTTGTTGTTGTTTTCTGGTATTTAGTTGGCCAAGAAGACACAATTGTACAATATCCTATAAAGTACCCTTGCCATGTACATTGACTAAGTACATAGGGCATGTTATTTAATTTAGGCTGAAATAACAGTGAAATGGGCTTTCACTTTAGGCCTAAGTTGATTTCAAAATAAAGAGAGGGATGGGCACATGGCTTATTACTGCAATCCCAGCACTTTGAGAGATAAGCGGGAGGATTGCTTGAGAACAACCCTGGCAACATAATGAGACCTCCTTTCTACAAAAAAAAAAAAAAAAAAAAAAAAAAAATTGCTAAGCATGGTGGCACACACCTGTAGTCCCAGCTACTTGGGAGGCTGAGGTGGGAGGATCACTTGAGCCTGGGAGGTCAAGTTTGCAGTGAGCTGTGGTTCCATGACTAGACTACAGCCTGGGCAACAGCCTAAAACTCTGTCTCAAAATAAACAAAACAAAAAAAAAGATAAAAGAACACTGGCATATACACAGACACACACACACAAACATATACATACATATGTGTAATATTCCATATATATCTATTATTTATGAATATGTATTTAATATTTATATTTCTCCCTATCTTCCACTCCATTGTAGCAGTCAGGAAGGTGTCTGTAACACAAAGCAAAGGAGCATTGAAATGATTATATCTGCTTTGCTCGCCAAGAGCAGATTAATCCGCCGCATGAATAAAATTAGTCATAGGTTCAATAAAAATAAATTTAACAGTTGCATGCATTCTCTCTCAAATTTTGTATACAAACTGGTTAGCAAAAATGGAAACTAAGCCACTCTGGAGAGAAAAATCAGTAACAAATCAGTGTTAAGAGATTAGTAACAGGTGTTATGTTTCTTAACACCTGTTTGAGACTGGTAATCTGCTACACACATATGACCATATCTAAAAATGAAGTGACTAACATATTCAATTAGAACTGTTGTAAAACTACACAGGCCAATTGCAAAATAAAGTATATAAAAGTGAGGTGATATGTCTCACTGGCTATGCCCTGAAACATATGAATATTTTCTTAAACTTACCAAATAATGAATGAAACAAGAGTTTTAATATGCACCGATGAAATCAAAATATATATGAAGAATATTCCATTGTTCTAGATGAATAAAGTTTAGCTAGAAACTAGAGTTGTACCAAGGACTTCTGAAAAACAGATGTACAATGCAAATGCCTGAAAGAGTGCAAATCCAAGTGAGTTGAATCAGGTTAACACATTATGGCCCCCTTAACACTTATTTTTGCATATGTAGTGCATGGAACTTAAACATGAAACACACATTGTAATCTCTCACACACACCTAAAATATGGATCATGTGTTATTATATTAAGAGAATGTGTTATGGCCATTTGAATGCAAGACTAGAAGAGTATTGCATGAACTCTTCTATAAGAAAACTTTGTTTGACTTAAGTGATAAACCAGTAGCCTGGTAGGTAAACATTTTGAAGTGTTTGTCTATACATTGCTCAGCCAATACAGCAGTAGTCAAATACAAATAACGATGAATTTTGTTTTTATTTCCTCATAGATATGAGCAATGCTATATTATTTTATTATTTATATTATATAATGAGCACTTTTTGCAAATTGAGATTTATCATTGAAGTGACTTAGAATGGTATATATTCACATATTAAGAGATGGGGAGGTCAAAATAATGTTTTCATATTATATACTTTACTATACTTTAATAAGGTTTAAAAAGTACACTAATTTACTGCCAAGCTCATAAAATTTATGGTTTAAAATTATTTGAAAGCCATTTGTTTTCTCTTCTACATTTCAAACACCCAGAATATGATACTTATTGAGAAAGGAAGTGATGCCTTTAAAAGCAAAAACCCACGATTTTTCATGCTAAATAAAAACATTGAAACATCTCACTCTTTAACAAATACGATTTTTTTCTCTACATTATTTCCATGAACATGTTGCTTAAATTTTATGCTTCGCTTTGATTTCATTATTAAAAAATTTAAGACTTCTCCTCATTTCCCAAGAGAAGGAAATCTTTTCCAAAAATTCTCTTTGAAGGAATGCCTTGGTTGCAGAGATTTATTGTTACTTCCTTAGCAGATTATCTAGACACCCAATTTTTCGCTTTGAAAATGTATAAGTGATCATTTAAAATACCAGCTAATTTTATATTTTAAAATCAATATAAAAAGGCTTGATATATGATATTCATTTAAAGAATCAAAATATTTTGTCTAATTTTCTCCTTTTTTTGTTAGAATAAAGTAGGATATTTCTGATTAATGTGTTACAGAACTGTGATCACATTCTTTAAGTCCTTTCTGTGTGAAAATTGGTTAAGAGCTTTGTTTATGTTCAAAGTTCTGAATACATTCCCAGGCATTTCATGTGGTTGGAAAATGTTTTCTATTAAAAAAGAGTAAGAAAAGTAAATTCATCATTTTAAATTTGATTTTTAATGTGCTCCCATAAGCCTCCATTCTATTTTCAGGATACTATAAAATGCAAGTAATTAAATAGTAACATACTCCATAATGGAAAACTTTCCATTAGACAATGAAGATTAATCCTGAGGCTTGATGTAAAAGGAAAAACTTATAATTAGGTTTAAATCCATTTGTACTGATATCTACCCTTTCCATACACCCACTACTTATACTGATACTCTAAAAACTTTTAAAGGACATTAAACAGGGTCAGTTATGCGATGTCCCCTTTACAGTTCATTTATGTTTCATCCATTACAATGGAAATTAAAATTATGTAGTGAATTAGATTTTGATTACTCCAATAACATTGTCACTGATGTTAAAATATACACAAGCAAAAGATTCAATAAAAGAAAATATCAACTAATGAGCTATGGATAATTGAATATTAACACAATGTTACATTTAAAAAATCACAATTATTTTAAAATGTAACATATTCAGAATATACTATGAGAACCTGGTACATTATTATTATTTAAATAATCGAGTCTTGAGTACTCCTACTCTGTTTTAGAATACATTAGTAACTAATCTCAATAGATACAGGGAAATATCTGTATAATAAATTGGTCAAAGGTATATCACAAACAAATACACTTTATGAGTTAATATTGTAATTTAAATATATTACAGATATTTGATATTGTCTTCCTTAATATTCATTTTAATTAGTGAATATCAGAGCTCAATTTGTGAGTTTATAACATATAATGCTCCCCTGGGAACACAGTATAACTTGTGATACCATATTTACAGTTTCAGTTTTACATTTTGAATGGAAAGTTATATAATTTTACTTTTGAAATTATTCTTAAACATGTCATATAGTATTTTATCACTTTTGGATAACTTATTATTCAAAAATCAATATGTAGAAAGATTATATTTAATAATTTGAATAATTAAGACTTTTTGTTTTATATGTGTTTCACTGATTGACTTATAAGTTTGCTGGAATAACATCCACCACACAATTTTTCCTTGTTTCATTTGCTAGCATCTTCTCTGTAAGGACTGATTATAAGTGTTCCACATATTTTAAGACATAACAAGTACAATTCTTTCATTTTAAAGGTAATGAAACTGATGCTTAGGAAGTTTAAGTGCTATTAGTATAGATCACAAAGCCCATTAGTGGTAGAGCTAGAAATACTTTCAAAGTCAACGTATTTTCAGCACTCACACTTTTCAATTCAACATAGACCACTTTAGGAAGGGAAGAATTAAAATGCTAATGAAAAACAAAAACAAATAAATATGATTCACAGAGAGGGAAAGTTGATGAATAAGAATTAAAATAGAAGTATTTACGAAAATTTAGTTTCATATTTCTTTTCTGATTTTACATCATGTAAGTGTGATCTTGACTAGCCTTGTAAGTAAATGAGGTGGTTACCTAAAATATCTGACTTTATAAAGAAATCTATTTAAATACCCACTATCCCTACTTGCCACTGACTCCTTAGCTCAAAGTCCTTTGGGAATATGAAATCCTCCTCAGGCAAGGCCCCCTCTATGCTTTAATTTTCCCACTCAGTTCTAAGCCTTTCAATATTCAGTTTATGTTTATTTCAATTCTAATTATTTCTAAATAACTCTCGGGCAATTCTGTGGTTCACAAGCGTATACAGTCCAGGAAGATGTAAGTAAGAAAGCACAGTTACCTTGAGGGCACTATCTGAGTCTGCCTAAACATATTTTGGGAAAACTGGAGTTGCCACAGTGAAACAAAAGGCAGCATTCTTGCCCTTGTTTTTTTTGTTTGTTTGTTTGTTTTTTCCTGAAAATATACGATTCTCTCCTCTTTTGAACTGAGGCCTTGATTCACCCCTGATGCCAATCAAGTCCTTCTCCTATCATTCCTGTATGGTCAGCCAGGTTACAAAACTTTAAAGCGGAAGGAGGGCTTTCTTATAAAACAATGATAAATTAACTGTCTTTGTACTACAGTTAAATCAATTGGACTCTGTCCTCGCCTCTTTGTTCCAGACATGAGGGCATATATGAGATAGGCTTTGGGACAGATCTCCATTCTGGAGACCATAGCACTATCAAAACAACTCCCAAAGGATACCACTGTCTGTTGCTGAATTATAATATCTCTGAAGTATAATATCTCCTAGGATCAAGTAATCCTCTCAATTCAGCCTCTCAGTTAGCTGGGAATACAAGTACTTGCCACCATGCTGGGCAATTTTTCTTTCTTTCTTTCTTTCTTTCTTTTTTTTTTTTTGAATTTATAGTAGAGATGAGTTTCACTATGTTGCCCAGACTGGTCTCAAATTCCAAAATACAGTCCCACCTTAGCCTCCCAAAATGCTGGCATTACAAGCGTGAGCCACCATTCCTGACCAATAAAGTATTTTGCAGACAAGCAAATACTGAGGGAATTTGTTAGTACCAGACCAGCCCTATAAGAAATAAAAAAATAAGTTCTATATCTTGAAACAAAAGGTTGATATGTACCACAATAGAACTTTTGAAAGCATAAAACAGAGCATATAAAACAACAACACAATGAAGAAAACAAAGTATCTAGATAACAATCAACATGATGACTGAAATAATAACTTATATCTCAATATTAACATTGAATGTAAATGATCTAAATGCTCCACTTAAAATATACAGATTGGCTGAATTAATAAAAAATTACAAACCAAATATCTGATGTCTTTAAGAGACTCAACTAACATGTGAGGATTCTTACAGACTCATGGTAAAGGGGTGGGAAAAGGATATTCTAGACAAATGGAAACCAAATGTGAGCAGGAGTAGCTATTCTTATATAAGATAAAACAGACATTAAAGCAACAACAGTAAAAAAAAAAAAATTAAAGACAAGGTCATTAGATAAATAAAAGGACCAAATCAACTAGAAAACATTATAATACTAAATAAATATTCACCAAACTCTGGAGCTTCCAGATTCAGAAATCAATTACTACTAGACCTAAGAAAAGAGAGACAGCTACACAATTGTAGTGGGGGATTCCAACATTCCACTGACAGCAGTAGAGGGATCATTGAGGGAGAAAGTCGACAATGAAACAATGGACTTAAACTGCACTCTAGAACAAATTGACCTAACATATATTTACAGAACATTTATCCCACAATTATTACACCCAACAGCTCTGAAATATACACTCTTATCATCATGACTTGGAACATTCCATATGATAACCCAGAAAAGTCTCAATACATTAAAAAAAAATCAAAATTATGTCAAGTATCCCCTCAGACCACAGTGGAATAAAACTAGAAATCAAATCCAAAAATGAACCCTCAAAACTTTGCAAACACATGGATATTAAACGTTCTGCTCCTGAATGACTTTTAAATTAAAAATAAAATCAAGATAGAAATGTAAAAATTCTTTGAAATGAGTGATAATAGTGACACAAATTATCAAAACCACTGAAATACAGCAAAAAAATGCTGACAGGAAACTTTATAGTGCTAAATGCCTACATCAAAACATCTGAAAGATCACACATTGACAATCTAATGTCACATTTCAAGGAACTAGAGAAACAAGAACAAACCAAACCCAAGGCTAGCTGAAGAAAAGAAATAACAAGGATCAGAGGAAAACTAAATGAAATTGAAACAAAAAGATACAAAAGATCAGTGAAACAAAAAGTTGGTTCTTTGAAAACATGAACAAATGTGATAGACTGTTAGCTAGATTAACAAAGAAAGGAAGAGAAAAAATACAAATAAGCTCAATTAAAAATGAAAATGGAGACATTCTGACACCACAGAAATACAAAAGATCATTTGAAACTACTATGAACACTTTTATGCATGCAAACTAAAAACTCTAGAGGAAATGAATAAATTCCTGGAAACACACACTTCTCTTAGCTTAACTCAGGAAAAGCTAGAAATCCAGAATAGACCAGTAACAAACTGTGGTCAAGGCAGAAACAAACAGTGAGATCAAATCAGTAATTTAAAAATTGCCAAAAACCAAAAGCCCAGGTCTAGGCAGATTCACAGCTGAATTATACCAGACCTTCAAAATTTAATGGTATTAATCCTATTAAATTATCCCAAAAGATTGAAAAAAAGGGAATCTTCCCTAACATAGCTGTGAAATCAGTATCACTTTGACACCAAAGTCAGGAAAGGACATAGAAAAGTGGAAAGTAGAGACCAATATCCCTGATGAGTATACACGCAAAAATCCTCAACAAAATACCAGCAAATATAATCCAACAGCACATTAAAATTGTAATTCACCATGGTCAAGTGGATTTCATCCTAGGGAGGCAAGGATGGCTCAACATACACAAGTCAATAAATGTGATTCACCACATAAACACAATTTTAAAAAAGAACCATATGATCATTTCAATAGTGCAGAAAAAGCATTCAATAGAATCCAGCATCCCTTTATGATAAAAAAAAAACTAGGTGTAGAAGGAACATCTACAGAATAATAATAGCCATCTATGACAAACCCACAGCCAACATTATACTGAATGGGTAAAGGTGAAAGCATTTCCTTGAAGAACTGGAACAAGACAAGGTTGCCCACTTTTATTACTCCTATTCACCATAGTATTGGAAGTTCTAGGCACAACAATCAGTCAAGAAAAAGAAATAAAGGGCATTCAAATGGGAAAAGAGGGGGTTAAACTATCTCTGTTTGCTGATGATACAATCAAATCTCTAGAAAACCCTAAAGACTCCTCCAAATGACTCTCAGATTTTATAAATAAATTTTGTAAAATCTCACTTACAAAATCAATGCACACAAATTAGTAGCACTGCCATACACCAACAACCAACCTGAGAATCGAACCAAGAACTCAATTCCTTTTACAATAACTGCAAAAACAAACAAACAAAAAAACTAAGAATATTCTTAACCAAGGAGGGTAAAGATCTCTACAAGGAGAACCACAAAACACTGCTGAAAGAAGTCATAGATGACACAAACAAATACAAGTACATTCCATGCTCATGATTTGTTGGAATCAATATAATAAAAATGATCATCATGCCCAAAACAATCTACAGATTCAATGCAATTGCTATCAGAATACCAACATCATTTTTCACAGTATTAGAGAAAAAAAATCCTAAAATTCATTTGGAATTTAAAAAGAGCATGAATAGCCAAAGTAATCCTAAGCAAAATGAACAAATCTGGAGGCATCACATTGCATAACTTTATTACACTAGAAGGCTATAGTTACCAAAACAGCATCGTACTGGCATAAAAGTAGATACATAGAGCAATGGAAAAGAATAGAGAACCCAGAAATAAATTCCAAATACATACAATAAAGTGACCTTTGGCAAAGCATGCAAAAGAATAAATTGGTGAAAGAACACTCTATTCAATAAGTGATACTGGGAAAACTGGATAACCGCATGTAGAAGAATGAAACTGGATCCCTAACTCTTACCATATACAAAAATTAACTCAAGATAGATTAAAGACTTAAATCTGAGACCTGAAACCATATAAATTCTAGAAGAAAACCTAGGAAAAACTCTTCTGTACCTTGGCCTACCAAATATTTATGACTAAGACCCCAAAAGCAAATGCAACAGAAACAAAAATAAATAAATGGGACCTAATTAAACTAAAAAGCTTCTGCACAGTGAAATAAATAATAAACAGAATAAACACACAACTCACAAAATGGGGGCAAGTATTTGCAAACTATGCATCTGGCAAAGGACTAATGTCAAGAAAGTACCAGGACCTCAAACAAATTAGCAAGAAAAAATATTCCCATCAAAACTGAGCAAATAACATGAGTAGACACTTCTGAAATGAAGATATACAAAAAGCCAACAAATATATGAAAAAATACTCAACAACACTAATCAATAGGAACATGCAAATTAAAACTTAAATGGGATACCACTTTATCCCAGTCAGAATGGCTATTATTAAAAAGTCAAAAAACAATAGATGTTGGCATGGATGTGGCGAAAAGGGAATGCTTAAACACTGTTGATGTGAATGTGAATAAGTACACCTCTATGAAAAACAGTATGGAGATTTCTGAAAGAACTAAAAGTAGATCTGCCATTGAATCCAGCCATCCCACTACTGGATATCTACTCAAAGGAATATAAGGAACTGTATCAAAAAGACACCTCCATGCATATGTTTGTTGAAGCACAATTCACCATTGCAAATATATATAATAAACCTAACTGCCCATAACTCCCTGATAAAGAAAATGTGGTATATATACACCATGGTATACTACTCAGCCATAAAAAAGAATGAAATAATGTCTACCGCAGTAACTTGGATGGATCTGGAGGCCATTTTTCTAAGTGAATTAACTCAGAAATGGAAAATCAATTACCACATATCTCATTTATAAGGGAGAGCTAAGCTATGGGTATGTAGAGGCATACAAAGTGGCATAATAGATATTGGAGTCTCAGAAGGAGGGAAGTGGGAGGGGGTGATGATTAAAAATAGGTATTGGGTAGCGTGTGTGTGTGTATACACACATACACATACACCCACACATATATATCCCTTTATACACACACACACACACACACACACACACACGTGTATATGTATATGATGGTGGCAGTGGCCCATCAAGAGAAGCTGGGGCTGCATGCTCTGAAGATTCTTGCATGGGCTGAGAATAGGCAAGAGTCCTGCTCCCTATTGAGTTGGCAGGGTGGGACCCCTGTGCTCCTGGGCACAGCTACAGCTGCCCAGCCACGACTCTGGCCTTAGGCATCCCTGTGCTCTCAGGGGCCCAGGAACCTCCCCCTGGCCAGACAGGCTTGAAAGTGCCTGCTCCCACTCCCTGGCCTCTCCTTGCTCCTGGCACTTGCTCGGTGCAGAGAAAATTTGTGGCTGAAACTGGGCGCTGTTGCGACCCACCCAGTTGTGCATGCACTCAGGGCAGCACAGACACACTAGCACCCTGCTGCCTGAGCCCCATTCAGACTTTGGGTGCAGACAAGCACAGGAGGGGTGGGTGGCACTGAGGGTGGCTGGGTGCAGCCCTGCAGGTACCCCTCAGAACAAACAATTGGGCGCCACCATGTTCATGGTGGCAGGAGGCAGACAGGCTCTGGACAAAAAGGGGCAGGTCCCAGGTGAAGCCCCACCTTTAAGCCAAGGACAACCTGAAGCCTGGGGTCCAGGCTGCCAGTTCCAGCTGGAGTCTGTGGCCTGGAGTGAGAACTTAGGGTGCTTTTTTCAGGCCTACCCATGGCCACCCATGGACCAATCATCACATACTTTCTCCCTTCTGAGCACATAAAATCCCTGGACTCAGCCAGTCTCAAACAGACATCAGGACAACCTGCCTGTGGAAAGGAGCTACCCACTGCAGGTTTCCTCTCTGCTGAGGGTTGAACAGTCATTGAGATGATCTGTCTGTGGAGAGGAGCTACCCAGTGTGGGCCTTCTCTCTCCTGAGAGCTGGACACTTGTTGGGATGAACTGCCTGTGGAAAGGAGCTACCCATTGCTGGTCCACTGAGAGCTTTTCTGTTGTTCAATGAAGCTCCTCTCCATCTTATTCACCCTTCAGTTCTTTGCATACCTCATTCTTCCTGGATGTGGGAAAAGAAGTAGGGAACCATGGAATGGCAGGATTTAAAGAACTGTAACACTAACAGGGCTCAAACATTCCCCCAACTCCTGCTAGCCACATTGTGAGCAATGAGAAGAAAAGAGTTGCAGCCCTTCAGGGTGCCCAGATATAAGAGTTCCCTACACCGAGGCTGTGACACCCTCTTTGGGGTTCTGTGGTTCCTGGCATCTCCAAGCTTCTGGGCACCGCCATGTTCTCCTTGTCCAGACAAAGGTGCCCAAGGATCCCATGACATATGTACACACAAACTATACACACGTGCACACACCCACACACACACAAACATGTGTGTGTGTATATATATCAATATTGTAACATAGTTATTATAATCTCTAATTATTAGAAGATAAAAATAAAGCACAGAGAAATTAAATTACTCAAAGTCAAAGTTGTGTTGTTAGCATATGTCCCAGCACTTTCTTTCTTTTTTTTCCTTTTTTTTTTGAGACGGAGTCTTGCTCTATTGCCCAGGCTGGAGTGCAGTGGTGCAATCTCGGCTCACTGCAACCTCCACCTCCTGGGTTCAAGCAATTCTCCTGTCTCCTCATCCAGAGTAGCTGGGATTACAGGTGCATGCTGCTACACGTGGCTAATTTTTGTATTTTTAGTAGAGACAGGGTTTCACCATGTTGGTCAGGCTGGTCTCGAACTCCTGACCTTGTGATTCACCCGCCTTGGCCGCCCAAAGTGCTGGCTTTATAGGCATGAGCCACTGTGCCCTGCCTGTGCCAGCACTTTCTTACCAAAAAATGTTCCTTCTTAACCATTGTTTATTATCCTTAATATGTATCAATTTTATTCTTGACTTACCTGTGATGTATGCCACAGATACTCTTCCTATGTTTTTTGTCTGCTGTTTGATTATTTATTTTGTAAGTTTTTTGTCAGTCACATTCATTTTTATCCACATTGTTTTATTTTGTTTCTGCCTTTATAAAGCATGGAGCCCTTCATTACAAGGGTATTCACCTTGATATAATGTCTTGTGCTATTATGGTTTTATTTTTTACGTGTAGCATTTTTTCTATTGAAATTTATTTTGACTAATGAAATGATATATGAATACAATACTCTCTCTAAAGCTTAACCTCTTATATCAATATGAGATACAGCAAATTTTACTTATTTCTACTGATTTTACATGCTACTTTAATAAATTATTACATGTAATTTTGCCTCATTACTGAAACTTGTACTTTGTCATGTTGCCAGTAACACATGGTTTTAATTATGCAAATTTTGCTTTAGAATGCCTCAAAATACCTAGGATAAAATGTTCCTATGAATTATTACACTTTCAAGAAAAATTTCTGCTTAGCATTCTTATTGGAATTTCATTAAATTTATATCTTAATTAAGAGTAAATGACATCTTTAGAATAGTTTCATTTTTAAATCCCAAAATGTGATTATTCAAATCAAGATCCTCTGCAAAAGTCTCTAGTTTCTTTATATAGATGTTGCATATGTATTAAAAATTGTTCCCAGTCATTTGCTAAATTACCTTTTACCGTAACTTATTTACTCAAGTACATGTCTTTCAAATCACAAAGATTTTTATTATATTAAGTTTTCAAAATTATAGAAATGACATATAACCATAGTTTTAAAAATATTCTTTCACAGCCGGGCATGGTGGCACATGCCTGTAATCCCACCACTTTGGGAAGCCGAGGCCAGAGGACCACCTGAGATCAGGAATTCGAGACCAGCATCGCCAACATGGTGAAACCCTGTCCTTACTAAAAATACAAAAATTAGCCGGGCGTGGTGGTGGGCGCCTGTAGTCCCAGCTGTTTGGGAGGCTGTGACAGGAGAATCGCTTGAACCCAGGAGACAGAGGTTGCGTTGAGCTGAGATCATGCCACTGCGCTCCAGCCTGGGTGAGGTTGCATTGAGCTGCGATCATGCCACTGCGCTCCAGCCTGGGTGATAGAGCAAGACTCTATCTCAAAAAAAAAAAAAAAAAAAAATTCCTTGACAAAATGCGAATTATTTTAGCAGGCACATTTCCTCTTGCCTTTAAGAAAATTCACATAAAATTGACTTTCTGAGGATTTTCAATATAAAAATATCTATTTTAACAACACATTTTCTCCCTTAAGTCATGTGTTAAATCTATCATGGGTACTATAGAAACAATATATTTCACTATTAAATTTCTTGTCTTGAAGTAAACAAAACTAAATCTAAGCCAATAGTTTTTACTGACATTATAATCAGCATATTAACTTAAATCTGTGTCATAAAAGAACAAAAGTTTTTTTAGTAGTTTCCTACCAGCATGCCTGGCAGAATTCTCACCATCCAGTCATTCTTCTGATCTATCCTCTCAAGATCCATCATTCTAAAGCATACTTCTGTTTATGCCAAACTGCCGTAGAGAAAATTTGGTGGATCCACATCAATTGCTGAAATAAGAAATAGTTCTTTAATATGGGATTTGAGGTTGTATACATTGTCACTATAATGCACTTCAGGTTTTTCACTAATAAACATTGTTAGCATTTCACAATGTGTCATCAAGCTGCCATGAGTAATGGCACTGGTAATATGTACAATAATTTTGGGTTATGTTCAGATAAACCTTTTCATACACACACATACACATGCACATACACACACACCGATGTGTACATGTTAAATAAATTTAATATATTTATACAATTTATGTAATTAGAAAATAGTTGATTAAAGAAAACTATTAATTAAATTTTGATACAGTTGTTATGAAAATATGGTTGCTTATTTAACGTGATACACAGTTATCTGACTGTATGTAGGAAACACTAATCTTTAAGAACTTATCACTCCTAGAAACATATTTACTTTCTTTCATCTGTATATTCTCTGTGCTTTCTCAGTTCTAAAACTTTGGTTATCCCTTTACCTGTAAACTTAGCCTCAATTATCAATATTCTGCTAACTGTTATCTTCCTAATAGTTTCATTTATATTTTTTAATTTTTTTTTTATTATTATTATTTTTTTTTGAGACAGAGATTTTGCTCTTTCGCCCAGGCTAGAGTGCTGTGGGACGATCTTGGCTCAACACAATATTCCCCTGCCAGGTTTATGCAATCCTCATGCCTCAGCCTCCCAAGTATCTGGGATTGCAAGCGTGTACCAACATGCCCAGCTAATTTTGTATTTTAGTAGAGAGGGTGTTTCACCCTGTTGGCCAGGCTGGTCTCAAACTCCTGGACTCAAGTGATCCGCCCACCTTGGCCTCCCAAAAATGCT
This sequence comes from Homo sapiens, assembly GCF_000001405.40. NCBI lineage: Eukaryota > Metazoa > Chordata > Mammalia > Primates > Hominidae > Homo > Homo sapiens. The sequence goes on along the minus strand of NC_000001.11, from coordinate 195,026,889 downwards.
GGGATTAAAGGCTTGAGACACGGTATCTGATCCCTAATCATTTCATTTTTTAATCATAAAATGTGATTATTGATTATGCGATTAAACCCAAAAATATTGATTATAAGTCCAACAAAATCATAGCCTCCCTAAAGTACAAAATCTACCCCTTTCATTTGTCTGAATATATTAGAATCCTCAAAAAGGAACTGCAATAAATTATTATTTACTCTAATCAAATATAATCAATACAGCAAAATTGAATGAAAACCTACTTCAGTTTCTAAGTGTATTGTTACCGAGCCTAGATGACTTCACTGGTAAATTTTACCAAAGATTTAAAGAGAAAACAACACCAATTTAATACAAACTGTTTAAAGAAATTGCCAAGGTATAAATACTTCCAAGCCATTTGATGAAAACAGTGTTACATGACCAAACAAGAAATAAGAAAACTACAGTCAAATATTCATCCCAAACAGATGCAGTAATGCAATATATTTTAACAAATGTAGCAAATATAATTCAATAATATATTAAAAGGCAATATAACATGATGAAATGGATTTTATAACAGGACTGCTAGATTGCTTTAACATTCAAAAGTAAAACTATAATTTATTTTATGTGCAGAAGAAAGGAAACAAAAACATAATAATCCCTCCCAATAGATGCAGAAAATTACATATGGCTAAATTCAGCATTATTTGTGCTAAAAGCTCTCATGAAGCTAGGATTAGAAAGGAAATTCCTTAATCTGATGCAGAGGATGATTACAAAAATGTACCAATAACTTCTTTACAGGTGAAAAACTAATTTTATTTTTCTCTATGATCTTGCAGAAGAGAAGGATTTCTACCATCACTTCTTCTAATCAACAATGGAAAACCTAAACAATTTACTAAATGGGAAAATGAACAAAAGACATGCACATTGGAAAAGAAAATGAAAAGCTGTCTTTATTCTCAGACAACTTGATTGTGTACATAGAAAATCCTAATAATCCCACTATAAAGATGCTAGAAATAATGTTTAATAAAGTCAGAAAATACAAGATATCTATAAAAAATAGTCAATCACAGCCAAAATGTATGTGAAAATGCAAAAAAAAGAGTGTTCAAAACAAATTTGAAAAATAACAAATTTAAAGAATTTATATTGTCTGATTTCAAGATTTACTTTAAGGGTATGGCCTTATAGTTTTTATTATTGAGTAATAAATATAAACATAAATATATTTAAAAGTAGGAGAAATGAAGAATTGAAAAAAGATAATATTAATTTAGCAAGGAATGTTGTAATAACAGATTCTACATTGGACCTCAAGACTCTTGGTCCCTTGTGTATACACCTTTGTATAATTCTCTTATCCTTGACTATGGATAGGACTATGTATTTATTTAGAGACAAGGTCTCACTCTGACACCCAAGCTGGTGTGCAGTGGCACAATCATCACACACTGCAGCCTTGAACTCAAATTCCTGAGCTCCAGATCCTCCCACCTCAGCATCCTGAACAGCTGGTTCTACAGGCAAGCCCACCACTCCTGGTTAGAGGCTTTTATTATGGAAAACAAAACCATAATAAAATAAGTCACATGACAAAATACGTCTATGTGAAAAAGCACGAGGGCAAATATATCCAAGAAAATTGTGAAGAAGAAAAAGTGTGCATACTGACTTACCAGATTTCAAAACATCTTATGAGTATTATGAAAAATAACACAACCTAGTATTGAAACAGATGTAATAAATGGACTAACAGAATGAAATGGGGAACTTAGAAATTAACATATGCTTTTATGGAAACTTGGTATATTACAAATTTGTCATTGCAGATAAATGGGCATGAGTAGACAGTTTACTAATTGAAGCAAGTGATTATCCACATGGAAAATAAACTTCCTTCTCCACACACCAGTATTAATTGTTTGTATTAACGATCTAAATGCAAAAAAAAGAGTTTTTCAAATACTTAAAATATATAGGCGAATATATTTATGACTTTTAGGGAAGGAAGGACTTTTTAAAGCATGACATAAAACATATCATTAAGAAAACTATGAATTAAAAAATGAAACACAGCTTCTGTGAGTCAAAAGACACCATAATAGTCACAGACTAAAAGATGAGAATTGAAATACATGCAATCCCAAATGATTAATAGCCTCAATAAAATGATAAGAATAAAACCCTCCACACAATACAATTAAAATATACAAGCAAAAATTAATGTAAAAGGAATTGTCTATGGTGGGGAAAATATAAATTGAAAACTGCTTCTTCAGTGTATCATGGCTTCCTCATGAACAGTACCTTCCACAGAACTGGTATAATGTGGAAACTTTTACCACGAATTAGGAAGAACTACAAAGAACAGTTTGCACAGCTGAGTTTGATGTAAACTCTATCACTGCACACCAATGGTTGTGCAAGGAATTTTACCTTGTAAGAAAAACTATTGCTGGTAGTGCCAGAGAAAAAAAATTTCCTATCCTTTTGGCCTTGAGTCTCTTGCTCTAGTCTATAGTTGTGGCCATCTAGACAGGTGTGATATGATGTGTCATTGTCGTTTTGCTTTGCATCTATCTGATGATTAGTAACATTGAACATTTCTTATATACCTCTTGGTTATTTGCGTGTCTTCCTTGGAAAATTTTCAGATCCTTTGACTGTTTTTTTAATTGAGTTATTAATTTGGGTTGGTTGGGTTACTATTGTGTTTTAGGAGTTGCTTATATGTTTTGAAGATTAACCTCTTATCAGCTATCTGGTTTGCAAATACTTTGGCCCATTCCATAGGCTGTGTTTTCACTACTCATTGTTTTCACTGCTGCGCAGAAATTTTTAAATTTGAAGTAGTTTTGTTTGTTTATTTTTGGTTTTGTTGACTGTGCTCTTGGTGTTGTATCCAATAATCATTGCAAAAAAACGTCATAAATCTTTTCCCCATTTTTTTATATTTCAGATCTTATGTTTAAGCCTTTAATTCATATTGGGTTTACTTGTAGTATGATATGAGTGTCCAATTTTATCCTTTTGCATGTGAATATCTAGTTCTCTAACATCTTCTGTTGAAGAGACAATCTTTTCTCTATTGTGTATTCTTGGCGTATATTTCAAAGATCAGCTGGCCATATATGCATGGATTTATTTCTGGGCCCTGTGTTCTATTTGTCTGTATATCTGTCTTTATATTAGTACCAAACTGTTTTGATTGCTTAGAATTGCAGTATAATTTGAAATCAGGAAATATGATGCCTCTAGCTTTGTTCTTCTTTATCAAGATTGATTTGCTTATTTGCCGTCTTTTGTGGTTTTATGTGAGTGTTGTAATTGTTTTTTCAAATTCTCTAAAAAATGTCATTGGGTCTCTGATAGGGGTTGCATTGAATATTTAGATTGCTTTGGGTAGTATTCACGCTTTAACAATATTTTCTTCCAAATTGGTGAATATGAGATATCTTTCCATTTATTTGTACCTTGTTTTATTTCTTTCATTGGAGTTTTGTAGTTTTTAGTAAGCAAGTCTTTAACCTCCTAAATAGAGTTTATTCCTAAATATTTCATTCTTTTTGTGATAGTGTAAATTGGATAGTTTTCTTGATTTATTTTTCAAATAATTCATTGTTAGTGTAAGAAAACAGATTTTTTAAAGTTTTAAGATTCTATTTATTAAACCCAATATATCAAGAGATTTTATTTATTTAGCCCAATATATCAAACATACTACTATTTCAGCAGGTAGTCAGTAGAAAATAACTACTAATGATATGTTTTACATTCCTTTTTTCTATTAACTTTAAAATAAATGTTGTTGTATATATTTAAGATATACAACATAACGTTTGATATACATACAGACAGTTACTATATTGAAGCAAATTACCATGCTTATCATCTCATGTAGTTACCCATTTTTGTTTGTTACAAAATACTCATTTATAAAAAATACTGAATACAATACAATTAACTATAGTCCTCAGGTTGTACATTAAATCTATTTTGACATGATGATTCTACTTTCTAATTTACATATTTAAAAGTACTATATATATATAGTAGAATATATATATAGTAGAATATATATATATAAAGTAGAATAAAAGTATAAATATAAAAAAATAAAAAAGTATAAATATAAAAAAACTAAAAATATATAAAGTAGAATAAAAGTAGAATGAACACATCTAGTATATATATGCATATATATATATGTATTCCTAAATATTTACATATATATATATATTAGACGTGTTCATTCTACTTTCTGCTACTTTGCCTTCTTCAGATTATATCTTCCCTCGTCTTTCCCAACACTACTCCTGGTAACCACTGTTTAGTCTCTATATTTTTATATTTGAATTTTTTATTTTTGATATTCCACAAATTAGTGAGATCATGCAATGCTTTTCTTTCTGGCTTATTTCACTTAGCATAATATTATTTCGGTTTAACCACATGCTAAATGACAGGATCTCCACTTTTTAAATGCTGACTAATATTCATATATGTATAGATATCACAGTTTCTTTATCCATTTATCAGTCAATAGACACGTTGTTTTCATATGTTGGCTATTGAGAATAATGCTGAAATAAATACAGGAGTACTGATATCTTTATAAGGTGATTATTTAATTTCCCTTTGGTATAGACCCGACAGAGGGATTGCTGATTCATATTGTAGTTATATTTTAAATTTCTTTAGGAATCTCCATGCTGTTTTACATAATGGCTGTACCAATCTACATTCTCACCAACAGTGTACAAGTATTCTCTTATCTCTTATCTTTTTCATAGTAGCTATCCCAACAGGCATGAGATAATTATTTCATAATGGGTTTGACATGAATTTCCCTGATAATTAGTGATGTTGAGCATATTTTCATATACCTGTTGGCCATTTTTATGTCTTCTATGCATAAATGTTTATCAATTCCTGCGCACCTTTTTAGGTTGGGTTATGTTTTTACACTTTTGAGTTGTATGAGTTATTTCTAAATTTTTAATATTAAGCCCTTATCAGATATATAATTTACAGATAATTTTATAAATCTGTAGGTTTCTTTTTCTCCTAGAAAAGAAGATTGACCTAAACAATGCTTTACAAATATCATGCAAAAAGCTTAGGTTACAAAAATAAAAATAAATAAATGGGACTACATCAAACTAAAAACTTCTGTACAGCAGATGCAATGGGTTTTCATATGTTGATTTTGTATTCTGCATCTTTACTAATTTTACTATTTCTAATAGGTTTTCAAAGAAAAAAATTAACAATGTGATACTGTTACTCCTCAGAATATCTATATACATCATATAATCTCAGTTATAATTAGGGTTAAAATATTAAAAGACAAATGGCCCAGATAGCTTAATCATTGTTTATGTCTTAATAAAAGGGTCATTGTTTTCTACAGAAAAATATTTTACCTCTCTAAAATATTAAAATTACTGAAGAGCATTATTGGAATTAATATTGAAAATTATCTGACTCACCTTCTAAAAATAATATTTGAAATATACCTAAAAAAACAACTTCTACGTGTGTATGTGTGTGTGTGTAAGAGCTTACAATTCTTCAAATCAATCCATTCTGCGTTTCAAATTCTATGTTGAACTCAAATTTGCCTCATTTTCCAATCACCTACTCATCTTAGATCTTCTTCCCTCTTTATTGCAAGTAGATACAAAAACTTACAATTAATACTATCTCTATTCTCTATTTCCTATTTCATTGCTTATATTAGTGCTTCTCCTGGGAAACAGAAGCACATGAATTGGTGATGAGCTAGATTTATAATCAACAAAATCTTAAAGGTCATCCCACAATCATATCAACTGAAAAATAACATGAAAAGTCCAAGTGATAAATAAAATCTTTCATTAAAAAATAAAGGTCAAAGCTCTTTGAAAGTAAGCTTCAATAAGGTATTTTTATTTTCTCTCCATGTGAACTGGGTTTTTGACAGTAGAGAATGTTTAATAAAGAGTATGATAATGAGCAGGATGGAAATGTCAAATAATCTCATGTAAATTGAGCATAGTTTTTCAGAAAACATTAATATTTTAATGTGATCTCAGAAAGCTAATATTCAGCATATTCTTTACTTACGGTATATCTAAATATGATAATCTTTAAACTGGATGATATTTTATATAATAATTATTTTGGCTCATTACAAAAGCTAAACATGCACATTGAAGAAAAGTTATAAAATAAGTACATATAAAAAGAAACTAAAAATGGTGTAAGATAGCAAATGGTAACGGTTTTACAATATGAGTGAATGTCTTATTAAAGAGGCTTTGGAATAATCCATTTCCAGGGCCTACCTTGTTTCTTCCCAAAAGCTGCTTTGAAATACAAGTTGCTTTCTTGTGATAATTGCCTCTAAAGCAGTTAAAGACTGAAGGACTGTATACACACATAGTCACTCAACATCTGTACACACGTATATTAACCTTTTACTGATACAGCTTAGTTGCAATAAAACAGTTTGAATGTAGGAATCAAAGCTATGGTTTGTATATTATTGCCTATGTTTTAAAAGTTATTGTTACCTAGAGAGACTGTAATATTATACTTATAGGTGCTATCTTGACCCAGTTTTGACTTTATGGCTAAAAACTCTTAATTCTTCCCTTACCTGGATTGAACACTCCTGAATTACAACATATATACCAAGCTGCCAGAAGTCCCAGATGCCAAACGTCTAGAGACAGGTGCTTCTTCCTTAGGCTTGTGGAATTAATCAAAATACCCAATCCACAGGAAGCCAGTTTGCCATATAGAAGCTACCTCCTACAGCTCCACTTGTTTTTATCTTTTCCTTGGAGCAATACCCTATGAGGCCCTGTGTGGAAGCCTTTTATTCTCCAGACCTGTGAGTAATAAGTCATTTGTCTTTTATTTATGCTGGGGCAATTGAGTTATGTCCTGCCACCATCAGAACCCCCTTCCCATCCAAAAAAAAAAACATAGAAACAGAGATACAGGCTCTGATGTTATATTTATACGTACCTTACCCGTCATCCTATATAAGATCAAGGTGTGCACCCGCTAATGCCAAATGCCTGCATATTACGGAACGGGTCAGAGCACATTGAGCTGATCCATTTAGTTCATTTCCTCTGTGTTGGGGAAAGTGTGAGAATGGAATGAGGACACAGTGCTTTTCCCTTTTATCTGAATTAGCCATTACTTTCAATGGCAAAAGCCACAATTATTTTGGCACCAACCTAATACGAGGTCTGCTAGATGTCCTAATGGGCATTCCTGTCCTTTGTTTAACCAGAGTGATCATTATCATTCCAATGATACTCATGTAACTTCAATAGCACCAGTGCCTAATCCACTCATCTCAGCAGTAGGTGACCACCAGAATCTGTTTGGTATAGAAAGAATTAATATCTTGACTCTCATCTTTGGCAGATGACTCACCCCAAGTCTTCCCCACTTTTTCTCAGTGTACTTAAGGCAACATTAAAGACTACATCTGCTTTTTCAAACTCTGTCAGTCTGTGATTCTGTGTAAATGTTTGTTCACTCATCAAGGAAAGAAACACAAAAACTATTCATCATTTTAGACTTTGGTATTGAACCACAAAAATTATCTTTAACTAGACATATAATAATTATATTCCTCATTCATTCATTTCATTCTAATGTATAGTTTAATGCATAGTGATAAATTAGGATTTTATTACTATAGGATGTTCAATGTTGTATTCCCAATGATAGGTGCAGCAAACCATCATGGCACATGTATACCTGTGTAACAAACCTGCATGTTCTGCACATGTATCCCGGAACTTAAAGTAAAATTTGAAATAATTAATTAAAAAATTATGTTAATTTTTTTTCATGTAAATAGGTACTCTTCAAAAGCACACTTTCCAAGACTACCCAACATTCAATCATTCACTTAACAAATCCTATATTGATTATTGACTAGTGGGTTATACTTAAATTTTCATAAATTTTTCTTCTGTAGTAATACAATAAAATCATTACACTTAATTTGTCCCTAAAATTTTTCTTTCAGATTATATTTCTAGAAGTAGATATCCTACAATAAGGAATATATTTTATAGTTTCTAGAACACTGTTTTTAAATTATATCCTACAAATATATACTCCCTTTACTGGACTATAATTATACTCTCTTAAAGGTCCATTTTCAGTGCTAACATTATTTTATTCTGAAATAAATGCTTGTAAAACTTAACAATGATAACTCTTTTTAAAATAACAGGATGACTAGTGATGCTTAGTATTAAAAAGAGAGAAAAAGTTAATAAATAAGTACTAAAGGCCATGTTACCATATACCTATAGGTGAAAAAATAAGCAATTTTTTATGAATAAGACACAGCATTTATAGTCAGACAAAAGTCAGAAAAAAATGCATCTCTATTACTCAGAGCTGTATACATTAAATGATTTAACTAACTTTCTGCACCTCAAGCTCTCATTTGTACAACTGACTATTCTAATCAATGTCGTGAAATAATTATCAAGATTAAATGAGAACAATTAGTGGCCCAGAGTAAGCTCTAAGTATAGGTGGCTCTACCACACATGGCCACTGTGAATTATTCAAAAGCAATACAGAAGGCAATCTATAAAATGTATCAACTTCTCTTGTGCTAAAAAAAAAGAACCATAATTGATTTTTAAATGTTTCACTGGGTTGTAGAATAATAAAGCCGTATATTTCCAACCCGGTGAGGCTTTTTTCTTTTCTTTTTAAATCCAGCATGGAGGAGAAAGGGATAGAGCTACAAATGCTTTAAACATTATGACAGAAACCTTGCTGTCTTTTTCTTCATAACTCTCCGTAACTATGTTCAAAATCATTTCTAAAGTCAATGCGTTTGGGACAGATGAACAGACTTTGATTCACAGAATAGTCACTCAATCTGAATAATTATTCTTTGAAGGAGAATTGCATGTAGTTTAGGCACCATTTAAAAATCAATGTTGTGTATAGATTCCAGGTGTCCTAATTTTTATCTCACTTGTCCCTGCTAATATCTGTTCAATTGTTTCTCACAAGTGTAATTTTATCATGCTAAAATCTTGCTAAAATTTGTACTGGAAGTGGAAATAAAAAAGATAACAACCTTTACTATCCACTAAGAAGAAACCATAATTTATTTTGGAGGTTGTGAGAAGATTTGTTTTTTTCTGCTATGAACAAGGAACATATCTTTATTAAACAAGAATTTATTGGGGTTCTACTGTGTGGATACATTGTGAGTAGAGTTGTGAAGAATAATATAAGTTCCCCCACTTAAATTTGTCTATATTCTCCCTTAAGAAACATAGATACTAAAAAATAAAAATACAAAAGTAAAATAATAATTTCAAATTTTGATAAATGACATGAAGGAACAAACAATAATATGATAGAAAATAACTCATGGGTTGCTCCAAATGATGTTTTCTTGAGTTGTACATTTTGGGTAAGCCTTGAAAGTAGAGAAACAGTTCATTGAAGGAAACAAGGAAGTGCAAAAAGTCATGAAATAGGAATAAATTTGTTTTGATCTAAGAAGAGAAATAAGATTAGTGTGGCTGAATAATAGTGAGCAAGAGGGCAATGATAGAATGTAAAATTTGGAACAAAACCAGATTGACATTATGCAGGAATGTGCTGGCAAAGTAAAAGTTTTTATTTTATTCTGGCTTCAAAGAAAAGTCATAGAGTGCCTTCAGTCAGGAGACTGATATAACCTGATTTACAGTTTTAACAAACTACTCTCTCTACTCTGTGGTAGATGTCCACAAGGTCAGCAGGGATTGAAGCTGACTATGAGAGACAATAATTGGGTTGAGCAGGGTGGTGTCCATAATGATGGGAGAAGTGGAGATTTAAGATGTCTTATACAATTCCAGCCAGAAAAACTTTTGAGAAATGAATACCAATAACAATATTCACCCAGTACTTGTCATCAGTTATGATAGGTTTTAAAAAAATAGGAACATTTATATGTACCAATTGGTAAATAATCACTCTTTAGTTTCTCAAGTACCTCCCCTCGTCACATTCAGTTTTCTCCCCAGAACACTCCAGATATCTCAACACATCACCAATGCAGTATTAACGTCTTGATCATCAGAAACGTCAGCATAGTTTCTTATTATTCGGTGTCCCTGCTATTCTTGCTAAATATTTCTGGATATAAGAGAGAAGATGAAAGGGGAACTCAAGTGTAATTCACAAATGTTAGCTTAAATATTGGGTGAATGAAGGCACTGTCTAGTGGAAAGGGAAAATTTAGAAGTATCCTTTTAGGAAACTCAAATTTGGACATGTAGATATTGAGAAACATCTTAGCCAACATGATGAAGACGTCAAGGAGTGAGTTTTTTATGGCTATTGAGCTTATGGAAGAGGTTAGGGCTGCATATACAATACACAGACAAGAAAACATTTTAATCTCATACTCATATCTGCTTCTGTTTTATGTATTTTGAACGCTAAAGGAAAAAGTACACATTGGTGATCATATTGCATTTAATTATAAATAAAAAAGGTAAGATTCATCTATATTTAAGAGAGTATTTACTGTCAATGAGTTTGCTGTGAATATTTATATACAGATACAAATTTAAGATGCCTCTCAAGCTAAGAATGGTACACAAGATGCCAGATGATGCTGGTTATGGGGTGGAGGTGATCATTGGGATGACTCATATTTATACTCTCCTCTTTCCCTTTCCTCCTTGCTAAGTTCTGTGTTTTCACACATTCTACCTACAGATCATCAATTAGTAAGGTGTAAAGAAGAATTTGTGTTTTCTAGGACAAAAATAAGGCAGATCATTATCTACACAAGGGAACAGATAGATGAAAGGGAAAAGATGAGATATTAGTATAGCCCCCTAACCTCAAAGCAGAATATTTAAGGACAATTGAGTACCTATAACCCTTCTTTTGAGAGCATTTATATCTAATTAGGAATTCTTATTAAAATACGAGTTGTTAAAAAAATTCAAGAATCTAATACCTCCTTTTAAAATTCATTTTGTACAATTTTGCTAAACCATCAGTCTATTTTATATTCAATTGATTAGGCATAAAAATTATGTTGAGAACACTGTAGCTTGTATTCCCTTGTTCCATTGATACATGAAATCTAATAATATTAACTTATTCAGAGTACATTATCAAAAATTTCTTATTACCCTTTTATAAATCATAAGTTAGAGTGCAGTCAAACAAGAGACAGAATTTTATGCTGGCCATCTTTGCACTGATAAGCAACTCATAAGAGAGAGAATTATCAAAAGGGGTGACCAAGAGACTCAACACACAAATTAAAAATGGCAGATGATATACAACAATAGAACTCTGATCCACTACCTCTGTAGCCATTGACTGAAATGATGAGGAAACGATTAATGACTGCCAGTTTCTCTTTTGTATTGCACCTGTATCCAACTTAAGGCCCACCAGAAAAAGTCAAATAGGATTACCAAATTAATTAAATAAGATCCACACTTCTAATTAGTCCACCCTTGACTTCCCTATGCCAATAACCTCTACTCAGAGTATACCTAAAACCATCCCTTTTTAAAAATTATCCTGTGATATGGTTTGGCTGTGTCCCCACCCAATTCTCATCTTGAATTCTCATGTGTTGTAAGAGGAACCTGGTGGAAGGTAATTGAATCATGGGGGTAGGTCTTTCCCTTGTTTTTCTCATGATAGTGAATAAGTCTCATGAGAGCTGATGGTTTTAAAGGGGAAGTTTACCTGCAGATGCTCTCTTTTTGCTTGTTGCCATCCATGTAAGATGTGACTTGCTTCCCCTTGCCTTCCACCATGATTGTGAGGCCTCTCCAGCCACATAGAATTGTAAGCTCATTAAACCTCTTTTTCTTCCCAGTTTCAAGTATGTCTTTATCAACAGCATGAAAATGGACTAATATAGTAAATTGGTACTGGGATTGGGGTGCTGCTGTAGATAACCAAAAATAGGGAATTGACTTCAGACCTGGGTAACAGGTAGGGGTTGGAACAGTTTGAAAAACTCAGAGGACAGGAAAATCTGAAAAGTTTGGAACTCCCAAGAGACTTGTTGAATAGCTTTGACCAAAATGCTGATGATGATATGGACAATGAAATTCTGGCTGAGGTGGTCTCAGATGGAGATGAGGAATTTGTTGGAAACTGGAGCAAAGGTGACTCTTGTTATGTTTTAGGAAAGAGACTGGTGGCATTTTGCCCTGCCCTAGGATTTTGTGGAACTTTGAACTTGAGAGAAATGATTTAGAGTATCTGGTGGAAAACATTTCTAAGCAGCAAAGCATTCAACAGGTGACTTGAGTACTATTAAAGGCATTCAGCTTTAAAAGAGAAACAGAGCATAAAAGTTCAGAAAATCTGCTGCCTAACAATGGAATAGAAAAGAAATTACCATTTTATGAGGAGAAATTCAAGCCAGATGCAGAAATTTGCCTAAGTAACACAGAGGGTAATGTTGGTTAGTTACCAAGACAATGGTGAAAATATCTCCAGGGCATTTGAGATACTTTTGCAGCAGGCCTTCCCATCACAGGCCCAGAGGCCTAGGAGGAAAAAAATGGTGTCATATGCTGGGCTCAGGGTCCCTCTGCTGTGTGCAGTCTAGAGACTTGGTGTCCTGCGTCCCAGCCATTCTAGCCATTACTAAAAGGGGCCAAGGTATAGTTTAGGCAGTGGCTTCAGAGGGTGCAAGCCTCAAGCCTTGGCAGCTTCTATGTGGTGTTTAACCTTCGGGTGCACAAAAGTCAAGAATTGGGGTTTGGGAACCTCTGCCTAGATTTCAGAGGATGTATGGAAATACCTGGATGTCCAGGCAGAAGTTTGCTGCAGGGACAGTTGCTCATGGAGAACCTCTGCTAGGACAGTGCAAAAGGGAAATGTGGAATGGGCACCCACACAAAGAGTCCCTGCTGGGGCACTGCCTAGTGGAGCTGTAAGAAGAAGGCCACCATTTTACAGAGCCCAGGATAGTAGATCCGCTGATATCTTGCACCGTGTACCTGGAAAAGCTGCAGATATTCAATGCCAGCCCATGAAAACAGCTAGGAGGGGGGCTGTACCCTGCAATGTCACAGGGGCAGACCTGCTCAGGACCATGAAAACCCCTTCTCTATCAGCATGACCTGGTTGTGGGACATGGAGTCAAAGGAGATCATTTGGGAACTTTAAGATTTGACTGCCCTGCTAGATTTCAGACTGGGGCCTGTAACCCCTTTGTTTTGGCCAATTTCTCCCATTTAGGATGACTGTATTTACCCAATGTCTGTAGCCCCATTGTACCTAGGAAGTAAGTAACTTGCTTCTGATTTTATAAGCTCATAGGCAGAAGGGACTTGCCGTGTCTCAGATGAGCTTTGGACTGTGAACTTTTTAAGGCTGAAACGAGTTAAGACTTTGGGGGACTGTTGGGAAGGCATGATTGGTTTTGAAATGTGAGGACATGAGATTTGAGAGGGGCAAGGGGCAGAATGATATAATTTGGCTGTGTTTCCATCAAATCTCATCTTGAATTCCCTCATGTTGTGGGAGGGACCCGGCAGGAGGTAATTGTATCATAGGAGCAGGTCTTTCTCATGCTGTTCTCCTGGCAGTGAGTAAGTCTCATGAGACTTGACTTTTTTTCAGATGGAGTTTCCCTGCACAAGCTCTCTTTTTGCCTGCTGCCATCCATGTATGACGTGACTTGCTCCTCCTTACCTTCTGCCATGATTGTGAGTTCTCCTTGGCCATGTGGAACCGTGAGTCCAATAAACTCTTTTTCTCGCCAGTCTTGGGTATGTCTTTATCAGCAGTGTAAAAACGAACAAATACACTCCCTGCATGATTTTTAATCTCTTTCCTAATTCAAAGGACAGTGGCTGTAGCCAACTCTCTTGCTGTAGCAAACTCTGAAAAAACAATTTCTGTTTGTCCTAATTTGAGTCTTCTTTTTTATTTTCATAACACATACACACACACACATGTTGTTGACATAGCCCCATTTATATCCAGTGTTATTTGGAGGGCTTAAAAAATATAACTTTGGAGTATACATTCTGTGAAAATACAAATAAAATCTATTATTTAATATTTGTGTTCTCATTGTCACCATAATTTTTGTTTAGTTTGGTTTGTTTAGTTTGTTGTAGTTTCCCTTCATTTTAATAGTAATATTTATTGTCTAAAAAGAAAAAAAAAATTGTGGCAATAAAAGACATGATCATTGTACAACATTTGAAAGCACATTTAAGAATAATGAGTAAAGTAAATATTACTTAAAATTTTACTGAACACAGGTAAATGCTAGTTATTTTTATGTATTTTTACAGACATTTCTTGCAATGCAAAATGAGATCGTGTAAATATATTATTTTTATCTTGATGTTTTTAGTTACTTAAATTATATTAGTAGCATGTGTCATTTTATTACTCATACTATTAAATGTGGATTTTCAAGTATTTTATAGCATTTTATTATCTTGATGCATCACACCAATTTTTTGAAATGGGATATCATGGTATCTGAGTTCTGCTTTGTTAACATCACTGGCAGGAATGTATAAGATGCTTTACAATGAGGAGAAACTTGTGGAAGTGGCACAATTAGAAACTTAGGTAACACTTATAATCAATAAGTGTCTTTTCTAGTAAAATATGTAGCACCCAAACTTGTCCATATTTATTTTCTCATTGCTGTATTATCTCAATTATTTTCTTACTGACAAAATTTGTTCACAATTTTGGCACCTCTTTATTTTCACTATACTATCAAAGGAAGATATGTTACAATTGTAAATCATACATTTAGCATCATAAATGTGAATATTCTATTTATGAGAACCTATTAAATGAATATTCAATAAAAAGGAATTGTTTATTTGATAACTAAAAAATATTAAGAACAATTATTCACAGTGTTGTGAGTCCAAAGTCTTCCTTACATGGTTGTTTTGTGTATCTTACTCTTACACCATCGTTGGTCTGATCAGTAAAATAAAGAAAAGGCAATATGGCTAACTCTTAAATTTACATAAGAAAGAACTAGAACTCCTTCAATAATTATTCTTAAGAAGATGAGGGTAATGAGTATAGGTGTGAGAAACAGATCCTGGAAAGAGAGAATTGAGAGAATGACCTTCAGGACAGTCAAAGAAGAATATGGGACATTCAGGGGAAATTTGGAAAGAGGGAAATATATTCACAGCAAAATTGTATGTAATGTTATACAATTCAAGCCCTCCATCTACTATCTCCTATTGATCTATTGGATCTATTGATTCATGAGTAAACAGTTTTTTTAGAATTTAATGGAGTTTGAGATTTTTTTAATGTTCTATGATGCATAAAACAGCTTTGATTTTCTACTGTTTACATGTGTTTTCAAAAGTCTCCTCTTACAGAATTTTATAAGCAAAAGAAAAACACTGATTTGCTGTTAATTTCGCCATTAATTCTGAGTTTACCAATGTTTTTCTCTGTGCCTGGCTCATTAGTAATTGCCAATTGTTGCTTACAGAAATTGGGCTTCTATCCAACCATAGAAAGCTGGAGATAGCCTTGCTGATTACATTTCACAGGGATGGTTCTCAGGCCCTTGAGAAAGACATTCCTGGGTTTTGAAATTGACCAGAAGCTAGAAGTAGATTTACATCACAAAGCAGAAAAGAAAAAAGTTACAGCTCAAAATTATCTAAAGTTAGTGCTCTAAGGAAAGGGAGGTAGAGGACCTTATTCAGGAAAAGAACAGTAAAGTTAAGTCATGCTCACAGAAATACTAGGCTGCCCTGGTCAAATGTCATGGGGCATCCTATAATCTCACATTGTTAACACACATTTTAAGTGTAATTTGATCACTTCAAACCTGACCCAAGGCCATTTATGCATGCCAAATTGCTTCTCTAAAGTTCATTCTTTGTAAAGGTGGCTTTAATGCCTATATATTCATACTTTTTTTTTTCTGTTTCTTGGATCTTCATGTTGTTTCCCAGAAACTAGGTGTGAAGCAGAGTTTCCTACATGCTTGACAGTGGTGACTATTTCCCACTGAACCTTAAATGGGTCATAATACACCAGAATTTCTTGTGACCATTTTTCAAGTTTTATAATTTAATTGTACCTAAATGTAAGTAACATTTGTTTGACTTCCCTAAGGAAAATGCAAACATATGCATGATTTTCCCAATTTTGAAATCTACTGAAGATGGGTAGAATTTATTCCTAATTTTTAAATTAATAATTCAATGATGTGTAACTGATGGTTTTCTAATGTCTATGAAAAGCATTGATAACCAAAAAACAAAAAATAGATAGCCATATAGAAAATATGTGTAAACTCTGCTCTATAGTATAATACACTACCTTGTCTGTTTCAACTATTGAATCCCCAAGAGATGACTAGAATAACCTATTGATCAAGCAAAACTGGGTTTCTTGCCTCCTGCAATAAAGACGAGCATCACCTAAATGGAGTGTTTCAGTGACTCAGAAAGGGAATATCAACATGTATTACAGAGTTTGGGGTTCTGTGTAAGAGTGGTTTTAGTCAAGTGTTCTAATTTGGGGATCTGATTATGGTTGGCCAAAAATTCCTAGTAAGAGTCTATGATGAGTGGACACAGTGCTGAGAGAAGCTTAAAGTGAATCTTGATGTGTAAACTGGTTTTGATCAGTAAAAGGTTTGCCCAGTTAAAAGATCTGTTATTATGAGATGTATGCTGTTTTTCCACACCATCAATCTGTTGTCATAAGCATGTGGCTATTTGAACAGTTAGATAAATTGACTTTTAAGCAGTTTCCAACACAAGCAATGAAGTTATTTACTGGTTTACAGTTTATTCTTCCTGAGCAAGAATTCCTGGAAAAATTTACTATAGTTGAGTTTATAGAGACACCCTAAATTAACAGCACAATCAAAATGATAAGGGTGTGTTCCTTGGTGAATTAGTCTCATTAAAGATATCTACAAATATGAAGTCTTAAATAATTTCTAATAACTGTTAATTGTGTAAATCTAAGTATTCTTTTTATGTCTCAGTGCTTCCTAGTTACCATTATGTATACATTATGAATAACAAACCAGAATCTGCAAACAAATATAATTTTTCCTTTTTTCAAGAGCTTCTCTGTCTCTTTCTCTTGCGCTCTCCTTCTTTGACATTAAAACAAGATACAAAATATCCCACATATGCACGCATATATTTTAACTGTTGACTCTGCAAAGACCACAAAATGGTCTAATCTTAAATCCCTTGAAGCATTTGTGAAGCTTCTCTTTTAAACAGATGTTATTTTTCCCTAAATACAGACTTCAGATGTTCATAAGACACCTCAGTTCACATTTGCAAGTAAATGGTGGACATGCATATAAATGAAATGATTTAACTAAAATTGCTCAATGTCATAAGCAAATGCAAAGTGTGTGCACATAACACAAAACTGATATACTGAAACATTAATAAAGTTGATTTTGAAATAGTGCCTGTAATTTTGGGTTATTGAAAACATGTGTTTATGTTATTGTCACAGCATTTTTTAATGACCTAAGGTCCTCATATTTTTAGTTTTCATAGTTGCTTTATTACTCTCAAAGTGTGCATATAGAAAGAAAATTTGTTTTGCAAACAGTTATTTCCCTTCATCATATATTCATGGCACATTCAGTGCTTCCAAAGAGATAAGACTCAAAAGCCGCAAGTGTTCTACTTAGATGTCATTCATATGATGATTCTCCATGTTTTTAAAACTCTTGGCCAAGGAGAGAAAAATGAAAATAATGTGAGTGCTCTATTTAAAAAATATTTAGCCTAAAGATATATTTTCTTTATGCTGATTTTGCTTTCATTTGTTTTTGGGGGAATGTGATTTGAGTATTCCGTAAAGAGTGTTTTGCTATCCAGTGAAAACAATTTGAAAGCTACTGATTTATAGGAAACCAAATGTCTACGCAAGGCAAAATGTCTGAGGGTGTTGGGTAGTGTATACACACAGCCAAATTTAAGAAAAAAAAGGCAAAAAAAGAAAGAAAAGTGAAACATGTTGTTTTTCATTTGGACTACCCATCTAGATTTGTGGTTTTGGCATTAGAAAAAGTATTTTGGATTTCCTTGCATATCTTCGCTTAACTATTTGATATTTTGTAAAGTTCAGTTTACTCTCCACTTATATATTATTCCTCAAAATCTTATCCTGTCATCTATTTGTTTTTCTATTTATACTCCTTTCCTCGATAGATATGTATACTCTAAAGCCATATTAATAAAGTAAATTTCTTCCATTTTGCCACTCCAGATTCATCCTCCACCTGACCTCATTATCATCTGTTTCTCAAGAGGCTAAACTCTATGAACAATGTCAACACAGCTTCCTTGTTATATAATATACAATTGAGTTCTCCTATCTGGAGTCATAGGCAAGGAATAGAAAAGCAATGGAAAAAATGTATCGAGATTTTATTCCCTTCACTCTTGTTCTGCCAGTTAATTTTGAAATACTTGCATAATTTCAGGCATTCCTTGCTAGAGGTACTCTTCTCAAATTTCTTAAATTAGGCTTCCCTAACTTTTATCTTCTTATGCCACGTTATCTCAAACTTGGCATTATTGACATTTTTGAACAGGTAATTCTTTGCTCTGGGAGAAGCTGTTCTGTGCGTTGTAGGATGTTTAGCAACATCCTTGGCCATTACAGATCATACTTCAGTAGTACAATCCTCCCCACCAACTGTACATTAAAAAATGTCTAGATACTACATGTCTCATCCAGGCAAAATCCTCTCTTTTGAGAACTGTTCTAGGCCTAGGGATGGTAATACTTCCTCTCTGATAGTGACACTATTTTTCTGAGCTTTTTTTTGGTGTCCTTAAAGATTTCCACAGCTATGTAAATTATCTCTTTCTTAAACTCTTTACCTTTTCAATTTCAGTATGTGCTTCTTTTCTGAAGCAATCATGGTAATGCAAGAATTGACTTTGAAAAACATGTCTTTGAAATGCAATTTAAAAATTTTGATTGACATGGAAAAACCTCCTTGCTATCTGTAAATAAAATTCCAGTAATCTGTGTCATTCAGTAATATCAAGGTTCCTAAAACTGTTTGTCTACGCTGTTGTATGATAAAATCCAGATTGAAGGCAGGGTCTTAATAGAAAAAATGGTTCTAGTACGTGGAGACAACACTAAAACAGACTTGATGAAGACTTTGTCATCAGTTTGTTTCTTCTAATTGCCTTAGAAATAAAAGGAAACACTGAAATCTGAATGCAGAAATCAGAGTAAAAGAAAAATCAGAAAGCTTCCATGGCACTTTTTAAAAAGTGCATCCTGGCCAGGCGCAGTGGCTCATGCCTGTAATGCCAACACCTTGGGAGGCTGAGGTAGGCAGATCACTTGAGCTCACGTGTTTGAGACCAGCCTGGGCAACATGGCACAACTCCAACTCTACAAAAAATACAAAAATTACCCTGCTGTGGTAGTGGATGCCTGTTATCCCAGCTACCCGGGAGGCTGAGGTGGGAGGATTACTTGAGCCTGGGAGGCTGAGGCTGCAGTAAGCCAAGATCATGCCACTGCACTCCAGCCTGTGCAGCAGAGAAAGACCCTGTCCCCCCGGCCAAAAAAAATATAAGAAATAATAAAAAATGTAAAAGTGCAAACATTTCTAATATTTACCAAAAAAAGTGAGTGATTACAAAGTCTAAAACTTAATTTTGAGAATCACAGAATTATATCTTAACATTTCCAGGCAACATAGAGACAGTAGCAGTAAAGAATAGAGTTCTCAAATGAGAGACACATAATTGAGAAGTTTCAATCAACAAATATCACTGAACACCCTAGTGGGAAAGGAAGCCATTTTCTGTATATTATTTTAGTTTTAAATATCTCTGACATTAATTAAAACAAACATATTAATTGATTACTTACCTGCTACTTAAACAAATTAATAAAATTATCTCAAAGGTAACCCTAGGACAGATACCTTCACAAGCTGATGCTAAATTTCTTCAAAATTGAACTTCACTATTTCCCTTTGTGCTCAGACCTACCTATAACAAGAGTTAGTTATTAGCACAGCTCAGTCAAGAAAGTCTATGGCCTGCTCCAGGGGAAGATAGTCTCTGTATCAAATAGTCCCATATGCTTGAGTAGCCTTACCTGTTTTTATGTTTATTCACACAACATGTAAAATACTTCCCCTGACAGTAACGGGAAAAGTCTGGAATGTCTGTGTGTGGGGGCAGAGTCGAAGGGTATAGCATCACAACAGATCAAATATAAAGCTTCATTGGGCTATATTTACTGATATGGAAGCACTTCTTCAGGATTAAAGATTTAATATTTTGGTTTGAGCACCTAAGAATGTTATTAGTGGTCTTCAAATTTGTATAACAGTTGAGTCATGGTGGTCTTTAGTTATTATTATACAATAGTGGAACTACCTTGATGTGGCAGACACACTCTGACGGAGGACTGATGATCTCTCACTCCTGGTATTGATGCCCTTCTGTGATCCCCACTCCTTACAACAGAATATGGCAGAATATACATAATTATGTGTGTGTGTGTGTGTGTGTGTGTGTGTGTGTGTGTGTGTTTGTGTGATTTGATTATGTTACATGAGAAAGAATGTAATGCCCGTTTTACTGGAGAGTCTCTCTCTCTGTCTTACTTTCTCACTATCTTGCTCTCTCTCCCTTATGGGCTTTACATAAGCAAATGCCTATGTTTGGGAACATACCTTAGCAAACAAAATGTGAGCAGCCTCTTGGAGCTGAGGACAGCCTCTGACCTGTAACAAGCAAGAAACTGAAGCTTCCAATTCTATACTGGCAAGGCACTGAACTTTACCTGAATTTCCCAGAATTATCTTCCCTGAATATTTCCAAGAGAAGTTTTCCATGAGATAAATTTCTGAAATTTCCAAGGCAGAACTGGAAAAGCAGTCACTTTATGCTCTAAAGGTAAGTGTTATGCCAAGTGCCTTTGACTTACACATTATCACTGATCTGCTAGCCATCCTTGTTGGTGTAGGGCAGCAGCTGGTCTGCAAATTCTCCTGAACTGCCAGATATTCTTTATCAGCATATGTGAACTCTGAGCCAGGCCTGTGCATGGCTCCATAATGATGGGCACCAGCTTATCCCTCTCAGAAGACAGAAGTTTGGTCAGTATATCTGGTTGCACATTTTACCTGGAAGGAAAGATGGCCAGAGGTGTAGATCTAATTGATGGGCAATGACTTAGAGAGAATACTTGGTAAAAAGACGATCTAGTAAAGAGGAATGGGCACATACCATTCAGAATGGGTGCAGACTATCCAAATATTTGTGTTCTGTGTAAATACTCAGGAAAGAATGACTTCAGCAGAGAAGGAAGAACAAATAAACAAGATAAATCACCCTGGGGATGACAATCAGACTTTTTCCGGTCCTCTCTTTTATTGCCTAATTGGTTCAGACACAAAATAGCCATGCTGTCAGAGGTAAACGTTATATATAGACTGAGCAAAATGCCTTATAATCTTCAAGGCCTCCCTAGCTAAATCCACTGATCTGTGCTCAGCTTGTCAGTATCAGGAAACAACCCTGACTGAGTCCATATCATACTATTATCAAGTGGGGTCAGCCAGCTTCCTCTTGGCAGGTTGATCCTGGTAGAGCAACTCTATCACAGAAGGGACAGCGGATCATTCTCTCTGGAATAGGCAATTACTTTGCTCTTGGATGTGCCTCCTCTGACCCAAACTTTCTGTTAAAACCAGTTATTGGACTTACAAAACACCTCATTCAATATCTTAGTATTACACACAGCAAAATTTCTGATCAAAGAATTAATATCTCATCAGGTGAAGTGTGACAATAAACTTGATAATTATGTTGTTCACTGGTTTTACAATGTTCCCATTACCATAAGGTAACTGTCCCAGTAAAACGGCGGACTGCCATTTTTCATATTAATTATACACAAGCAGGGTGGCTAAAACTGGCTGAAATGAGCTAATGCCCTCCAGGATGATATTCAAAATTAGTCCCAATATAAGCACTGTTTATCCTAGAGCCAAGATTCAGATGTCCATGTATCAGGAGTAGAAATTGGAGTACTTTCTTTTACCATTGGCCTTATTGATCTCACCTCAAGTCTGTCACTCTAAAGATCTAAGTTTCAAAAAAGAAATTGTCCCATCAATGGGTCCAGCAAGGGTTCCATTAAACTTGAAGTCAAGACACTATATCTGGCCACTTTTGCCTCCCCATTCCAATGCATCAACAGGCAAAATGATTACCTCAGCATAGATAGAGTGACTTATCCCAACTAAAGTGAAAACTGGGTTGTGACTGCTCAGTGGAGGTGAGGAGGACTACGTCTGGCATTCAGAAGATCCATTCAGTATTTCTTTTATTCTTTTTTTTTTTTAGACAGATTCTCGCTCTATTGCCCAGGCTGAGTGGTGCGATTTCAGTTCACTGCAACCTCTGCCTCACAAGTTCAAGTGATTAGCGATTCTCCTGCCTCAGCCTCCCGAGTAGCCAGGACTACAGGCTCCCACCATTACTCCCAGCTAATTTTTGTATTTTTAGTAAAGAAGGGGTTTCACCCTATTGGCCAGTCTGGTCTCGATCTCCTTACCTTGTGATCTGCCCTATTACTAGTGCAAAAGTAATTGCAAAAACCGGTCTGGTATGGTGGCTCACGTCTGTAATCCCAGCACTTCGGGAGGCCGAAGCTGGTGGATCACCTGCGATCAGGAGCTGGAGACCAGCCTGGACAACTTGGGGTAACCCCGTCTCTACTAAAAACATAAAAATTAGCCGGGTGTGGTGGCATGCGCTTGTAGTCCTAGCTACTCGGGAGCCTGAGACACGAGAATCGCTTGAACCCTGGAGGCAGAGGTTGCAGTGAGCCGAAATTGTACCACTGCATTCCAGCCTGGGTGACAGAGTGAGACTCTGTCCCCCTCCTCGCCAAAAATAAAAAGTAATAGTGAAAACCACAATCACTTTTGCACCAAACTAATAAATACTACCATGTCCTGTGATTACAGAAAATGGAAATCTACAACAACCCAAAGTTAAGAGTGCAGATAATGACCCAGGTTCCTCAGGACCGAAGCTTTGGGCAAGTCCACCAAGCAAGCATCCATGACCACCTGAATTACTTGCTAAGGGGAAAGAAATGTGTATTGAGTAGTTAATAACGGACACCTTTAAAAATATAAACTGTGACAATGTGTCCAGTTGCAGAAATGAGGAATGCAATTGCTATGAATATATCTTCCTTATTTTGATCAGAATGTATTTGTATATATACTAATATACTACTTTCTATTTATCTTTTGTTTTGTTCTACTAGTTAATAAATGTAATTTTCAGGTAATTTTATATCTACCATTTAAGTTACAGGTTATTACAAGAGAGAAGGTAATTCAGCTAGCAGAAGAGTGAACATTTTATTATCATTTAGGGAAAAAATAGGAATTTGTATTATTCTTGGGAGGGGTGTTTGTGTTTGTGGTTATATGTAGGTGAATAGCATCGTGTTAAACATAAATGTGATTTTTCTTCCTCACATGGCTCTAAATTAGAATTGATCAAACAGCAGTTTACATAAGATTTGGAAAGGCAGAAGTGAAGTAGTGCATTTTTACTTTCTGAGGGTTAGTGAAAGCCAAGTGCTATTGCAGTTCCCACGCATTGTCATTCATCCGCTGAGTGACTTGCTGTGGAGTAGCAGCCATGTTCATAACTCCATAACTCCCACCAGATCTCCTTCTTCAACTCTTCTAAAATCATGGGCCAAACACAATGGTGACTCCTTGGTGAAGAGTGCCAATTTAATTCATGGATCAACTATGCCACTGAAATTGTAGATGGTAACAGATGCATATTTCAGTTTGTTCTTTTCAGTTTCAGATTGTCATCGTTAGGGCCAGTGAGTCCTTATTATTCAACGTTTTATGTTCAACTTCTCAGCTGTTGGTCCTGCTTGTTTCAGACCCAACAACCGACCAAAAAGCAACATCTTTATACAGACTACTTGAACAGACCCTACAATGATATAGGGTATCGTACCTCCAGTAGATTTCTTATTCCTTATCATTTTAAGTGGTTCTGATTCTGTAACCACACCTCAACTAATGCCTTGAATTTTAAGCTTTCTCACTAATTGTCTATAGCACCTAATTCCTGAATTTTGTCATCGTGTATCTCTGCTGGGTGTTGAGGCAGGGTGGAAAACACACAGATTCCTTCTGCTCTAGCTTTTGTGAGGAAAAATGATTTCCAGGTTTAATCTATATCATGAGTAGACATAGGTATTGGATACTACTACTAAAATGATACTCCACATCTATCTGGCTGTAGCATCTTAGGCTTTTACTATTCACCTATTCTATATCCACTGTTATTAGGTAACATTTAAAATATGGCACTCAAATATAAATTGGTACATCACCTATGTTTCAAATAAGAAAAATAAGAAAAACTGGATAAATTTGTAACTCATTTAATTAATGTTAAAATATGATTTCAATGAAAAAGCTTTGAGCCCTTTAATCATGAAACCAAAAAATGTATAATATATTTTTTCCTTAAAAATATGTTTGACCGAGACCATCCTGACTAACACGGTGAAACCCCATCTCTACTAAAAATACAAAAATTAGTCTGGCGTGCTGCTGGGCGCCTGTAGTCACAGCTACTCAGGAGGCTGAGGCAGGAGAATGACGTGAACCCGGGAGGCGGAGGTTGCAGTGAGCCGAGATCGCGCCGCTGCACTCCAGCCTGAGCTGCAGAGCGAGAATCCATCTAAAAAAAAAAATTTATATATATATATATATATATATATATATATATATGTATAAAACCAGAATATAGCTACAATTTACTTAAAATCTGGGCTTGTACTACACACTATTATCATACTATCCTATACTAGCTTTCCACAGAACAAGCGTTCTTATACTTAGTATAATAAACATCACGTAGGGACCTTAAGAAATATACATTATTGGATTATTGACTGGGCACTGTGGCTCACGCCTGTAATCCCAGCACTTTGGGAAGCTGAAGTGGGCAGATTACGAGGTGAGGAGATCAAGACCATCCTGGCCAAATGGTGAAACCCCATCTCCACTAAAAATACAAAAATTAGCTGGGCGTGTGCCTGCAGTTCCAGCTACTCGGGAGGCTGAGGCAGGAGAATTGCTTGAACCTGGGAGGTGGAGGTTGCAGTGAGCCGAGATCGCACCACTGCACTCCAGCCTAGTGACAGAGCAAGACTCCATCCATCTAAAAAAAGAAAAGAAATGTACATTATTTGGCCTCATCTCCTAAAATTTCGATTTACTAGATTTTAGATTTAGTAGGGGCACCAGGAAGCTGTTATAGCAAACACCCAGGTGATACTGCTACATACATTCTGTTGCGCCTGCCAAGTCAAATTGATCATTGAATCAAATTGAGTAAAGTCCATTGAATCTCTGCTCAAATTTGTCTATGGATATATGCAGAACTTCTGTAAATTCTGCATCTAAAACTGAAATTAAAGGAGCCCAATGATTGTGGTTGTTTCTCTGAAACTTGCCCTGAATTTGATGAACAGTTTTAGTGAGGAATAGAAATCAGAGGTAGTGAGAATACAATGTAAAGTAACAACTTTCAGGATGAAGGGAAATGTAACAAAGACTGAAAAATGTCCTTTACCTAATACCAATAACAATGCTTTATATTGTCACAGTGCTTTATAGTTTTCAAAGCACTTTCAAATATTATTTCACTTTATTCTCACAATTGAATACGGTTGGAAATTGGATTTGTATTGCTCTTTTTATGCCCCATGGGTGAAAAAGTGAAGTAACGACACAAATGTCCTTCATGTCACCTTTTGGTTAGGGACCAAGCTGATCAAATGTTGCAGGGGATCTCCAGGGACATTTGTACCAAAACAGAGAGATGTAAACTTTTTTTAGTAGGTAGAAAACTTTGAAAGTAAGAGGCAGTCAGTTAAAATGTGCCTCCTTTGCAGAAATGTACTAAAAAACAGTAAAATAATCCACCAATTTATAAAGATCTAACTGGGAGGATTTATCTTTTAGGAGTAACAATGACAAAACAAAATTTGTTTTGATAGAAGTTTGTGTAATTCATCATTATATTACTAAAAACAATGAAATACTAACAATAAATACATTATATTTTGCATAAGTTAGTGAGATATAGTGCTAATTGTAATATTTTGTGAATATACTTATTCTGAGGCTATCTTGGTAATTTCCTATTTCTATTTATTTTAAAGTCAGTATTAATGAGTTGTAAAGTGTAGTGAGAAAATAACTTGCATAAATTTAAGTGATGAATATTAAAATATGCATAATAGAAGTGATGCCTTGGAGACAAAACATATTCTATAGGTTTTCAAACATAAAAATGTAATTTTTAATATAACATTTTTGAGATAAAATATAGATATTACAGGCTCATAATAGATATAAATGTAGAAAGTTTTTCAATACAAAGTGACTCCATAAAAGGATATTTCTAGGACATGAATTAGAAATATAAAATTAGTCGAAGTATATTATAACTTAATTATTTTATAGTATATTATCATATACAATTTTAAATGAATTCATTTGCATTAATATTTAAGCTCCTAAAAACTAATAAAAATGTTGTTACAATATTATGGCATTGACAGAAAAACAAGTATAATTTTTAGTATTAATTAATATGAAAAGAATATTTAAAACAGACCTAATATTCAATGTCCAAAACTGCAATATTTGAACTGTCATAAAACAAGCTCTATTGATTTTCTCGTGCAATTTCAAACCATAGAGATTAAAATTAATGCTGCTCCAAAACTTTTGAAACCATAAATGTCATGTGTGATGCAATTAAAGGTAGTGGACGTTTCTGGATAATATTTACAATGCCCTCAGAGATTCTGTGAACAGGTAAATCTACCTACTTTGGATAATGTGTGGTTTTGTTAACCACATACTGCTAAGATTCCAATTACTGACTTAAGAAAATCAAAACTCTTGGACCGCTTCATCTGTCAGTCAGCTCTGTTGGCTGAGTTCATTTAGGAAATAATAAATAAACAAGCCAGAATTTAAATTGTAGATTTTTGACCAGTTCAACCTGTTTTCCAGTATAGTCCTGTAGTTAACAGAGAAACGTTTATTCTATCAATAAGGTGGTATTTAAATTTCAGAACCAAAACTCAGGATGGGTTTTCCCATACCACCTTCCCCATTCCTCTAATTATGTGCTACTTTCACTTGCAATATTGTTATTGTATACTAATTATCACATGATACTGCAGTTGTTTATGTGTCATTTTTCCTATTAAAATATATTTATTTGCTATAGGTTATGTTTCCTTTACTTTTGTATCCATAAATTGTGCTGTCCTTTCTGGAATGTAATAGAAGATCAATAAATGTTTGTGGAATTAATGAGTGAATAGAAGTATAGAAACAATACAACATATTTGGCATAGAGATTACATACTTGACAATCCACATGATTTAATTACTAGCAAAATTTGACTTTCTGGTTACAGAAGACATCTGCCCCACCCCATCATTGTGACTTTAATCGCATGAATCCAATCAACAGAATGCCCTTTCCTCTACCCCAACCCCAGTCATTGCTTGTCAAAATCAAATCTGCAAGATCAGTCTTAAATTGTCTTTTCTTTATGAAGCCTCTTCTGGATTTCCCTACATTATTCTATAAATGCACAAAGTAATGTGGGTTAAAAAAGCCTATTCGTAGCCTAGCTTGGAAGAATTAATGAATATAATATATACCTGTGAATTTTCTGTGTGTGTGTGTGTGTGCAGACACACACACACACACAAAAACACACACTTTTTAAACTCCTTAATAGCAGTTGTCTGTTACTCATTTCTATATTCTTTGAACATCTAGCATATTACCTGACTTGAATTATAGAGTACCCAACAAATTATTATAACAAATAAATTATAATAGAAAGTTTGCATAAGATGAAACATTAAAAAGTTCTCTCTTATTTAAACAAGATAAATATAAAACTTTTTATTTTAAAATAAGTTTTAGAAATCTCTGGGTAAAACTGAATGAGTTTTTATAAGGAGAAATAATTTCTATTAAATACACATAACGTATTTAATACTGCCAAACTTTAGTGTTCTCTTCCTATATAGTGCCTGCATTCTTTTAGGGGGTATATGATTCTCCAACTTTTTCCTTGCAATTTCTATGCACTTTCTGATCATGAAAATAAAATCATATATATTTAAAATTTCATAGCATTAATTTGAGGTTCTTTTATTTCTTTACTTATGAGTAATTTGGTTAAAATGTTTTTATTTATGCAATTGTTATTTTTAGAAAATATAAAAACATTCTCTTTGTCACTTGCTCTTACATTACCTTATTTACTTAAATTATTGTACACTCATTCTTCAAAATGTAGGCTTATAAGCACTTATCTTGGAAGCCTTCCCTTATCCAACGCAGAGTAATATATATTAGTCTGCCCTGTGCTCCCTTAGGGTTTTGTACATGCCACTATCACTGTCCCTATAACATTCCATGGAATGTCCTTGTAACAGTCCATGGAAGAATCCATTGGACTGTAAGCCCCATGACAATAAGCTCCATTCTCTCTCTGTTTTCAGGGGAATACTGGCAATTCCTTTCATTGTTCCTCTTCCTTTCATTAAACTTTAAATTTTATAGTATTAAGGATGCATCTTTAGTTGTATTTTCTTTCTATGCTTCTTCGTTAGGTGAGTGAACTAAGTCTTCCGGCTTTAAACACTATAAATGTCTACCCATCCCATGACAATAATGACAATCTCATGACTATCCCATATTACCCATGACAGTAATGACTGGGTAACAATGATTGTTATAATGAACATAAAAACAATAATTCACTCATTTATAGTCATTAGGAAACATATTTATAAATATAAGGTCAATTTGAGAAAATGGTAAAATTATTTCTTGATAGTAAAGTATCTGTATCATATTTCATTTTGTTCTCTAATTAGATAATACTATTCAATAGAATTCTACCTCACCATGTATTTAATTATACAGCTTACATGTGCTTAAAATATATCTGTCTAATTTAATCTATTAAAATATAAAAGAATAAAATCTATTAAAATAAATAAATTAAATATTATTTATTTTGACAGTTTTTTAAAAATATGATCTCACATATAATAAGCTTTTCTTCGAAGATTTCAGAGAAAAATAAGGACAAACAAATTATTCAAAACTTTTCCTTTCAATAATAAATTTTGGAATAAATATAGGTCACATACAGAAAGAAGTGAGACATACCATCGTCAATGTCTTCAGCAGAAACAGAAATTACAGAGATGTTTCACAGGCTGTCTCTGACTGAATTTAGGATATAATATCAAGCACAGCTCAGATAATGTAGAATTTAGGAATGAGTTGAATACTATGTAAAACTGACTTTTTACTTACCGCTTTCTCTATATCCCATCTACTCTTTAGTACTCAAAGATGTCATACTAAAAATTGCCCCTCTTTCCCCACTCACGCAGTTTTCCCAGTGTACTGAATCACTGGCATACAGATACATATATGTTATGTTAACTGAAGTCATAAAAACAAAAACCAAATCAAAGCCATCGTTATCTCCAGATCCTCCTCCAGGTATCTCACATTTCGCTCCTCAACTGTAAAGGAAAACTCCTCCAAAATATTTTGTGTACCCAATTTCTTTAGTTTCTCTCTAACATCCCTTAGACCAAAATCTAATTGGATGTTCTGCTCTACTCTCTACCACTGCATTTCAACAGCTTTCTTCACATTTATCACTCACCTGGATACTGCCAGTTCCCCGAGCAATTTGCAGTCCTCAGTTCTCAAGCAAATGGGCCTCTCAGAAGCATGTGCCTCTTTCTTCCTTTGGCTTCCAGGTCTCCATTCTCTCTCTGTTTTCAGGGGAATACTGGCAATTCCTTTTATTGTTCCTCTTCCTTTCATTAAACTTTAAATTTGATAGTATTAGGGATGTATCTTTAGCTGTATTTTCTTTCTATGCTTCTTCTTTAGGTGAGTGAACTGAGTCTTCTGGTTTTAAACACTATAAATATCTACCCATCCCGTATACTCCAAAGCAATTTCAAACAATGAAGCCTGGTCATGACTGAACTTCAGACTCATCCTTACAATTGTCTACTTGACATAATCCCTTGGATGGGAAATAATCTTTGACTTAAGAAGCCTACAAAGAAACTTCTCATATGCTTCTACATTTTCTATTATAAAAAATGACAATTATATTCTTCAAGTGAGTCAGGCAAGAATATTTTGATAAAACAATTATAGATTGATATCTCTCATAAATATAGATGTGAATGTCTTGAAAACAGTCAACCAATTGAATCAAACATTGTTTAGGAAGGAAGATCCCTCTTAACCAAATTACATTTTTGCTAAAAAAGTATATTTGTTTTAGCATTTTATAAGTATTATATAGAATTTGCCACATTAAATGAGGTAGAAAAATAATGTGATATTATCAATGTACTAAGTATTTGAAAAGCCCAATGCTCATTTAGAAGACAATGGAAATTAATTCAATAAGATTTGCTGCCACTCTCTACAGAATTGTGGAATACTGAAATTGCAAACAAGAAAAGTCAATTACCAGTTCTAGTCATCATGGTGTTAGAGGATCTAGCTCACAATATCAGTCTAGAAGAGGAAATAAAATAAATAATGGTTAGAAAGACATATGTGCTATTATTTCTAGAAATATGATTGTGTATACAGAAAATACGAAGGAATCTACAGATAATTATTATTAATTATTGCTAAATTCAATTATTTATCCTAATAAGTAAATAAGTAGGTTATTTGTCCTTTTTTTTTTTTTTTTTTCCTCCTGAGACAGAGTCTCGCTCTGTCGCCAGGCTGGAATGCAGTGGCGCCATCTCGGCTCATTGCAATCTCTGCCTCCCCTGTTCAAGCGATTCTCCTGCCTCAGCCTCCGGAGTAGCTGGGACTACAGGCGCACACGACCACGGCTGGCTAATTTTTTGTATTTTAGTAGTGACGGGGTTCCACCATGTTGGCCAGGATGGTCTCGGTCTCCTGACCTCGTGATCTGCCCAACTCGGCCTCCCAAAGTACTGGGATTACAGGGATGAGACACTGCGCCCAGTCTATTTGTCTTTTTTATTATTGAGTTATAAGAATATTTTATAGGCCGGGCGCGGTGGCTCACGCCTGTAATCCCAGCACTTTGGGAGGCCGAGGCGGGCGGATCACGAGGTCAGGAGATCGAGACCATCCCGGCTAAAACGGTGAAACCCCGTCTCTACTAAAAATACAAAAAATTAGCCGGGCGTAGTGGCGGGCGCCTGTGGTCCCAGCTACTTGGGAGGCTGAGGCAGGAGAATGGCGTGAACCCGGGAGGCGGAGCTTGCAGTGAGCCGAGATCCCGCCACTGCACTCCAGCCTGGGCGACAGAGCGAGACTCCGTCTCAAAAAAAAATAAAATAAAATAAAAAAAAAGAATATTTTATATAATCTAGATATGTTACTTATCATATATATGATTTACAAATCACCCATTCTGTGGGTTGATTTTAACTTTATTGATTTAGTATATAAAATATATTAAACTCCATTGTTCAATGAATATTCAAATGGATAAATAAAATGCTGTATATCCATACAATGGAATATTACTGGCAATAAAAATGTTGAAATACTGATACATGCAGTAAAATGGATAAACCTTGAAAGTGTGTGCCAAGTAACAGAAAAGAGTCACCAAATACCCCAAATACAACATATTGTGTGATGTATTTATAGGAAATGTTCAGAATAGGCAAATAAACAGTGGCTTCTAATTAATCACATGGTTTCATTTGGGGGCAATAACAATTTTCCAGAAATAGATTATGGTGGGAATTGCACAACTTTGTGACTCTACTAAAGACCATAGAATTTTACACATTAAATGTCTGAATTCTATGGTATCTGAAGTATCTCTCAATAGAGTGACTTTTTATTTAAAGGACAAGAGAAGTCTGATAAAATACGAAATTTATTTACATCTATTGCAGAGTTGCAATGAATATAGATTAGTAGTTCCTTATGGTTGAGGTGGATAAGATTGGGGCAGAAAAGAGGAGTGAGTGTGAAGACACACAATATTTTGGGACGTGTTGAAAATGTTCAAATATTGGTTGTGGTGAAGATGGCACAACTCTATGAATATGCTAAAAGCCATTAAATTTCACACTTTAACTGGTTGAATTGGGTGCTGTGTGGATTAAATCTCAAGCTGTTTGAAAAGGTAAGGCATAAAAATAATTTCTATTTTCTGGCGATTATTTCTGTATATATATTAATTTGTTTATATCTCAGTTCGCTATTGCCGTAATACGTCACAACAAAATCAGAACAAAACTCTATAGCCTAAAAAATAATCAGCAATTATTTATGTTGCTCACACATACTTTGTTTGGCTTGTGTTTGGGTGATATAGATGATTCTCGGTGTTGATTTACATCTACTCCTTATGATTTTCATTCTTCTTGTAGAAGTGGTGTTCCAAGCTGTTTCATTCTCATGGCAAGAGCAGGAAGATACAACAAAAACCTGCCTTAAAATATGCTTGTTACAGTTTTGCTAATATTTCAATGGATAAAGCACGTTACCTCAGTGGGTTTGAAGTCAAGTGGTGGGAAGTAAATCCAGTCTCTAGTGGAAGGAACTCCAGGGTCACATCACATGGCGTAGGACATAGGTATGTTAACAGGTGAAGATTTAGAGTAGTAATCCTATGACAACTATCTATGACAATGAAGCTCTCTTTCTCTTTCTTTCTCTCTCTGTTACACAAACATGTTCTGTTTTACAAAGCAAAGTGGGTCATAAGCTTCAAAGAGGTAATAATATTTAAATGATTTAAAGAGAGTCTGAGCCTTTTGTGTAGTCTCATGTTTTCTTCAGTATTTGTGATAAAAGCTGTAGTTTACACAGCTGTCAGAAAATATGAATGGAATGACTTTCTGTTGCCACAAGTAACCAGGTCCCCAGACTGTTTTCATTTTTTGTGCCAATTAGTTACTAGTTTATTATCAAAAAGGAAAATTATATTCCTCTTCTTTTTGTGAAATGCTGTGAGAGTTACTAATCTCAGCTGTTTGCTTTTTTTTTCTCCAATTAACAAAATACATCTCCTTTATGGCTATTCAGAAGATTTTATGTTGATGAATAATACTTACCAAGAAACATATTATTTAAAAATACTAATAAATCCTTAGGCGTTTATAAATGCAAATCCAATATTTTATATACTAACATACTGCCTCATAAAATTTTAAGATAATTCTGACATTACAATATGATTTTAATTACTTTTTTTCCTTTATAAATTACCCAGTCTCAGGTATGTCTTTATTAACTGTGTGAGAACGACCTAATAGAATTGCGCAGCCACAGCAATTTGGCAAGAAATAGGGCATAAAGATTGAGAAAGGAAGAAATAAAAAACATTTTAGAGTCAGCTAGTCAATTTCAATGAAATAAAGTGCTAGAGTTTGATTAGATTTCATTAAATATGTAGACCAATCAGGAGGCCACTTGACATCTTTACAATATTGAATCTTCCTATTCATTAACATGGTATAT
Source organism: Homo sapiens (assembly GCF_000001405.40). NCBI lineage: Eukaryota > Metazoa > Chordata > Mammalia > Primates > Hominidae > Homo > Homo sapiens. The sequence continues at coordinate 194,993,203 of NC_000001.11, read as the reverse complement.
TTCTTCATTTAAGTTTTTTGTTAAGTTTATTATAGCTATTTTTGTGGTTTTCAGCAAAGTGTTCTTGCACGTCTTTCATAAGATTTATTCTTAGGTGTTTTTTGTATTTGTTTTTTGCTAATATATAGAGGTTCTGTTGCTACAAAAGTATGTTGACTTTGTTATCTAGTGAGTGGCCTTGTTAAATTCATTTAAATTATGATAGTTTGCAGATTATTTGATTTTAATTACTTTTAAATACCTAGTATTTGATTTTGAATATTATTACACTGCTATTGATTTTGAATATTATTACACTGATGTTGTATATCAAATTGCAGTAAGTATTGTCTTAGTTTATACTTAACCCACATTTAATGTAGCAGTTTATTACAACCAATTGCATTAAAATAAACAACCAAAAAAATTGTTATCTGCTAGGTGGAAGTCTATGAACTCCATTCCCCATACCTTTCCAACTATTCCTGGGTAGTTTGCTTTTATTTCTACAAATAAAACTATGTGTTATTGTAACCTTAAGAATGAAAAAAAAATGACTTCATATTCTAGCTAAAGTTGCTGTCACAAAAATTGCTTAGTGTTATGCATTTTCTTCCCCTGTCAAAAGAGGTTCTTGTCATTGCAATACAGTATTTTAAACGCCACCTCTAAAAGAAAATCATAATTGTGCCACAGTGACCTCTTAGGTGTTATGTTCTTTGATCCTTTGATCATTTTGATGTCTCTGGTTTATAGGGAGAGGTAAAAAAAATCTCCCAGTCAAAATGACCTTATATGTGACAAGAATTAGAAATAAATATGCTCATGATTTCAGATAGTTCATAGTACCTAATGCTGGTATATGAGCACAGAAATGCACACACAATAGTTATATGCACTAGATCAATGTTTCTCTTTGTTTTTGTAAGTTTAATAGATGTCAGAATTATATAATATAGAACTTTATCAAAATGAGTAAACCACTATATGCCATGGGCAAATTTTAATGCAGATAAATATTTTTGAAGTAATAGAGTCTTTTGTTTCTATATGCATTTGTAATATATATCATACATCATGTATCTAAATTGTAAAATGTGGAGAGTTTTGATAAATTCATAAGTGGCATTCATCTTAAATGTATTTAGAACTGTCGTTTTGATACCGGCCATATTAAAATGTTGAATTGTTGCCATTCTAAACCAAATATGATTTTTCTCATCTTTAAAGATCTACCATAAATGCTCATCTTCTAGGTCCAAATTCACATTATCTGGATGACTATCTTCTTCAGGTTCTCTCAGTGATTTATTTTTTCTGTATTTGAATATCTCAAATTATATTACTTAAACTTAGAGCACATGAATGTTAGTTTGTATATTCACATTATTCCAGTACATAGTACAGTGTCTGGTAGAACATACGAGTGGATATTTTGATCAATTTGAATTATCAACACACTTTTGAAGTAAGTATTATCATTTAGAATGTTATCTTAATGAGGACAGATTTTACATATGAGTGAAACAACCATAAACATATTTGTAAATGTCATCAACTATGATATTTACTGTATTTCCTATGGCATTGAAGTAATATTTAATAATTCCTTTCATCAGTTGAGCAACTACCATGTACTATCTATATCATATTAATTTTATAGCATGCCAGTACTCTGTTCAGGAAGTACAAATATTACCATTGTGCAAATAAGTAGCATTGCCTTGAAAATTTATAGCAATCAACTACAAATTTATAAAAATTTATAGCAATCGACTAGGAACAAAAATTGTCAAATGAGTTGAGGTTTGCTGGCGGGGCTGTCAGAATCTAAGGCCATGTACTTTCACTGACTAAGCTATGGTGCTTTTGAGAATGATATGCTCAGAAAAGGATCAGATCTTCATATGTTTACACACATATACACACACATTCACTTTGAACAGTAGGAGCTTACTCTCTATTGCAACATACAGAATAATTTTTCATTTTTCCAAAACACATATTCTCGTGTTTCAGTATTGATCTTCATTATTGTTTATACAGCTTTAGACAGATGAAGACATGTAGGTTTTAAAAATAAGGTCCCTATGTCCCTCTGAAACTTGTAGACCAGTAGGAGTTACACAAAAGTGCTCATAATGAAGCTGTAAGAAAAAAGATGCCATTTCTAACTACTTTTCACTCACCATTAATGACTGGCACATTTGAGAATTTAAAAAGATATATTTTTAAGTATGTCTGTGAGAATAGATAAAACTGTCAACTCTTCTGAAAAACGAGTTTGTATGATCCTCAAGCCCAGTCAGCTAAAAGGGCTTCCTTCTTTGTCACACATAAGAATTCTCAAGATTTAGAGACACAGGTTTGAACTATTAATAACATAATTTGAAGTTTATAGACATCACATTTTAAAAGACATCTTAGCTAACAATAAAGTTCTATTAAACATGTTTACACTTTATGTCCTCTACCATAATCTTACTTATTCCAATGGAGAACCTTTGTTCTGTCAATCTTCATTAATTGATCACCGAGGCTTGCTCTTTCGCAAGACTTTCTTAGGTGAAATATGTCCTCAAAATATGTCCTCATTTCCTTTCCTTTTTCTGATTTACCAATTAGAAATATCATTCATTCTAATCTTGACCTGAGCTAGCAGTTAATCTCATTGTGTTAACTTGCATTAAAGAGCCAGGAAATAACAAATTATCCCACATATAAAAAGTTAATTTTTTTTGAAAATAAGTTTTCATTGTAAGAAAGTATAAAGAACCTTTTAGGTTTCAACATTTTAATGATTTCTCCAGAAATCTTCCTACTCAACATACTCAAGCAAGATAAAGAAAATTCCAGGGAAAGGAGTGGGGGAGATGAATAATAATCTGGTTACTAGTTAGACTGTCCTATACAGTATTGGAGAGAAGCCAAAAGTTACACATGATAGTTGCCAAGGATAAGTTGATGATGAAATGGGTAATACAGAGTAGATTACAGAAGAGTCCCCAGATATGTGTTAATAACAGGTCAATCAAAGTTTGCCCTTCTTTGAGAAAAATGCTGAACAATCAAGTAAATGTAACGTTCACAATGTAACTCAACTTATATTGTGATTATAATATGAAACAGGCATTGTAAAGTCTTGAGAGCACATTTTTATTCTTGCTCTCCATACAAATTCCGTTAAGTGAGAGTGACATTTTTATCATCAATATATTTAGGAACTCATTTGATCATAAGCTATTAATCCTTGAAATGTAATTAGATTGAGTAGAGTGTGCTTTTGCTCATGGTTTTTTTATATACTGATATGAGAATAATACATTAACAATATGATACTGTATAATCCTATACTTTTAGAAAAATCAATCAACTAAGTTATTGAATTAAAGTCCTCAAGGCAATATTAAATTTGAATAAGTACCTGTGTGAGTTTCATATTGAAAACATATCATTTCAGTTCGATAGGAAACACATTTAAAAGTAAGACTTTATAAGGAAACTAATGAATATATTGAGGCAAAGGCAAATCTAATGAGGAGATTGAAATCAAGAAGCATTGTCAAAATGAATTCAGAGATGTGATATGGAATAAAAAAGTTGATGAGGGGGACCAACTACTAAAACTACTCAAAATTGCAGAACTTCTGATCAACTAATTTTAGTGATTATGCTTTGAGCCCATTTTCTAATCATTACAGCATCATATTTTAGTGATATTTGTGATGAAATTCAGAGTCAAGAATGAAATTAGGTTTCTCAGCTAAGAAAGCTCAAATGTAACCATAAAATGGTGCTGTTTAGCAATTATAGAAAAGAAAACCACTAGACTGCTACCTCATTTCAAAGGCCCAAAGAAGTTAGAAGTAGACAACAGCAGCGATCACATACACACACACAAACTCAGAAAAGGGGAAAACCTATTACCTAACCAAGCAATGAAGAAGAAAGTTGCTTGTGTTTAGAATCGGTAGGGGGAAAAATCAATAAAGACGACTGGTGACAAGACTTTCTAAAAATTGAAATGCTCTATAAATAAAAATCTCCGATATAAAAGAAAAATTTTCTGATGTAATAGGATGAGTATCTGTAAAATAACAAATTTTATTTATTTTATTTAAAATTTTATTTGAAATGTATAAAGTAGAAAACAATACTTAGCTAATGATTACAGGATTTATTATATTTTAAAAACAGAATTATAAGTATGAAAATATTTGGGATAAAGTTCAAGCTTTCTATTGAAAAACACATACTACAATAAGGCAGTACTTTAATATTTTCTGACAATATTGAGGCTATTGCTCTAAATATAGTTGAGGATATTGTAAAATAAAACTAACACTTTACAAGCAAAATTAATGGTAAATCAGACAACTCTTTTGATGATCAATTTAGTGAATCACCTTAATCACTTTGAATTTTTTTTCTCAAAATTTGACCTAGTGACTTATCTTCCAAGAAACTATAATTATTATAAAATGAAGATTTATGGAATCTAACCAAAAGTCTTCATATGTGAAACAGTGTAAATAAATTGTTAGACTGCAATCAAACAGTGACGTAAAGCCACATGAAGAAACAGTTTTTATGTACTTTAAAAATACAAAGTTCTATATTTGCAACATTCAAAATAAAATGTTATAGGTGAAGCCTTTCCACCTTCCTATTTAAAATTGCATCTACTAGATGAATATAGTGGGGTGCACTTGTAGCCCTAGCTACTGGGGAGACCAAAAGGGTGAGATCCCATTCCCCCCCCCAAAAAAGAGAAAAAAATTATGATGTTATTTTTTTAAAAATGCAACGACTTACCCCAACATCACACACACACTTTACTTATTAGCTTTGTGCATCGTTGATCTTATTTCGGCTATGGGAGCAGGGTCTCTTTTGTTCCCTACTAGATCTCCAGCCCCTTCTATGATGCCTGGCTAATCACTGTTGCTCAATAAATTATCATTGATTTGATACATGAAAGAGTAGAAATTAAACACATGAAAGAACACTTTCTAAAGGATAGACGGGTAGGCCTAGGTATACAAATACAATTGAATCTGACATGCTTTTACAAATAAAAGTCATTAAATTTTTAAAAATATGGTATATTTTTGCCACAGTTCATGTGAATTTATTCAGATGCATTAAAAATAATTCAGATGTATTTTTAAAGCTATTTTCTTTAAATAGAATTCGATTAGAAATTGGTTTGACCAACTCTTTAATTCAGAAGCCAGGATGATGTCCATGCATTTCCTAGTCCTTCCTGTTTAATTGGATCATAGGAATGAGGTGTAATGAATTTTAGAAAATAATTAGCATTCAATTATTTTTTAATCACAATAACATACTAAAAACATCCAAAATATTATAGCAAATGCTAATTTAACACGTACAGATTCTATGTGTTCTATTTTCTTTTAATGTCTTCATAATTTATTAATTTTGAAATATGTGGCATCATCTTGTTGTATTGAAAGCAGTGTCGGCCAGGTGCTGTGTCTCAAGCCTGTAATCCCAGCATTTAGGGAGGCTGAGGCGGGCGGATCACGAGGTCAGGAGATCGAGACCACACTGGCTAACACGGTGAAATCCCGTCTCTACTAAAAATACAAAAAAAAAAAAAAAAAGAAAAAAAAAGAAAAAAAATTAGCCGGGCTTGGTAGCAGGCGCCTGTAGTCCTAGCAACTCGGGAGGCTGAGGCAGGAGAATGGAGTGAACCCAGGAAGCGGAGCTTGCAGTGAGCCGAGATCGTGCCACTGCACTAAAGCCTGGGCGACAGAGTGAGACTCTGTCTCAAAAAAAAAAAAAAGAAAGGCAGTGTAAAAACAGCAACTGGCAGTATAAAACATTTGTCATCAAGATGCACTTTGAGGCCTAATTTGCCTTGGGCAACTTACTTAATTAACTTTTATGCCTTAAGGGAAAAATGAGTACCATCTCTACAAAGTTAAGAGTATAGTAGATTATCAACAAATGTTGGCCACTTTTGCTACTGAAGAAAAATATTGCCTGTGTGTGTGTGTGTGTGTGTGTGTGTGTGTGTGTGTGAACTTTTATATTATAAATTTTTAAAAATACATTTAATGTATGTACAATTTAGTTGACTAGTGAAGAATGCACCACGTATATGTTTTGCCTTTGTCCAAAATAATGATACTTTTTGCCCGCTCTTTGTTTTAACTTTTGATTAGTTTGGCAATCGTTCTTTCAGATCTTTTTTAAAAATAGATTTAGAGAGTACAAACGCAGTTTTGTTACATGGATATATTGCAAAGGGGTAAAGTCTGGACTTGCAGTGTAACTATCACCCAAATAGCATACATTGTACCCAATAGGTAATTTCTCATCTCTATTCCCCCTCTCACCTTCCTTTTGGAGATCTTTTAAAAGGGACTCAAGGACTTTCTTTTTTTACTTAAGAAATGTTAGCAACCTTTAAATTTATAAATATAAGATTGCTTTCTTTTTCTTACATTCTCAAAATGTATTCAGGACTTTGTGTGGGAAGGGTGAGTAGAGTGCAAATTTAGTCACAAAATTTAATATAAAATATATATATTTTAAACTCAAATTTTATATATTTTATATGTGTATATATGTGTATATATATATGTGTGTATATATATGTGTGTGTGTATATATATATATATATATATATACATATACACATGAGTCACCTGCCTCCTAGAATACTGAAGCAGAAAAATTTTCATAGAAATATTGAATATTTAACACTAGGTATGTTGCATTACTATATATTACTTCATCCAAAAGAACAAGAAATAAAAAGTTAGCTAAATCAGTTCAGAGTACCTTTGAGTTGTTGACTTGAATGCCAAATGCCATATAAACAAACCAACACTTTTAATTGTATTTTAATTTATCCCTCAGCCAAGGGTAAAATATATTGAAGTTATGTTTATACATCAGTAGGATTTATGTGTTTTCTCCCTATGCAGACTCATATTTACAATATCTAGTAAACTTTCCAGTTCTTTAACCTTGATTTGAAGGCTTACTGTTCAGTAAATTTAGTAACTCTAGCATTTATCTAAATTACCATTTTTAAAGGAGATTTAGCTATTCAATTGTGAGAGATAAAATAGAAAGAAATATTTTAAAATATCTATTTAAATCACTTAATTTTTAAATTGACGTATGTTGTTTTCGTTAAATATAGGCCACGCATAATACTATATCACTTTTTATGAACCAAATCTTATGAAAATGAAATTCATATTAAATATATTTCTTTTCTAGTCTATCATTTTGCTCACTCAAAAGAAATTCAAGTCAAAGGAAATATACTTTAGACAATACCATAGGAAATGTATTTTCTACTATTTTTATGTTATTCTATAATATACTCATAAGACTTTTAATTCCTTTTTAATAATGTTTATATATTTGAAGTTTACAACATGATGTTATAAGATACATATAGATAGTAAAAAATTACAATATTGAATCAGATTAACATATCTATCATCTCATATAGCTACTTTTCTGTGAAAAGAGCAACTAAAATCTTATTTAATGACAATTTCTATTACAATACCATTTTATTAATTTCAGTCTTCACCTTATACATTAGATCTCTGAACCTGTTCTTCCAATATATCTGCTATTTTGTATCCTTTAACCTATATTCCTCATTTTTTTCTTCCCTTTCCTCATTTGTAGTAACCACTAGTATTAGTCCATTTTCATGCTGCTGATAAAGATGTACCTGAGACTTGGAAGAAAAAGAGGTTTAATGGACTCACAGTTCCACATGGCAAGGAGAAGCAAGTCACGTATTACATGGATGGTGGCAGGCAAAAAAAATAAAAGAGAGTTTGTGCACAAAAGCTCACATTTTTAAAATCGTCAGATCTCATGAGACTTATTCACTTCACAAGAACATCATGGAAAAGACTTGCCTCTATGATTCAATTACCTCCCACCAGGTCCCTCTGACAACACGTGGGATTCAAGATGAGATTTGGGTGGGGACACAGCCAAACCACATCACCACTATTTCATTCTCTATCTCTGTGTATTTGAATTCTTCTTAAAAATATATATTCACATATAAGTGAGATCATGCAATATGTTTTTTCTGTATCTGGCTTATTTCACTTAGCCTAATGTCCTCCAGTTCCATCCATGTAGTAGCAAATGGCAGGACCTCACTTTTTAAGAATGAACAATTAGTATAGTCTTTCTGAAGTCCTTCTTCACTTCCACTGCCTCTTCCTCCTGCTCGTTACCATCACAACTACTCCTTATTAAGTGTATCCTATAAGGATAGGTCCTGCATCTCTTGCCCTATATTCTTTTTTCGTATACCCAGTCAGATTCAGCAAATATTAGGTACCTAAAAAGTGCCTGACACTGAGCAATACAAAGATGGGTACTCAAAATAATGAACATGCAACAATATATAGTAAATTGTATGTAGCTCCCCAAATTCCCTTGGCTTCCTGGAACACAAAAGAATTTAGTCTACCTAACTCATGTCTGCTCATCCTGCAAAACTCAGCTCAAGAGTCAACATTCTTTGGCAACCTAGGATGATCATTTCTCATACCTTCCTAAACACTCAGATGAGGTGTTCTTTCTCTGGGGCCCCATAACACTCTGGGCATACTTCAGAAGAAGCACTTGTCATGTAAAAGAAGAACCATTGATAACTCTTTTTTATTCCTATTTGGCACATAATACAAAATTTTAAAAGTACAAAAAGATATACATTAAAAATTAAGTCCTTCTTAACCTGCAACCACCATTTCCATTTCTCAGATGTAGACACTGTTTCCAATTTTGGGGTCTCCCTCTCATAGGTATTTTATAAGAATGTATATTCACAAATGTAAGAAATTTATACACTCCATATATACATATATGAATATATATAGGGCATTTTTGCTTTTATGCAAATCACATTTTTATATACACCTCAGTACTTTACTTTTTTCATAACCTAATGACATATTTTGTTGATCATTCCAAACCAGTACATAAAGAGATTTCTTATTGTTTATAATAGCTACATTGGGCTCCATTGTGAATTTTGGATAGTCATGATTTGTTTAACCAGTCTCCTGTTGTTGGACGCGTAGGTTATTTTCAATCTTTTTCTACTATAAGCAATATGGTCATTAAAATATTGTACTAATATCATTTTATACATGTTTGAGAACATATGTAAGATTAAATTCCTAGAAGTAGAATTGCAGTTTACACAGTATTTGCATTTAAAATATTCATAGATATTGCCAAGTTGCACTGATTGATATTTCTACCAGTGTAAGAGTTCCTGTTTCTTCATATCCCTCTCAATATAGTGAATTATCAAACTTATAGTATATCCAATGTGTTTGGAAAATAATAACTTCCTATTGAAATTTTAATTTACATTTATCATATTATCAGTGAGATTAGCATGTTTTAATGTTTTTAGGGCCCACTAATATTTTCTTATATGTAAATTTTCTATTCAAATACCTTGCTTATTCATATTTCACCTTCTTGGATGTTTTTTCTTGCTGATTTATAGGAGCTCTTGCTTACTGTATTATTGTAGCTAGTCTTTTGCTTTTTGAGATACAATATTTTTCTTCCTAGTTTGTCATATGCCTTTTCATATTATTTTGCTTTTCTCCTTCTTAAATATTCTCAATGTTATTGAATTTATTATCTCTCTTGTGATGGCTTTTAGGTTTTAATTTGAGCTTTACAAAGCCCTTTGTCCTACAAACTTGTTAAATAAATTTCTCCCACAGGCTGGGGATACATTCATTTGTTGGGGACCTTGAAGAAGCAGGTTAGGATAAAGATGATGGTAGAGGAGGCTGTGAGAAAAGGGTCTGAAGAAAAGTGGGTTTCATATAGGATGAGCTCACTGTGTGGGATCATAATGAACTCAAGAGAAAGGCAGGAAAACAAAAATCATCTTGTTGCTTCTCTTTCCCAGGTAGTTCCACCAGCCACAACAAATTACCCCCAAAATCCTTGTCAACTTAGACTCAAAATAGATGGTCATATTCCATATCGGGAAGGTACACTCCTTCTCTGAGCAGAGGAATCGTTAAGAGCATTCTCTTATCAGCTGGTTATGAAGCTGCCCATTTTAGTAGGTGACATCCATGAGCAGAGAGTCTGCCTCATCTATCATGTGTTCAGTGGAATTAGTTGTTTCTGCTCATTGCAGCTGACTAGAAAGGCCTCCTGAAATGCTGCTGTTTGTCAGCTTGGTGAGGAGGAAGAGCCCTCGCTTTTCACAACATGCATGGCTCTTTGGCAAATCCAAAGCATAGTCTTGCATTTTTATGAAAAGTTTCCATGCTTGTAGCCATCTAGTAATAAGTTATGAAAGTAATCCTCATGCTTACTATTTAATCACAGTACAATGATGAGATTAGTATATTTTTCTCTAAAGTTAAAATGATCATTAGAACCCAATGTCAAAAAAGGAAAAATAAATGAAAGAAAATACATCATGAAATTTATATTGAGTATATTTTAACCTTTTACTTTTTTTGCATTATATCCCTTTTACTTGTTGCCTCCACTAAACCCACTCACAGATTCATCAACATGTTTTGATTAAAACCATATTGATTAAAAATGATTTTGTATAAGTGACAATAGACCATGTACAAACTGGTGCATTCTGAGCAGATCTTTGAGGGGAAGGCATTGTGAGTAAATGGGGTGGGGACATGGACCCTGGGCTGAAGTGAGAGGAAGCTGAGAACCCTGCACTGAGCTATAATGTACCAGGACTCATTCCTGGTCCTCAAGGACTCCTGGGGAAGGAAAACAAAGCCAATCAACTGAACCCACCTTATAATACAATCAAAACTGTAAGGGCATCAAAGAAGGTATAAGGAAAAACTATCAATTGAAACCACAGAAATATCAAAGGTTGAAGGAATGTCAGCCTACACAGATGAGAAAGAATTAGCACAAGAACTCAAACAACACAAAAAGCCAGAGTGTCTTTTTGTCTCGAAGAGACTGAACTTGTTCCCCGCAGTGATTATTAATCAAGCTGAAATGACTAAAATAACAGAAACAGAATTCAGAATATGGATAGAAACAAAGATCATCAAGATTCAGGAGAAAGTCAAAACTGAATCCAAGGATTCCAAGAAATACAATAAAATGATAAAGGAGATGAAACATGAAATGATCATTTTAAGAAAGAAGGAAACTGATCTCAGAGCAAAATAACTTACTTTAAGAATTTCAGAATACAATCACAAGTACTAACAGCAGAATCAATCAAATGGAGGAAATTATCTCAGAGCTAAACTTGTTCTCCAAAATAACTCAGTCATACAAAAATGAAGAAAAAAAGATTAAAGAAGAATTAGCAAAACTTCTGAGAGATATGGGAGTATATAAAGAGACCAAAATCTATGCTTCATTGGCATTCCTAAAAGAGAAGAGAAAGAAGACAACTTAGAAAACATATGTCAGGGTATACTCCATGAAAATTTCTCCAGCCTAGCTAGAGAAGCCAACATTCAAATTCAGGAAATACAGAGAATATCTCCAAGATACTATACAAGAGAAGTAACCCCAAGACACATAATCATCAGATTTTTCAAGGTTGATTTGAAATAAAAAATTTTAAATGCAGCTAGAGAGAAGGGGAAGGTCACCTGCAAAGGGAATACCATTAGGTTAATAGTGAACCTTTCATCAGAAACGCTACAAGTCAGACGAAATTGGGGGTCAATATACAACATTCTGAAAAAAAAAAGAAATCTCCAATCAAGAATTTCACATCCAGCCAAACTAAGCTTTATGAGCAAAGGAGAAATAAGATCCATTACAGACAAGTAAATGATACAGGAATTCATTACCAGCAGACCTTACTTATAAAAGGTTCTGTGTGGAGTGCTAAATATGCAAAGGAAACACCATTACTAGCCTCCACAAAATCACACTTAGGTACATAGACCATTGGACACTATAAAGCAACCACACAAAGAAATCTGCATAATAACCAGCTAACAACACGATGACAGGATCAAATCAGCACATATCAACATTAACCTTGTATGCAAATGAGCTAAATTCACAAATTAAAAGGCACAGAGTGTCAATGTGGATGAAGCAGCAGGACTCAATAGTATGCTCTCTGTAAGAGACCCATCGAACACGCAATGACACACATAGGCTCAAAGTATAGGGATGGAGAAAAATCTTCCAACCAATGGAAAACAGATAAAAGCAGAGTTTTTAAAATTCAAATTTTAGACAAAATGGACTAAATGATCAAGGATCAAAACAGACAAAAAAGGGCATTGCATTCAACAAGAAGATCTAACTATCCTAAATATATGTGCTCCCAGATCAGGAACACTCAGATTCATAAAGCAAGTTATCACAGAACTATGAAGAGGCTTCAATAACCACACTATAATAGTGGGAGATACCAAAACCACACTGACAGTATTTGACAGATCATCGAGGCATAAAGCTAACAAAGATATTTGAGACTTTAACTATACACTTGATCAAACTGACCTAATAGAAATCTCCAGAACTCTTCACCCCAAAACAACAGAATATACATTCTTCTTGTCTGCACATAAGACATGCTCTAAAAACATCCACATAATCAGCCATAAAACAATCCTCAGCCTATTCAAAAAATCAAAATCACACCACTTTCACTCTTGGATCACAGTGCTGTAACAATGGAAATTAATACTAAGAAAATCACTCAAAAACCATACAATTATGTGAAAATTAAACAACCAGCTCCCGAGTAATCTTTGGGTAAACAACGAAATTAGTTATTTAAAAAAAGATATTTTTGAAATGAATGAGAAAAAAAACATACAACATACTAACATTTCTATACAGCTAAAGCAGTGTTAAGAGGGCAGTTTATAGTACCAAACTCCAACATCAAAAAGTTAGAAATATCTTAAATTAACAACCTAACATCACACCTAGAGGAACTAGAGAAGCAAGAGTAAAGTAACCCCATAGGCTAGGAGAAGGCAGGAAATAACAAAAATAAAAGCTGAACTGAAGGAAATTGAGGCATTAAAATCCATACAAAAGATCAACAAGTCTAGGAGTTAGTTTTTTCAAACAACAAATAAGATTGATAGACTACTAGCTAGATTAATAAAGAAAAAAAGGCAGAAGATCCAGAAAAACACCACCAGAAATGACAAAGAGAACATTGCCGCTGACTCCACAGAAATTTTAAAAACCCTCAGAGACAACTATGTACACCTCTATGCATATAAGCCAGAAAACCTAAAAGAAGTGAATAAATTCCTGGAAATGTACAAATTTCCAAGATTAAACCAGGAAGTTATTGAATTCCTCAACAGACCAATAAAGAGTTCTGAAATAGAATCAGAATTTTAAAACTACCAACCAGAAAAAGCCCATGACCAGATAGATTCACAGCCAAAATTTACCAGATGTATAAATAAGAGCTGGTAACATTCCTACTGACACTACTCCAACTACTCCAAAAATTGAGGCGGAGAAATTCCTCCTTAACTCATTCTATGAGGCTAGCAGTATCCCGATACCAAAACCTGGCAGGGACACAATAGCAACAAAAAACACTTTCAGGCCAATACACATGATGAACATAGATACAAAATTCTCAACAAAATACTAGCAAACCAAATCCAGCAGCACATTACAAAGCTAATCCACCATGATGAAGTAAGCTTTATCCCTGGGTTGCAAGGTTGGCTCAACATATGCATATTAATCAATGTGATTCATCACATAAACACAACTAACAAAAACTACATGATCATCTCAACAGATGCAGAAAAGGCTTTTGATAAAATTTAACATCTCTTTCTGCTAAAAAGTCCTCAACAAAGTAGGCATTGAAGGAACGTACTTCAAAATAAAAACAGCCATCTATGAAAAACCCACAGCCAGCATCATACTGAATGGGCAAAAGCTAGAAGCATTTCCCTTGAAAATGGCAACAAGACAAGAATGATGTTTCTCACCACTCTTATTCAACATAGTACTGGAAGTCCTAGCCACAGCAATCATGCAAGAAAAAAAAATAATAATAAAAGACATATAAATAGAAAGTGAGGAAGTCAAACTATCCCTGTTTGCAGACAATATAATTCTAGACTAGAAAACTGAAGGCATCACATTACTTGGCTTCAAACTACACTAAAAGGCTACAGTATACAGTAAGAGAAACAGCATGGTACTTGCTTTTGTACAAAAACCAACACATAGGTGAATGGAATAAGATAGAGATCCCAGAAATAAAGCCACACACTTACAACTATCTAATCTTCAAGAAAGTAAAATAATAATAATAATAATAATAACAATGGAGAAAAGGTTCCCTATTTAATAAAAGGTGCTGGCATAACTGGTTAGCCATATGCACATATGCCTAAGATTGAAGTGGGGCCCCTTTCTTATACCATATACAAACATCAAATCAAGATGGATTAAGTACTTAAATGTAAAACCTAAAACTATAAAAACCTTGGAAAATAAACTAGGAAATATGATTCTGGACATAGGCTCTGGCAAAAATTTCATGACAAAGACATCAAAAGTAATTACAAAAAAACCCAAAATTGACAATTGGGACCTAAATAAATTAAACAGCTTCTACACAGCAAAAGAAACTATCAATGGAGCAAACAGACAACCTACAGAAAAGGAGGAAATATTTGAAAACTATGCATCTGTCAAATATCTAATATCCAAACAACCACATTAAAAAGTAGGCAAAGGATATGAACAAACACTTTTCAAAAAAAGACAGACATGCAGCCAACAAGCATATTAAAAAGTGCTCAACATTACTAATCATTATTGAAATGCAAGTCCAAACCACAATGAGATACTATCTCACACCAGTCAGAAAAAAGACAAAAAATAACAGATGCTAGTGAGGCTACAGAGAAAAGGGAATGCTTATACACTGCTGGTAGAAATATAAATTAATTTACCCATTGTGAAAAGTAGTTTGATAATTTCTCAAATAACTTAAGACAGAACAACCCTTTGACCCAGCAATCCCATTATTGGGCATGTACCAGAAGGAATATAAATTATTCTGCCATAAAAATACACATATGCGGCTGGGCGTGGTGGCTCACCACTGTAACCCCAGCACTTTGGGAGGCTGAGGCGGGCGGATCGCGAGGTCAGGATACCGAGACCACGGTGAAACCCCGTCTCTACTAAAAATACAAAAAATTAGCTGGGTGTGGTGGCGGGCGCCTGTAGTTCCAGCTACTCGGGAGGCTGAGGCAGGAGAATGGCGTGAACCTGGGAGGTGGAGCTTGCAGTGAGCCGAGATCGCACCACTGCACTCCAGCCTGGGTGACAGAGCGAGACTCGGTCTCAAAAAAAAAAAAAAAAAAAAATACACACATGCATATATTCATTGCAGTACTATTACAATAGCAAAGACGTGGAATCAACTTAAGTGCCCATCAACAGTAGACTAGATAAATAAAATGTGGTACCTATACACCATGGAATACTATGAAAATCATAAAATGAATGAGATCCTGTCCTTTGCAGCAACATGGATAGATCTGGAGGCCAATATACTAAGCAAACTATCACAGGAACAAAAACCAAATATTGCATGTTCTCACCTATAAGTGGTAGCTAAATATTGAATATACATGGATACAAAGAAGGGAACAACAGACAATGGGCCCTACTTGAGGGAGAAGAGTGGGAGGAGGGTGAGAATGGAAAAACTACCTATTGGGCACTATGCTTATTACCTGGGTGATAAAATAATCTCTACCCTAGACACCTGTGACATACAATTTACCTATATAACAAACCTGCACAGATGCCTCTGAACCTAAAATAAAGGTTTTTTAAAGAAAAGGAAAAGAAAAAGCAATACAAAACTAACCTACTGCATGATGTCAGTCACTTCATCAATAGACATGTGGTACAGATGCTAGCCAGGAAACACCTGTTATCATTATAGACTCATTATTTTTATTTGTTTATTTTCTCTAGGTAAATAGTGTTTCTTTAGCTTATACTTTTACCAGAAACACAGAATATCACTGCTTGGCTTAGGAGAAATCGGGTTCATGGTATGTCTTCTAGACATTATTTGCAGAGTTTTATATGAAAAGTGCATTGAGAAATTGCAAACGTGAAACTTTTTAGCAAAGTTGTTAATACGATCTAAAATTGTTCTATATTATGAGAATATTATGGTGCACATTCTGGGTGAGCATTCTAGTGTACATTTTTGTATAAAATGTTACAGTTTGGGCAATACCCTGGATGAACTTTTTTATTCAAGATCCAAATATACTACTTTATATCATAGAACTTGGAGAGGAAATGAAAAGATCAGCTGCTTCTATATCAGAAAAAATTATGTGGTGATTCTTCTGTAGGACCCTAAGCACCTAGAATATCTGAGGGAGATGACAGAAGGAAATTCAAAGATAAATCAAAGTCAAAGTATAAACTTGGCTGCAAATAAGGAAACAACAGGGACATTCACAATACCTAAAGACAGTGAGTTGTAAGCACAGTATAGTAAGTTTAAACTGTCTATATGCTTGTGTATTCCAGTTAAGCATCCAGAACTTGAAGAGAAACTATGCAAAGCAGACTGACTTCTAAGGAAATAGTGACAACAGGGGCCATCATCAAGATCCCTATGTCAGGTTGTTCATCAGATCACATAGTCTTCTATTAGCATATTCTTTCATAAACCACTTTATTCAAAATTAATTCAGTGATCATTTTGCATTCTGCCATTACAACTATATTGACAACTAAAAGAGTCATGTCTTATCAAGTTTTTAATTTCCCAGATTGATTCTTTGAGCATTTAGGATATTCCTCCCTTGTGGATCATGATATATGAAACATATTCAGTCAACTCACATTTAGTTTCCACCAAATCTGTTTTTCTTACTGTTTGCCTGTTTTTCACTGAGGTATATTAATGTACAAGAAATGTTGATATTTTAAAAGTGTCATTCTATGAGTTTTGACAAATGTATGTGCTCATGTATATGCTCATGTATCAAAGACCCAAATGAATCAGGATATGGAAGGATTCCAAGTCACCAGAAAGTTTTCTTGTCACTTTTGAGTCATTCTCCATGCCTCATAAGCAAATAGCCCTTGTTTGTGATGAGTCATTTTAATTTTGCTCCTTTAAAGATTGCGCCCTGTCATTGTCTTCAAGAGTTTAATTATAATTAGTGTAAGCATGATTCTGTTTGCATTTATCCTACTTAGAGTATGTTCAGTTGCTTGGATGTAAACATCAACACTTTCATCTTATTTGAAAAGTTTCTGGCCTTTTTATCTTCAAATATTTTTTCTTCCTCTTTCTCTCCCCTTTTCTTCTGATATCATTATTATGTAAATGTTGGTGGGCTCAATGGTGTCCCATAGGTTTCCAAGTCTCTATTTAAATATAATGGCTTTTCTTCCTGTATTTTCTTTAGATTGGATAATATGTATTGATCTATCTTTCCATTTCCTGATTCTTTATTCTTCCAGCTAATATCTGCTGTCGAGCCACTCCAGTGATTTTTAAAAAGTATTTCAATTATTGTATTTTTGACTCTAGAATTTGTATTATTTAAAATATAATTACTATTACTTTATAATGTCTATTTGATGAGCCATTACTGTCATATTTTCCTTTAATTCTTTAAACACAGCTTTCTATAGTTGTTTTTAAAACATAGTTATTATTCCTGAGAAGTCTGTGTTAAGTCCAATATCTAGACCCTTTCAGAAGCAGTATCTATTGTTTTTTTCTTAATTTGAAAATCAGAAAGGTCAGTAAGAGGTCACCTATTCAATTATTTTTTTTTTTCAATTCTTTTTTTTTTTTCAGACAAGTTTTTGCTTTATCACTCAGGCTGGAGTGTAGTGGTGTGATCTCAGCTAGTTGCAACCTCCACCTCCTGGGCTCAAGAGATTCTTCCACCTCAGTCTGCTGAGTAGCTGGAACTACCGGTATCCACCAGCAACCAGCTAATTTTTGTAATTTTGTAGAGATGGGGTTTCTCCATGTTGCCCAGGCTGCTCTGAAACTCTTAGGCTCAAGCAATCCACCCACCTCAGCCCTCCATGGTGATGGAATTACAGGCATAAACCACTGTGCCCTGTGCATTATTATCTTTTGTATAGATAATACTTTTGTGTATCTCAGCATATCTCATAATTATTTATTATAACCTGACATTTTTGGTTTTACATTGTATTGATTCTGGATACTGACTCCCTTCCCCCGGGAATTATTATTGCTGCTTTTTTGTTTATGTATTTGCTTAGTTAACTCACTAGAAAAATTCTGTATGGTTTGTCTCCCTGATGATATGACATACTAGCAGGGTATGGCCAGTTATATCTATGAATATTTTCTTGTTGTTGCAGTTTTGTTTATGGTTTTTAAGCTTGAGTCACTTTGGGTCACCATAGTTTAGTGTCTGCCAATAAGTAGTCAGAAGTTGCACTTAAACATCTTGACCCTGCAAGCCTTCGGCTGTTTGTCACTAGGTCTGTAAGTAGTTTGAACACATTCAATATGTCAGTTTACATGTTGGCCCAACTTTTACTTTCTCCCTTTGCAAGGCCTTATGTTAAGCTAGTATTGATAGTTCAGCCCTTTCTAGTGTCTCCTGAGTGTACCTACCTCTTTGGCCATCAGTGCAGCCTTCCAGATTATTACAGAAACGCACTAAAGTCCATTGTGACTGTCTTTTTCCCCTGGTTCTTCTTGTTTAATTCTGGTTTGTGTATTGCTCATCCCAGTCTATAGCATAATGCTAAACTCACTTTAATATTGGACTTCCTTAGTTGTTTTTAATGAGAAATATATTGTTTTGGACAACATACATGGTCATGATTTTTTTCTTTTTTTTTTCAACTCTATTCACATCAAGTCATCCATTTGGGCACTGAAGCTGTACTCTTCCTGGCTTTCCCTGCCATGATAGAACTCATGCATGGAGGTATTGGGAATAGGAGTCATATCAGCCCCAGCCTAAAATATCAAAGACTCCCACTGTTCTTACTAAGGTTCAGTTTTTTTTTCTTAAATAAAAACTTAATTTTGTGTGTGCCTCTGGTCAATTTCCAGACTTCTGATTTGTTGTTTTCAATAATTTTGATCCATCTTATTGCTGCATAGAGAAAAAGGTTTTGGTAAGCTTCTTAGTTAGCCATTCTGGAAATCGCATTCTTGGTCACTTCTGCTTTTGTAAAAATTTCTCTCCCAAGGCCTCCTTATTGTATGTTGTGGATCTTTTGGCAGCACAAACCATAAATCCTGAAAATATATGACTATTTTACCATTGACAAACAGCCTAAATTTAAGCATTGATATCTTGCTTTATTTAAACATTAAGAAATAAAATAATTTTTTTTGTGTGTGTGGGAGGTCTGTGTATGTGCATGTGATGATAAATACATCGTCTAAACTTAAGAGTGGTGGTTTTGGGGCATTTAAAATCAGAAAAATGGCATTAGGAAGTTCTCATTGTAATTCCATGAATAAATGAAGGCAAATTTTCTAGCCCTTTTGACAGATTGATCACTGCATGCAAAAAAAGACTTAACATGAGTACACTACTGACTGTGATTGAAAGTTTTGCTTATTTGTTTTGTTTTCTATAATTTAACTTTTATTTTAGATTTGTGGATATATATACAGGTTTGTTGAATGCATATACTACATGATGCTGAGGTTTGGGATATGAATCATCCTGTCATCCAGGTACTGAGGATAATACCAATAGGTAGTTTTTCAACAGTTTCCCCCTTCCCTACTCCTTCCCTCTAATAGCCTCAACTGTTTATTGTTGACATCTTTATGTCCATGAGTAGCCAATGTTCAGTCCCTTCTAATAAGTGAGAACAAACGATATTTGATTTTCTGTTTCTGCATTAATTCCTAGAGGATAATGGCACCCAGTTGCATACATGTTGGTGAAGAGGACCTGATTTCATTCTTTTTATGAATGGATTCTTTTTATTGATGGGCACCTAGGATGACTTTTTGTCTTTGCTATTGTGAATAGTGCAGTGATAAACATATAAGCACATGTGTCTTTTTGGTAGAATGATTTATTTTCTTTTGGATATATACCCAGCAATGGGTTACTGGGTCAAACGTCAATTCAGTTTTAAGTTTTGTGAGAAATCTCCAAACTGCTTCCTACAGTGGCTGAATCAATTTACGTTTCCTCCAACAATGTATAAGCATTTCCTTTTCTCCACAGCCTCACTGGCATCTGTTGTTTTTTGACATATTAATAATGACCATGTGACTTTTGTAAAATGGTATCTCGTTGTAGTTGTGATTTGCTTTTCTCTGATGATTTATGATGTTAAGCACTTGTTCATGTTTTTTGGCCACTTGTGTGTCTTCTTTCAAGACATTCATGTTCACCTTTCTTGCCCACTGTTTAATGGAGTTATTTGCTTTTGGTTTGTTGAATTATTTAAGTTCCTTATAGATTCTGGATATTAGATTTTTGTCAGATGCATAGTTTGCAAATATTTTCTCTCATTCTGTGGGTTATTCATTTACTCCATTGATAGTTTCCTTTGCTGTGCAGCTTTTAGTTTAATCAGATCCTACTGTCAATTTTTGTTCTTGTTGCTATTGCGGACTTAATCATTCTAGTGATCATCTGATAATTATATTTTTCAAAGAAAACATCTGTACAAAATTTGACTATGTTGAACATAAATGTTTCTGCTCCCAGTGTAGCTATCTATATCTTTTGTTGATTAGTAAGTTGGTGCCTGTGGTATCAGCCTATATTTGGTTACATGCTTAATATGAGCCTGTGTCTTTTAAAATACATTGTCAGCTGTTAAAACTAAGCTTCAGAGTCTACAATATATAGGTTTTGGTGATTATGCACTGAGTGTACCAATCCACCTAAATGTAGTCTACAATTTAAAGGTTCTAACAGGAAAATGCATGCGTTTACTTATCATCTTGAATGGAAATGACCTTTTCTGTCTGGGAAACTTCATTTTCTTGGGGCTGCCTTGACTTATTACCACAAACTTGTGGCTCAAAACAACAATTATCTCTGGAGGTTAGGTGTCTAAAATCAAGAATTGCCATTTCCATGCACTCAGAAGGCTCTAGGTGATGATCATTTCCATGCCTTTTTCTAAGCTTTAGGCTTGGCTGGGAATCCTTGATCTTTGGCTTGTAGATCCATCACTTCAATTTCTGCCTATGTTGTCAGGTGGCATTTCTGCTGCGTGTGCAACTGTCCCTTTCTCTTTGCCTCTTCTCTTAAAGAAAGTAGTCATATTAGATCAAGGATCCACTTATTCCTGTATGAACTCATTATAATTTACATGTATATCTCAATTATATCTGCAAAGATTATTACCCCGTAAGTTCCTATTCACAGTGGCAGAGGTTAGGATCTCCACATATCCTCCTAGAGAACTCAATTCAACCCATAACGTAAGCCATGATCTATCATTAAGTACATAAAGCACTGACAATGGAAAAGAGAAATTGAGAAATCCTTGATAAGTTTTAGTGATCAATTAAATGACAAAAGACTGTGTGTAATATCTTTACACTCAATGACTACTTGTGAAACCCCCTAAAAAATTGACAAAGATTCTCTGTCATCTATTGAGCTTCAGATTTGACAAAGCTATACCAACTCCAAATAAAATGTCATTTATTTTTGGAAAATGTTATGTTTTCCATTCTTTGTTATGCCAAGTAGATATTTGTGCGAATTATTTAAATAAACAAAAAAAACTTTAGATAAAATATAATTGTGTTATTTGTTAAACAATTACATTCTCCACAAACTTTTCTTTTTTTTTCTTTCTTTTTTTTTTTTTTTTTTTGAGATGGAGTCTCACTCTGTCGACCAGGCTGGAGTGCAGTGGTGCCATCTCGGCTCACTGCAAGCTCTGCCTCCCAGGTTCACACCATTCTCCTGCCTCAGCCTCCCGAGTAGCTGGGACTACAGGTGCCTGCCACCAAGCCTGGCTAATTTTTTGTATTTTTTTAGTAGAGACGGGTTTTTACCATGTTAACCAGAATGTTCTCGATCTCATGACCTTGTGATCCACCCACCTCGGCCTCCCAAAGTGCTGGGATTACAGGCGTGAGCCACCGCACCCGGACCTCTCCACAAACTTTTAAAAGTAAAAGAAGAATTCAGAGAAGGGGTGGGATGCCATGTCATATGAGGATTTATAGCCATTGTTTAGATATTTTTGGCACTTATTTAAGTTATGCAGGATTAAAGTAATGGGATGGCATTGTGTTATTTTTATTTTAAAAGAATAGTTGTGCCTCCAGTATTAAGAGTAAACTTTCTGAGATAAAGCAGGAAACTACACATTCTAGCAATCCGAGTTAGAGATTATGGGAGTCAATGAAAGGCATTTAATTCTGGATATATTATTAAGGTAGAACCAATAGTTTTTCCATGATGCAATGGGTATAGATTTTAGGGTATGGAATATAAGTTAAGAATAGTCCTGGAATAATCCAAGATTTTTGGCCTGATGGAGTTACCACCAAGAGAGAGAATGGATGAAACTGAGAGAAACTAAGACAAAATTAGGAATTTAATTTTGAACACATTACATTTGATATCTTGACTATTCACATATACATTTTGGATTTGTTTGCATGTAATTATTATTTAAAGCTCTTGGGTAGGAAGAAATCACCACACAAATCAGTGTAAACAAGAAGAGAAAAAGAATAAGAATTGAGCTGTGATGCTTGTCAACATTAAGCCTGGCCATGGATAAGAGGAGGAAGAGACAAAGATACAAGATTCAAAAACCCAAGTGAATGAATAACATCAAGAAGGAAGGAGTAATGCACTATTTCAAATGAACAAATAAAAAACTTAGATTAACCTGTATTTGGTTAGATTAACCTGTATTTGGATTGGGGTGCTTTCCTCTCATGTGTTAATTTAGCTAGATGGTGTCTGTACAGGTAAAGTTAATCTACCCTACCCAGAGGCAGTGGATTTTTCTGAATTCTTAAATCAGAATCTTTTTAGAAAAATTTACATCCTCTTAAACTGTAATTTTTTTTATTCTTCATATTCTCAAAAACAGAATTTGAGTAATGGCTAATATTTTGGGATAGGCATAAGACTTAGTTTCAAAATGTATATTGAGAGAGAGTGATTTTTTTTTTCCTACAGTGAAAATGATGCCTAAAATTCTTCTCAACTGTGAATAAATAACTCAGTCATAAGCATGGTGATATGATTTGGCTCTCTGTTCCCACCCAAATTTCATGTTCAATGGTAATCCCAAATGTTGGAGGTGGGGCCTGGTGGGAGGTGATTGGATCATGGGTATGATTTCTAATGGTTTAGCCCTACTGTCTCATGATAGAGTTCAAAAGTGTATAGCACCTCCCCTAGCTCTCTCTCTTCCTCCTGCTTCTGCCGTGTATGAAGTGCTGGCTCCTGCTTTGCCTTTCACCATATTGTAAGTTTCCTGAGGCATCCCCAGCCATGTACGGCCTGCAGAATTGTGAGTCAATTAAACCTCTTTTCTGTGTAAAATACCCAGTCTCAAGTAGTTCTTTATAGCAGTGTGAGAGTGGACTAATACACTTGATTAGTTTAACAAACACTCTGCTGGGCTACGAAACGTCTTATGTGCTGATTGTAAATTGATGAGCAATATTAACAATCCTTCACCTCAGAAGCACATTAGTGGAGAAGGTAGATATTAAGCAAATAATGACACAAGGATATTCTTAGACATATGATGTATTATAGATACTTATAATGATTGGAGTACCAGGAACTATGGAGATAAAACTTTGGTATCATCAAAATAATCCATCCAAAAATATTGACTATAAAATGGTAAACTTCAAGATCATGGATAATTAGCCTTGAGATTATGGACAGACTTCAAATGACATTAGTCTGAAATTGCATGCAAAATCTTGCAAGTGTGTGAATAAGCAATTTTCCCCAGGCAATTAGGCTGATAGCTATCATCTATTGCCAAACAGTCCTTTGACTCCAAAAGTGTATAAAAAATACTCCAGAAGAATGCTAAAATGTTATTTCTAACACCCTGCAGTTTCAAAACAGCCAGATGTTTGGAAGCATGAGAACACATATACGGATGATTGACTAAATTTCAGTTTCATATGGATGTTTTGACAGCAAGTTCTTGTTGTAAAAAATGCAAATTAGCTCATTAGTGTGGAGATAAAGCAATTAATGCTGGAATATGACCAGACATTAAGATTCATAGGATGAAATGAGGATTAAAATTCCCCTTACTCGAAGGTAGATTTTTCTTAAGATTTTGTAAGAGAAGAGGATAAGCCGAGAGAATAAAAACTTTAGTAGGATTTAATTAAATACCCACTTTCTTCAAATGTAAATTTTAAAATAAGTGCACAAATGAATATTAATACATTGGTCAATGTACTTTATTTTTAGCTGTGGAAAACTATAATAACTTACAGAATATTACAGAGAGTAATAGAGCAGAAAAATACTTGAGGCTCTATTTTATTATTTTTCTTCTTCCTACACCCCTATCAATAAGGAAACAGGGTCTCTGCATTACATTACTTATCCACAAATATCTGTTTGCTTGTGTGCTGTATACATGTCACTGTGCTAGAAGAAAGAACAAAACCAAAGAGAGGTAACCTGTAGTTACAGATTCCATTCTAATCTTAGTAGCTGGAGATTACTTGTGAATGTTATAATTTATGTAGGGCTTTTGTTTTCTGAGAAGAGTGGCAGAGAATGTCTTAAGCCTGTTCAGTATATCTTCTTCATTGAACATCTCAGAAACATTTCCTGAACCCAAATATCTATTCCTTGCTCAGAGGTATAAAAATATTTCTCCTAAATTTAAAATGCTGTAACATTCCAGTTCTTACCCAAATTTAGCCTTTAAAATTTTTTTGAATGAGATTTTCTATATAGCCACTTTGCCTATTTTTGGGAGTTTGGATTCTTCAGGATATTAATTTTCAGAATGAGTCACACCCAGGGCATCGTCATAAAAGTTGGCACACCAGAACTAATGGAACTGGATATTAGAAACTTAGGAGATTGGACTGTTAATCTTTCTTCAAAATCATTTATTTGTTCTGTATAAAATACAAATGCTTCATTGGTTACATTTTTAAAGACCATATTTTATCTGTTATAAAATATGGTCTTTATTCAATGTAAAAACAAAAAAAAAAGTACATAGAACATTGGCTTAGATGGTTGCTTTTGCGGGGCAGCCCTGTTTGTGTCTTCTTTCTTGACCTGACATAGGACTTTATTCAGTTGTTCTCAAGATCACATTCTACAAAAATTACCAACATAGAAATTCATTAACCTAAAAATAAACTTCACACATAATAGAAAATTCTGAAAAATTAGTAATTGTATTTTTTCATTTATTACTGTGAAGGCTACTTAATATCTTAAAGACAATTTGTAAGAAAACCAACCTAGTCAAGAAAACATTTAGCATACAATACCTAGTACTATAATATAGTCCTTATGTTATAATATCCAAAGATGTAGTTACTACAGCCAGTTCAGGTAAACATTTATTTCTGAATATTTTTCTGTGTAAGACAGATCAAAATGTTGTATATTACCAGTTTTATGTCTGATCTAAGATAATTTTATTCAAGTATCTAAAATGTATATACATTTTTAAAAATTTCAGATCAGAACGTCATCTAATAAAATATTAAGTAGTTATGTCTTAATTATTTCAAACATTTCAATCATGTTGTCAATGCATTAATAGAAATTTCAGTATAGCTATGCTTAATACTTTAAGAATAAGCAAATCTTGAATGCCTGTTTATGCAACACTGAATGCTCCAGAAATTCAGACATAAGCTCATTAGAGAAATAGATGGAAACATACAGGGTGAGGAAAGCATTTTCTAGAAGATTCATAGTGAACAGCCTGGCTATGGGCTACTGTATTTTTCTTGTTTATAAATCTCTAAACATTTTGAGTTTGTTTGTCACCTCACAGTTTGATGAGGAGATAACTTTATTGGTGTTTTAATTATAAGTGATGTTAAAAGAAATATTTCAAAAATATAAGAATAATCCTTCACATTTTGGTGACCGACGACAGAGTTAGACTTAAATTTTACTATTTCTGTGTTCTATTTGCAAAATCAAGTACTTGTAACCCTATAGCAAATTGCTTTCAGCAGCATATTCATAACATTATGTAGAACATAACATCATGTGGATCTCTCTTATGGAGAAAAGCTTGTAAAGAATAATCAGTACTAAGAACTCTTTAGCTCTGTATATACAAGGTTTAAAAGTATCTTTATACAATATTCATATCTCTCAGTCATTTCTGGAGGTTCTAGTTAGCCAGAATATTGTCGAGAGAAAAATGTATATGTATTTTTTCCCATTGCAAACGTAAAACAAATAAAAGACCAGTGAAAAGGTTTTATAAATTACCAATATATATTTTATTTTTCATTTATTAACATGATTATAAAATATATTAATATTTAGGACAATTTTGGAGTAAAACGTTAATATCGTCTTTGAAGAAAAAAATAAAATATAGTAATATATGTAAGTTTGTATTGTCATCATGTTAATTTATGGATGCCTTACTCTATTTAGTTTCCAAGACTGATAATGGTGGAAGAATAATAAGAGTCGGGGGACTAAAGTTTCCTTTCATTTTCAGAAGGAACATTGGCCATAGTAATTTTGCCTCTATTTGGTGGTAGTAAAAGTTTATTGTTATTTTAAAAGGAATAGTAGCTCTTCCCTTCTACCATTTATGATTGGGAATTCGAAACATACCAAAAAAAGATATTAAATATCAACTTAATATAATTAAAATTTGCTTAGCCTTAAAGCCTCATCCTATACTTGTGGATTTGTTACATTTAGTGGAGGCATTATACAAATAGCAAAATATCATTTAAAGGTGAGTAAATCAAAGAAATATTGCCTTCTGGGGTATAGTGGTCACATAAAGGAGATACACCTCTGGATTGGCTAGATTGCACATCACAGGCAGGCTCCATCTGACCCCTTTACTGTGTAAGAACTGGCTAGACCCAGGAGGGGCAGTCTCCTCAGCTAGAAAAGTTCTTTTTTTTTTAATCTAAGTAATAATTTCTTTTCGATCTTTATTAAAATATTTATCATTTTGCATCCATAGTCTGCATTTCCAAAAATGTGTGATGTGAATTAACATTCGACCTAGATCTTCCACTTTGCTTTTATTATAGCTTGTCAAAATTAAAAAAAAAAAAGTCACTTTGAATGAGGCATGTTTATTTAACAGGTCAAGTAGCTTTTAATTCGAAGGAAATTTGAAATGAAAGAAATACAGATTTCCTTATTTTTACGAACAATTAACTCAGTGTTATTGGAGAAAGACTGAACTATTAACAAACAAAAATAAAAAGAAAACTAAACACCATCAAAAACAAACTACAGCATTTCCTCCTCTAATTAATACATTATGAGATTTAAAGGAAAACAATATATGCGATCTTCACATTAACTTTCATTCAACTCCAAACCTCAGAAGACAACAGCTTCCTTAGAGTAGTCAGAAAAACATATTTATATATTAGGCTTGTAATTATTCTTATCATTATGTCATGTATCCTCTTTTTTGTTATCTAATAGTTGTAAATTTAGTTTAACTTAAAAGTATATAGCTATATATGATATAACAGTGGAACAGGAATTATGAAGTGTTGGAAGAGTCCTTAGATAGAGCCAAATTACTGAGAAGAACCGTTATTTTGCTGCTCAGGATTCAGTTATAATCATAGAAATGAACCATTCTTTAACTCCCATATATCTTTCCTCATAATGTTAATTTCTTGGATTATCTTACATAGGGTTTAGTTCAGCACCTCTTCTCATAACTATGAATTTCCATGGAAATGGAGCTCATCTCTAAACATTATATTCAAAATTCTTGATTACTCTGGTATGCTTTCCATAATACAAATTTAAGGTGCAAGTTTGTGTAAAAATATTAGAGAAGATAGAAATAGTACAGACTTCTAATCATAGTCCAAATATACCTTACTTTCAAATACAGGGTATTGAGTCTATGAAATTGAATGCATTGAATGAGGAAGAATGATTGTTTTTATTTTTGAAAATTTTCTTTTACTTTTAATTGACAAATAATTGTATATATTTATGAGGTACAATGTGATATTTTGATATGTGTTTACTTTGTGGAATGAGTCAATCAAACTAACAAACATATCCATTACGTCACATACTTATTAACTTTTGTGGTGAAGACATTTTAAATTTAATTTTTAAACAATTTTAATACAATACATTATTATTAGTTATTGACACTATTCTGTGCAACATATCACTACAGTTTATGCTTCATATCTAGGTGAAACTTTGTATTCTTTGATTAATATTTTCTTTTCCCCCTTCCCTCCCATCCCAGTGCCTCTGGTAACTACCATTCTACTGTCTAGAATTATGAGTTTGATTTACTTAGATTCCACATAAAAGTAAGATCTTACAGTATTTGTCTTTCTGTGTCTGGCTCTTTTCACTTAGCATACTGCCTTCTGGGTTCATCCATGTTTTGGTAATGACAGAATTTATTCTTTTACAAGGCTGAATACTTTTCTGTTGTATGGACATATACTCCACATTTTTATTCTATTCATCCATCTATGGGCACTTAGGTAGTTTCCAAATCTTAAATATTATAAATAATGCTGCAATGAACATGGAAGTGCAAATGTCTCTTTCACCTGCTGATTTTTTACCTTTTGTATATATACTCAGTAGTGGGATTGCTGGATCACATGGTAGTTCTATTTTTTTTCCTTTTTTAAGGAACCTCTATATTGTCTTTCATAATGTCTATACTAATTTACATTTCTACCAATAATATGCAAGTCTCCTCTTTTCTTCACATCTTCTCCAACTGTTATCTTTCATCTTTTTGATGATAGCCCTTCTTACAAGTCTGAGATGATATCTCATTGTGGTTTTAGCTTGCATTTCCCTGATGATTAGTGATGTTGAGTAGTTTTCACGTATCTGTTGGTCATTTGTATGTCTTCTTTTGAGAAATGTCTTTTCAAGTCCTTTGCTGATTTTTCAATCTGGTTGTTTTCTTTCTGTAGAGTTGACTTACTTACATATTTTGTGTAAGTAACAAATGTGTGATTTTCAAATATTTTCTCCCAGTTTGTGGGTTGTCTCTTCATTTTATTAATTTATTCTTTTTAATATTTAATTAAAGTAGTTATACTTAAAATAGAAGAGGTTTCAGATAAAAAGCAAAAATCAAATAAGCAAACGCAGTTGTCCCTCGGTATCCATGAGGCATTGATTGGTTCCAAGATTCCCTGCAGATACCAAAGTTCATGCATGCTCAATCTCTTATATAAAATGGTGTAGTATTTGTATATAACCTATGCATATCCTCCCATCTACCTTAAGTCATCTTTAGATTACATGTAATACTTAATACAGCAGCCAGGCGTGGTGGCTCACACCTGTAATCCCAGCACTTTGGGAGGCTGAGGAGGGCGGATCAGGAGGTCAGGGGTTCGAGACCAGCCTGACCAACATGGTAAAACCCCGTCTCTACTAAAAACACAGAAATTAGCCAGGCGTGGTGGCACACACCTGTGATCCCAGCTACTCAGGAGGCTGAGGCAGGAGAATGACTTGAGCCTGGGAGGCGGAGGTTGCAGTTAGCTGAGATGGCGCCGTTGCACTCCAGCCTGAGCGACAAAGCGAGACTCCGTCTCAAAAAAAAAAAAAAAATACAGCATAAAAGTTATGAAAGTAGTCATTATACTGTATTGTTTTAGGAATAATGACAACGAAATAATATCTGTACATGTTCAGTAGAGACTCAAATTTTTTCCTAAGTATTTTTGATCCAATTGTGGAATCCATGGATGCAGAACACACATATATGGAGAGCCTACTGTATTAACTATGTATTTCCTGTAGTAACAACATCAAATATGTGAAACAAATGGTAAGAGGATACTGACTTTTTGTTTATTTGTTGATTTATTTTCGAAGAAAGTTACTAAGTAAATTTTAATCTTCTTTAAAAAATGAGATTTATAAACTAAAATGCAAATTATTAGGCTTTCTGTAATTGACAAAAGGCTTTAGGGCTCGTGGGTAAGTTTCAGTGGTTCTATGTTGCAGTAAATGTTTTAATTCAAATGTTGATATTTCCACCTTGCTCATTTACAATGATTTCAAAATGTCAAAAATACAAAGGTCAATCCTTAGTTGACCCCTAATATTATTAAGATTGTTTTCAAGTGGTAAACCTAAGGTATAGCATCCTACTTCTATACAGCTACAACTATACAGGTCCATGAACACCAAACACCATTTAAAAGTACACATACAGATGTACATCTACACGCACACACACATGCACACACACAAATTTATAGAGAGGCAGCAAAGTCTGCTGTCAGTAATTATGGATTTCAAAAAAATAGCAAACCATTTCAAAGTTGACTTATGCTGATTTTTAGTTTTTATTTGTTATTTATCAATGTGGCAAGGGTATTCAAGGAAAATATATATTTCCAAAGAAAATTCAGTACATTAAGGAAAACAGTAGTATTATTTATAAACCAAACAAAAATCAACCAGATAAATGAAGCTTTGTTGAAAATGCATACCCTTAAATGTAATATTGATATGAAAATGTAATATTGATATGAAAATTGATATTGAAATGTAATATTGATATGATAAGATCATAAATGCTTAAATAGAGTTGTTGTTTTATTCCAAAAAA
Organism: Homo sapiens; assembly: GCF_000001405.40. Lineage (NCBI taxonomy): Eukaryota > Metazoa > Chordata > Mammalia > Primates > Hominidae > Homo > Homo sapiens. The sequence goes on along the minus strand of NC_000001.11, from coordinate 194,962,390 downwards.
TCAATACAGGTCCAAAGTCCCTATGCATAACTTATTAAGCTGTATCAAACCCACTTACCCAATTATTTAACACTTTTTCTATTTTGTATTTTGTTTTTACAGTAATTTTTATTTCACAAAGTAAAGAATAAAAAGAAAAAAATGTGTATTCCTTTTGTTAATCTAATTTTTTGTGCGTTAATTTTTTTCTTTAAATGTGATCTACACAGTTACTGAATTCAGAGGTCCTGCCAAAAGTATTGTGGTTTATATTTTTGGTTTTCTCTCTGTAGCTACTCATTTATTATATTAAATAGAAAACAAATTTTCTTTTGATCACTAATTGCTAATTGTTAATTAAATATGAAATACCATACTAATATTTCCTCTATAATTGTAAATTCAACAATTGAATAGAAGGGATATAATTTTGCTTCTTTTTATTAAATCGGTATCAGAAATGTCTCCTATTTTAGATAAAGAATAGTAATACATATAATATATAGTTAATGCATAATGACTTTAACATTAATTTATAATTAGAATTTAGAATTCAGATCTTAAAACTTCAATTGAGATTTCTTCCTATTTCCAGACAATTCTGTCGTATATGGATAAGCATTTTATTGATGAAAATGCAAATGCTTGCTCTGTATTGTGCGTGAAAGGTCAAAGCAATTTTATATCTGCTCCTACAAAATATTTTACTTCAAATAAATCTCTGTATTAATACTTTATTGGGATAGATTTATTTCCTAAATTTTATTTTGTAGAACTTTGCCCTTTCAATTTTAACTGGTTCTAAGAAATTACATTCTGCCTCTTCTCTTGAAATAGGAAAATGTCAGGGAAGGGAGGTGGCTGTCAACACAATAATAAAACCTGAGAATTCTCGTGCACTTCAGATAAGGATCCAGGCTTACATGTGTTTATCAGGTTTGAATTAAATATCCAATATTTCATCAATTAGTAGCACAAATGCCACTGTATTTTGATGTGCAGTACTAAGGTGTTTGTGATATATTAGATTTACTCTTCAAATTTAAACAAATAGCAAAAAATTTGATTTTTGATGAACATACTTGATATGACACATATTTAATAAAATGAAGTAAATTTTAATACACATTTGTAATAAATTTATGATTTAAAAATGTAAGTAAATGGTTATAGTGGTCCTGTTTCTGGTTGAGGTGCTATATATTTGGGATCAAAGTGCATCAACTGCTCAAAGAAACAAGTTAAATAACCAGAATAAACAGTAGAAAATGATGGTCACTGATAAGTACTAAATGTTCACTGTAGAAGTCCAGTAGTCTCCTCTTACACACAGTTTTATTCTCATAGTTTCAGTTATTTGTGGTCAATCAAAGACTGAAAAGTACAGTAAGATATTTTGAAAGGGAAAAGAAAGGTTGAGAGGCAGAGGCATCACATTCAAATAAATTTTATTATATTGTTATATTTGTTCTATTTTATTATTAGTTGTTATTGCTAATTATTATTGTTAATCTCTTACTATGCCTAATTTATAAATTAAAATTTATTAAAGATGTGTGTGTATAGGAAAAAACAGCAGTTTCAGGCATCTACAGGAGGTCTTGGAATGTATCCTCCACAGATAAAAAGGGTCTACTACTGTATCATTATTTGTATTTTAAAAATGATTCAATTGAGGTTTACACAGGGTATTTGCAAAGAGTAAAAACTTCATCAGAGTTAAAGTTCTTTGCAATAATGATAAGTATTGTGATAATGATAATTGTCATCATAGAAGTGGTGATAATGCTAATTACTATTTATCAAGACATTATGTCTGAAGAAAAGTGCTGAGATTTATGCACAGTATATCATACATCTTCCAAGAAACCTGGGAAGTAGATATAATCTGCATTAGATAGTCATTTTATAACCTGCAGGGTATGGTCAGATTAATACATTGCTTTAAGCTGACTCAAAATCCCATGGTTTTAACATGGTTAAGTAGTGTACTGCTGAACATGACATATAAGATAAAAAGATACATGTTTCTAAAAAGTGTTCTGTGTGTTTAAGAATATAAAATAAATTAAGGCTAATAAATGTATGATAACTCTTTGACAAGTAGATGTCTTTAAAATACAGAAATGATTAAGATAAAATTCAAATGACATCAAAAAACATTTAAATTGAGTGTGATTTCAACTTCTGTATATAAAAATACGGCTGGATAGTGGATATTAAGCTTCTCTATGCATTAAATACAACTGTGCAAAATGCATAAAACACAAAATGAACCATTTAAAACATTGGACATAAACCAAATAAGCTATGATATAGTGTGTCAAGATCCCAGCTAAAAGGCAAGTTCAATGAAATAAAACTGATACTGAGACACGTGTTTTCTGGTTACAACATTAGCTGTGGTGTGGCAGAGGCATGGAGGACTGAGAGAAAGCTGTATCTTACAGCATGTGGGTTAGCTAAATAAACATTAAATACTTTCTGCAGGATATCCAAAGACTGTACCATCTATCATGTGTAATGACTGGCAGATCATTAAAAATTACCTGGAGTACTAGGAAAGAGTACCAAATAGCATAAAAATCAAAATAAAAAACCAGGTAACACAGCCAACTCATAACTGATACTGGTAAGGGTGATATTAAGCATAATCACTATAATAGCTATGATTAATATCTTAAGGATAGTGGATAAAAAAGAAGAATTTTACAAGAAAACTTGCATCTACTAAGCAAGAACATCTAGAACTGAAAAACAACATAACTATGCTAAAGTATTTATATATGTATATATCAGTTAATATATGCATACATTAAGTATTATATAAATGATAAATAGTAGAGTAGAAACAGCAGAAGAGAGGATTAGTAAAATGGAATTTAGTTATCTCAGTAGAAAATACCCAGATTAAAACAGAAGAGGAAATTTATGGAACATAGTGAAAAACATAATACATATATAATTTAAGTTACAGGAGAAGAGTAACTTTAGTAGATAATTTTCTAAATCTTTTGAAAAGTATTAATTTACAGATTCTAAAGTTTCTATAAAATCCAATCATGAAAAATTAAAACAAAATTGAGCACATCCTGGCAATCTGCTGAAAATTAGACAAACAAAAATATTAACAACTGTAATCAGAAAAAAAAATACACTTTCCTTTCACAGGAGCAGTTAAAAGTAACTACTGAATTCTCAAAAGAAACCTTGTAAGCATGAAAGCAAAGAAATGATAACTTTTAGTGATGAAATAAAATTCTAGAATTCTGTAGCTACTGAAAATATTTTTCTTTTTAATTCTGACAAATATAAAGACATTTTTCTGACACCAATTCTGAACTAAAAGAAATAATAAAACAAACTGAGGTAAATAATTTTAAAGTAATTAAACCAATATATAAGAAGAAATGTAAAGCATCACTAAATAAAACAATAGCTTTTGGAGATCTGGAGACTAAAATATATGCAAAACTGAAATTTATAAAAACAATGGAAAGAATGTGGAATGTGGTTAAGTGAAAGTTGTGTAAGGTCCTTGCATTTTCTTGTTAGTGATGAAAGTACATATTTAAAGTTGACTGCAAGTAGGACATCCAATTTAATCACTAAGCAAGCCCTGAGAAATATAAATAACCACTAATAAGTTAAAGGAAAACATCTCAACAAAAATAATTGATCTTAAAGGAGGTAAAAATTAAGACAAATACAAACAAAACAGAAAAGACATAAAAAAGAGGAAAATATAGAAATGATTATGTTCAGTGTAAATGAACTCCATAAAAATGGCTTTTTTTTTTTTTTCCTGGCTAACACAGTGAAACCCCGTCTCTACTAAAAACACAAAAAATTAGCCAGGCGTGGTGGCGGGTGCCTGTAGTCCCAGCTACTCGGGAGCCTGAGGCAGGAGAATGGGGTGAACCCGGGAGACGGAGCTCGCAGTGAGCTGAGATCGCGCCACTGCACTCCAGCCTGGGCAACTGAGCGAGACTCCATCTCAAAAAAAAAAAAAAAAAAAGATCATAAAAAGGTAAAAATGACAGTAATAGCAGATTAAACTCAAAGTAGGCCCCTTACAAGAAACATTCTTTAAATAGAAGATATTGAAAAGCAGAAAGTAAAAACGTGATTTTATATATATAAAAACACATTCAAACACGTAAGACTAAGACAAAAACGCTAAATAAAAAAGGTGTGTGTTTATTAATATGGAAGAGTAAATGTTAGGGCAAGATGCATTATTAGAGATAAAGCTTTTTTTAATGGGTCAGTTCAGAAAGAAGATATATTAATAGTTAATTGATGTACACAATAGCATGTCCTAAGTATGTATAAAGTCTCAAAAAGTTGACAGAAACAATATGAAAAATTTTTAAATGAACAATATAAACAAGCACATTTGGGTTTTTTAACAACATTTTTATACTAAGAACTAAGAAAAAAATTACATCACAATATAAAATATTTGAAACATGTTAAAAATAAACTCAGTAAATAATTTAAAAAATGAATTTTGACAGCAAATTAGACACAGTAGAAAAAAGGATGAGTACATTAGATGTTAGTTCAGTAAAATAACTAGATTTAATAAAAAGAAGAAAAAAATTTAAAAAGCAGGAAAATGCATATGAATTTTATTGAAATAGTAGAAGCATTTAATATGTTATAGTATATAATATATAACAATTAACCCTTAATAATTATAATACATAATATATGTATACTGTATATCATGATTTAAATAAAATATCTACATAATTGGTTTACATATACTGCACTTGAGCTTAGCCAAAGTGCAAGAAGCAATAAAATGATTTACTTATAATATGATTTACATGATAAATCTGTATATAATTAGCAAAATAAGGGTTCTAAAACATAAGAACTACAAAATATTTAAATATAGTGCATATAATATTGCACATAATATATTATACATGATATAGAATATATTATACACTATATTGTATATTGTGTCATATTTTACATTACATATTGCCCAATATGTATGTTATTTGCAATATATTATATATAAAATATATTTTAAAATGGACTCTACCAAAAAACCTATTAGAACTGATTAATTCAGTAAAGTTGAAATCTTTAAAATGACACAAAATCAACATACAGAAATAAGTAACATTTCTATTTGCCAACAGCGAACAATTGGGGAAGAAAAACAACAACAACAAGAAAACTATCCCAATTATGATAGTTACAAGGAATATAAAGTAACTGGGACTAAAATTAAACAAAGAAGTGAAATAGCTCCACAATGAAAACTATAAGAAGAAAAAAGAAATTGAACAGGACACACACAAAAAAATGGAAATATATTTCATATTAATGAATTGGAAGAATCAATATTATTTAAATGTCCATACTACCCAAAACAATGTACAGATTGAATGCAATTTCTATCAAAATACGAATGACATTCTTCACAGAAATAGAAAAAAACCTTAAAATTTATATAGAACCACAAAAAGAGCATGAATAGCCAAATGATCCTGAATAAAAAGAACAACGCTGGCGACATCATCCTACTTGACTTCAAAATACACTATAAAGCTTGAATTATTTTGAACAAAATGTACAAAATTTATAATCAATTACCCTGGGTCAATCAAAAGAACAATAATTATATGCAGTAATATTAATGATTATCACTAACATGATCTTAATAGATAGGACGAAGCAATATATTTTAAAAAGTATATAAAATTTATGTATATAAATTTCTAAAAGAAGAAAACTAATTTATGATGTCATAGGTCAAAATAGAGGTTTACTTTGAGGAAGTAATGACCGGACAAAAGGATTAGAGAGATTTCTACAGTATTGTTACTACCCTAACCCCACTATGATAATTTCACAGGGCTATTGAAGTTGTAAAATTCTATGTCAGAATTCATCAATTTAAAAATTCATTATCACTTAAGTAATTAAAAAAATGTCACTTAAGGTCTGGAGTATGTTAACAGTAAAAGATAAAACAAAAAATACACTTGCCATATATATTTATTTTTGAATTTGGCTAAAATTTAGTAAGAAATAAGAGATTAAGCAGATTATTTCAGGTGAGCAAATTTATGAAGAATAAAAATAATAGTAGGCACTGAATAGTTAAGTGTAGTTTATTTACTCCTTCATAAATCACTTAACAAATATGTTACAGTCACTATTCTAGACATTGGAATAAATCAACGAATTTTTTTTCTTATCAGAAGAACTAATTTTAATGGGGAAATAAATAAATCTTAAAAATTATATAATACGAGCTTAGAAAGTAAAAGTAGTGGGAAAATTAAAACAAATAAAGTATTGATATTTTTAGTAGGTAACAAGTACTTGAGATAGAAATGGAAATTTGGATGGTTTAGGTAGCTATTGTTTAAAAGGTGACATTTGAGCAGCAACTTCAAGGCAATACAAGTGACCCATGTGTTTAGTCTTATTTCACCCAACTGGTTAGGAATTGAGGGAAAACCATCTTGAATTCAAAGAATCCTAATCAGTGATGTAATGACTATGTCCAAGAACAATGAGGAAGTGGGCAATGATTAGTCAAGGATGGATTCAAAATGTTTGGCCTGAACAAATTAAGAAATGGAGTCCAGGTAATGAGGAGTAATGTGGAAATAGTAAGTTTCAGAAAAAATCAGATCAGTTGAGTTTGTGATGCTTTAAAATATACAAGAAGAAATATACGATAGAAATTTGGATATACACTATTAATTACAGGAAAGAGGCTGGTGTTGGAGATACAAATTTGTGAGTGCTGAGTATCTACATGCTATTTTCAACCACAAGGCTAGATGACCATAGATAGAAGAGACCCAAGGATTGAGAGCTCTGGGGCCTCCAAGTTTAGAAGTTTAGGGGAAGACCAGAATAAGGAAAGGAGAGAGGGAGCAACCAGTAAGGGAAAAGAAAGTTTTCTCCAACAAGTCAAATGGGAAAAATATGTTAAGGGTGAAGAAAACTTCAACTATCTCAAAAACTACTGATAAATCATGTCAAATGAGTTGAGAAAGCAACTGAATACAGCAATGTAACGGCTGTGTCCAGGAACAGTGAGAAAGTGGGCATTGATTTGTTGTTTTGTTCTCAGTAAGCATAATTTCTGAAATGAAAGATTCATAGAATGTCCTATTGTGGCAAATATGCTTCATATATCAGAATGATCCTCCACTTATTTTCTCCTAGATTAAATGAAATCCAATTAAAGACTGAACTAAACAAGGAGAGCAAGAAGAACAACATAGTGTACTTTGAAATAAATTTTCAGTCTCATTAGCATTGTACATTAGTTCTATAGGCCTTATGAGTGTCTGAAAAAGACAGCTCACGTTGTGGTTCATGGTCTTCAACAACTGAATTCACAGCAGAGAAATGAATTCTCTCCTCCATTTAAAATGTGACTCCATGAGGATGGTTACAGAAGTTTTTAAAATATCAGGTCTGATCATGTTTCAGGAAAGATCTTGGCACCTAGTGTCCGTAAAAATAGCCTTCACTGTGTGAGATGCTACTTCTGCCAGTATATGTTCATCCCTTGATTACTGGAAAGCAGAGTTCTCTAGGAGCCTTGTCTTCAGCTTGGTAACATAATGGCCAATTAATACCATATTTGAATACTAAATCACAAACACTAAGAAAATTCTTTTTAACTTCCTTTTAGGTCAATTTAACAAAAAACCAACAAACAAGAACACAAATACAAGCAGGACAAAAATCAAGTACATAAAGACTATCAGTGAGTGAGAATATTACTTTTCATATTTAACTCATGGGTTTGCTTCAGTGGAACTGGAAAAACAAGACATGGGGTAATTTCTACAATACGGTATGAGAGCATTACTCTGACACAAAATTATTCACCCTAGTGACCCTTTAGATATCGCTCTTTTGCTTTAGTGTCATGCTGCTGCTAATAACAGATATGAAATTAATTTTAACAATTATGCTCCTAATTCTTGGTACCTTTAAAGATGACATAATTTCTTTGGCACCTGTCAGACTAACTTGCATAATCATAGTTAAACATACATAATTTTATGTATAATTATAATACTTTCTTTTCCATTAAAATGTCTTTCAAATGAAGAACAGAAATCTAGCACATGATTAGTAAATGAATACGTTTCCTTATTTTCTTTTACCAAATCCAATAGAAACAACTGAAAGCATATAAATTTAGAATATTTCCATAGTATGATGCAAATCAGGAAATGTGTTATTAGTGGAACAAAGCAACGAGAAATGAATCTAAGTCACAGAGTTGGGGAAATTAAATTAATATAAAAGGAAAATATGTTGAACATCTTTTGAAGAAATAAAGATGAAAATAAGAATGACAGAAATTACAAATTCCACAGGAGAATGCTTGAATTTGGAATTTTTTTAAATTATTTTATTTTAGATTCAGAGAGTACATGGGTAGGCTTGTTTCATTTCACGTGCAATGGTGGGGATTGGGTTTCTAGTGTTCCCATTACCCAAATAGTGAACATTGTACTCTATAGGTATTATTTCAATACTTGAATACTTGCCCCTTCCCATGCTCCCCCATTTTGCAGTCCTAGAGTGTCTATTATTTTTCTCTTTATGTCCATGTGTACCCATTGTTTAGCTCCCACTTGTAAGTGACATGTGATATTTGATTTTCTGTTTCTAAGTTAGTTCACTTAGGACAATGGCTTCCAGCTCCACTCATGTTGCTGTAAAAGACAGGATTTCATTCTTTTTTATGGCTGCATAATATTCCATGGTATATATATATATATATATATATATATATATATATATATACCACATTTTCTTTATCTAGTCTACCATTGGTGGGGAACTGGGTTGTTTCCATGTCTTTGCTATTGTGAATTAGTGCAGTGATAACCACACACATGCAGGTGTCTTTTTTTAATAATGATTTGTAATACTTTGGGGAAATACCCAGTAGTGGGATACTGAGCCAAATGTTAGTTCCATTTTTAGTTTTTTTGAGAAATCTCCATACTGTTTGCCATGGAGGTTGAACTAATTTACATTCTCAACATCAGTGTATAAGCATTCCTTTTTCGTCACATGCATGCCAACATCTGTTGTTTTTTTCACTTTTTAATAAGAATCATTCTGACTGGTATAAAATTACATCTCAGTGTGGTTTTAATTTGCATTTCTATGATGATTAGTGATGTTGAACATTTTTTCATGTGTTTGTTGTTTACTTCTATTTCTTCTTTTGAGAAATGTCTGTCTTTTGCCCAGTTTTTCACTTGGTAGATTTTTTTTTTTTCTTATTGAGTTGAGTTCCTTGTAGATTCTGGATATTAGTCCTTTGTTGTGGGCATAATTTGCAAATATTTCCTCCCATTCTGTAGGTTGTATGTTTACTCTTGATTATTTCTTTTGCTTTACAGAAACTCTGTAGTTTAATTAGGTCCCATTTGTCTATTTTTGTTTTTGTTGCATTTGCTTTCGAGGTCTTTATCATAAATTATTTGCCTAGGCCAACACAATGAAGAGTTTTTCTTGTTTTATTATTTCTGGATTTTTATAGTTTTAAATATTATATTTAAGTTTTTAACCCATCTTGAGTTAATTTTTGTGTATGATCACAGATAAAGGTCTAGTTTCAGTCTTATGCATATGGCAAGCTAGTTATCCCAGTACCATTTATTGAATAGGATGTTTTTGCTCCAATGTTTATTTTTATCAACTTTGTCACAAATCAGTTGGTTTTAGGTATTTGGCTTCATTTCTGGGTTCTCTATTCCATTGCTCTGTGTTTCTGTTTTTGTACAAACAATGATACAGGAGTTAAGAAGAAATTACTTAGGCAGATAATGAGGGTACGGAAGTCCTCTGTAAGGGTTTCCTTTTAATGAAAAACAGCTGTAAATCATTTTCTAACAAAGAACAGCCTGTAAAATTGAGCTGCAGACACAGACGCCAGCAGTTGTGCCAATCATGTTCAACATGGCGGCTCCATCTTCCTTTCTCTTTGTCAGCCACATGTCCGGTAAGGAGCAGACAAGATTGCACCCTCCAAGGAGGAAGTTTATTTGCATAATATGATTAGGGTAGGACAACCAGCCTTCCCTGTGCACCATGTAAACGTCATACTTGATTGAAACAATCTGTGAGCCTTATGTAAATCAGACACCACCTCCTCAAGCAGGACTACAAAATCCAGCACATCCACTGACAGCTGGCCTTTTCCTCTAGGAAGTCCGCTCTTTCTCACTAGACAAAGAAAGCTGTTTTCCCTTCTCTTTCTTTCTCTTTCTTTTGCCTATTAAACCTCCATTCCTAAACTCCTCGTCCTAAATTTTCTCGACACGAGAAAACAAACCCTGGGTATTTACCCAAGACAACGTAGCCACTTCAATACCGTGCTGTTTTCATTACTTTAGGCTTCTGGTATAATTTGAAGTCAGGCAATGTGATGTTTCCAGGTTTGTTCTTTTTGGTTAGAATTGCTTTGCCTCTTCAGATTATTTTTTGGTTCCATGTGAACTTTACGATTGTTTTTTCTTAATCTGTAAAAAATAGGCTTGAGTGTGGTGACTCACACCTATATTCCTAGCATTTTGGGAGGTTAAGGTGGGAAGATTTCTTAAGCCCAGGAGTTCTAGACCAGACTGGGCAATAAAGCAAGGCCTTGTTTCTAGTAAAAATTTTAAAAATTAGCCAGGCATGGTGGCACATGCTTATAGTCCTAGCTACTGACGAGGCTAATGTGGGACAATCGCTTGAGCCCAGGAGATCTAGATCTCAGTGAGCAGTGATGGCACCAGTGCACTCCAGCATGGGTGACAGAGCCAGACCCTATCTCAAAAAACAAACAATAAATAAATGCATGTTTAAAAATGACTGTGAATTTGATAGGGGTTGTGTTGAATCTGTAGATTGCTTTAAGCAATATGGTCATTTCAATGATGTTAATTCTTCCACTCTATGAATATGGGATGCTTTTCTGTTTGTGTCATCTATGATTCCTTTCATCAGTGTTTTGTGGTTCTACTTGCAGAGATATTTCACCTCTTTGGCTAAATGTATTTCTAGGTATTTTAATTTTTGGTAGCCACTGTAAATGGGATTGAGGTCTTGAATATTAGCTCTTGTCTTGAATGATACTGATGTATAGAAGTGCTACTGATTTTGTATGTTGATTTTGTACCCTAAAGCTTTACTGAAGTTGTTTATCAAGTCTAGGTGTCTATTGGAGGAGTTTTTGGGGTTTTATAGGTATATGATTATATCATTAGTATACAGATAATTTGACTCCCTCTTCCAATTTGGATGTCTTGTATTTCTTTCCCTTGCCTGATTGCTCTGGCTCAGACTTACTGTACTATGTTGAATAGGAGTGCTGAGAGTGTTTTCAACTTTCCCCCACTCTTCACGATGTGGGTTGTGACTTTTTCATATATGTCTTTTATTATTTTAAAGTATGTTCCTGCCTATTTGTTGAGGATTTTTATCACAATGCAATGTTGGATTTTATTGAATGCCTTTTCTACATCTACTGAGATGACCATATGGTGTTCAGTTTTAGTTCTGTTTATGTGCTGAATCATATTTATTGATTTGTGTATGTTGAAATATCCTTGCATTCCTGGAATAAATGTCACTCGATCATGATGTAATATCATTGTGATATGCTATTGGATTCATTTTGCCAGTATTTTGTTGAGGATTTTTCATCTATGTTCATCAAAAATATTGACCTGTAGTTTTCTTTTATTGTTTTTTCATTGCTTGACTTTGATATTAGCATGATACCATTCTATGATAATGGTTTTGTAGTCTAAACTAAAGAAGGATCCCTCCTCCTTGATTTTTAAAAATTATTTCAGTAAGATTGGTACCGGCTCTTTCTTGTATGTCCAGTAAAATTGAGCTGTGAATATCACTGGTCCTAGATGTCCTTTTTCTTTTTGGCTACTGATTCAATTTCATTACTCTTTATTGGTCTGTTTGAGATTCCTATTTCTTCCTGGTTCAGTTTTAGGAAGGTGTATGTTTTCAGGAATTTATTAATTTCCTCTAGAATTTTAGCTTGTGTGCATAGAGGTTCATAGTAGATGCTGATGATCTTTTGTATTTCTGTGGTATCCATTGTAATGTCACCTTTGTCATTTCTGATAATATGTATTTGAATCTTCTCTCTTTTTTTCTTATTTAATCTAACTAGAAGTCTGTCAATTTTGTTTATCCTTTCTAGGAACCAACTTTTTGTTTCATCGATGCTTCGCATGCATTTTGTCATCTCACTCTCATTTAGTTCTCCTCCCCTCTTTGTTATTTTCTTCGGCTAGCTTAGGGTTTGGATTATTCTTGATATTCTAGTTCCTTCAGATATGACATTAGGTTGTTCACTTAAGATATTCCTATCTTTTTTAATATAGGCATTTAATTCTATAATTTTTTTCTCTTAGAACTTGCTTTTGCTGTAATCCAGAGGGTTGTATATATTGTGTCTCTGTTTTCATTTGTCTTGTAAATTGTTTTTATTTCCACCTTAATTTCATTGCTTGCACAAGGTCATTATTGAATAATTTTTTTAGTTTCCATGTATTTGGGTAGTTTTTTTCTTTCCTATTGGTATTAATTTCTAATTTTATTTCACTGTGGTTCAAGAGGATAGTTGGTATAATTTTAATTTTTTTTTTAATTTATTGAGACTTGCTTTATGGCCAAACATATGAAGAATGTTCCATTCAGAAAAGGGAAGAATGTATAATCTGTAGTTGTTGGATTAAATGGTCTATTAATGTATATTCTATTAGATCCATTTGGTCTACAGTTCAGTTTAAGTCCAAAGTTTCTATATTGATTTTCTGCCTTGATGATCTGTCTAGTGATGTCAGTGGAGGTGTTGAAGTCTCTCACTATTATTGTATCAGTATAAATATTTTCATAGATCTAGTAGAATTTGTTTTACAGGGTGTGCACCTGTAATCCCAGCTACTTAGGAGGCTGAGGCAGGAGAATTGCTGGACCCTGGGAGGCGGAGGTTGCAGTGAGCTGAGATCATGCTATTGCACCCCAGCCTGGGTGACAGAGAGAGACTCCATCTCAACAAAAACAAACAAACAAACAAAAATAAAATAAAATAGAATTTGTTTTATAAAACTGAGTGCTCGAGTTTTGGATGCCTATGTATTTAAGATAGTTATATATGTTTTATTGAACCATATTCTTATATAATGTCCTTTGCCTTTTTTTTCACTGTTTTTCTTTTGACGTCAGTTTCATCTGCTATGAGGATATCTACTCCTACTCATTTTTTTTTTTTTTGTAATTTGCATGATGTATCTTTTCCCACTCCTTTACTTTCATTCTGCAGCTGTTTTTGGCCAGTAGGTAGGTCTCTTGTTGGCAGCAGATAGTTTCAGCCTTGAGTTTTCATCCAATTTGCCACTCTGTATCTTTATAAAATTATTATTTCAATAGGTTTTTGGGGAACAAGTGGTGTTTGGTTACTTGAATTTATTTAGCGGTTATTTCTGAGGTTTTGATGTACCTATCACCCAAGCAGTGTACACTCCACTCAATGTGTAGTCTTTTATCCCTCATCCCCCCTTCAACCCTTTCCCCTGAGTTCCCAAAGTCCACTGTATAATTCTTATGCCTTTGTGTCCTCATAAAGGCATAAGCTTTGCTCCCACTTGTGAGTGAGAACATGGAATGTTTGGTTTTCCAATCCTGAGTTACTTCACTTAGAATACTCATCTCCAATTCCATCCACGTTGCTTTGAATGCCATTATTTTGTTCCTTTTTATGGCTGAGTAGTATTCCATGGTGTGTGTGTGTGTATATATTTATATAAAAAGTTTTATTTATCCACTCGTTGATTGGTGAGCATTTGGGATGGTTCCATATTTTTGAAATTGCAAATGGTGTTGCTATAAACATGCATGTGTAAGTATAAGTGGGGCATTTAGGTCATTTACAATAAAGATTAAATATTGATATGTGAGGTTTTGCTAGTGTCATAGTGTTGTTAGCTAGTTGCCTTGGGGTTTCAATTGTGTAATTATAGGATCTGCGAGCTTTGCACTAATGTTTCCTGGTGGTAAGTTTCATATGTTTGTTCTCATGTTTAGAACTAATTTGAGCATTTCTTGTAGGTGCAGTCTAGAGGTGACCAACAATAACGTTCAGGTTAAGAGGTATATTGAATTAAAAACAATTATATACTAAATTTTTCCAATAAATAATGATTTTAAAGTGAACAAAATTATATTATTGATGTTTACATCAATTTAGTTAAATGTATTTCAGGTGATCTGCGCTTGTTTTACACACACACACACACACACTCATACATATATATTAGCAATTTAGGAATTTCTGAACAAAAGTAACTATATTACATCACACACGGAGCGATTTAAGAGTGGAGAGAGTCTTTCTCACAGTTTATCAGATTCAAGGAAACCCAGGTGACTGTCAAAATAAAACAATACGACAAAAATATCTTTCTCAAGGTAAATGACCTAGTGAAAGTTTTAGAGGAACGAAATATGGTGATTGAAAGCCATCAATGCTCACTAAAGTATTCACTTTTCCTGAGGATTGGATCACCAACTGTTGGTAAAATTATACTGAGGGAATTTCATAAGCCTCTTTTGTGCATGAAATATCTCAGTTAGTGAATGTCACTGACATTTGCTTTTCAGCAGCTGTGTATTTCATCTGTGACTATGAAAAATAAAATAAGACTTGGGGACTACTTTCCGTCCAGAGAAAGAAATACTATGACGAATCAAATTATTACTAAACTGTTGTTTAAACAGTTATTACAGTGTTTTAGTGCAGAATATTCGATTAAGGTAGTCATATTACCCAGTTCTTGGTCTGTACATGAATATTTATAAAATAGCAATTTTAATATATTAAACAAATTTGATGCCTCTCATTAGTTACCATTTATAATGTTGCTATAGAAATGCATTTTTAAAATCTTTGGATAAGTTGTGGAAAGATTTGAGTTTCATCACAAATAATTTTGTTTTAAAATGTACATATAATGAAAATTTATTATACATTCATAAGCAAATTTTGTTTTTTAAAAAGGAGGACATTAATGGAAAAAATAAGAACTTGACTTTTAGTATGTGACAATTAAAACGTAAGATTATATTTGGGTAATTGTAATTAAAACATCATCATCATCATAATCTACACACACACACACACACACACACACACACACACACACACGGCAAGCTCTTCTACACTTTAACAAAACAAAAGAACCTATTGAAAACATGCATTTTGCTAACCTAGAAGAAGAAAAATATGCAGAATACATTACAACTCCAAACAGGTATTTATTTATTTACTTATGTAACAGTTGTTTCCCTTTCATGTTAGGTAAATTAAAATTTGAGCTCTTGATAACTTTGTAGCAATTTAGGATTAATTCCATTTTTTTAACTTTTATTTGAAAATAATTTTAGACTTGCAAGAAGTTGTATAGTAGCACAGAAAATTCCCATGTATCCTCCATGTAGCTTCCTCTATTGAAAACTACTGAAGTAAGGATTCAAATGAATGACTTTGTTCTTTTCGGGGGAAGGGGAAGGCGCTTATGAATTAATTAATGAAATACTATCAAAACGTTGTTTTCAGTAGATTCTTGGAAGAACTCTGTGTGAGATTATACCAGAGTAAAGCATAGAGAATCAGTTGGAAATTATAGCATTAAATTATCATTTCAGGAGACTTTGTGTAATGCTTATCTAGTTATTTTGACCCCTTTCAAGGGGTTTAGTTTTAACCTAGTTGTATAGTTACTGTATTTTTCTTGTCTAAAGTAATTCCCAAAATAGTTATTAGGTGCTAGCCATTTGCCACCTGAAATGACTGCTGCCCATTCCCTTTCCCATGAAGGAGTCTGGCTGAATGCCTTCTAGAAGAGATGAGAAAAATTCAATATGATAGTTTTTAGATTAATTAGTATTAAATTTATTTATTAACCCCAAGTCTTTTTTACCTTGCAAAATTTAATTTTTGCTTGTGGGGACTAAAATATTAGTTTGTACACAGTCATTCTGACAGTACTATTGAAGAATGATCATTTTATCTAAGTGGTCCTTCAACAAAAATAAATAAATTTTAAAAATATATTTCTCAATAACTTGTATAATATCAATTATCTTTTAGCCTTGTCAAAGAATTCATCAACTGATTATATTTTTTGCTCACTTTAATGTTAATTATTTTTTCCAATTTTAACTTTGATTTAAAAACACTAATGGCACATCATCTACTTTGTAGAATGTGTGCTACCTTTGGAAGTGCAAAGCTAAATAAGACAATGATTTTACCAATTAGGAGGCTATAATTTAATCAAATGATTAGACCTATAGGATGTATGTACCATCATTAATGGAAACTACCTTGAAATATGCAAAATAATTGAAAATATTTTTCAAATACTTTCAAACTATGCAAAATCATTGAAAAACAGGAAAATTATACTGCCTTCCTAGGGTAAAAATTGCAAAAACAACACATCAGTATAAGACCGAGGGTGTTGCAGTTACCCTACCTGAGTCATTCTGGTTAAATGTATTACCATAGATAAAAAACAAAACAGAAGAATCTAATCAAGGATCATCTAACATGACAACACACATACAAAAAAGGGACATTCACTTTGCAAACTTTGTCAGTGTTAATTCTGTGCTTACTTAGAGGTCTCTATACCCCAGGCCAAAGGTCATTCAAAATAGTGTTACTGCCCTAAAAACGCCCTGTGCTTCACTTATTTGTTAGTTCTTCCTCCCCTGCCCCCAAACACTGACTGTTTACTGTCTCTATAGACTTGCATTTCCCAAAATATCGTATAGTTGGAATCATACAGAATCTAGAATTTTTAGATTGGCTTCTTTCCCTCACCATTAATCATTTAAAATTTATCCATGTATTTTTGTGTCTTGATATTCTTTTTTGTCACTAAATAATATTCCTTTGTATGGATCCCACAGTTTCCTTATTTATTCACCTTTTGAGGTGCCTCTTTGTTGCTTTCAGTTTTTGGCAATTATGTATAAAATTGCTGTAAACATTTGTGTGCAGGTTTTTGTGTGGCCATAAGGTTTTAACTTATTTCAGTAAATTCCAAGGAGTGGGTTTGCTAGACCATATGGTAAGACTGTGTTTAGCTTTGAAAGAAACTGCCAGATTGTCTTCCAAAGTAGTGATACCTTCTTGCCAGTAATGGATGAGAATTCCTGTTTATTGAACATCCTTGTCAGAATATGTTATTATCAGTTCAGAACTTTAGCCATTCTAATAGGTGTATGGTGGTAGCTTGTTTTAATTTGCACTTCCCTAATGACATATGATGATGAGCATATTTTCATATGATTATATTCCATCTTTATATCTTCTTTGGTGAGATGTCTGTTCAGATTTTTTGCTCATTTTTAAATTGGGTGGATTGTTTTTCTGTTGTTGACTTTCAAGTTTTCTTTGTATATTTTGGATAGTCTTTTATCAGACACGTATTTTGCAAACATTTCTTCCCAATCTGTGGCTTGTCTTTTCATTCTCTTAATACTGTCTTTCACACAGCAGAACTTTTTAATTTTAATGAAGTTTGACGTATTAATTTTTCTTTCATGAATCTTGCTTTTCATATTTATCTAAACCCATTAACAAAACCAAGGTCACCTAATTTTTCATCCATGCTATCTTCTCAAAGTTTCACTGTTTACATTTTAGGACTATGATCTATTTTTATTTTATTTTTGTGAAAAGTGTAATCTCTGTCTAAATTCACCTTGTCACCATGTAGAATTCTAGCTACTCCATCTTCATTTGTTGAAAAGACTGTCCTTTCTCCACTAAATTTTCTTTTCTTCTTTGTCAAAGATCAGTTGAATATATTCGTGAGTACATTTCTGATATATCTATTCTGTTTTATTCATCTTTTGTTTCTATTATTTAGTCAATATCATTATCTCTTGATGAGTGTAGCTTTATAGAAAGTCTTGAAATAGGGTAGTTTCAGTTCTTCAACTTGTTCTTCAGTACTGTGTTGCCTATTCTAGTTTTTGTCCAAATAAAATTTATCAGCATTTTGTCGATATCCACACAATATCTAGCAGATATTTTAATTGACATGATATTTAATCTATACATGAAAAACAGATGGAGAGAAATGATACTTAACAATGTTTAATTTTCTTACTGTGAATATAAAATATATATTTAGCTCCTTTTGATTTCTTTTATCAGAGGTCATAGTTTTTCTCATATAGATCTGATACATATTTTATTAGATTACTAAATATTTCAACTTTTTGTTTTAATATGAAAGGTTTTGTGTTTTTCCCAGCACTTTGGGAGGCCAAGGCGGGTGGATCACGAGGTTAGGAGATCGAGACCATCTTGGCTAACACAGTGAAACCCCATCTCTACTAAAAAAAATAAAATAAAATACAAAAAATTAGCCGGATGCAGTGGCAGGAACCTGTAGTCCCAGCTACTCGGGAGGCTGAGGCAGGAAAATGGTGTGAACCCGGGAGGCGGAGTTTGCAGTGAGCCGAGATCATACCACTGCACTCCAGCCTTGGCGATAGAGTGAGACTCCGTCTCAAAAAAAAAAAAAAATTATTGTGTTTTTAACTTAAAACTCTAATTATTCATGCTGCTATATAAGCAAACAATTGAATTTTTTATATTAACATTAGAAATGGCCACTTTGCTTTAACCACTAATTCATTCCAGGAGATTCTTGACAATTTTTTTTTATGATTTTCTACATAGACAATCATATTATTGGTGAAAAAAAGTTTTATTTCATCTTTCTCAATCTGTATATCTTTTATTTCCTTTTATCTTCTTATTGACTTCTAGGACTTCCAGGATCATGTTGATTATAGTTAATGAAAAAGCATATCCTTAAAACTGAAAAATATCCCAATTCTCATCATTATGATGTTAGCTGAATGTATATTGCATATGTTCTTTAACAATTCTATAAATTCTCCTGTTCCTAGTTACTGAGTGTTTTTGATTGTTTGTTTTATCATGAATAGGTATTGAATTTTATCAAATTTTTTTTGCATCTATGTATATGATCAGATGATTTTCCACTTTAGTCTGTAAATATGATTAATAATATTTATTGTTTTTAAAATGTTAAACTAATCTTGCATGGATGGAATCAATATATCCCACTTGGTTGTGATATATAATGTTGTTATATTTGATTTGCTAATGATTTGTTGAGAATATTTGTAGTTATGTTCAGAAGAGATACTGTTCTATAGCTTTTCTTCCTTGCAATGCTTCTACCTAGTTTTGGTATAAGGCTAATGCTGGTTTCATAGAGGAGTTAGGAAGTATTCCTTTTACTATCCATATCTGAAAGAAATGGTAGAGAATTGATTTTCACTATTTCCTTAGTGATTTTCTGCTTGTTGAATCTGACAATTACTAATAGAGCAATGTTTTTAAAACTTTATATTTTTTTAAAATAAATCAATTTTAAAAATTAAAATAAAAACTGTACTGGTTGCCCTAATATTTGCAGTGTAGATTTACAATTGATTCAAGTCTACTCTTATGAAAACCATACTGCTTCATGGGTAGTGAAGATATCATAAAACACAGTGTCCCAATACCTCCCTCCTACCACTTATAAAATTGTCACTTATTTTTCTTATCATAACTTGTAATGATGTCACATATTGCTGGTATTGTTATTTGGGAAAAAGCTGTTATCTGTTAGATCAATAAAGAATGGGAAAACAAAAGATTTTATTTTAGCTTCATTTAATGTCCAGTGCAGACACTCACTCACATTATGTAGATCTGAGACTCTGGCTTTTATGATTTCTTTCTCTCTGAAGAATTTTTCAACATTTCTCACAAGGTAAGTCCAATGGTTACAAATTTAATCAATTTTTTATTTGTCTGAGGATGTCTTTATTTCTCCTTCATTTTGAAGGATAATTTTCTAGATACGCAATACACAATTCCAGTTTTGTTTTTATTTGTCATTCAGGACCTTAAATATTTCACTCCATTTTGCTTTCATGATTTCTCAAGAGAATCTGATGTAATTCTTACCTTTGTTTCCCTATAGGTAAGAGATGTTCTTTTCAGCAATATTTTGGTTAAGTGTTATCTGAGTAAGAGTATATTCTGAGGTGGGCTCTAACTAAGCTTAGGTCTATGGTTTTTTAGGTATGACTAATTTAGTTAAATGTAAAATGTCAGTAAGAATAAGAGAAGGGATAAAGTAAGTAGAAGAACTGCAGTATCTAAATGTTAAAATAAAATGTATGGAAAAATGAAGGGAGATGTTAATGAATATAAAATTTAAAGGACTGAAATCAGAGAAAATAAAAGAAATAGTTAAACTTTTTAATTCACTCTATTTCTGTACTTGTAAGTATAACTCTATACATTGGTTTTTAATGTAGAGTAAGTTTTCAAAACCAAAATATATTTGCTTAAGCCTGAGGGTTTGGGCAGTTTTGTTTTGCCAAGTAGAGGTACCATATTTAAATGGCTCTCTCCATTAATTTTACTATCAGTGACTACTCTGAACTGAATTTTGTCCTCTCAAAATTTATTCATGTTGAAGCCTTAACCCCCCATGTGGCTGTATTTAGACAGGCCCATAGGAGGCAATTAATGTTAAATGAGGTCATAAGGATAGGGTCCTGATCAGATAGGATTCATGACTTTATTTTAAAAAGAAGAGAAAACAGAGAGATCTCTCTCTGTCTCTCTTTCTAGCTCTCTTTCCCCTGCATACAGGAAAGGAATTGTGATGATATAATGAGAAAGTATCCACCTCCAAGCCAGGAAGAATGCCCTCACCAGACTGAATCCTGCTGGACCTTAAATTTTGACTTTCTGTTTCTAAGAGGGTGAGAAATAAATTTCTGTTGTTTGAGACACACAGTTTATGGACGTTTGTTATGGCAGCCCTAGCAGATTAATACAGTAACAATCCCTCAATAAATACATATAAAATAAGGACACATACAAACTAAAATAGTAATGGTTTCTTAGAAATCTGCTTAATTGAGTATGCCAGCTATGACTGGGTATCGTGTGTTAATATTGTTATCCTCTTAACTAGCTTTTTCTAGGTAAAAGTTAAAATATTGTTTTCCAAAATTTGTACTCTACACTCTGCTAGTGTTAAGTATTATTTCATACTATTTCTATAATGCATAATATGGGCCTTGACTTTAGAATTATGTGTGGTAGAATACCATACGATTGTAAATCAATAGCTGTAGGTTTTAACTCTAGATATGTCATTATTAATTATGTGAGGTTAGACCAACTTTGAAAATTCTACTTTTTAAGTATATATATATATGCTTAAAATCAATAGATTGGCTTTGATATATCAGATCACTTCCAAATCTAAAATTATATAATTATGCGTGTCTCCTTGAACACTTCTAATTAGGAAATCTTCATTATATTTTTGCCAATATAACATTCTGTTCTATTTTTTTTTCAGCTTCCACAGTCAAGTTTCAGTTATATTTTAGCTACACATAGACATTTCACAACATATGGCAATCCAACAGTTGAATGTCACTACTAAGTAATGTTTAAATCATGGAGTGGATTTAATATATGCTCTATATAAAATAGGATTAAAACTTTTTGTGTGTGCTCCTGCCTCTGATCCTGGTTGAATCCCCTTTTCCTTAATCTAACTACATTAAAGTAGTTAGGTTGTAAGTAGTCTGGCTCCTGATTAAAAATCCATGACTGATTTTACAAGCCCAACCACAGGCAATTTACAAAGGCGTTACCTGGCAGGACTCACAGGGGAAAGCTGTCTTCCCCACACCAGACATGTTGCACAGCCAGTGCACTGCATTCTTTGGAAGGAGTTATAGTCAAGGACTCAGACAATCTGACAGGTCATGATTTTCCCATAGCTGTATTCCTAGCCTATTAGTTTTCATTTCCAGCTCTCTTTATTTGAGATTTGGCAGAGGTCTTCTTCAGGCTTCTGTACTGAAGCCTTCTTACAGGGTAGGAGGGTGTAGGTAGAAGGGAAAACCTAAAAGATGTTTCTCCCGACTCTGACATTTTCACTTCTAGCACTCCACTACCCAGTACTTTTCCACTCCATGACCACTCATAATCCACCAAGGTCCACGCAACTGCCTGAGCCTTTTTTTTTTTTTTTTTAATTTCAGGGTGAGGGTTCTTCCTCAATGAGATAACCTCTACATCTCTGTTAATCCACCTGACCCTCCACTGGTATGTTTTTCTATGGAGGAACATGGAACAGGGAGTCAGCACCTTTTCCTGCTTTAAAATATGCTTAGATCATTCCAGTAAGTGATTAAAGGCTAAGTTCTTTATTTTTTTATTTATTTATTTTTTTTGGTGTTGCTTTAATTGGCTACTCTGACACCAGACAGCTCAGCACTTCTGACACGCTTTTTTTTTTTTTTTTTTTCCTTCTCAGTCTCTCTCCCCCATTTCCAGCTCGGCTGAGCCCTTGACAGCCTCAGAAGAAGAGTCCATGGTATATCCAAAACCTGCATTTTCTTTTTAGGCAAATGTAGATAAGAAAGCTCTAATTATGCTTAGAATAATCTCCTGCTGTTTTGTTTTCTTTTATTTTCTCACAGATTCAACATTTTTATTTCTAACTCTTGTGTTTGAGGTTAGAGCACTATTGAAATAGTGGGAAAGGGATTTGTCTGATGTTTTTCTCATGGTTACACTGGATTTTTGGGTTTGGAGAGGAAGACCACAAAGGTGAAGTGTCATTTTCAATGCCACAGATAAAGAATAGGTGCTATTATTTTGACTTATCACTGATGCTGTGACATATTAATCATAGTTCTTTTAAATTCTCTGTCTGATATTTCCAACACCTGTGTCATATCTAAATGTGTTTCAGATGATAGTTTTGCCTCTTCAGACATATTTTTTTCTCTTGCCTTTTGAAATGCCTTGTAATTTTTTTGTGAAAAATCAAACATGTTGTATAGGGTAATATTTATTGAGATAAATAGGCTGAAACCTCTAAAGAGCAAGATTTTATATGATTCTTTCTAGAAGTTGAAAGGTGTTTAAAGTTTATTGTCATTGTAGGCACCAGAAGTTTGAATTGTTTTGGTGGCTTAGGGAGACATTATAGAACTATCTATATAAATTTTATTTTATTTAGTGGGCCTGTCTTCCGGGGCTGTGCCCTTCAGAAGTATCTCGTCCCTTTTTTCCCCCTTCCTGCCCCCTAGTCTCTTCTTGGGTAATACTGTTTGCAGACTCTTTCTTCAAAGCCCTCTTCCCTGTTGACTATGGCTTGTATTTATTTATATTTGTCTTAGGTGAGACAGGAAGGCTAGAGATAACTGGTTTGGTGTGGAAGTTTGTTACTCTACTAGGTTAAAGTTTTCAGATTCCACTGTGGTGAAGTACTTTCTCCTGGAAGTCAGGCTTTTGTTAGGGTGAAGAGTCTGGGTAGGTTTCATAATGGCTGCTTTTTTCTTTTTCTTGGTGATTCTACCTGGGGAGCTTTCTCTGATCCCCTTGAAAACCTGGTCAGATACATGAAAAAAAAAATCTGCAAGTATGTAGGAAATCACCAGGAATACAGATCCCACGAGTTTTTCAGTCTCATGTTAGTCTGCATTCAGCTTCCAGTAACTTGTCAATATACTGCTAATATTCCTACCAGTTTATGGCAAATGGTGGCTTCTGTGCTATATAAGAAGATCTCAGCTGTGACTGTCTGGATAGATCCAACTCTCAAGATTTGGGGTTAGTGATTTACTCTGCAATCTCATTCTCTTATGCATCGAATAAGGTTTGTTGATATTTAGTTTTCATGTGGCCACTACTGATACCAATATTTATTCTGAAAGTCAGTCTATTTCTTATTGTAAGGTCAGGACTAACTTCTAAGCACTTTGCAAGTCACTGCTGAAATCAAAGGCAGCATGTCCTGTTTTTTAATCCAAATACATCTTGAATTTATGTATTTTATCTCTATATTTACAATCAATTTTCTGTCCCAAACAAACATCTTTCATCATGGTACAATGCATCCTCTACTATGTATCTTTATGCTCTTTATTCTATTCTCCAGGTAAGAAGTAGATTGATATTTCAAATAATATCAGTTCACTGTTAGCACTCTCAAATTATTTCACATTGAATTCTAAAATCTCTTGCCCTGATAGACAATCCTATCTGATCCCTATATAGTTCATATACCACCAGTTGCCGTTTATTCCCAACCCAGTTTTTAAACCTCTGCTCTTACTCCTTTTGACATGGCTGTTTTACTCTTTTCATGTAAGTCTCTGCTTAAATCTAGTTTCTTAAACAGAGCTTCTTTAAGTACTTGAAACAAGAACCCCTGTATCCTAGAAATCAAACATGTTTAGCCTGTATAATATTTATTTATTTATCATTTACTCTTCTTCTAAAGGGGGAGAGTACAGTGACAAAAAAGGTATCTTTCTGGCTTGTTCAGCATCATATTCCTAAACTTAAAACAGCAAATACAAAGTAGGTGTTGAATAAATATATCATTGATGAATGAATTGTGTGCATCTTCCTAACATTTTTTAAAATTGCATATTTTAATCCCTTCTCCCTAATACACTGAGTTTGATCCACTCAATTTTCTTTCCTTTAAGGCAAAGCTCTTTCATGCCTTTGTATGTCTTATTTCTCCTTGTTCTTGTTACTCCATCACAACATACATATATATTTTTAACTAGACTAGTTCTTTTTGATGTCCTATGATTTAACTTTGAGGGATTATTTCTTTCTCATATAAAACTCCTGACAGGGGGTCCTGGGGGAACTTAGTAGCTTCACAGTCATCCATGACCTAACCCTTTTCCTCTTTATCTTCTTTTTCAACATATGGCTCCCATTTCATGATTCAAGATGATTGCTTCAGATCTAACATCACAATCACATGGGAGGTAGAAGATAAAGGAGAGAAACTTGTCTTTCTCTTCCTCTGCTAGAAGTTGGTCAAGTTGGCCACTATGAATGTCAAAGAAAATATATAAAGTCAGTCTTTATTCTGAGTGCTCACATGTTCATCTAATCTCTAGGAGTTCTACTGCAAAGAAGGAAATGGAAATATATTTGTGAAATATCAAGTAATCTCTGCCATTCTATTTAACATATATTCTTTTTATTATTCTCCATTTTAGTATTATATTTTAATATCAACACTTTTGCACAAGTTTTTAACATGATTTTTCATTTTTTTGTGTATTTCAGCTTTCTTCTGCTCTATGATAAGCCTTATTATGTCATTGAAAATCTGTTCTTTTCATCATATTTTCAACATTGCCTCACATGATATCTAGGATAAAGTAGGCACTTTTTAAATATTTATTGAATGGAAACAATGGGAAGAGATCTAGTTATTTATTTTATAATACATTTAATTTTATAGTCTGTATTAGTCTGTTTTCATGCTGCTGATAAAGACATACTGGAGACTTGGCAATTTACAAAAGAAAGGGGTTTAATGGAATTACCATTTAATGGACCTACAGCCCTGGAGAGGGATCAAAATCATGGGGGAAGGTGAAAGGCACGTCTCACATGATGGCAGACAAGACAAGAGAGTTTGCATAGGGAAACTTTCTTTCATAGAACCATCAGATCTCATGGGACTTATATCACAAGAACAGCATGGGAAAGACCTGGCCCGGTAATTCAGTTACTTCCTACCAGGTCCTTCCCACAACATGTGGAAATTCAAGATGAGATTTGGGTGGGGACACAGCCAAACCATCTTATACCACCCCTGACCCCTCCATTTCATATCGTCACATTTCAAAACCAATCATGCCTTCCCAACAGTCCCCCAAAGTCTTAACTCATTTCAGCATTAACTCAAAAGTCCATAATCCAAAGTCTCATCTGACACAAGGAAAGTCCCTTCTGCCTATGAGGCTGCAAAATCAAAAGCAAGTTGGTTACTTCCTACATACAATGAAGGTACAGGCATTGGGTAAATACAGTCATTCCAAATGAGTAAAATTGGCCAAAACAAAGGGGCTACAGGCCACATACAAGTCTGAAATCCAATGGCGTAGTCAAATCTTAAAGCTTCAAAATCATGTCCTTGATTCCATGTCTTACATCTAGGTCATGCTGATGCAAGAGATAGCGCCCATGGCCTTGGGCAGCTTCCCCTTTAGCTATGCAGGGTATAGCCCCCTTCATGGCTATTTCATGGGTTGGCATGGTATGGCTTTTCCAGTCAAATGGTGCAACTTGTCAGTGTATCTACCATTCTGGGGTCTGGAGGGCAGCTGCCCTCTTTCCACAGCTCCAGTAGGTGGCGCCCACTAGGGACTCTCTGTGGGGGCTCTGAGCCCACATTTCTCTTTTGCACTGCCCTAGCAGATGTTCTCCGTGAGGGTTCCACCCCTGCAGCAAAATTCTTCCTGGACATCCAGGCATTTCCATACATCCTCTGAAATGTAGACAGAAGTTTCCAAACCACAGTTCTTGACTTTGGTTTACTTGCAGGCTCAACACCACATGGAAGCTGCCAAGGCTTTTGGATTGCACTGCACCCTCTGAAGCCATGGCCCAAGCTCTATGCTGGATGCTTTCAGCCATGGCTGGAGTGGCTGGGACACAGCTAGGCTGTGCACAGTACAGGGACCCTGAGCCCAGCCCAAGAAACAACTTTTTACGCCTAGGCCTCTGAGCTTGTGATGGGCGGGGCTGCCCTGAAGACATCTGACATGTCCTGGAGACATTGTCTTCATAGTCTTGGGGATTACCATTCGGCTCCTCATTATTTATGCAGATTTCTGTGGTCACCTTGAATTTTTCTTCAGAAATAGGATTTTCTTTTTTATCACATTGTCAGGCGGCAATTTTTCCAGACTTTTATGCCGTTTCCCTTTTAAAACTGAATGGTTTAACAGCATCCAAGTCACATCATGAATGCTTTTTTGCTTAGAAATTTATTCTGTCAGATACCCTAAATCATCTCTCTCTAGTTCAAAGTTCCACAAATCTTTAGGGCAGTGGCAAAATGCCACCAGTCTCTTTGCCAAAACATAACAGGAGTCACCTTTGCTCCAGTTCCCAACTAGTTCCTCATCTCCATCTGAGACCATCTCTGCCCGAACCTTATTGTTCATATCACTATCAGGATTTTTGTCAAAGCCATTCAACTGGTCTCCAGTAATTTCCAAACTCTCCCACATTTTATTATCTTCTTCTGAGCCATGCTAACTGTTCCAACCATTGCCTGTTACCCAGTTCCAATGCTGTTTCCACATTTTCAGGTATCTTTTCAGCACTACCCCACTCTACTGGTAAAAATTTACTGTATTCATCCATTTTCATGCTGCTGATAAAGATATACCAGAGACTGGGCAATTTATGAAAGAAAGAGGTTTAATGGATTTACAGTTCAACGTCTCTGTGGAGGACTCACAATCATGGCAGAAAGTGGAAGGCAAGTCTCACATGGTGGCAGATAAGAGAAGAGAGCTTGGGCAGGGAAACACCCCCTTATAGGACCATCAGATCTCATGAGACTTATTCACTATCATGAGAACACCACGGGAAAGACCTGCCTCCATAATTCAATTACCTCCCACCAGGTCCCTCCCACAACATGTGGGAGTTCAAGACGAGATTTGGGTAGGGACACAGCCAAACCATATCATACTCTAACATTTGTTTTCAATTTCTTCATATTACTATTTCTATAATCTTTTATATTATTCCTATTAAAATAATAAAATTTATATAGCATCCTATAAGGAAAAAGCTATATTTTATGAAAAATATTATTTTAAGTGCTATAATACTAGATAATGTAAATGACAATGTAAAAGTTTATTTTAATTTACTATGTAACATTTATTACATCACCTATAACACATTTATAACTTTTTAATTAATTAATTTTTTATCTTACATAAAACATTTATTTATTTATTTTTATTTCAACTTTTACTTTAGATATGGGGAAAAATGTGCATGTTTTTACATAGGAATATTCTGTGATTCTCAAGGTTGGAGTATGGATCCCATCACCCAGGTAATGAGCATTGTGTCTTATAAGTAGTTTCTTAATCAATACCCCATCCTTTAGTAGTTCACAGTGTCTACTCATCCCATATTTTTGTCCATGTGTGCTCAATGTTTAACTCCCACTTACAAGTGAGAAGATGCAGTATTTGGTTTTCTGTTCCTGTGTTAATTCGCTTTGGATTATGGCCTCCACCTCCATCCATTTTGCTGCAAATGACATGATTTTATTCTTTTTTTAATGACTGTGTAGTATTTCGTGGTGCATATGTACCACATTTTCTTTATCCAATCTACCATAGATGGACTCCTAGGTTGATTCCATGTGTTTGCTATTGTGAGTAGTACAGCGTTGAACATATGAGTGCAGGTGTCTTTTTGGCAGAATTATTTATTTTCTTTGAGTACATTCCCAGCTCTGTTTTAAGTTCTTTGAGAAATCTCTAGGCTGCCTTCCACAGTGGCTGGACTAATTTACATGCCCACCAATAATTTATAAGCTTTCCCTTTTCTCCACTGCCTCAGTAGTATCTGTTGTTTTTCAACTTTTTAATAGCTATTCTGACTGGTGTGAGATTATATCTTACTGTGGTATTAATTTGCATTTCTCTTATTATGAATGATGCTGAGCATTGTTTCATTTTTTTCATGTTTGTTGGCCACTTGTGTGTCTTCTTTTGAGAGGTGTCTGTTCATATTCTTTGACCATTTTAAAAATTGATTTATTTGGTTTTTGCTTGTTGATTTGTTTAACTTCTCTATATATTCTCAATATTAGGTCTTTATCATATGCATAGTTTGCTAATATCTTCTCCCATCCTGTAGGTTGTGTGTTTACTCTGTTGTAGGTTTCTTTTGCTGTGCAGAAGCTCTTCAGTTTAATTAAGTCCCACTTGTTTGTTTTTGCTTTCATTGAAGTTTACTTTGGGGACTTAGCCAAAATTCTTTGCAAGGAGAAATGTTGAGAAGAGTATTTCCTAGGTTGTCTTCAAGGATTTTTTATAGTTTAAGGTCTTATATTTAAACCATTAATCCATTTTGAGTTAAGTTTCATATATGGTGAAAGGCAAGGGTCCAATTTCATTCTTCTGCTAGTCAGTTATTTCAGCAACATTTATTGAACAGAGTGTCTTCTCCCCATTGCTTGTTCTTGTCAACCTTGTTGAAGAGCAGATGGTTGTAGTTTATTTTGTAATTGACAAATGACCTTGTATGTTTCCATCATGTACATCATGATGTTTTAAGGTACATATAAGTTGTGAAATGGTTAAATCTAGTTAATTCACAAAAGCTTTACCTCACATAGTTATTATTTTTGGGCTAAGAGCCTTAACATCCATTATCTTTATATTTTCAAGAATAAAATATATACAGATAAAGAAAACATCTTTAAAATGAAACAATTTTGTTTACTAGCATATTATATAAAAATGTGGGATCTCTGAAAATATCAAATAGCATTCTAGTTTAAATTGTTGCACTTACATTCTATGCAAATAAACTTTTAAATTGTATTAATTTCTTGGCTATATAAGTACAGGCATGTTTGCTTTGTTCATTGATATTAAGTTCCTAGAACAGTTGACACATTTTGAATACAAATTGCAGATAATACAGGAAGAAAAAAGAACAATGGTTTTTATAAATCATCTATTTCTTATGTAACAGGCAACTTAATAAGCAGTTAATATGTATTATTATATTTAATGTATAAAGCTTTAAATATACTTATACAAATTTGAAGAACTCAGGGCACCCTATTCCTCTGCTCACAGATATCTATTTTAAAGTCGACATGAGTAAGTGATAAATTCATCAATATAAAATAAATGTAAAAATATTTCAAAGTGATTCATTTGTACCAGACCATTTAAAAAGAGGGGATAAAATAGTATCAATGGGGAAGGGCATGGCGGGTCAAACCTGTAATCCCAGAACTTTGGGAGACCGAGGCAGGCAGGTCACGAGGTCAAGAGATTGAGACCATCCTGGCCAACATGGTGAAGCCCTGTCTCTACTAAAAATACAAAAATTAGCCGGGCATGGTGGTGGGCACCTGTAGTCCCAGCTACTCAGGAGGCTGAGTCAGGAGAATTGCTTGAACCAGGGAGGCACAGGTTGCAGTGAACCGAGATCGCGCCACTGTACTCCAGCCTGGCGACAGAGCGAGGCTCCATTTAAAAAAAAAGAAAAAAAAAAGTATAACTTGTACAGTGCATACTGTTGATTATAGGGACATCACTGATGTTACAAAAAAATATGGTTGCCATCTCTGCTATTCAACATTATTTTAATAGTATATACCACAGTACAATGAGATAAGAAAAATAAATTACAAATCTATATATCACATGAATATATACATCATATTTAAGAATGTCTACCATATAGTAAGTACTACAAGATATTCCAAGTGGCAACACTACTGATGATAACTGAAACATTATTTCATGAGTTTAGTAAGGTGCCTGATTTGAAGATACAAGTTAATAACTTCATAAATGAACAGATAAGCACAACACATAAATGGCTCTGCCCTCATAAAATTTACATTCTCACGTGTTTGTATGTTGCGGTGGTATAGACATAAATATAATAAATGAATGTTTCAGATTGTATTTTCTGAAGACAGCTCGCCAGTGTCTCCCGTGCCCGTGTGCTATTGTGTAATGTCATCTGACATTCCTTCAGTGAAGAAGTGGGGCCCAGGACCTCTCTGCTTGAATGTGGGCAAAGTTGTAACTCCTTTGTAGTCAGAAACATGTAATGTTGTACGTCTTCCAAGCATAGGTGATAATAGGTGAAGGAGCTGTTTTCTTTCCTGAAGCCCTGTAGTGTCATGTAAGAAATCTGATAGCCCTAAGTCCTCTATACTGTAGGAAAGATTAAACCAGCCCTGGCTGAGAGGCACCATGGCAAAGCTGTAAGACTTCCCAAAGAGAGAAATTCCTGACCAACCTCCAGATGCTCCAACTCTAGCTATTGCACAATAGAAAGCCTGAGCCAGAACCACCTACATGGCTTTTCCTGAATTTATGATTTATAAAACCCATGAGTGTTAACAAAGAAGAGTATTACCTTCTTAACCACTGAATTTTAGGTCATTTGTTGTGCAGCAATCCATAAATGGAACAAGTAAATGAGCTTGTTAAGTAATAAGGAAAAACAAAAACAAAATGCAGCAAGAAAGATGGATCACAAAAATGTGAGGTAAGTTTTCAGTTTTTAATATGAGGGTTGTGGTAGGCATTATTGAAAGGATACTTGGGAGTGGGGAACCTGAAATGAGTGAAGTGGATGAGAAGGATCATAGTTGTCTTTAGAAATTTAGAAGGTCTATTTTGCTTTAAGAACTCCCTGAATTTTAAGTTTCATTCCATCAGGGCACCAAAATATACCAAGAGTTCCTCGTAATGTTTTCTGGCAGCTACTATATCAAGCTAGTCTGTTTGCTTTAAGAATGATTTCTTTCTACTTTATGGCTCATCAAGTGCTCTATGCAACAAAATTCCAACACTAACCCCAGATTGCAGAGTTAAATTATTTTTTACTAAGAGCACTTCTCCTTAATTCCTATATTATTTTTAAGTTACTTTTTTGTTAAGCTCAGTAAAGAATCTCAGGATATACCAGGATTTGAATAAATGTTAAGTTACTATTTTTTATCTTTCTCTGTTTACAGTGTTCCTTTTTCTTTGAGGACTTCATATTATTACTTACCACTTGTCATCTGTGGCAAACTGAGATGAAAGAGAATTAGACATACTCAAACTCAAAATGCAAATTTTATAATGCATCAACTTCTCACTGGACGCAAGCAGTCTAACTTGCACCTTTCAAACCAGTGTTTCAAAAATTGTGGCACAGTGACCACCTCTGTCTGGGTAACCTAGGTCACTTGTTATAAACTTGAACTCCTGGGCTCCACCCTGATTTACCTTATTTATTAAGGGTGGGAGCTAGGAATAAGACTGTAACAAGCTCTATGGTTCATTCTGTTGCACAACTTCAAAGCTATTGCTTTACATCATCTACTTGGAATTGAGTAGAGATTAATCATGTTGTATAGTAAAAGATTTTCTTGAAATTTGCTAACCTTCACCGTAGGCCAGTATGAAAAGTAAACATTTCTAGTTAACATTCATTATTTGTGTTAAAGATATTGCTCAGTAGCCAGTATTGAATATTCAGAAAATGAGATATAATTTTAGAGAAAAGTTTAAACCTAAAACAAAATACTGGATGATAGGAAATCCTAAAAAATCTGGCCATTAACGCCCTTCGGCACAAAGAGTTCAGAGGAGATAAGAAAAAAGTAGATTGGAAAATTAGACAATAGAATTAAAAACTGTGACTGAGATAGCTTTCAGAAGGAAGGTTTTAAGAAGTACCCACAACAAAGAAAACTAATTTCTTTTTTCCTTTTTACTCTCAGGATTAATCACAAAGTATTTTTAAAAATTAATTATTAGTCCCCTTTTCTTCTTAGTGATTCACCTCTGAAAATAAACCATTTAAATATGTTCTTACAATTTCCTGCTGTTTTGGTCAGCATTATTCACTTTGGTGGCAGCAAATGTCAGGAGGATCATTCCAGAACCAGGTTGTCACAAATTAACAACCAAAATCACTTTACAAAAGCCTCTTGGAAAATGAGTGTCACTTCTCTTACTCTGGAGTTTCATCCATGTAATAATACCAAAAGGCAAGAGACATGAGGCAACACAGACACATAATCCCTTAGGTTACTTGTAATTTCACTACCACTGCAGCTGATAAAATCAAGTGTGGGTACTGTTTTCATGCTTGGAAGCTTAAGTCATATGCTTATATTCATAAATCAAACCCTTGCCTAGATTTTCTCTATTACATTCATTTACATAAACTCCTTACAGACATATGCAATATTTGCCTCTCTGTCAACTCAATAATATCAAGACAATCCAGTCTTTCCCCTTATATCATGTTTGTTTCTTCATGTGTTTTAGCAACAAAGATAAGCTTCATGGATTATGGACAAAAGTTTCCCTAATACTACTGATTCTTTCATTCAACAAGATAAACAAACAAACAAAAGACAACTATTTCCAGATATATATGATTATAAATCATAGCTTTTTATGCGCATAGCATTTTAATAGCCTTTTCATACATGTTCTTGAAACATTTTTTCCAAAAAAATTGCATATTATTGCATTATTATGTAATTATTGTTATAAGTATTATCAAATTTCACTTTATGCTAGATTTATAATCTTGTTAACTTTTTAAAGGTGACAAGGCTGTTTACAATTATACATCCAGTACACATATTTTTTACTTTAAAGATAATGTTGGGCATAATTGTATTTGGTGGAAAAAATTTTTTTTAATGTTTACTGTGTTCAGTTTATATAGCAGCAGTGTACGAGGCTGTAAATGCAAATATTATAACATTTCCCAAGTTGTATTTTATACAATAAAGTATTCAGAAAACATTAATAGATTTGCAAAGATATGATAAACAAATGTTATAAAACTAAATATGTTTATGAAATGAGTTTTAAAAAACAAGATTTATTAAGACAGAGCTTTTCCATATTTTTTCATATGATTATAAGTGTTTTAAACTCCAAGAAGACTATAGAGCATGCAGCATTACCCAGACTTATTATGAAACAAGAAAACCCTTTCACTCTATAATTCTGCTCCTGAAAGTCCTTTAGCCTTTGTCATTTTTCATATGAAACACATTTTGGAGATCTCTAGCCTATTACCATTGTTCTATTTCATATTTTGCCCTCATTTCCTGTTACTCTCATATTTTGATACCTGAATGTGTAGTTTTATTGATTATCCAATGATATGTGTTATCAATATTTATAATATAAATGGTATCCTTTTATATAGATATTTATGTTTATTTATTGAAAAACTAAATTCTTATTTCTATCAAATTTTAACTTTATACTCTGTGAAAGAAAGTTTAATTATTTATATAAGTTCATTAAATATAAATATATTAATAATTATATTTCATGGCAAGGTCCATTTTTTTTAGGAGGATCACAGGACACATCATGCGACTTTCATTAATTTAGACATTTAATTAGAACCAGAGACATTTTTTAATAAGATAGACTACATTACAGTTTTCAGAACTAGAGACTTTCTTTAGTAAGACATACTACATTACAGTTCTTACCAAAAAAAGTGAATTAGAATGCTAATTTTTTGACACCCCAAATGGAAGAATATTATTTAAAATTAAAAGTTTATTATCTTTTAAAACTAAATAGACAATTTTATTGTGTCTCCTGGTGGCAGGTTTCTGCCCTCTGCAATTAAGACATCTAGGCCAGCAGAACGTAATGTTGTGGGAAAAGGAAGCAAAACTTCTGCTCGTGGATCACTAGGGGTGATGGTGAGTGGTGCCACTTCCACTTCCACCCCTATTACCCCTATTAAAGCCTGATTAAATACATTGCAATTGGTGATCAAAACAAGAACCTAAAATTATATTCAGAAATTAAAATTTTAGGAAAAAAATTTAGAATAAAAATTTTAGAAAAATTTTAGAATTTTAGTGGAGACCAGGGGCATTTGAACCACTTCCTCATGTAACTTGTGCCTTCAAGGCCTGCTTGAGCCCAATCACGTACATAGCACTTCCATTTGATGATGGAATGCTGCTGTGCATGACCCAATTTATGGCTAGATGGGTCAGAAAGCATCCAGTTTATGATAGACATCCAGTTCATAATATAGAGAATTAGAAAGGGAAATAAATGTCATGCTAAATATATGTCCTTGTGATATTCAAGACATATGTATATCTGATACTCATACTCCACTGATATTGACCATTATTTATAGTATAGCTTGATAGGTATATATAATATCTCTCTCTTTATAGCTATTGTTTGCCACAAATGTACTTAACATGATAAAGAGGTACTTAAGAATGTTTTCTAAAGTTCATTTTGCATTTTTATCTTTGCAACTCAAAACCTCTTTAACTTTGGATACCTATGTATTGCATAATTTATCTATCAGATAACTTTAAAGATAAAGTAAAAAAAATAGTTGTTAACATAGCGCTGTATGTAAAGATTGATTGAGATAGTAAAACTTCAAAAAAACCTAAAATACTGTTCAATCTACTATTAAAATAAGCACAGTATAAATAGATCCAGAATTATCATATTAGAACAAATAATAGCAAGCAATATGTTTAAAATGTACTATAATAGGAATTAATATTTAAAAAAATACTTCAGAACATCTTAATGAAAATGTTACAACAAAAATTAAGAAACAAATTTCACCAAATATTATGATAAATAATATTACTTTGGATGTCAAATACAAAATTATTAAAAAATACTTATATGGAACACACATTTTTATAATTTAAATTTGTTAAGCACTGTAATAGGTTCAAGGGTCCTATTACCACCAATATTTGCACAAGTCATTTAATGATATAAAAGTGTTAAAATGTTTTTTTCTAAGACTTTGATATGTTTACATCTTCAACTATTGAAATAATAAAATCAGAAAATAAAACATCAGGTGAAATTACAGTCAGATTAGAAACATTTCTTTAACTTTATTACGTAAAGTTAACAATACTTACATGCTGATATGAAGTCAATAAATCTTATGTCACATGATAAAGGAAAAGGGAATAACATGAAGATATTTTATTAGTACAAGTGTATACATGCACAAACGTGTTTTTAACAAAAGAAGGAGGACATACTCATGACAATTACAGTCCTGATTTCTGCAGTTGGTCATGTGTTTGTAACTAGTATTGATGCCTACCTTCTTCTACTACCCATTCTGTATTCCCTTTGCCTTCAGCAAGCACCTCAGCAGGTCCCAATTTTTTTCCTGGTGGGGTGACCAAAACCTTCATTTCTGAAGGGTCTCGGTCCTCCCTAGATTGGACTGTTGTAGTTTCCCATTGACCTTAATCACAGGGCATGGAAATACTAAGAGACACCCTAATGGATCTCCTGAATTCCTGAATTCCTGAATTCCATGCATACTGTTCTTTTTTTTTTTTTTTTTGAGACAAAGTTTTCACTCTGTCACCCAGGCTGGAGTGCAATGGCGCATTCTCGGCTCACTGCAACCTCCGCCTCCTAGGTTCAAGTGATTCTCCTGCCTCAGCCTCCTAAGTAGCTGGGATTACAGGTGCTCACCACCATGCCCAGTTAATTTTTGTAATTTTTAGTAGAGACGCGGTTTCACCATGTTGGCCAGGCTGGTCTCAAACTCCTGACCTCAGGTGATCCTCGGCCTCCTAAAGTGCTGGGATTACAGGTGTCAGCCACTGCGCCTGGCTGCATACTCTTCTTTACTTCCATTGTGCAGTAGTAGACTGATTTCGTCTTTATAGTCTGGGTCAGTCACCCCAGCCAACACTGTAACTCCCTTCTTAGCCTGTTGACCTAAAGGTAGGAGGAGCCCAAAGTGTCCAGGTACCAGTCTTAACCTCCAGTTTAATGAAATTGTTGTCATGTCTCCTGGTGGCAAGTTTCTTCCCTCTGGAACTAAGACCTCTAAGCCAGCAGAATGTAATGTTATGGGAACAAGAAGCAAAAATTTTGCTAGTGATTTACTACGGGTAATGGTGAGTGGTGCCACTTCTACTTCCATCCCTTGATTCATGGACCCATGAATCCTGGCTATGGGAGAAACATTACCATATATTGGATGCTGATTCAGAGCATAAACAGCCCTCTGGAGAACTTTTCCCCAGCCCTGCAAAGTATTGTCACCTTGTTGGCATTGTAATTGTGACTCCAAAATGCCATTCCACTGTTCTATCAATCCAGCTGCTTCAGGATGATGGAGAACATAGAAAGTCCACTGAATTCCATGAGCATGAGCCCACTGCCACACTTCTTTATCCATAAAGTGAGTGCATTGGTCAGAGGCAATGCTGTGTGGGATACCATGATGGTGGATAAGGCATTCCTTGAGTCCACATATGGTAGTCCTGGCAAGAGCATTTTGTGCAGGATAGGCAAACACACATTCAGAGTAAGTGTCTATTCCAATGAGGGCAAACCTCTGCCTTTTCCATGACGGAAATATAATCAACCTGCCACCAGATAGCTGGCTGATCACCCCAGGGAATGGTGCCATATCAAGGGCTCAGTGTTGGTCTCTGCTGCTGGGAAATTTGGCACTCAGCAGTGGATGTAGCCAGGTCAGCCTTGGTGAGTGGAATTCCATGTTGCTGAGCCCATGCATAACCTCCATCACTGCCACCATGGCCACTTTGTTCATGGGCTCATTGGGTGATGACAGGTGTGGCTAGGGACAGAGGCTGAGTTGTGTTTACAAAACAGGTCATCCTATCCACTTGATTATTAAACTTCTTCACTGAGGTCACCTGTTGCTGAACACTCACATGGGTGGGATACAAATATCTTCACAGTTTTTGACCACTCAGAGAGGTCCATCCACATACCTCTTCTCCAAATTTTTTTGTCAACCAATTTTCCAGTCTTGCTTCTTCCAAGTCCCTGAGCATCCAGGTAAAGCATTGGCTACAACCCATGAATCAGTGTGTAATCAGACATCCAGCCAATTCTCCTTCCCTGCACAGTGCACAACCAGGTGCACTGCTCAAAGTTCTGCCCACTGGGAAGATTTCCCTTCACTGCTGTCCTTCAGGGATTTCGTAGAAAGGGGCTGTAGTGCTGTAGCTGTCCACTTTCAGCTGGTGCCTGCATATGGTGCAGAGCCACCTGTGAACCAGGCCCTAGTCTTCTCTTCCTCTGTCAACTGATCACAGGGAACTCCCCGTGAGGCCATTGGTTGCAAGCAAAGGGAGAGAAGGCAGAGTGGCAGGAGTGGAGACCATGGGCTTTTGAACCACTTCCTCATGTAACTTCAGCCTTCAGGACTTGGTCGAGCCCAATCACGTATATAGCACTTCCATTTGATGATGGAATGCTGCTGTGCATGACCCACTTTATGGCTAGGTGGGTCAGAATGCACCCAGTTCATGATAGACAGTTCAGGTCACAGGATGACTTGATGACCCATAGTCAAACGTTCAGTTTTCACCAATGCCCATTAACAGGCCAATAGCTGTCTCTCAAAAGGAGAGTAGTTATCTGCAGAAGATGGCAGTTCCTTGCTCCAAAATCCTAGAGGCCTCCACTGTGATTCACCTATGGGGGCCTGCCAGAGGCTCCAAACAGCATCCCTATCTGCCACTGACACCTCAACCACTATTGGATCTGCTGGGTCATGTGGCCCAAGCAGCAGAGCAGCTTGCACAGCAGCCTGGACCTGTTGCAGAGCCTTCTCCTGTTCTGGACCCCACTCAAAACTGGCAGCCTTTCAGGTCACCCTATAAATGGGCTGGAGTAACACACCCAAATGAGGAATGTGTTGCCTCCAAAATCCAAATAGGCCCAATAGGCATTGTGCCTCTTTCTTGGTTGTAGGAGGGGCCAAATGCAGCAACTTACCCTTTCTTAGAAGGAGTATTTCCACAGGCCCCACACCAATGGATCCCTAGAAATTTTACTGAGGTAGAAGCTCCCTGAATCTTAATCGTATTTATTTCCCATCCTCCTGCACACACATGTCTCACCAGTAAGTCCAGTGTGTTTGCTACTTCTTGCTCATTGGATGTAATCTGCATAATTTCATCGATGTAATGGACCAGTGTGATATTTTCTGAAGTGAAAAGGTGTCAAGTTCTCTCTGAATAATGTTATGACAGTAAGCTAGAGAGTTGATATATCCCTGAGGTAGGACAGTGAAGGAATATTGCTGGCCTTGCCAGCTGAAGGCAAATTGCTTCTGGTGGGCCTTATGGACAGGAATGGAGAAAAAGGCATTTGCCAAGTCAATGGCTTCCATTTGGCCTTTCCCACCATAATAGCCCTCACCGTAACAGTCAGTGAGCCAATGTGGGGGTTCTGCCAGCTGCTAAGTATGTCTATGCCAATTATGCATTCTGGCACTGGGGAAATGATCACAGGATGAGTTTGCCGACCCACTGGACCTGCTGTAAGTTGGACATGAGCTAAAACTCCATTGATTACCTGACCTCCATAAGCCCCAACTTTAACTGGAGGACCACAGTGACATTTTGGTTCCCCTGGAATCAATGTCAGTTCAGAGCCAGTGTCCAGTAGTCCCCAAAATGTCTGATCATTTCCCCTTCCCCAGTGCACAGTTACCCTGATAAAAGGCTGGAGGTCTTCTTGGGGAAGGATGGGAGAAGGATTCACTGCATAGATTGTCAGTAATGTAGTGGAGTCTTTCCTCAAGGGGAGCTGGCCTCCCCTTCATTCAAGAGGTTCTAGGTCTGTAAATTGGCTCAAGTCTGGAAATCAATTGAGGGGACGTGATTCTCTATTTTTATAACTCAAATTAGTCTTCTGACCATTTGACCTAGAGGTTTTCTCCTTATATAAATTTAATGGAAATGCATTAGGCTTCTTACCAATTTCAGTTCTAGGAACACCGTGATTAATTAGCTAATGCCAGAGCTCTATGTGAGTCAGACTATTCTGATCGCCACTTTGCCTATGCTGTTCATATGGTAGTTACACCCACCTTGCCTTTGATGGGTTGAGTGTTGCCACTTGGCCCTGCCATCTCGGGATCCATCGTATGTAAATTTTGTAGTTGAGTGACGGCAGTTCTCACAGTTAGATCTGACCTATAAAGAGGAGTAATTACAGTGCTCTTCAAAGATGCAGGTGATGCCCTCACAAGTCTATTTCACAAGGCATTTGTCAAGGATATGTCTTCTGGACCCTCTTAGCTGGGAGGAGTAAGGCTAAAGTGACTAATCCACTCCACCATCTCAATCTCCCTAAGCCTTTGGATCCCTTCCTCTACATTAAACCAAGGGAGATAAGGCATTTCCAGCTCACTCACAGGGGGCCATCTTTTAATCCATATTTCAGCTAATCAAGCAAATAAACTATTAGAACCTTTTTTAATTATCTGATCTGCAGTATTAAATGCAGAATCCCTACTTAGTGGCCCCAAATCAATAAATTCAGCCTGTTCTAACTCTATGTTCCTTCCACCATTATCCCATGCCTTTAATATCCATTCTCATGCCTGTTCTCCAGATTGCTGTTTATATAATAAATTAGAGAACTCAAATAGTTCTTTTCGAGTTTAGTGCACATCCTCATGGGTCACCCCCTGAACCTCACCTCTAGGGTTCTGCCGAGACTTTAGTGTGGTTATAGGTCTAGAAGCAAACAGAGGTGTTGGGGGTGGCTTCTGAGGAGAATTGACATTATCTTGCCTGGCAACTGCCTCAAGGGAGGCCATCACTGTTGCCTTAGGCAGCACAGGGTTTATCTCCTGAGACAAAAGCTGATGGAAGCATGGGTCAGGGAGGGGATGTTGCCACTACTGGGGATGGGGAAGCTATTCCTTCTGGCAAAAAAGGTTGATCAGAGTTTACAAACTCAGTGTCCCCAGCTTTACTGGGGTCCTTCCACACTTCCCCATTCCAAATTGCAGGGTCTCATTCCTTTCCAGTAAATGCCCTCACTTTAACAGTAGCCACCTGGCGAGACTGTGCATGCATCTTTCATTGCAGGTCAGCAACTTGCATGATACGAGCTTGTGTCTGTTTTTCCACAATTTCAGCTTTTTCTGTACAGGAGATAAGACTCTCACTCAGGGCAATCTTAGCAGATTTGGGGCTCAGTATCTGCTTCTGAAGCCAGGAGACAGAATCCCTGAGTTCATCATTTTCTTTCATCACTTTTGTCCACTGAACTTAAGACGAACCAACTAGCTTCATTATGTTCCTTGGTTCTCCACATATGGTCAAAGGTATTATGTATAGAGTTACTAAACTCCTTGCCTCTCATGAGCGGTGAAACAGGAGTGTCAAACACATTTATTTTGCGTCTCTCTAAAACAGTTCATGCCAAGGACTATCAGTGTTCTCTGTACTATTAAAAGTAGGGTCCTTAGCATTTATGGGTCTAATCATATTAAGCAGCCAACTTCAGAAACCCCAAAAGCAATGAAAGAACTCCACCCTTAATATTCTGTTCCTTTAAAACCACTCCTGGTACCAAAATATGTATTAGTCAGGTTTCTCCTAGAAGGAAAGTACTTACAGGATATATATATAATAAACATATATATATATGTTTATTAATCATTAATTTACACAATCACAAGGTCCCACAATAAGCTGTCTGCAAGCTGAGGAGCAAGGAGAACCAGTCTGAGGAGCAAGGAGAACTCAGGAACTTGGAGTCTGTTGTTTGAGGGCAGGAAGTACCCGGCATGGGAGAAAGATGTACACCAAGAGGCTAGACCCATGTCTTCTTTTCACATTTTTCTGCCTCCTTTATATTCGCTGGAAGCTGATTAGATTGTGCCCACCAGATTAAGGGTGGATCTGCCTTCCCCAGACCACTGATTCAAATGTTAATCATTTTGGCAACACCCACACAGACACACCCAGGTTTAGTACCTTGCATCCTTTAATCTAATCAAGTTGACACCCAGTATTAACCATCACATTCTCAAATATATGTGTATTTATAAATATATATTTGTGTGTGCACATATTCTATAGCACATAAATATTCTATAGCATTCCCTTTCTTTATTCTCATATCAAGATTACAAATAGCTTTATCAAAATATTGTTTTAATGAGGTATTTTTGCTATTACTTTGGTATGTAATCTTTTGAATTCTGTAGATATTCTGATCTGCTTTTTTGTTTTGTGAAACAAAAAACAATAATGACATTCTTTGAAGTGCATGAAAATTTAATCGCATGTTATTGTGTTTTCAGATAAGCCAAAGGTGACCATTTCTCCAAGTTGCAAAGATTGAATCCTGGATTGGCGTCCATCAAATGCAGGTAGCACTCCTTGCCTTTTAATGACAGTGACTATGAGAAATGTCTTACATTTCAATTCTTCATTGTTTTATTTTTCGTGTGCCTTTATGCAATATGTTAACAATGTCCAGGTTCTCCAAAGAAACAGACAAATAAGAGAGAGAGAGAGAGGTTTTATATCTAAATCCATAATTGTGTCTTTATCAACGGACAGATAAATTTATTCTAAAATAAATTTATTATATATTTATTATTATTTATTCTATGACACATGATTATGGAGGCTAACAAGTAATAAAATATGCAATTAACAAGCTAGAGATCCAGGAAAGCCAATGGTGTATTTCCAGTCTGAAGGCCAGTAGGCTGGACATTCAGGATGAGTCAACATTTTACTTTGAGTCCAAATGTAGGAGAAAATGGATATCCCAGTTTGAAGACAATCAGGCAACGAGAAACAATTCTTTTTTTACTCAGCCTTTTATTAGATTTATGCCTTCAGTGGATTGGATGAGCCTCAACTACATCAGGGAGGGCAATTTGCTGTATCCAATCCACAGATTCAAATGTTAATTGTATCCAGAAACACCCTCACTGACACACGAAAAATAATATTTGAAAAATTACTGTGTGTTCTATGGCCCAGTCATGTTAACATAAAAATAACCATCACATAAACTGATAGGCATATACCATTATAGTATTTATAATTTGTAATTGTATAATAAAACTATGGAAAGGCTTTGTATTCTTAATCCTATTCACCCTGATATTTTGATGATCAGGGTAATAAGATTGATTCTCCTTTTATATAGCTGGTGTCAGTGAGTGT
The DNA here is from genome assembly GCF_000001405.40 of Homo sapiens. Taxonomy (NCBI): domain Eukaryota; kingdom Metazoa; phylum Chordata; class Mammalia; order Primates; family Hominidae; genus Homo; species Homo sapiens. The sequence goes on along the minus strand of NC_000001.11, from coordinate 194,919,647 downwards.
GTACACTCTTGTTGGACTCTGTTAGATAAATAGAATAACTCTGACTTAGTTTTAAGTAAAGAATATAATAATTCCTGAAGTGACCTCACTAGTGAACCCACTCTTTACTGGTTCCCCTACTTTCAATGGCATCATAATTACCAGGTTTTAGCCTCCTGGTTTTACTGCTAGTTTACCTTCTCACTGCCACCCTTTCCCTAAAGGCCTTCTTTTAGGTAACCGTTTCTTCCTCTAAGACGGACTACAACTCTTACTAGTCCTTGCATCATGCACAGTGACACCAGGCATCCTTCTTTAAATGCAGCTTAAGTCACATCTTTCACTCCGGCAGCGGGTGGTGAAAAGAGCATGAACTTTAGAAGCAGACAGGTCTAGGAACCATGCCCTGCTTTATAATTACTGTTGCATGTGTGATCTTTTGTAAAGCAGTTAACTCTCTCAAAAGTTACTTTTCGCATTTGAAAGATGAAGTAAACATGCTGCCTCCTAGCTTTAAAATGTGAATTAAAGAAATGTTTGTAGAGAACATATAGAACCAGGCACATGGAAAAGGCATCATCTCCATTTTCCTTCTCTCTGACATTTACATGCCATAGATGAGGTACTGTGGCTGTAACCAGGTATACAGGGTTGAAAGACACAGTCTTTGCCATCCAGAAGCTCACAGTCTAGTTAAAAAACAACACAAATGTAAGTAACTATGAACACAATGAAAATGTATATAAAATAAGTAAGCCTACTGCAACATGGTTATTCAGGAGGAATGTGCTGATATCACTCTGAAAATGGTAAGTGGTAGTATCTTGATCTGATAAAAATAAGTAAAGATTTAGAATGAGTTATTTTCCAATAGAAGCAAGAAAGGCAGGTTTCAGCATATGTAATATATGAGACCTGAAGGTAGTTGGTAGCAACATGAAGTATTTCAGAAGGACTAGATTTTAGTTTATTCAGAATTGGGCTTGTGGAGTCCAAAAAAATCTTGTAGAATTAATAAGGGGAACAAATAAACAAAACCTAGGCACAATAAATACATTGATATATTTAAACTTTTATGAAGTAGGTATTGTTGTTATCCCCATTTTCAAGATGAAACAGAAACAAAAAATCAACATTCTCCAAATCATGAAGCTCTTAAGTTGCAGAGCTAAGGTCATACCTTGGGAATCTGGCTCCGTATCCTGTGCTTTTAATCAGTCTGTATTTCTCCTCTCTAACAAGTTAATGTATGAAAGCATCAATATGGGGCTCTTCCAATACTTTGTTTTTCAGAAAAGCTCGGTCAAATATGATGTCCTTAAATCATGTTACTAATCCAAGTTATTTATCCACAAGTCATTGTACATTGTTTTGTATGAGATAAAATTAGCTATGTAGAAAATTTGAGATACAATATTGATGTAATCTAAAAATAGTCTTTTAAAGTAGGTAGATTTTGTACCACCATATTAAAATCTATACTTTTCTATATAGCAGCACTAAACTGAGGAGACTGACTCCTGCTTAAAATTCTACTGTTGATTCTTCAGGCCTGACCCTACCTATGCAATTAGAGAGACTTTACCTGGCAAGACTCACAGGGGAAAGCTGCCCTCCCTGAGGCAGATTTGATGTATAGCCCGTGCGTCACAGTCTGTACAGAGTCACGATCTCAGGCCCCCTGGATGGCCGGTCATGCTTTTTCACACATTTACATTCTTAGTCACTGTGCCTTCATTCTGGAGTCTCTTTATCTGAGGCCTTGGAAAGAGGTATTCCTCAGACATCTGAGGCCTCTTTATGCAGGGAGCAGGGGGAAACATTGAAGACACTTTTCCACTGTCTGACTCAGTACCCAGTACCTTTCAACTCCTAGTCCTTTCCACTTATTGGCCCCAGCCCTCCACTTCAGGGTCCACAAAACTGCAGGAGCCTTTTATTTGTGCTCCTTCAACACTGACATGACCCCAGGTCAGAACTTATCCACTTGACCTTCGACCAGTGTGCCCTTCCATAGAGGAAAATGGAACAGGGAGAGCCAGTGCTCTCTGGTTTTAGACTCTTGTTTATACCATCACAGTAAGTGATTAACTCTTTAATTTTTGGTTTGTTGCTTTAGTCAGCTATTCCAACACTTGAAAATTCAGCTCTTTCTCTCCCAGCTCAGCTAAGCTCCTGACATAAGCAATCAGAAAATAGTATAGACAGTACACCTGTAAGTGCAACAAAAAATTTTAATGCCTACAAGTAAACACAATTACAAGACGAAACTGTAATTTACATTGAAGATACTTACATGAATAAAGAGGCATATTCCCTTATGCAATGGCAATATTAGATCCTCAATATTGGTAGAGTTAACTATTCTTTCTAAATAAATTTATAAATTCAGTGCATACAATCCTAATCAATATTCTAACTCTTTAATAAATTCAGTTGGAATATATATATATACAGCTTCACGAAGGCTAAGGCAATTTCCTTAAAAATATAGCACTTCCCAAAGTACTAATTCATAAAGCTCTTTCTGATCCCCAATTAGAGGATTAAGATTATTTTGTATATTAATTGCTAAGTACCTTCTAACTTCTAAATTCCAATGAAAATGTATACTTAATATTTTTATGTGAAGAGGAAAAGAAGTAAGATTGCTTTCACTAGTGGGTCATTTTGTTGTTGTTAATATATTATTCACTTTGATGAGGCCTATACATTAAAATATGTATTATGATGTTTAATATTTTATATTTTATGTGTAAAAATGTGCTTTACATAATTGATTGAATAAATATACTCAAATAAACTGTGTCTGTACAAATGTATGACATATTTTTAAGTTAGGGAGATTTTTACAAGATAGGCAGAGGAATGAAGAGAAAAAGTATCAGGGATGGATGGAAGGCAAAAAAACATTGAGATAAATCAAACAGAGAAACTGTTTATATTCTAGGATAATCCCAAAATTTTACCTGTCATAGAAACAAAATAATAAAATGATAGGGAATTTAGACAATGACTGTTATTGCCTGAGGTTTATTTGTTTGAAATTACCAAGGAAGTGAGCTGAGTGAGTTAAAAGTGTTAGGGATAAAAGGCCTAGTCTGAATACATTTAACATCAAGTACTAATAAATAAGAAGGCATTAAACTGAGTTTCAAAAAAATCAACAGGCAGTTTTAGAACTTAATGAGTTTTGAGTTTGGTGTATTTCAGTCACGGATTAAGGCTCATGGAGGGTGATATGTGCCCTTTTTTTAAATACGGAAAGATAGTTAGAAATTGCCAGAGGTGGGTAAGTTTGTAATTATATACCTTTGTAAGCAATTTTTATTTTAATAATTTACTTAAATATTTGTTGTTGTTAATTGTTTTTACAAGAAAATTTCATACATAAAAATTGTGTTTTGTAAAAAAATCCAAAAAGAAAAAAAGAAAAAGAAAATCCAGCATGTGGGTTAGGAGCAAACACTCTGACACCAGACCACTTGATTTGAAAACTTGGCTCTGCTATTTGTCATTCATTCAAGGTAATGAATTTGTCTGCTTGTATTTCCTAATTATCTTTATGGGACTAATATTCATATCTAGCTTATCAAGTTGTTAAAACGTTTAAATATTTATGTGATATATTTATTATATAATTAATTCTTAGTTAACTCCTTGATACATTTTCTGTAGATCTAAATGATTTGGCAAAGTTTTGATCATAAGCACACTTAAAAATATATTGGTGATTGCTACAGAATTCACATAGCTGGCATTTCTTTAATATATACTTATATACTGAGTTGTTATTTTGATTTAAAATTCACATCTTTTATATTTAGGATGGATTTATCATATATTACTGATAATGTTATATATAAAAATTCCACCTTATTTTAATGTTTTTATAAAGCAAGTATAAATAGTAATTTATACTGCTCATATTGAAACTTGGATATGTAAACACATTTATAAGGGTGGTTTATTTATTTACCACATTGATATTAATAATATAGAACCTGATATAAACATATACATGTTCAGCATTCTGTTAGGTATAATCACTTATATTATTTAAAACACTATAATTTAGACTATGTCTTTCCTGTGTCTGACTCTTTGCCTGAAAGGACATTAATCAAGTAAATTATGTTTAATTGTGTAAAATGCTACTCTCAAGAAAAAATATACCTTCAATATCAAGTAAGCTTGGAACTACAAATATGTGGTTAGCTACCATCCTATATTCTGAGATTCAAACACATCACACCTTTCCAATTGCATGCTTTATTTCAATCACACAAACTACTTGAATTATTTAGACTTATGTTTCTTCTGTGCGTGGTAGGTGTACGTCTATGACAGCCAACAATGATCATCACCTTCTGGTAATGAGAAATGATGTAGTCCTTTCCCCTAAGTTGGGACTGGAACCAACAGAATATGGCAAAAGTAATATGTCACTTCCAAGATTAGGCTACAAAAGCTTGTGAATTCTGTCTTACAAGATGACCCTCTACTGCCTTCTCAGCTTGTAGCTTTGATGGAAGTTGTCACATTTAAGATATCATGGTACAAGAAACTGAGAGTGGTCTCTAGCCAGCAAAAGCTAATCTAGAAATTAGGCCTTCAGCCAACCAGCCTACAGCCCTGAAGACTGCTGTCAAGCACTGAGTGAGCTTAGAAGGGGATCTTTCCTGGGTTGAGTCTTTGGGAGACTGTGGACCCTGGGCTAACACTTAGACTCCAGCCATATGAGACTGTGAAGCAGAGGACCCAGCTAAGAAAGACCCAGTTCCTCACCCACAGAAACTCTTGAGATAATTAATGTCTTAATTTACTCCACTAAGTTTTGGGGTACTTTGTAACATAGCAATAGTTAAAAATGTATTATGCCCCTTAAGAATAATAATATTGAAAGGGGAAATTTTCCTTGAACTCCTCATGGGCCTCATGACAGAGGTTTCTCACTTACTCAGCCCACATATCTCAGCCCCTTGTGGGAGGGGAAACACACAGGTGAGTGGGTTCAGGGCCGGAGGAAGTACTTTTGGGCACCGGCAGGAGCAAAACTCTATGCAGCCCTGTTGCAGTGTCCAGGGAACTACCCACAACTCCTGAGGCCCCAGGGTGGGAGGTGGTTTACAGTGTGCTCTTTTAGCCTTGCCAATCGTGGATGGCTTCAGTTGTGACAGCCTTTTGCACCTGAACAGCATCCAGGAGGAATGAGGTCACATGAACAAATTGAAGGGTGGTGAATGCAGAGGATTTTATTGTTGATGAAAGTGCCCCTCAGTAGGAAGGAGAGCTGGAAAGGGGAAGGAGCAAGAAGGTGATCTTCTCCTGGAGTCTGGCCGTCCCTGGCCAGACTCTACTGCTAAGGTCCACCATCAAGCCATCTCTCTGAAGTCAAGCTGCTTCTCTCCAACATCCAGCTGCTTCTTCTTGTCTCTCCTTCCCTGCTCTGTGCCAATGGAGCCTGGGGTTTTTATGGGTACAGGATGGGGGGCGGGGTGGGCTAGGAGTGGTTTTGGGAAAGCAACATTCAAGTGGGAAAACGAGGATGTAAAATTCTCACGTGGGGCCACTGTTCCAGGCTTGGGGGTAGGGCCCCTGCCAGGGCCCCCACCCTTTTCTGCCTAGAATTTTTCTGCCTCCTGTCTCTGTCCATATCTTTCACTGTTTTAAGTCAAGCAATTTTGTTATTATGAAATGGTATATTGTAATTTCATCACTGCAAATTCAATTCCAATTACAAAAGATCAATATTGATTATACTATGAGAGAAAATACAACATTTCCAACATTTTGTAAGTTTATTATAACGTTAAATATATAATGAACAGATCCTATGTATATTTTGGAGATTTTTTTTATTTTAAAGAATAGTTTGGATTAAGCTTCTTAAAAGAATTATCTAAAGGATGTTTTTGCTTAAGACACATGGTAATTTTCCTGTTATTTTGCATCTTGGAAGCAAAAACACTTATGTTGTTCCAAGGTTTTTTCTAGTCATAGTTCTCAAATGTGATTATATAATCAATATCACATATGATTATTTTTATGCCTAACAACAATTTGGTCATGACCTAGTTACATAATCACCAGAACAACAACACTACTTTAAAGTTTTCTGACTGCTCCTTCTTGTTGCATCTCTCTGCGTCTTCCACAGAGGTAACCATTATTTTAAATTTTATGATTATAACTTTTTTACTTTAAAGAGTTTGCCAATTATGTCTATATTCTTAAAAAATATTTTTAATGAAGAATTTGCATTAAATAACAAAATGTTAGTTTGTGTGACCATCTCAGACAAATTGACTATATGGAATATTAATAAAATATAATCTTCAGACATTACTAAAATAAACATCTAACTACAAACTTTTTATCAAAATTTCAGAATAGACATAATTTAATCTTTTACATATAAGGGGTAAAGGGACAACTGTTTGCTGTGATTTATTGTACTGAATTTTCAACAAAAGTTTTCTACTACTGTGGCTGCAGTATAAACTTATGTATACACAACTAGAAAATTTTTTAGAAATAGCTATTAAACATTATTATGTGTCATATGAGTTCAAAAAATAAAAGGTTTGTGCTCTTTTGGATACATTAAATTCTACCTCAGGGTTGTGGTATTGGGAAACAGTGCAGATAGTAGTGTAACGTGGAGAAATAGCTTTTTTACAAAATATCTAGGTAATGAAATAATCTGTACAACAAACCCCCACGACATAAGTTTACCTATGTAACAAACCTGCACATGTACCCCTGAAATTAAAAGTTAAAAAAATACGTATCTCTCTCTGTCTCTGTCTCTCTGTCTCTCTCTCTCTCTCTCTCTATATATATATATATATATATATTATATATATATATATATAATATATATATATAATAAAATACAATTAAATCTTGCAAAAGAAAATTTAGATGATTATCTTTTTTGGGAGATTTTCCCACTCACACTTCTCAAATGTTATTATATAATGGAAACCACATATAAATGTTATTGAGCATAATAGTATTATTATCTAACAATAAAATTAGGCCAGGTGCCGTGGGTCATGCCTGTAATCCTGGCACTTTGGGAGGCCAAGGTGGGGGGATCACCTGAGGTCAGGAGTTCGAGACCAGCCTGACCAACATGGTGAAACCCCGTTTCTACTAAAAATACAAAATTAGCCAGGTATGTGGTGCATGCCTGTAATTCCAGCTACTCTTGAGGCTGAGGCAGGAGAATTGCTTGAACCCAGGATGTGGAGGTTGCAGTGAGCCAAGATGGCGCCATTGCACTCCAGCCTGGACAACAAGAGCAAACTCCATCTCAAAACAAACAAACAAACAAACAATAAAATTAACCAGATTTAGTTTGCATGAAGCATTAATAGAATTGTTTTCGTACAATCTGAGTTGTGCAATTTTTAATATATTGCCAATATGTAGTACTATCAACTTTTTACTCAGAGTAGCTTAACAACTTAAGAGAAACAAGCTTTTTCCAGAAGATTCAACCAATATCAAATTTACCTAGCTGTAAGAAGAATACAGGACAGGAAACAAGACACCATACGTAACAACAGGCTAACAGAAGTTTTGTGATTTCCAGGCAGAGATGTTATGCTCTGAAGACATACATGGTAATGAAAGGTAATACTGAGTCTGTGTAGACAACCTCATGGAGGCTGTCAGTACTGGGTAATTTCGGCTTTGGTAGCTTGAAAATCACATAAGGCCCTAGGCACAGCAGACTGTGACCATTCTTTGGATCCGCTGCCCGTCCTCAATGCTAGAGATACTCATCACTAGATCTTCATAGTAGGAAATAGGTGTTTAATCCAGCAGGCTGTTCTTGTCCGGATTCTCACTTAAATTGGATGTGAAAACTTCTAAGAATTCCTTTAGTTAATATTGTCAGAGAGATTGGCCAAGGATCATATCCTACAATGTCCTTGAAGTTAGAATAAGGACCAAAAAACCAGCTGTTCATCCTTTTTTTTCCCATGGATATTTTGGAGTTATTCTGTTATAAAACATTTTCGATGACTAAGAGTTGTTCCTTTTCTTTAAGACATGACTGAAAAATTTAGTGACTAACAATAAATGTTTTCTAGCTCCAGGTCATAGTTCTTAATCTGTATCTTTGGGCCATTATTTGATTTTCTCCAAGGCATAGGAAAGAGCATGGGATAAGAAAAAGTTGTAAAGGAGTTGTTAAAGGAATATGGATGTTTTAAGTACCTCATAGAAGCCCTGTCACATAAGAACACAGTGAATGAAGGAGGCTTGGGGTGGATGGGACCAGGGAGGTAGGCCATAGTAAAACATTCTGGTCCTTGTATATAAGAAATGTGGCAACTGTGTGCTATAATAATCCATTGAAAATTTATAAGTAGTATTGTATATTCACAAAACCAAATGGATGAAGTTGTGTCTAGACTGTAATAAATTACTAAGAAAAAGGATGTTAAGAAAACAGAATAATATTGGTCAGAGAAAATTAATTGGCTGTCCCAATTATTCTGCTCATTTATATCATTGAGTTAATTAAGTTAAATCAATTTAATTATAATTACAATCACAAAATAACATATTAAAATTATACATAAAATAATAAGGATAATATTTATCCATAGTAACCTAGAGGAAAATAGCAAGATACATAGAAAAAAATATTTGGTGGTAAGTATTGACAGAAGGAGGAAGGAGAGACTGAGAAACTTAGTTTTATTTCACAGTGTAGTGTTAATTGATAATATTAAGTTTTATTAATTAAGAAATGGACTATTTCCAAGAAAACTAAAGAATCTATTAAAATTATATTTTTGCTTCTTTATTGTATCTTAAAGTGCATTGTATATCTTTATGCTGCTGCTGTGTCAAAATGCAATTGACTTTTTAAATTGATTGCATTAAGACACAGGATTAATTTAACCTCTTATCCTAATATTGTATATTTCCTTATTCTTAAGGATGCTTTTTCAATTAAAATCTATGCTTTATGACATATTTGTTTTATAGCACATCAGATATTTGTAACTTCATGAAGAGTTCACATTTAAGGTGATTAATGATGTATCATGATATATTTCAGCTATCTTATTTTGTGTATTCCATTAGCCCCATTTTATACTTATTCATTATATCAGTATTGGTATTAGGATTTCTCTTATTATTTTTGTCCTTTTTATTAGTTTGAAAATGACATCCCCTATTTAATTGTCACCCATGGAATTTTGTCATATTATACTAAGATAATATTAAGATATTATAAAATGAATCACTAACTCTCATCCACATAAAAACGGGTGCCTTGGAATGCTGTAATTTTTCTCCCTTCTCTCAGCTTGTATGGCAGTAAAATAGCATGTTTTTTTCCAAGCTTTATTTAAATAAATTATGCCATTCAGTGTTCTATAGAAAAGTTTGTAGTTTATGAAGTTTAATTTTACAAATGTGTTCTGTCATTATAAAATTAGATAATGGAAGTCAATATTTTTTTTCAGCTAGCAAAAACATTAACTAACAAAACATAAAATGTTTTCTTAATAATCTGTTTTAACCTATAATTATATATAATTTTGAATTAAAATTTGTAAAATGTTAGCATAAATAAAAGAGTAATGATGACAATTAAAATTAAATCGAAGACGGCAAAAATGTTTGGTAATGATTCCCAAAATCACAACTAACTTTAAAAATATTTTCTCAAAACCATGTGTTTGAAATCAATACATATTTCACTTTAGCCTTTCATTGCTCCTACTTGTTTTTGAATTTAACTATATGTAAAACTTTTTGAAAAATAGAGGTTTATAGGGAGCAATAATAGTCTTTCACTTCTGATTGTTGACAACAACTCCCAAAGCATCATTTATTATATTTCTGGATTCTCTTTCCAGAGAATATCTATGTTCAGAGAAAACAAAACAAAAAACAACAAAAAAAAACCTCTCCATGCTTTCCAGCCATTTATTTTCCCCTTTTGTTCTTGGCATTCTGTGATTTCTTAAATCCAAAGAAAGCCGAATCTTTCAAATATAACTCTAACCAAGAGGCTTAAATGGGCTCTTCACCACATACTTGAAGAAGAAAAAATGTTCAGCTGGGGAGAAAATAGCTTAAAAATACCAATCCCTTAAAGTATATTTTTAACTGACAGTTCCCATTGTTGGGCCCAGAAGTTTATGTGGATGTTGCAACCCTAAGATCTTTTTACAGAGCACATCCTTAAGAATTTAAGAGAGAGCTTCACAAATCAAGCAGTACTCGTAGTGTCTATCACCTGAGTACTGAGTGTTTTGGCAAGGGTGCTATTGCTTCAGTCATATATATTAGGAAATTGGACACTAGGGGAATATGTGTCTTCTGTGGTGTTGCGAAAGGAAACGCTAGCAGAGCTAATGTTTTGATTTGTTATACTTGATTTTCAACTCTTATAATTAGTTTCAAAATTGCACATGTAATGTAACTCTTGGTGGTAACCATAATGAGAGAAGATTAAGACTTTTAAAAAGACAAGTAGCATAAAATTTGGCATTTTCCGGAAATGAAGAGAAACCATACACAATGTCACTATACCTTTAATTTTTCTTTATTAACTTTCTATGGAATATGGAAACCTACCAGTTATCACTGGATTTCCAAAAATGTTCATTAAAGATTGAGAATATATTTTATATATATAGTCACGTGCCACATAATGGCATTTCAGTTAAGGAAGGTCTACATACACAATGGTAATCTCATAAGATTATAAGGCAGCTGAAAATTTTCTAGTCATGTTGCAGCCATCATAGTGGAATGCATTTCTCATGTCTTTGTGGTCATTCTGGTGTAAACAAACCTGCTGCACTTCCAGTCATATAAAAGTATACCACATGCAATTATGTACAGTGCATAATGCCTGATAATAATAAAGTCTTGCTGTTTTATGTATTTACTGTATTATACTTTTCATTGCTATTTTAGTGTGTATTATTTCCACTTTTTAAAATAATGTTAATTGTAATACAAACTTGGACAGGTCCCTTAGGAGTATTTAAAAAAAGGCATTGTTATCACAGAAGATGGCAGCTCTATGCATTTCATTGTCCTTGAAGACCTTTCAGTGGGACAAGATGTGGAGGTGGAAGACAGTGATATTGATGATCCTAACCCTATGTAGGTCTAGGCTAATGTGTGTGTCTTAGTTTTTAACAAGAACTTCAAATTGTTTTATATATATATATATATATATATATATATATATATATATAATTTTATAAATAGAAAAATAACTTATGGAATAAGAATACAAAGAAAAAACATTTGTACAGCTGTACACTGTGTTTGTGTTTTAAGCTAAGTGTTATAAGAGTAAAAAAGTTAAACATTAAAGGGCTTATAAAGTAAAAAGTTTCAGTAAACTAAGGTAATTTATTATTGAAGAAACAACAAATGTCTTTGTAAATTTAAGGTAGTGTAAGTATACAGTTTTTATAAAGTCTACAGTAACATGTAGAAATGTCCCATGACTTTACATTCACTCCCCACTTACTGACTCAACTGGAGTAACTTCCAGTCCTGCAAGTTTCATTCATTTTAAGTGCCCTATAAAGTGTACCATTCTAAAATTTTTATCCCCTACTTTAACATTACTTTTTCTCTGTATTGATACACAAATATTTACCATTGTCTACAGTATTCAGTACAGTAACATGCTCTGATCTATACTAGGAGCAACAGGCTACACCATGTAACCTAGGTGTGTAGTAGGCTATACTATCTAGGTTTGTCTAAGTACACTCTATGCTTTTTGCATTAAGATGAAATCACTGAACAACACATTTCTCTTTTTATTTATTTATTTATTTTTTATTATACTTTAAGTTCTAGGGTACATGTGCACATTGTGCAGGTTAGTTACATATGTATACATGTGCCATGCTGCTGCGCTGCACCCACTAACTCGTCATCTAGCATTAGGTATATCTCCCAATGCTATCCCTCCCCCCTCCACCCACCCCACAACAGTCCCCAGAGTGTGATATTCCCCTTCCTGTGTCCAGGTGATCTCATTGTTCAATTCCCACCTATGAGTGAGAATATGCGGTGTTTGGTTTTTTGTTCTTGCAATAGGTTACTGACAATGATGATTTCCAATTTCATCCATGTCCCTACAAAGGACATGAACTCATCATTTTTATGGCTGCATAGTATTCCATGGTGTATATGTGCCACATTTTCTTAATCCAGTCTATCATTGTTGGACATTTGGGTTGGTTCCAAGTCTTTGCCATTGTGAATAATGCCGTAATAAACATACGTGTGCATGGGTCTTTATAGCAGCATGATTTATAGTCCTTTGGGTATATACCCAGTAATGGGATGGCTGGGTCAAATGGTATTTCCAGTTCTAGATCCCTGAGGAATCGCCACACTGACTTCCACAATGGTTGAACTAGTTTACAGTTCCACCAACAGTGTAAAAGTGTTCCTATTTCTCCACATCCTCTCCAGCACCTGTCGTTTCCTGACTTTGTAATGATTGCCATTCTAACTGGTGTGAGATGGTATCTCATTGTGGTTTTGATTTGCATTTCTCTGATGGCCAGTGATGATGAGCATTTTTTCATGTGTTTTTTGGCTGCATAAAAGTCTTCTTTTGAGAAGTGTCTGTTCATGTCCTTCGCCCACTTTTTGGTGGGGTTGTTTGTTTTTTCCTTGTAAATTTGTTTGAGTTCATTGTAGATTCTGGATATTAGCCCTTTGTCAGATGAGTAGGTTGCAAAAATTTTCTCCCATTTTGTAGGTTGCCTGTTCACTCTGATGGTAGTTTCTTTGGCTGTGCAGAAGCTCTTTAGTTTAATTAGATCCCATTTGTCAATTTTGTCTTTTGTTGCCATTGCTTTTGGTGTTTTAGACATGAAGTCCTTGCCCGTGCCTATGTCCTGAATGGTAATGCCTAGGTTTTCTTCTAGGGTTTTTATGGTTTTAGGTCTAACCTTTAAGTCTTTAATCCACATGATTATCTCAATAGATGCAGAAAAAGCCTTTGACAAAATTCAACAACACTTTATGCTAAAAACTCTCAATAAATTAGGTATTGATGGGACGTATTTCAAAATAATAAGCTATCTATGACAAACCCACAGCCAATATCATACTGAATGGGCAAAAACTGGAAGCATTCCATTTGAAAACTGGCACAAGACAGGGATGCCCTCTCTCACCACTCCTATTCAACATAGTGTTGGAAGTTCTGGCCAGGGCAATTAGGCAGGAGAAGGAAATAAATGGTATTCAATTAGGAAAAGAGGAAGTCAAATTGTCCCTGTTTGCAGACGAAATTATGGTATATCTAGAAAACCCCATTGTCTCAGCCCAAAATCTCCTTAAGCTGATAAGCAACTTCAGCAAAGTCTCAGGATACAAAATCAATGTACAAAAATCACAAGCATTCTTATACACCAACAGCAGACAAACAGGGAGCCAAATCATGAGTGAACTCCCATTCACAATTGCTTCAAAGAGAATAAAAATACATAGGAATACAACTTACAAGGGATGTGAAGGACCTCTTCAAGGAGAACTATAAAACACTGCTCAAGGAAATAAAAGAGGATACAAACAAATGGAAGAACATTCCATGCTCATGGGTAGGAAGAATCAATATTGTGAAAATGGCCATACTGCCCAAGGTAATTTACATATTCAATGCCATCCCCATCAAGCTACCAATGACTTTCTTCACAGAATTGGAAAAAACTACTTTAAAGTTCATATGGAACCAAAAAAGAGCCCACATCGCCAAGTCAATCCTAAGCCAAAAGAACAAAACTGGAGGCATCACACTACCTGACTTCAAACTGTACTACAAGGCTACAGTAACCAAAACAGCATGGTACTGGTACCAAAACAGAGATATAGATCAATGGAACAGAACAGAGCCCTCAGAAATAACGCCGCATATCTACAACTATCTGATCTTTGACAAACCTGAGAAAAACAAGCAATGGGGAAAGGATTCCCTATTTAATAAATGGTGCTGGGAAAACTGGCTAGCTATATGTAGAAAGCTGAAACTGGATCCCTTCCTTACACCTTACACATTTCTCATAATGTATCTCCATTGTTAAGCAACATATGACTATGTGTGCATATATGTGACATACATATGACATAACTATAGAGAATATGTTTACTGCCATAAAATGCCATAATTTTACAGAAATCAAATATATTTATCCACACCTTGCTAAGAAACAAACACATAAATTTAGTTCACATAGTCAGGGAATTATATTTTATTTCCAATTTAGTTTGCTATGGGAAAGTTACTGAAGAATAATTCAAACTGGATAGTTAGTGATACAATAAATGAAGAATTATAACAGTTCAATTTTTAGTGTTGATACATCCAGTAAACAGAAAAACATTTAACAGAATTCCTAAGAATAAGTACAAGCAATATATAGACAGCATTAATGTTAAAAAAATTGTTGTCAACACTGTTATTCAAAATTATTTGATGCTATATACATCTGCAATGTAATAAGAGCAATAAATTACAAATCTGTATTACATATACTAATTGAATTTTCAAAGGAGGGCCTACAATGTAGTAAGTGCTCCAAAAGATATGTTAATTTCCATTTTTATTTATAGATAATAAAATTAACTATCTAGAAAATCCTAATGAATCAGTTGAAATGGAATTTTTTGTCATAAGGAATTTAGTAAAATGCCTAATGAGTAGATAGAAGTAAATAACTACTTATACAATTATATTAAACAATTCAAACATTTATAAAAATATCCCCTTTCAACAAAGAAGCATAATCTATTTTTGATATGCAAAACCAATTAAAATAAAAATACAAAAGTGTAATAAGCAACCTTGAACTAAAATAATTGAGAATTATGTTGTATTCTGGGAGATAATATAAAAAATGCAGACGTCACAGATTTCAATCTTTATTTTCTAATTAATATGGATGTTCAAATGCATTTTTTGATAACATGATAAATTAAATCTAAATTTACTAGGAAGATTTGATAACCAAGAATAATATAACCAATTTTGCTGAAGAATAATGAGGTGAAGGATTTAAAACTTATTTTAACACACCAGCATGGCACATGTATACATATGTAACTAACCTGCACATTGTGCTCATGTACCCTAAAACTTAAAGTATAATAATAATAAATAAATAAATAAATAAATAAAGATTTCCAGGAAAAAAAATAAAAAATAAAAAATAAATAAAACTTATTTTAAAATGCAAATAATTAAAATACATCATTATAAAAAAATTAATAGACAAAATTAAAATTTCAAAATGATTCTGAGAATTTATTCATAATAAAAGTAGCAGTTCTGAAAGATATGAAAATAATATATTTAAAATAAATGTTGATTTTACTATTATGAAAATAAATATATAAATAAATGTGTACATAAAAATAAATTTTGACAAATGCTTATTTTTCTATCAATTTTATGATTATATAAGTTTTATTTTATTGTCTGTTTATATGATGAGTTACATTCATTGAATTTCAATGTTAAACCCAATCTTAGGACACAAATTGACATGAATAAACTTTGTATGATGATGGATATATTTATTTTCTTAACTGTGTAAACTACTCAACACTCATTAAGTATATTTTAAGTAGGTGAATTTTATTGTATATTGATTATACAACAAAAAAGCTAAAAAAGTACTTTAACTGTTAAGAAGTTATTCTCAAAATATAACAAATGAATAAACAAAGTACAGAACAGAGATTACAGTTTGATATAACTCGTGTGAATGTATATAATTAGATATTGCACAATTACATAATATATAAATATATTATCGAGTGTAAGTGAAGTGCACATTTATTTGAATAATGTGTACGTGTCTATGCTTCTTTGTGTGTGCACATATATGTAGACATCTATAGGTGGGGTTTAATGACTCACTTCCTCAAAAATAATGTGGCAGAAGTGACATCTTTTGACTGTATGGCTAAGTCATTAAACTGATAAGCTTCCAGCTGGCTCTTACTCCCTTAAATTATTAGCTGTAGTTGATCACTGCCCATTATAGAAGGCAGTCACTATGCTGTGAGGACCCTCAAAAAGCCTTTGGAGAGGACTACGTGGTGGGGAACTGAAACCTCCCACCAGAAGGCAGCACCAATAGACAAGCAAGTGAGTGACCCCTCTTGGAAACAGATCCTTCAGCCCCACTCAAAACTTCAGATGATGGTGGCCGGGTGCAGTGGCTCACGCCTGTAATCCCAGCACTTTGGGAGGCCGAGGTGGGAGGATCACCTGAGGTCAGGAGTTTGAAACCAGCCTGGCCAACATGGCGAAACCCTGTCTCTACTAAAAATACATAAAAATTAGCCGGGAGTGGTGGCACACAACTGCAGTCCCAGCTACTCAGGAGGCTGAGGAGAACCACTTGAACCTGGGAGGCGGAGGTTGCAGTGAGCCGAGATCATAACACTGCACTGAAGCCTGGGTGACAGAGTGAGACTCTGTCTCAAAAACAAAACAAAACAAAAACTTCAGATGATGGCAATCCTATTTGACAACTTAATGACTATCAAATGAGAATCTCTGTTCCATAAACATAGCAAAGCTACCCCTGAATTCCTGACTACTAGAAACTGAGGAAAATTAATGTTTATTATTGTGTTAAGCAAGTAAATTTTGAGATAATTTTTTTATATGGCCACAAATAACTCAAATGCTGTGAATCAATGATATACAGGTGAATGTTGAAACCAATGGAATACAATTGCTTACTGAAATAAATGTATGGAATATGATAATATAATGAATAAAAATTTAAATGTATTGAATTCTGGATAAAGCAATACATGAAATATAGGACAGTTAATGGAAGAACAAATTATGATTGAGAAGATACATTTAGTAAGAATAAGAGAAGCAAACAAAACAAGAGAAAGTGGAGTCTTGATAATCCAAAAAAAAGTGGTCATGGATATTACATTTTTGTTCAAGTAATAATGAAATTGACTACTTCTTAGCTAGGTAAGCCATAAAATTATTAGTGTCATTAGGGAAAGGAATTTAAGGGGTGTAATAAGGTAGAAATCAACTCATTTAAGTCAATAAGAGATAAATGGGAGTTAGAAATTGGAGACAAGAAATGCAGACCTAGTATGCCTGGATGCCTGATTATGAAGATGCTCCTTGTGAAGTATTTTGTGGAGTAATGATAAAGAGTTGAATAGCAGAAGTAATCAGTAGTTGGTAGCACAGGTCTGAACCTCATGGGGAGTTCTGAGGAGCAATTATTCCCTTCATGGTAACATTCGTGTATTGTTAGAGATAAACTATAATGAAAGTGAGATCCTTTAGGGACAGGGAAAAATTAAGGTAAAAATAGAGCCAAATGTTTAACGTTCACGTATGATTTTTTTTTAAATTTCTAACAGGATATGATGAATACTACTTTCTCTATTTGTTAGTTAAAAGAATATGTAATATGGAGAGTGTAAGTGGTGTATTCTGGGCCACACAGTGGAGAGGTGGCAGAGTTGGAACAAGAATCCGTGTAGAATAATGTAAATTAATGACCATTATATTATTGAGATGAATTATACATGTTTATATGCAAATGATCTTCAGAGAGTGACAGAATATGAAAAAAAACAGCAAAATATGCTTGCCATTTCAAAAATGAAATGCTTTATTTTACTTTATGCCTTCTTAATACAAATTGACATGGACCCCTCAAAAGTGTTAGCTCATGTCTAGGAAATACCAGAGTTTAAAAGTTTAATGGATCTTCCAAAGCTCACTACAGTTTATGATTCCATTAATTATTTCCGCTAGACATATCAATGTGACATTCTGACAGACATTAGTATCACTTTTAAGATTTATTGTAGATGTAAAGCATCATTCTCACCATGAAACAATGAAACTGTAGATTCTAACAAAATATTATTTACTTACATTGAATTAACAAAGTTGACAGTACAGTAATGTTGAATAAACATAACAATAGCAATGAAATACATTTCAATTTAACTAATAACAGTATTAACTGGAATATTTATTTTCAAAGTAGTGCTAATCAGAGGGTATTATAGAAGCTTCAGAGAGATAAACTAAATTTATGAAAAAGACATTACTTCAACAATGTAATGCCGTTCTTGCCTAAAGTCAGAGTATAAAATGTTACAAAACAATTTTTTAAAGTCAGATGACTTACAAAACCACTGTTATGAGATTGTTTTTAAATAGAAAGATGTTTGAGCTACAAAATGCTTTTTGGCCAAAAGTAAGCCCAGTAAGGCCAGTGTCGCCTCCTCGATGGCTAGTGGACCTAAGATTCTCCTTTTCCCTCAGCTTTAACCCTCACCCTCCTCTTTTGCTTTTGTTGCAATTGCTACTGGCGTCTTCATCACGAAATCATTGCCAGTGCCTATGTCCTGAACGGTATTGCCTAGGTGGTCTTCCAGGGTTTTTGTAGTGTTGGGTTTTATATTTAAGTCTTTAATCCATCCTGAGTTAATTTTTGTATACTGTGTGGAAAGGGCCCAGTTTCAAACTTCTGCATATGGCTAGCCAGTTATCTTAACACCATTTATTGAATAGGGAATCTTTTCCCCTTTGTTTGTTTTTGTCAGACTTGTCAAAGATCAGATGGTTGTAGGTGCACAGTCTTATTTCTGAATTTTCTATTCTGTTCCATTGGTCTATGTGTCTGTTTTTGTAACAATATCATGGTGTTTTGGTTATGTAGCTTTGTAGTACATTTTGAAGTTGGGTAGCGTGATGCTTCCAGCTTTGTCCTTTTGGCTGAGGATTGCCTTGACTAGTTGGGCTCTTTTTTTGGATTCATATGAATTTTAAATTAGTTTTCTCTAGTTCTGTGAAGAATGCCAATGATAATTTAATGGGAATAGCATTGAATCTATAAATTACTTTGGGTAGTATGACCATTTTAACAATATTTAAAATTAATTTGATTACACACACACACACACACACACACACAAATACTTCTACTGATCTCTGATGACCTCAGCAATATACCAGCCTTACTGTGTGAAAAAGTCTAGAATAATTCCTGTCACATAATAGAGCTCATTAAATATCTCATGAATAAACCAATTTTATGAACACCCCTCCAAGAAAGAGATCTCTTTACCACTCAATGATGTTAATAGATGTCTGGAAGCACATGCTATGATTACCATCTATATCATCAAAACTTTTGTCTATTGTTGGACATATCCTTCTTCCTTTGCATAAAAACATCAACAAATGCTTCATAAAACGAAACACAAAGCTAAATTTTATAATTATGGACAATTAAGTAGCACAGGACAACTGTTTACACAGGATGCTGCTATTTATTCAAAATATAGCTTCAAAAGAACAACCTCCTGACTAAACTTTAGGGAGGGAGGCATTGTCAGGAAAAAAAAAAGGAGTAAAATAAGAGACTAAGCATATATTAAGAAAATGGATTAATTAAATTGTGTTTAATTGAATTTAACTTACATATAAGCTGCATTTTGTGGAACTTATGGCACAATTTTGATTAGTTTTTCCTCTCTGTTGTTTGTGTATTCCATATTTAATTTGTTTGGTATGACATCTAAAAACAATAACATTTTAAATATTAATGATGCAACTGCACTCAAAGTCAATGAGTGGTCTATAATCTAGTTAATATTAGGCCTTATGTTCATTACTTTTTATTTTTGTAGAATTTATTCTATGCTATAGTCTGAAAGAGAAAACCAAACTTATATGATTTTAGTAATACATTTCTTGACCCAGCTTAAGTCTAATTAGTCTAAATTAGTAATGTAAGAAAGTCATGGATTATGAAAAGGATTAAAAATTAGGCAGAGAAGAATTGATCAATATTTAAATAATATGAAAATAAATATTTTAAATAACCATACTGTCAGTAGAAAAACGTATGAAAGACCACACTTTTATTAAATTCATAAATTTTCTTGGGAAGCTTGTTGTAAAATAATGTAATAGAAAACCCAATTACTTATAATTATTTGGCCCAAAATATGCAGTAACTTTCCTGCGAAAAGGTCTAAGTATGCCAATATTTGACAAAATGTACATTTACTGCTATTTATGCAAAAACATAGTTGAAAACCGTTATAAACTGCTTATCATATCTGTATGCCAATTTATGCTGTGGCATGTCACTCTATGCCAGTTCTGTTCACTAGAACTTTCTCAAATGCTGGATATGTTTTATTATTATACTGTCCAGAATGGTAGCCCTTAGTCATAAGTATCACCTCAGCATCTGAAATGTGACTGTGTAACAGAGAAATTCAATTATATGTTTATTTAAGTAGAGTAAATTTAAGTTTAAATAGCAACTTATGTCCACTGGCTATTATACTAGATGGTACAACTCTAGAATATTAGCTTAATTTTCAGTCACTTTATTAATAAATGTTGTACATAAATTACTGAATTATGAATGAATTCTATTTTGTCAGTTTTCATGAAAAATGATTTACTTTCATAAAATCATGAGTGTTATTTTAAAAAAATTATGGCTAAGTTTATTCTGAATTAGACAAAATAAGCAAGGACTATAAAGCAATTAAAAGAACAAAAGCTACTATTAGATTATTCTTGAATTCTCTTTTAAGTGGACAGCATCTTCTTCAATGTGTGAGAGTTTATCCTGTGTAAAGGCTATAGAATATGTTCTTTAAATTTCATATAGTTATTGGATAACTTTGTGAACAATTCACACATGAAAAGCAATGAAAACTACGTTATTGCTTATTTACTTCATGGGTTCTCTTTAATTGAGGCATGTGCTATTTTAACATGAACCTTTAATTACCTTTCCTGACATTTACCAGCATAAATTTTTCCACGCACTTTTGGAGATGAAACACATTAAGTGCTTACACAAAGTTACTGGAAATTTTACTGATTATAGTCATTTCAAATACAGTTTGATGCACTGTTCAAACAAAAGTGTCATTGTATTCAGTCATCTTTAGTATGTAAAAGGACACATCCTCCCTTCATTTTCCTGTCCTAATAGACACAGAGAGAGTCTACAATAGGGCACCAATAATTTTGAACCAAACTCCTGTTAAAGCAAACTAAATATGGCCTGAGAAAGTCTCCATGCTTCTATATTTCAGTGCCTGTGGATGAACTGCATCCTAATTTACCAAGTAGACAAGATTGAAAACCTAACTTAGGAGTATGCACCTGTAACCATTGCTGAGTCATGGCCAATCCCAGCAGCCATACTTCAACCAATCATACACTGCTGAGTGTTCAAACTGTGTTCAAATAAGGCAGACACGTAGCTGTAACCAATCTAGCTGTTTTTGTACCTCATTTCTGATTCCTGTATGTCGCTTTACATTTTTGTCTACAAATTTGTTCTGACCATGAGGCAACCCTGGAGTCTCTCTGAATCTGCTGTGATTCTGGGGGTTGCCCAATTCATGAGTTGTTCATTGCTCAGTGAAACTCCTTTAAATTTAATTTGGCTGAAGTATTTCTTTTATCAGATAATAATAAATACTTGATGCATAATTGTATAAATGCTAGTAACACATTTTCTGCCACAAATGCATGAGTGTTAATAAGATATAATAATATTATATCTGCTTTTAGCTCTTGGAGGAATTGTCATACTGCTTTCCAAAGTGGTAAAACTAATTTACGCTCCCACCAACAGTGTATGAGTTCCCCTTTCTCTCCAGACATAATAATATTTAACTGCTCCAGATATAATAATATTTAACTATTATATCCAAACAATAAAAATAGTATAGAAAGGAGTTCATAGATAACATGAATAATTCTTATTTTTACATGAATGTACTAATATAAAACAAAAGGAAAAAATAATTTTATTAAGTGGCCTTGTTCAAAATTAGTCTTTATAATATAACCACTGATAAAATTACAGCTTTGTCATTGGAATAAATAAGAAAATATTGGAAAGCTCTTATATGTCAAACTGGAGACAATCTATCACAAATTAATAACTTTGATAGTACGCTTAGTTATCTTAAGGATAAAACAATTTTTCTTTTATTCAATGTAAGCCATTGCATTAAAGAGAAAATATCTGTGTACACTGTTATCCTTATTTAGGAGCTATAAGTTAAATAAAAGGGAATTATGAAGCTTAGCAAATTTTTGATTTACTAACTGTCTCCTTAGCTACCTTGAAATGGGATACACTTGAAGTATTGTATTTCTGATAACAGATGTATAAGTTTCAAGATTCTTAGCTCAGATGTTATGAAAGTGTTTGGCATTAGAGGATTTATAGAAAGAATAAGATGAGAGGCAACAATATTACAAATAAAATGGCATTTTGTTTTCATTTCTGTAAACTTCACAATGGTTTCAAACATCTATTAAATAATCCTAAAAGCAGGAACAGGAGAGTAGACCTAGACTTCATGAAAAAGACACCAAAAACAATTGCAAGTAAAGCAAAAATTGACAAATGGGGTCTAATTAAACTTAAGATCTTCTTCATAGCAAAAGAAACTATCAACAGAGTAAACAGGAAACCTACAGAATGGGAGAAAGTATTTGCAAACTACCCATCTGACAAAGGTCTAATATCCAGAATCTATAAGGAATTTGAACAAACTTACAAGAGAAAAGCAACCCCATTACAAAGTGAGCAAAAGACATGAACAGACACTTGTCAGAATAAGACACACATGTGGCCAACAAGCATATTAAAAAAAGCTCAATATCCCTGATCATCAGAGAAATACAAATCAAAACCACAATGAGATACTATCTCACACCAGTCAGAATGGCTATTGCTAACAAGTCAAAAAATAACAGATTCTGGTGAAGTTGCAGAGAAAGGGGAACTCATACACTGTTGGTGGGAGTATAAATTGGTTCTATCATTGTGGTAGAATACATACAAACATATGCAAAGCATACAAACGTATACAAAGCAGTATGGCAATTCCTCAAAGAGCTAAAAGCAGAACTAACATGCGACCCAGCAATCCCATTACTGGGTATATACTCAGAGGAAAATAAAGCATTCTATCATAAAGACACATGAACACAAATGTTCACTGAAGCACTATTTACAATAGCAGAGATATGGAATCAACTGAAATGCCCATCGATGACAGACTGGATAAAGAAAATATAGTACAAATACACCATGGAATATTTTGCAGCCATAAAAAAGAACAAAATCATGTCTTTTGCAGGAACATGGATGGAGCTGGAGGCTATAATTCTTAGCAAACTAATGCAGTAACAAAAAATAAAATACCGCATGTTCTCACTTACAAGTGGGAGCTAAATGATAAGAACTAATGAACACAAAGAAGGAAATAACAGATCCCAGGGTCTACTTGAGTGGGGAGAATGGGAGGATGGAGAGGAGCAGAAAAGATTACTGTTGGGTACTGAGCTTAATACCTGGGTAATGTAATAATATGTACAGCAAAACTGCATGACCCGTGTTTCTTATGTAACGAACCTTCACATGTACCTCTAAACCTAAAAGAAAAAATTAAAAACTAACAATAATAATCCTAAAAGTAACTTTATTAAAACCCAAAGGTCAATTAAATAATAGTGTATTCAATCTAATAAAAAATATTTATCACATTTAAATGTTATATTTTGATAAAAGCTGCAATGTTTTGAAATATACATATTTTTAAGAATCCCTAATTCAACTTTCTGTGCAATATAAAAATCTCAATTTTAGGCTGGGCATGGTGGCCCACACCTGTAATCCCAGCACGTTGGGAGGCAGAGGTGGGTGGATCACCTGAGATTGAGAGTTCGAGACCAGGCTGATCAACATGGAGAAACCCCATCTCTACTAAAAATACAAAATTAGCCGGGTGTGGTGGCGGATGCCTGTATTCCCTGCTACTCTGGAGGCTGAGGCAGGAGAATCGCTTGAACCCAGGAGACAAAGGTTGCCGTGAGCTGTGATCATGCCATTGCACTCCAGCCTGGGCAATAAGCACGAAGTTCCATCTCAAAAATAAATACATAAATACATAAATACATAAATAAATAAATAAATAAAATCTCAATTTTGTTATTTCGTCATTTCTGGATAGCATATGTTGGATGATTACCTGCTTCTTTAGAGCTTTAAAATTTGTTTTCAATAAGAGGAATAATTTTTTTAGTGAGTTTGGATAATTTTTTCTCATTTATATTAATGCTTTCTAACATCATCTACTAACTTTCTTTTCCATCTGTTGGTAAACCAGTATTTATATATTTGAATTTCATTTTAATCTGTAGAAATGATACCTCTTCAAAGCATTTTTATTTTAGAGTAGAAATTTTAATGACAGACATAATATTTTTGCATCCATATGTTCATTTTTATTCTGGAAAGGGTACATTTGAAATTGGCAGACTGTAAAATATAAAGGTCACTTAAAAATATCATAGTTTGAAAACAGCTGGTGACAAGAGATAACACATTTTCTATCTCTAGGTAACTTTATTTTAAATTCTAAAAGTAACTTTGTCATTTATACTTGAATCATTAAAATTGAATCAGAAATGATTTTCTGTTTCTTTTGATTTCATTCCCAAAAGGTACCATAGAAATGTATTAGGTCAGTTACAGAATACACAACTACTAATATAACTGAAAAGAAAAAATAAAAATAAGAAATAAAAAATAAAGTTTTCAAATCCTTTAATTTCTTAATATATACTAGGACGGATGTCATGTCTACAATAGAATATCTAAATCTTGCATATAAAGTATATAGAATGACTAAACAATATACTTGTGCCCATTTTCTAAATTAAGAAGAGAGCATTTTAAAAACTATCAAAGGGTCTTGTATAACCTTAAAATATTTCATTGTCTGGATATACTACTGTTTACTTATCCATTCACTTATTGAAGGGAATCTTGGTTGCTTTTCTGTTTTGGCAATTATAAAGCTTCTGTACCCATCTGTGTGCAGGATTTTTGTGGTGATAAGTTTTCAACTCACTTAAGTAAATATCAAAAAGTGGGATTGCTGCATCATAAGATAAGAGTATGTTTGTTCTCTTAAGAAACTGCTAAAATCTCTTCCAAAGCGGCATTTGCATTATTTCCCACCAGCAATCAAGGAGAGGTCCTGTTGCTTCACATCTACCATCCTTGCCAGCATTTTCTATTGTCCGTTTTCTGAAATTTGGCTATTCTAATAGGTGTGCAGGGATATCACATTTTTAATTTGCATTTCATAATTACATTTGATGTGGAGTATTTTTTCATATGCTTATTTGTTATCTTTTTATCTTCTTTGGTTACTCATGGTTTTAAAATCCCATGCTTCAAAATAGATAAATTAGGAATGTGTTCCTTTCTGATACGAAAATAAAGGGTTTACCAAGTAGAGAATTACAGAGAGTACAAATAAACAAACAGATGCTTTTACAAATATATTAATATAGTCTGTCAGAGAACAATGAATTCTTGAAGTTGTTTGGGCAACAAAACTGAAGTTTCTTTGTGAGTCTTATAAAACAAATTTCTGCTATCATGTGGCTATTTCTCAGATGGAAAAAGCTTCTTCTTGACTAAATATGAACAGTCAGTTTGTCATCTAAGTTTGAAATAACTGAAAAAAAAAAACGTATTTAGGTTCAAGTCTGTGAGTATTATCAGATATTGAGTACAAAAAATTCTATAAAGTAAAACTCTAAAAATCATATGATATCTAGAGTTTTAGTGGCAAAATATATTTCTTTGATATAATAAGGAACATAAAATAATGCCATATTCCAAATATATTTTCTTTATTTTCTTTAATACTTTAGAAATCACCTCCCTCACATAAGCTGTCCCTTACCACACATCTAAAATAGTAAAATTAGCATCTACCCACACTTTATATCCTCTTATTCTTCCGTCTATCTTCAGACAATTTTTAGATACTCACAAGCACACTCACAGTCACACACACTGGACAAAAAGTGTTCTTACAGCTCAAACTGTGTGAGATCTCTTCAACTTTTCTTGAATTGGAGTTTTATGTGTAGGGTTTTGGAGCAAAATATCAATTGTAATATAGTCATCTAGCAAGATCAGTTGTCAGTGCTATCAGACCCAATCCTCTCTCTTTTAACAATTTCTTATAAGACCCTCTTCATTATTTGTAATGAAATTCATAGTCTAGCCTACACATACAAATTAATTTTAAAAATATAAGGTTAATTGTAGTACACAAAGGGAAAGAAATCTGTAATTAAATAATTTATGTATCACCTTATAAAAATTGAATATATATATAACATACAACACACACACACACGCATATATATATATGTTGTTCTCGTAAGAAAATGCCAAAATCTCTTCCAAAGTGGCCGGACCAATTTGCATTCATTTCCAACAGCAATCAATGAGATTTCCTGTTGGCACACATTATATATAAATATATAGAGAGAATTTATAAATAGATATATGGCTGTTCTAGTATATGTATATATGTATATATGTAATATATATGTGTATATATGTATTTAGCCAATAAATAAATAAATACATATATATAATTGGTCCCAGTAAAATATATATATTATATATGTATATTATATTTATGTGCATATGTATATATTTTACTAACACCTCTCATTTATAATCTTATGGTTTATATGTACTAAAAGTACCTATTATGAATGCACATTATATGATTTTTAGTATATTTATGGAATTGTGCAACCATTACCATAATCTACTCTTTAAACTTCTCCAACATGTGGAAATGATCTCTTATGTTCATGAGTAGTTAATTCCCACTCTCTTGTCAAGCCCAGAAAACTACTGATATTTTTGACTATATTTTGTTTTTTCTGGGTATTTCATATACCTGAAATCAAACAACATGTAGATTTTTTGTATATTGCTTCTTTCCTATAGCACGATATTTTTAGGTTCATTTATGCTGTTGCTTGTTTCAGAACTATGTTAATTTTTATTACTGAATAGTATTTAATCAGTGAATATATCACTTTTTTTCTAGCTGATTCACCAGTTAATAAATATTTGGATTGTTTCTCATTTTTGGACTTCATGAATATGCGCCTTTAAACATTCATGTACAAGTGCTTTTGTGAATTCTGTTGGGTAGATACACAGGAGTGGAATTGCTGGGTAGTACAGTAAGTTTATGTTTAAGTTTTTAAGAAACCATCATAATGCTTACCAAAGTGGCTCTACTATTTTACACTGCCATCAGAGATGCGTAGTTTCCAGTTTCTTCACCTCCTCGCCAACAGCTTGTTTCAGTGTCCCATAGACAGTTGCTTTTGGATAAAAGCAAGAGACACAAGAGTCCCATAGATGGTTCCTTTTGGATAAACATAAAAATGGACATTTCTGCTGTTCAAGCTTGAAACTTATATTTGTTGTATCTGAGTTCCTTCCTCAGGAAACGACTTTCAGGCCTCTCACAAAAAGAATAAAAAAACTGAAACCAGATCACCACACCAGATGCTAGACCCCTCATTCACAATGATTGCTTCCGTGCCCCCACCCCCAAGTTTTTCTTTCCTTACTCATTTAACATTTCTTGCCTACCTGCTATATAAACCCCTGGTTTTAGTCAGTCAGGGAGATGGATTTGAGACTGGATTTGAGCCCCCATCTCCTTGGCTGCAAAACCCTATTAAAGCCGTTTTCCTTGGCAATACTTATTAATCATTTCAGTGATTGGCTTTGGGTGTGGTGAGTAGCAGGACCTAGACCAAATCCCTGAGTGTTTCGGTAACATATTTTCATTCCCGGACCAGGAACGCATTGCTCGTGGCTCAGTTGCTGTGGGCTGGGAGTCTCAGAAGCTCTCCTAAGCAGCTGCCTGCCTACTTTTGGCTGGAGGTGAGTTTCCATCTCTCTCTGGCCCCGCCTCAGCTGGTGCCAAACATGTTCCTGATTGCCTCGGAAGAACTGCCTTTGAAATTTAACATTGGCATTGGGATAGGTGAGTGTCCTTTGTGAGCCCAGATAGCAGAATCTGCTCCTCTCGCTTTGGGAATATTTTAAAGGAATTTCCATTCATACGTAGAACAAGTTCTACTGATTGAGAGAGAGAAGCAACTGACTGTTTCTTTCAGTATAGACACTCTTGGGGACTTGTTTGTAATTGTGTGTTGTATCTATACAAGTTAGTGTCTTCTGTGGGTACCAAACAGTAGGATCAGCTTCCCTCAATTTGGGAAATTTCTATGGAATTTATTGTTTGCAGGTTGATCAAGCCCAACCAACAGAGAGAGCATCTCAACCATTTCAGTTTGGACATTTGTATTTGTTGCTGCAAAAGTTGGATTGTCTTCTGGTGATTGTGTGTGTTTTATATAGTCATGAGAAATTAGAATTTGGTAAAGTGATATTCTTTTGCAATACTGTTTGGCCCCGATATTGTTTGGAATTCTGGAGTTTGCTATTGAATGGGAAAGACAGATGGAGTTGCATATATCCAGGCTTTTGTGCTGCTGTTCTAAGCAGGGTTAGGCCTGCTTACTATGCGATGTTTTCCTTTGGTGTTGTTAGGCCCCTGTGTTCTTTTGAGTCTGGGGAGGTTTGGCCTTTAAAAATCAAACTTGAAACTGCTTTACCCAAAATTTTGGTTCACAGCCTTAACTGGATTACCTATTGGGGCAAACAAAGTAAAACTGGTAAGCTCGTATTGCTATCTCATGGCTAGAGTTCCAAGCTAAAAGCTATTGGAACTTTGTGAGTGTGTATACATGTCTAGATGTGTTTATTTGTATGTACAAATATTGTTATATGTTGTGCCTACAAAACTGGCTTCTAAGTAAAAGAGTGCTCATAAACTAAGTAAATAAGTCCAACCAATTTTCAAAGTCATGTGACTTAAGTAAATCTTTACTAAACAAGCTGGCTTTAAAATTATTGGTAAAATGAAAATAGAGAAATGACTTCAGAATTGTCAGTATATATTTTGTCTGGGTTTTATATTTGTCTTTCCTAGATATTTGAGATGTCAGTGCTTGTCATAGACATTTATAAGGCTATTGATCCAGCCAAAACAAAATGATCTTGGTTTGTGTGACTTATTTGACAAATGAGAATAATTTAATGTTGTTAGCTGAATTTTCTGAGTTACTGGTCAAAATACCTATGTACTTAACTTTGAGGCACTTACTTAGGTGAGCACCTGATGTGCACTGGCTATTAAAAAAATGGTTAACCAGGAATTAACTAACTTTAAATGATGGTGTCTAATATCTCAGTTTTCAGAAGTAATCTAGGTAAACTGTTAAAAATGAAAAAAAATTGAGTACATGTAAGTGGAATAAATATTTTAGGTAAACTTTTTGTGTAATTTAAAATCTTAAAATTATTTTTAATATGCATTGGATATCTGGGTCATTTCCAATTAAGAAAGGATTATGATATGTTAAAATATTTTTCTAAAAATTGTGGAATTATTCTTATATATAAAGTGCTCATATCTGATAGTTCACGATTTCTTGCTTTTTAGGGTTTCACCAAAATTTAAAGTTACTAAGGATAAGAATCATAGTTCATGTATAATTCTGTATATAAAATATGCCAAAGAATGTTATTAGTGAGAAAAAGAGTTTAAAAACTAACCTAAAAGTTAGTTCAAATTACAGATTTGAAAAAGATATTTATGAAACAAGGTAGTAAAGAACCAGTAAGTAGGGGAGAGATATGTGAAGAAAATTATGTATATGAAGATGTATTTCTGGTAAGGAAGGTTATAAAGAAAAGATAATTTTGAGAAAGGATCTGGTATGGTAAATTTTTTGGCCTCGACTAAAATGATTGGTTACTTGAGGAAGAAAGGAGAAATAAATAAGAAAAAAGAAGAAGGAAGAAGAAGAAAAAGGAAGAACAAGAAGGAGAGAAGAAGGAGACAAAGAAGAGGAAGTGGAAATCTGGGACTGAAGGGAAAGCCCAGGTATATGTGGATGGTGTGTGTAAGACATATGTAATGTTTCCTGTTTCTCTGTGTGTCTGTTTTCATGCACTTGTGGACTGGCAGTCTGCCCTCAGCCTCCAGGCCCTCCCTGGCCTGAAAGTGAGGCCTCACTGGGTACCTGCCTCCTTCTGCCCAGGAGCCTGTCTTCCTCCTGCTGCT
Organism: Homo sapiens; assembly: GCF_000001405.40. NCBI lineage: Eukaryota > Metazoa > Chordata > Mammalia > Primates > Hominidae > Homo > Homo sapiens. The sequence continues at coordinate 194,889,533 of NC_000001.11, read as the reverse complement.
GTCCATGGTGCCCAGGCTGCTTGTGCCAAAGGACACCTGCAGGCTAGTGCCAGGCCGTCCTCAGCCCCCACTCAGCCTCCTTCTCATACTTGTTGGAGCCCAAAGTCCAGAGGGGACTGAGGCAGTAGGGGGCACACGTGTCGTGTCAGCACTGCCAAGTGTGTGCACCCCTGGTCAGGCTGCAACAGTGCATGGGCTTGGCAACACATTGCTCCAAGATTGGAGTGGACACCGACAGTGGGGAGAAGCCAGGCAGTGAGAGCACGCACCTGCAAGGTCTTGGTCAGGGGTAACTTTCCAGGCTCCTAAGAGTGCAGAGAGGCCTAGGTCCACAGCTCTGACCACCAAAATCTGAGGTGGCATTGGAATTATTTTAAGTTATATTTATATAGATATGTTGTTAATATATGTTCCAGGATTATATGAGATTCCTAAAATTCTGATGTGTCATAATATATATTGTCAGTAAAAATTATGATTATGTTAAATTGCTGTATGCCACAGAAATAACCAAATTTCCTTGTCTACTGTGTCTTTAACTATGGCTGTCTTAAGACTTTTGTCATCCACAATAGATGTTTTGCTTTGATCCTTCTCAAAAAAAGGAACCTTTAATCAGCTACAGTCCAAGGCTAACTTTTTTAGAAGAGTTCAGGAAAAGAACTCTTGAATGCAGGTTTCTGATAACTTTGAAGATTGTGCCATTGCTTTAGAGAGAAAACTTCCAGGGCGCCAATTGAAAGGCTGATGTGTTTGCAAAGATTGCTAACCTAATGTGAAACAGAGCAGGAGTTGATTTCATGCATGGACTGAACGAATGGAAGACAGAAATAATTTTTATGGGTATCATTGTTTGAAATATTGATGATTCTTTTTGTTTTCTTTTTACAGAGCCTGGAGAATCTTTTGCTTTTTAGCTATTTACAGCCTTGAAATATACTTTATGTGTATTGAGTATAGTTTTGTATATGGAATTTGAGCCATATTTCTATCTCTCTGCCTAATTTCTCCAGAATTTGTAAACTATTTGTGAATATTCTTAACTCATGGCAATGTGTTTGTCTGCATACAATTAATAACCACGTGTTTTATTTTGTAATGGGACACAATTGAAGGAACTGGTTATTTTCTCAGGGATTTGACTGAAATGGCCTTGTGAGATGTTCCAGCAAAGCCAAACTGGGAGAGTCTATATGGACAATTATCTTTGTTTCACTTTGTGTGCATAATCAGGCCAAGCATACGGGACTGAATCTTATTTTGCAGGAATATTGGTCCTGCTGTCATTTGTCTTTGATGGAAGTGGCAGCCTGACCCCATTTTCTAAATTTGTTGTTATTGTCGTTGTTTCATTATTAATGAGTTATAATAGTATTTTTTTAATATTCTGGATGGAAGTCTTTATGACATATGTGGTTTCCAAATATTTTCTCCAGCCTCTGGCTTATTATTCCAATTTTCATTTACATTTTTATTCAAAGGAGACATGGGATTTTATTATGGGCTTGCACACTGGGGAGAGTCCAGTAGCAGTGGGCTGAGCAGGAAAACCACAAACCCCTGTAAACATTGTGCAATTATATAGCGTTTTCACTTAGCACTCTTCCCTAATGACCTCCACCTGGCAACCTTCATTTTCTTAGCAGTATTTTTGAGGTGCAAAAATAAAATATTTTAAATTTTTGATGAAATACAATTCATAAGTTTTATTTTTTAATAGATTTCACATTAGTGTTGCATCCAAGAATTTTTATGCCTAATTCAAAGTCATAAAAATGTCTCCTATGTTTTCTTTTAGAATTATAACTTGCATCTCTATAAATGATTCCATTTGAGTTAATATTTGTGTATTTTATGAAAAAAAGTCTACATGAGTATTTTTTTTGCATATAGATACAAAAATTTCCCAGCACAGTCTCTTGAAAAGACTGTTATTTTCACCTTGAATTGCCCTGTTGTCTTTATTGTGAATCAGTTGACCAGAAATATAAGGATTTATTTCAGAACTTTTATCATTTTATGCCATTAATACATCAGTCTATATATATATATACCAGATCAACAGATGAGCTTAATAATTATGGCTTTGTAGGCAATAAGTTAAGAAATTGGGTAGTTTAAGTCTTTGATTTTATTGTCCTTTTTCAAAATCACTTGGGAATTTGGGGTCATTTGTTTTTTCCTATATATTTTTAAATCAACTTGTAAATTTCCACAAAAAAGAGGGTATTGGATAATTATAATTATAAGAACTTTGTTGGTTCTCTAAATCAATTTCAGGAGACTTGCCGTCTTATCATTACTGGGTCTTCAAATTGGTAATTATAAATTATTGAAATCTGTCTTCATTTATTTATATATTCTTTAATTTCTATTAGCAATGACTTGTGGTTTCAGTGAGTTGGTCTTAGACTTTGATAAGTTTATTACTAAATATGTCATTTACATTTTAGGTTGTTGTGAATAGAATTGTTTTTTGAAATACATTTTCAGACTGTTCATTGGTAGTTTGTAGAAATACAAATAATGTGTTTTATATTAATGATATGTCTGGTAATATAACTGAACTTATTCATTGGTTGCAGTATTTAATTTTTAGACTGCTTAAATGTTCTATTCTTACTTTGTCTATTCTTACTTTGTCAGAAGGTTTTACATGAAATGGTGTTTGACTTGTCAAATGCTTTTTTTGCACCTATTGAATTATGTAATTTTTATGTTTTTCATTCTTAAGAATAAAAACTATATAAATAAAATTTTAATTGTTAATCTGACCTTGCTTTCCTAGGACAAATATAACTTAGTCATATTCTAATCTTTTTAGAAGTTTCTGAATTTTGTTTTGCTCATTGTTAAGAGCAATTTTGCATATATATTTTGAGGGATATTTGTATTTTTTGTTTGTTCCCTTTTTTTTTTTTTTGAGATGGATTTTCGCTCTGTCACTCAGGCTGGAGTGCAGTGGCATGATCTTGGCTCACTGCAACCTCCGCCTCCCGGGTTCAAGTGATTCTCCTGCCTCAGCCTCCTGAGTAGTTGGGACTACAGGCACATGCCAACACGCCAGGCTAATTTTTTTTTTTTTTTTGTATTTTTAGTAGAGATGGGGTTTCACCATATTGGTCAGGCTTGTCTTGAACTCCTGACCTCGTGATCCACCCGGCCCAGCCTCCCAAAGTGCTGGGATCACAGGCATGAGCCACTGCGCCAGGCCTGTTTGCTTTTTACTTGTAATATTTTTGTGTGATTTTGGTTCTAAGATTACAGTGACTTCAAATAATTAGTTCAGAGGTGACCTTTTGTCATCTAATTTATGAAAAAGTTTGTGAACAATTGCTTTTAACTCTTTTATTTCATAGAGTTAACCAATAGGCCATCTTTTCTGGTACTTTCCTAATAAGATTTTCAATCATTACTTTCCTTTACATGTTATGTGTTCAATTTAATTTTAAAAATTACTTCAGGGATTCAGTCATTTGTATCATTATAGGAATTTGTCAATTTCATCAAATTTGTCTAATTTGTTGGCTTAATGTTGTTTATAATATTCTCTTAAATTCTTTAAATTTCTGTGGTGTAGTAGTGGCGGGTCCTCTTTAACTCCTGATTTTGGTAATTCAATTTCTCATAGTAAATAAAACTAGAGATATCTCCATTTATCATTTCAAAGTATAAAGTTTTGCTTTGATTTTTAATGTCTTTGTTTTCTATTTTATTGATTTTCACTCTATTTTTATATTTCCTTCCTTCCATTTATTTTGAGTTTATTTTGCACTTTTTTCTTGTTTTTTTTTTAAGTTGAAATTTGAGGTTATTGAGTGGAAACCATATTTCTTGTCTAATACTAGGCATTTAAAATGTAAATATTCCTCTATAATATTATTTTGTTACAGCCCATACATTTTGATATGCTCTTCTTTTGTTTTCATTCAGTTATCTATATCTATAGCCACAACATGTACGTTTTTAATTTTTGGCTTCTTTTTTGATGCATGAGTTATTTCGAAGATTTTTTTTCCCAAAATTTGAGGATTTTCTAAATTTCTTTTTATGTTGATTGCTAATTTCTGTTATACTTGGACCAAATGCTTTGTGTAATTTCAATAATTTCAAATTCATTGAATCCTATTTTTTGTGCTTACATGTGATCTATATTTGAGTGTTTCATTGAACTTTTTAGGATGCTTATTGTGTTGTTAGTGCATCGGGTGCTCTGTAAGTGCAAGTTAAGCCAAGTTGATTATATAGTTGTTAAAGTCTTCCATATCTTTGCTTATATGAATTATTGAGAGTTAACTATAGACCTCATTGTATTCTTGCCACACGTTACATGTCTCCCTTCAATTCTGTAATCTTTGCTTTACGCATTTTATGGCTTTCCTTTAGCAGTGTATATACTTAAAAGTTTTGTATACTCCTGATATGGTGACTCTTTTTATTTGGAAGTGCCCCTCTTTATCTTTAATTCTTATATATACATCTAGTTTGTCTGCTATTATCAATGCCATGCCAGCTTTCTTTTTTTTTCTTTACTTTCAAAGTATGTGCGTATAAAAAACTGAAACGTGACTGTTGATGAAAAAATAAATTAGGATCTTATTTTATATCCAGTCAGAAAATCTGTCCTTTTGTTTTTGCTTTCTTTAGTTCATTTGTATTTACAAATTTATTGATATGGTTGCATCTGTATATGTTATTTTATTATTTGTTTTCTATGTCTTATACCCTTTTCGTTACTCTGTACCTCCTTATTTGTCTTTGTTTCAGTTTTCTATTTAGCTAGGTTATCTTGTTTTGTTTTATATTTTACACTTACTTTCTTAGTAGCTGCTATAAAAATTACAATGTATATTTAACTTATCAAATCTACTTAGATTGTACTAACTAAATTCTAGTAAAATAAAAAAACAATTGTTCTAATGTAAATCAATTTCCTTCTCTTCCCTTTGTGTGCTATTATGATTGTATATATTACATCTATGTTATATACCTAACCACACCGTGCTGTAATGATTTTTATGCAACCATATCATTCAAAGATATTGAGAGAAGCAAAGAAAAATATTCAGTACAGTTTTTTTTTTCTACTTACAAATTTATATTTTGAGAACTCTTTAATCCCTACAGTCATTTCCTCTCAAACTTAAGGACTTCTTGTATTTTTGGAAAGCAGGTTTGATAGCAACAAAACCTCTCATTCAATTATATGGGGGTAACTCTATTTCACCTTTATCTTTGAGGAACAATTTGCTGGCTATAAAATTCATATATATGGAGGGAGAGAGAGAGAGAGAGAGAACAAAAGAGAGTTGTTCGTTTTCTTTCAGCACTTTAAATATCAATTGCACTGCCTTTGGGTCTCCAGTTATTAGTATTAGACATTCTTACAAAGCATGTTCTATTTTTCCTGATAATTTGGTTTTCTCTTGCTGCTTCCAAGGTTTCCTTTTGTTTTTGGCTTTAAGCCGTAGTTTGATTATGTTCTAATTGGCTATTTCTTTACATTTAACCTGCTTTTGATTCAATGCGCTTTTGTGATATTTATATGAGTGTTTTTCATAAATGTTAAAGTCATTATTTCTCCATGTATTTTTAGTCTCTCTGTCTCCTTTTAGGACTCTCATAAAATGCATGTTGATATGGATTTGATGATGTCCCACAGGTCTATGAGGCTCTGTTTATTTTTCTTCATCCTTTTTTTTCTCTGTTCTTCAGATTAGACAAACTTTACCTGTCTATCTTCAAGTGTACCGATCTTTATTTTCCCATCTCAAACTACTGTTGAGTCCCTTGAGTAAAGTTTTTATTTAACTTATTATAATTCGTATTCAGAATTTATATTTAGTTATTTTAAAATAATCTCTTTATTGTGATTATTTTTGAATCATCTCTATTAAATTGCCTTGAATTATTTGGAAATAGTATCATTTAATTATTTGAATGTAATTATGAGAGCTGCATTGACATCTTTGTCTACTAGTAACAACCAGTATATGGTCCCATTCAGAGACAGTTTGTATTTACTATAACTTTTTTTTTCTTTTGAGACAGAGTCTTGCTGTGTTTCCCAGGCTGGAGTGCAGTGGCATGGTCTCTGCCCACTGCAACCTCTGTCTGCTGGGTTCAAGCGATTCTCCTGCTTCAGCCTCCTGAGTAGCTGGGATTGCAGGCGTGCTCCAACATGCCTGGCTATTTTTTTGTATTTATAGTAGGGGTTTCACCATGTTAGCTCCTGACCTCAGGTGATCCAACCGCCTTGGCATCCCAAAGTGCTGGGATTACAGGCGTGAGCCACTGCGCCCAGCCTTACTGTGACTTTTGTAAGTCACACTTTCTAATATTTTTTGCAGGCCTCATACATTTTGATGAAAGCTGGATGTTTTAGATATAACATTGTTTCAACAATAACTTTCCATTTCCCTTTTTTTAAGGCTATTTTGATCTTTGATTGTTTCTGTTTTTGTTTTTTTGTTTTGGCTGTTTAGTAATTTCCATCAATTTTATCTCAGTAAAGTAATAAAAAGTAAATACTTTGGTGAGTCACATAAATTAAACCAGATTACCTCTGAGTTGAAAATTCCTGAAGCTCAGACATGTGAAATTACTACTCAAACTAGTGTTGTATATGTTTGCAATTTTCATAATAAAACTAACATATATTAACATAGTAAACTTTGATTAGTTATTTGAAGGTATGATTTGACATTAGGATTATCATCATACAGTAAGTATATCTATACAAATACAATAAAATACTACTACTTTGTCAGTCATCATAGTAAGAAAGAGTTATTTTGCCTTGTAAAATAAAGCTAACAGCAATAAACTACCTCATGGAAATTCTTTAAATATGTAAATTGGTTGGTTCCTTGGATATATTACCCACTCAATAACAATAAAGGACCTCATGGAAATTTTTGTAGTGAGTAAATTGGTTGGGTCTTGGTATATATTACCCATTCAATATGTGCTATTGTTTTTTTAATTTGAATTATGAAGACATTTGTATATAATGAAATAGAATAATATAATATATTTTTATTTCGTTCTCATCATATAATTTTTATAATTATCATTTTCTGGTCAATATTTTCTCAGTTACATCTAAATCTTCTTTAGCTCTACAGGATTTGTTTAAAATATATCTAGAATATTATATAATTCCATCCCCAAATATTTCAGTATGTGTAAGAAATAATTTTTTACTTTAACATTATCATACCTAAAAATAACAATCATTACTTATTATCATCCTATCATTGGAATTTCAACCTGCCATTGAAGGTATGTTATTATTATGACTATGTCAATACTATTTTTAAAATATTACAACTATAGCAACACAATTACTTTTTGTTATGGTTCAACTTTTTCCTCAGGTTTAATATTTTAATTTTAATACTTTTTATTTTCTTATTTCATTCCTCTTTCAAAATTTAATCAGGGTTCAAACTTTTCAATTATTCTATATTTTATTTTTATATTAAACCTCTTGAACCTCTTTGTGTTTGTTTGCTGTATCCCTATGGTGATGTTTAACCTCTTTAGTTTCATCTTTTATGCTTTCTCTGTGTATACCTTGTAATGGGCTATAATACCTAATGACTTGCTCAATTTGGACAATTATATTTCATAATAAATGCTATATAATATTTATTCCCCTGACTTAGAAGACAGATCACATTTGCTTTTCTCTCTTATGCAATAAGAAGATCAATTAGATGGGAAAAATAGGAACATCTAAAACAATAATGATTATAGTGGATTAAATAACAAAAAATATATTCAAATTCATGAGCTTAAAATAATACTCACAAAAATAAACAAGGAAACCTCACTGGTCAACTTTGGAAGTTCCTAGGTATCTATTCATTGTTCTGCAAACAGTAAATTGCTTTTTAAAATACAAAGGCTATTTCTACATCCTATCATATTCTCTCACTGTCTCCTTTTCCTTATTTATTGATACATATTTTCAAACTTACATATATTCGGAGTTTAAACGTCAGAGTTCTAAAGGAATTATTATTGTAAAGCTTCAGTCTTGTGCTTCACCTTCTGCAAACCTGCAGATTACCATTCCCCAGGGAAAACCTTAACTATTTTAGCCATAACTTGTGATTTTACCTGGAAATTTCAGAATAATAGTATTATAGTGTTTTTAAAATCTTTTAATTTGAAGCAGTATCTTTGGGCTTCTTACTACAGACATGAATATTTAGTTCTCATATACTAAGCCTCAACTTTCACAAGGACTTCTCTTTGCCAACCGTTGTAGACATGCCATTATTATTAATTATCAATGTGTGTATGCATATATCAAGTTCAGAAGTGATATATGCAATGTAATAAACTATAATACCCTTATAAAATATAACTATTCTCCTGAGGATATTAAGTGTTTATGTTTTCCATCTTTTGTTTTGTCTACATTTCTCTGGTTTAAGTATAAATTTATATTCAATGTTATCAAATACATGAGTTTTCAATTTTATTTTTATTTGCTTACTGGAGACTTTCCTTTGTAATCATCCATTTTTTGTGTTTCTAGGCCTAGTTCATTATTGTGTTTATAGTATCTCAATTTACCTTCATCTTGGGGTATTCCATCCATCTCTCTCTTTTCTTGTTTCCTGGAGATCATGTGTTCTCCTTTCCCTCATTGTGAGTGTGCAGATTGTTCCTTAGCTTCCAAGAAGTAATACTGGGGAATCAAGATTTTTCAGTTGCTTCTCTGAAAAGATCTTTACTTCACCTTCACTTTTGATATATAATTTGACTGGTTGTAGCATTTCTGTATCATTTTGCCTCAGAAATTTTAAAGTTATTTTATCTTGTTTTCAGTGGTATTAAGAAGTGCAGTGACTTCTGACTATAAATTGTTCTTATTTTTTTTCCCCACATACATCTTAAAACTCATATAATTTTCAGTCGGAATTTAGAATTCTGAAATTCCCAATAATGTCATTCATGTGGGTATTTTAGCATAGATTTGTCTGGGCATTAAAAAGGGCTTTGTAATTTGAAGATAACACTTTTCAGGACAGAAAATGTTGTTGATTAATTTATTTCAAAATTTCCTGTTTTGTTCTCTGTGTACCCTTTTCTGAAATTCCTGGATTTATAATTACTTTTTTTTTTTTTTTTTTTCTTTTTGAGACGGAGTCTCACTCTGTCCCCCAGGCTGGAGTGCAGTGGTGCGATCTCGGCTCACTGCAAGCTCCGCCTCCCGGGTTCAGGCCATTCTCCTGCCTCAGCCTCCCAAGTAGCTGGGACTATAGGCGCCTGCAACCACGCCCGACTAATTTTTTGTATTTTTAGTAAAGACGGGGTTTCACTGTGTTAGCCAGGACGGTCTCGATCTCCTGACCTCGTGATCCGCCCGCCTTGGCCTCCTAAAGTTCTGGGATTACAGGCGTGAGCCACCGCGCCCAGCCTATAATTACTTTTAGATTTTTTTTCCTCCCGTATTTTTCATATCTTTGTCTTTAGTCTTATATTTTAACATTGCTATTCTCTTTTAAAAATGTTTATCAATTTATCCAAATGTATACTTCTAAAGTTATTTATTTTTGTTTATTGGAGTTTCATGAGGAAAATGGATACATATTTACATATTTTCCAAGAATTCCGTTATATCACTATTAATTTTTGAAAAACTAAATGGCTTAGCAGTTGGAAATTGCTTGAGATTAAGAGAGACGTAAGTTCAAATTCCAACTGCAAGATTTACTGGCTTGGTGACATGAGTATATCCAAGTTACTTAACTTTCTAACTCAGCTACACTCTCAATAGTGTGAGAGCAGTAATACTGATCTCAATTGTGTGGATTAAATATGATAATCAATCTGAGTGTTTTGCGTAATATTTGACACATACTAATTCAATAACTGTTAGTTAATGATTAGTTCATTAGTGTTAGTAGTATTAGTGTTAAAGCAAATAATACATAGTGAAATATAATAATATACATTGCTATTAACATACAATGTTAAGAGACATAATTATGAGGAGGAATACATTTCAAGACATCTATTGTATAACAAGGTGATTATAGTTAATGATGATATACGGTATTCTTGAAAAATGTAGAGAAAGTGGATGTTAAGTGCTCTTACCACAAAATTGACACTGATGTGAGGTAATGCACTTTTTAATTAGCTAGTTTCAACGATTTTAAAATATATGTACTCAAAGAATCATGTGCATGATGGAAGCATACAATTATGTTAACTTTCAGTTTTTAAAATGTAAATGGCTTTTATATTTTTAGATGGTTGAAAAAATCAAAAGGAGAATAATATTTCATGACACATTACAATTATATGGAATTTTTGAATTCAGTGTCTATAAATACAAATTTGTAGGAGCACAGAAACTAAATTAAAATGTAGGGAATATACCTTTAAAATGTATCAGAATGTTATTTACACCAATAGAGAAAAAAAGCTTCCTTTGACTCGTACTTCAAAGTTTTAAAAATAATTATTTAACATGTCATTCATATTTATGTTAATGTCCAAAAAAGTAGACACTATTAATCCTGGAGGAATACTGTAATAGAAATTACTATTTGTGTTCCAGGAGCTACCCTTTTTAATATGACTAAGTTGAAAGGCTCTGGAGGGAAAGGGACCAATGCCCAGATCATATTATGTTTTATTATTCTAAATATTGGAGAATCTCTGATGTTTTGAAATGAGCTTGGCTGTGAGCCTCCAGCAAGAAAAGACCAAATTGCTACCAACAATTAGAAGACTGTAAGTGTTTTAGGTAATGAATTGGTTTAACATCAGAGCTCAGATAATGAAAAGGGGATACACACACACACACACAAACATTCACTCATATGTATATGTTTCCTTCTGTTCCACCAGTATGAGCACACTGGGTGTACTTGAGGGACAATGACTAAGATTTGTGTGAATTAGAACCTGAGTTTGCTGTGGAGTACAAATGGTTTGAAATGACTGTGAAGCAATGAATTTATCCTTACTCAGAAAATCATGATGGCCTGTCCAAAATCTAGTTGAGTTCTCCACATAAGAAATACAAGACTATGATAGACCAAGGTAAAGAACTACCACAGTCCCTATAATTCTTACTATAACGTTACCTTAGATGACTAAAACTCCTCCTTCTCCTCCTTTGTAACATGTGAAAAAACAGCCAGACCACAGCTGGAATCATTTGAATAATAACAAGAAAGTTATAATAATTGAAAAATATAGTACAAATTCAAATGAATGAATGAGAAAACAAAATATGTAAAAACTGAAGAGCTGAAATATCCAGTGTGAGTGGATTATTGGAAATTCTTATTCTAGGTACAAAAGAGATAATGCACTTTTAGAATCCAAGAAATAATAAACTGAAAGTGGTTTTGGGCATATGATTTAAAGTTAAAAATACAGTAGTTCCTAAAGACTGTAGTGCTGTTCATAAAAATAAACAAAATAAACCAAAGCTAAATATGCCAATTAGGAAATGGTAAGCATGGAGGAAATAGCTGAAGTCATATCAACCAATTATACATTGAAAGGGAATGTGAGCATGAAAATGTAGAAGACCAAGTTACTAAAAAATATTTGTCTTTATCTTCTTTCTCCAAATTAAACATTTGTGAATGAATTAAAAACTCCAAATTAGTCTCCTTATTGATTAAATAAAAATTTTTGTTTGAAATTTTCTTCTCTAATCTCTGTAAATAAAAGGAATTTTAAAAAGAGGAATACATCTTCATAAGGAGATTAATTTGCAAACCAAAGTGTAAAAACTCCTACTCACTGATGAGGCCAGCTTTACCTTGATAACAAGATTTTTTAAAAAAAGACATCACAAGAAAGAAAAAACTATATGCCACTATTTTTATGAATATAGAGGTGTAAATCTTTTAAAATAGTACCAAACTGAATCCAGCAACATAAAAAGAGGATTTTATGTCATGATCAAGTGAGATTTACTCCAGAAAGCAAGGTTTGTTTAACATAAACTAATCGACTAATTAATGTAACACATATGAAAAGAATGAATAATAAAAATCACAAGATGTACTTAATAGATGCAGAAATAGCATCTGAAAAAAAATACAACACCCTTCCATGACAAAAACACACAAAACAAACTGAAATAGAAAAGGGTACCTCCCTAATTTCATAAAGAGCATTACAAGAAATCCTCAGCTAAGGTCATACCAAATGGTGAAAGACTAACTGCTTTCTCCCTAATAAGAGCAACAAGACAAGGATGTTTGCTCTTGTCATTTGTAGTCAACATTGCACTGAAGTTTCTAGCCAATGCAATTCATCAAGGAAAAGAAATAAAAAGCATGCCGATTGAACAGAAGAAGTGAAATTATCTCCAGATGACATGACCTTGTATACAGAACATCCTAAGTAAGCAAAGAGAAAAACTATTAGAACTAAAAAAAAGCTCAACAGGTTTTACATCACAAGTTAAACATACAAAAGTCAATTGTATTTCCATACAATAGAAATGAATGAAATAAAAAAAAAACAATTCCATTTAGATTAGCATGAAAAAGAATAAATAATGGAAAATATGTACCAAAAAATATAAAACGTATTTTCTGAAAACTGCAAAACATTTTTGAAAGAAGTGAATCAATAAACAAATGAAAGGAAGACGCAATCTCATATCCACGGCTTGGTAGACTTAATATTGTCAAGCTTGCAATACTTACAGATCTCATGCAATTACTAACAAAACCCGAGCTAGTTGTTTTAGCAAAAATAATTTTGAAAAAATTATGAAATTGAAGAATTGACACTTTACAATGATAGAACTTGCTATAAAGTAATCAAGATAGTTTGATAATTGTATAAGCATAGAAAAAGATACATGAAATGAAATTGAAATCCAGAGATAAACTCACATTTATACTTACTGACTTTCAACAAAGATATCAAGATAATTCAACAGGGAAAATCGTAGTCTTTTTAACAAGTGGTGCTGGGACAACTGGATGTCCACATGCAAAATAATGGATCTCTTTCTCACACCATATATAACATACATCAAAATAGATCCTAGACCTAAATGTGAAAGCTAAAACTATACCACTCATAGAATTATTATTAACTCATTATTCTGAATAATATTGATTAATTTTTTAAACATAAGCAATATCTTGGTGACTTTAGGTTGGGCAAAACCTTCTTAACATGACAATAAAACATAAGTAAAAAAAAGTGGGTAAGTTCTACTTTACCTAAAAGTAGAGAGCTTTTTTTTTTTTTTTTTTTTTTTTTTTTTTTTAGACAAAGTCTTGTCTGTGGCTTCAGGCTGGAGTGCAGTGGCATAATTTTGGCTCTCTGCAACCTCTACCTCCCAGGTTCAAGTGATTCTCCTGCCTTAGCCTCCTGAGTAATTGGCATTACAGGCACGCTCAACTATGCCCTGCTAATTTTTGTATTTTTAGTAGAGATGGTGTTTCACCATGTTGGTCAGGCTGGTCTCGAACTCCTGACCTCATGATCTGCCCGCCTCAGCCTCCCAAAGTGTGGGATTACAGGTGTGAGCCACCACACCCAGCCAAAAGCATTTTTTATAAAGCTTCAAATGATAGTATAAAGAAAGGGAAAAAAATGACTTACAGATGGGAGAAAATATTTGTAAATCTTTCATATTACAAGGGACTTGTATCTAAAATATATAAAAATCGTTCCCAAGTTAATAATAAAAATAACTCAATGTTTAAAATAGGCAATAAATATATCTTCATAGAAGATATAAAGTGGCAAATGAATACATGAAATTATGCTCAACCTTATTAACTATTAGGGAAAGGCAACTCAAAAATTGTAGTGAAATATCACTTCACATTCACTCTGTAATAAAACAACACATAAATAGAATTATTGGCAAGAATGGGGAGAAATTAGAAACCTTATACATTGCTTGTAGGATTGTGTCATGATACATTAAAAATTCTGCATTTCTTCAGAAGCTTTATTGCAAAACAAATTGCTGACCCACTGATTCTACTTCTGGGTACCTACCTGAGGCAAATGAAAACATATGTCTATACAAAAATATGTATCCAAATAGTCATAGTATCACTATTCCTCATATCCAAAAGTGGAAACAATCCAAATATATACCAACTGATGAATGGACAAATAAAATGTGGTATATTCATATGGCAGAATATATTATTTGGTAGTATAAAGGAATGAAGTATAGGTACATCTTATGCTATAGATAGACCTTGAAAGAATTTCACGAAGAGAATTGAGCCATTTTAAAAGGATATCATATTCTATAATTACCTTTATATATAATGTCCAGAATACTTATATCCATAGATACAGAAAATGCAACAGTGATGCTTAGTGAGAAATGGGAATGGGGAGTAGATGCTAATAGATACAGTTTCTTTTGGGGTGGTGAAAATTTTCTAAGATTAGATAGTGCCAGTGGTTGTACAACTTGAGAATATTCTTTAAACCACTTAATTGTATATTTTTAAAGGGTGAATTTTATGGTGTGTGTGTGTGTGTGTGTATAGAGAGAGCGAGACATATCTGAAACTATTTTCTTCGTAATGTGAGACAATGTTATGTAAATTTTGTCTTTTCTTACATGCACTTAATGAGGTAATGTATGCAATGTTTCAATTGAATGAGTAATTTATTTCAGAAAATAAAGATACCTGCTAATCATTTTTTGTCTTCCTTTCCTCCTCATTCTTTTTTATATTGTTACTTTCTACCATTTGTTTTATTATTATAACCATCTATTTCTGCTATAAAACTGGTATTATTTAAATTTTTAATTTTTATTTCCTACTCAATCATCTTCTCCTCTGAACATTCATGAATAGATTAATTCAACAGATTTGAGTTCTTACATGTGGAAAAATTTCTTATAATGCATTTAGTGACCTAGAGATGATTAACATGAATGAATACTATCCACAAATTTTTAATAAAGATAGTGATATGACACATACACATACACTGTCTGCCTGGAAGAGATATTAGGACACATGGAAAATATATGGGACTAGAGAGAAGTTAGGGAAACTAATTCTAAAACTAAGTTCTAGACTTAGTTGTGGAAGCAACTTTCTGTGTGATTGTAGCATATATAATTGTTCTTTATGTCTTCTAATGTAATATGTATTTCCAAAGACGATTTCCAAAGCCTCTTTCAACTGAATAACATCTCATCAATACCATTAAATATAGCATATTAGGGGCACAGTACTAAGGGAGGAAAACATTAATGCAAGCAGAAATAACAAAAGTATTTATGGAGGCATTAAACTTTTAACTGAACATTAAATAATATGTAATGTTTCAATAAGAGTTCAAGGACACTATCAAAAACAAAATCTGACACAATAAAAGGCATAGAAATAGGGAGAAACTGCTGGGTGCGGTGGCTCATGCCTGTAATCCCAGCACTTTGGGAGGCCAAGGCGGGCGGATCACCTGGCCAGGAGTTCAAGACCAGCCTGGCCAGCATGGTGAAACCTGTCTCTAGTAAAAATACAAAAAAGTAGCCGCACATGGTGGTGCACACCTGTAGTCCCAGCTACTGGGAGGCTGAGGCAGGAGAATTGCTTGAACCTGGCAGGTGGAGGTTACAGTGAGCGGAGATTGTGCCATTGCACTCCAGTCTGGATGACAGAGTGAGACTCTGCCTCAAAAAAAAAAAAAAAAAAAAGAAAGAAAGAAAGAAATAGGGAGAAACAAAGCAGTCTCAGGAAATTGACTACAGGCTGCTTTGACTGTATCAGAATGAGGTGGAAAAAATCAGAATGTATTAATATTTTATAAATTTTACTATAATAAAGGTTTTTATCCATCCAGATTTTACATATCAGAACAGATGGCAGAGTAGGCATTCTTAATGTTCCTCAGTGCTATTAAAAAATGCTTCAGCCTTTTAGGCGTGGCTCATGTCATCAAGCGATTTCTCTTATCTGCTATCAAATGAATTTCGTCATTCTGTCTCAGTAACTAGAGGCTTCAGTTGTATGACTCACTTCCTTTTTCTCTCATCTGCGTGATGTCACAATCCTGATTAATGTGATAGACCCAAACAAATAGCACAGTGGCAAATATTTTGACCCCGTCAAGCCTGTTTTATTATTTCCAATTATTATTTCTACTTGTTTTCCTTTTATATGTCCACAACCTGGAGTTTAATATTACCAAAATTGTCCTACATTTCTTTTCTTTTTTTTCTTTCTTTATTTTATTTTTTTTTTTGAGACGGAGTCTCGCTGTCACCCAGGCTGGAGTGCAGTGTCACGATCTCGGCTCACTGCAGGCTCTGCCCTCCGGGATTGTCCTACATTTCAAATCTCAAGATAGCCTACGTTTCTTCCAGCTCTAATGCTATTACCCCTTTGATATTTGTTAGTTGATTTCATGGAGATATTTATTACCATATCTCCTTCATTTTCTCCTTCGCTCTATTCTGATAGCGTTTCCTCTGGCTTAACTCCCTCACCATCTACCTTGAATATCCAAATTCTTCGCCATGTCATTTTCTATATAAACCCAATTAATTCCAAATAATTTTTCTCACACCTGCTTTGAAGAATATTTCTATAGGAACTACCATACTGTAAAGATAATCAAACTACTTTGAGAAAATAAATGATTCTTCCCACAAACCTGCTGTTCCACAGACTTTCCTATTTAATGAAATTGGCCACTGCATTGTTTCTCTTTCTCCACTCAAAAATTATTTAATCATTCTTGTTTTCTGTCACTCAGTCCATTCAACAAGTTCTGTCAACTTTGTCTTTAATATTTTGCTATTTTTTCATATGCATCTGCCCACAATAAGATGCAAATTTCATGTGATCAGGGACTTGACGTGTTTTGTTCACTGCTCACTCTCTATATCGAGAATGCTGCTTGCAACAAAACAGTAAACAAATAAAGTGGTCTTAAAGTTAGGTTGCACCGTCAGCAATACCAAGTAATAATAGCCTTTTTCTTTGACTCAGCTGTTGTTGCAGTCTTCGGAATTCTCTTCAGGTAACTTCCTATTGTTTAGTTTCTTCGCTTCCAGGTAGTTGAGCTTGCCTTCATTCTTTTAGAAGCTATATGGGCAATTAAATATGAACATAACCACATAATGTCTGTCAATTCTGAAAACATGGCACTTCCTATAGACGAGCATCTCAAATACTCAAGATATCATCTCCATTGTAATCTACTTATTTGTAGTTTCAGTAGTATATTCCTTTATTCTAGGAGCCAGATGTTTCTGAACAGATGGGACATCCTATATGACCAGAAATCACGTGACCAATAGCTCATTACCTTATTATATTACAAAGTGAATTCCCTATTTGGAACAATATTATGCAGCCTGTCATGAAAATTTATAAGTTATTCAATAAGTGCATGGATGGTAATGCTAAAAAAAAGCATGCAGGAAGGGAAATTCATATAAAAATACTGAACAACTGTCTAATTCAAGAAAGACAAATCATTGGCCTCCTATAATGAAATGGGTCCAAGTTTTGTCAATCTGCTTCCAATAACTGTTTGATTATCATATTGAAGAATCAAGTTTTATTGCTTCTTTTTGTAATTTTGAAACTTGGAAGGGTGTATTCCTGTTTTGAGCACATATCCAACAGCAATCCTTGCCTGGTATTCATTATATATTTCTGGTGATCTTTATGTGACACAGAAATGTGCCCTTTTCCTGAGTACATTTTCTCACCCTTAATTCAAACCACATCTTTCAGTAAACATGGATGATAAGGTATATAACTGATTTTTCCCATTGGATACATATGTCCATTCCAAGTTCATTCATGGGCATCCTGTGCAATGATGTAATGGCACAAAAGTGCTTAATTAGGATTTTTTTCCCAGAAAGTCTTGCACATCCATTTTAAAAGGAGCCTTTAAATTTACCCTATAAAGTCCAATGGACACAGGAAATTTCTCATAATGTCATAAGCATCAGCAGAATGAAGTGTAACTGTGGATCAAGAGGGGCAGGAAAGTTTGAAAAACTTATCAGTTCCAATTCTGCATAAAACTTTCCCCTCTCTCATTGCTTAAGCATATTTAGAATCCAGTTTCTAGGCATATTCTTTAGATTTTTTGCCTACATTAATTAGAAAAAGTTTCCAAATTCTTTGTCTTGAACTTCTTCTTTATGGTTTGACTTTTGATGGTCTTTTCTTCCCTTCTCCCTTAACTCCATGAGGGAATGAACTCTATGAAGAGATATTTAAAAACAAAAGTAAGAGTCACAGGAAATGAGGACCATGTGTTCCCTTTTTTTGTTGTTGTTCAGAAAACTGCCACTGACAAGCATCATCATTAACCCTATCAGAAAGAAGAAAAGGCAAGGCAGTCTGCAAGGGAGATTTAGTGTGAGGTTTCCATGTAGGTATTAACGCAATCTAAATCATTCTAATTCTGACGATTTCAATCTTATCCTATAGATGTCCTACTTTTCACATAGAATGCCTAGCAGGGCTTGAAATGTAACTGACATTGTACTTGGCAACCCAGCAGGCTCAACAGATCAATGTTTGATTTGGGTTTTCAGGTATCTCAGTTTTGCAGCTTCAAGAGATAAGGGATTCTTTTATCACTGTCCCAGACAATTTCTTGATTTCTACCACTGCCTTGAGCTGCTATTTGAACTTTTATTCTTTTTTTAAAGTTTCCTTATTTTTGAGGCTGCATCCCACTTCATGGTCCTTGATTTCCTTCTTAGTTCACACTGCTGAATGGCAGTCATGATGCAGTCCCCATAATCTTAGAACCCATTGGGTTCTTTATTCCAGATGATCACTAAGGCTAATTAAATTTTCTCTTGCTACCATAGAGCAAAGTTTACTACATTCCTATTGAGGAATATAAAGGGGAACATGACTGGCTAACTATATAATCAATCCAAGTTACCTATATTCTCCTAAGAGACTTTTTTTTCCTGTATAATATACTGTGGTGATTAAGCCTGTGTAATAGTTTCAGGGACCTGGGACAAAAGATTTTTTAAATGATTGCCATTTTTATAGTTGAAGACTGGACCCTGCCTCACATTATGTCTTAGTAGGAAATTCCAATTGACAAGGTGGTTTGAATGCTGGACAAACAAAAATAACAAATATTGTACTCCTTTGCATGGCAGATACTACCTTTACTATTCAGAACCTGCTTGCATTTCCTGTATTATCTTCTACCACTTATTATTATGCAGACTTAATTGTGACTCCTTGAAAATGCCGTTTTTACACTTTCTAGTCTTTGCACCTGCTGTTCCTTTTCTCTTCAAATTCCACTTTCTCTCTCCCTTCAGCTTTCGACCTCCTCTCTCATCCCTCCACACTTCCCCATCTCTGTCTCTCCTTTCTTCCCCACTCTCGAAAAAGCATCTTAAAATAAAGTGCCACAGTACCTGGCACATTCCTAGCACTTACCAAAAGTTAAGTGATAAATATATAGTTGATAAATTGTTTATTTTAATATTTTATTTTAAAACAAAGATGCTGACATCTGTCTAAATTATCTGCTTTATACCAGTTCACATAAGTTAAAAACCTATGTACAGACAACAAGGCTGGTATTGTTTTCATAACAGAAAGATAAAACGTCTGTGTACATGTTCTAAATGATAGAACCAGAGACTGCAAGGAACTGCACCAATGTGTTTGCACCTAAAATATAAAAGAAAATATTTGGACTTACATTGGTCAAAGCGTATTTAACTGAAAATGTTGGAAAAAGTCATCAGATATCAAGTAGCTTGGAATACTTGTAAGTGACTCACCATTCTTTAATGATACTGGAGTCACCTCTCTGTTTCTGGGCAAATTTATTGAGTTCATGGTAGTTATCTAATGTAAAAATTGTATATCAGCCATGCGCAGTGGCTCACACCTGTAATCCCAGCACTTTTGGAGGCCAAGGAGGGCAGATCATCTGAGGTCAGGAGATCAAGAGCAGCCTGGCCAACATGGTGAAACCCCGTCTCTACTAAAAATACAAAAAATTAGCTGGGCGCGGTGGCTGGTGTCTGTAATCCCAGCTACTCGGGAGGCTGAGGCAGGAGAATTGCTTGAACCCAGGAGGCGGAGGATGCAGTCAGCCAAGATCACGCCATTGCACTCCAGCCTGGGCAACAAGAGTGAAACTCTGTCTCAGAAAAACCAAAAAACCAAAAAAACAAAAAAATTGTATCTCATTGGCTGTTATTCCTATGATTCACCAATGGGAAATGTAGGGAATTTCTGATAGTGTCATCATTCATCATGAAAAAAAGTATATCTGTGCATATATGTGTATATATATAATATTTATATATGTGAAGTAATTAGACTACACATTAAAAAGACTGAAAAAAGGGAAAAGATATAGAATGTATACTAGTGTGAAACTGAAAAGAAATAAAATCATACTCATAACAAATGGGATTAACTAGGTTGATTTCTAAGCCATCATTTACGCACATGATTCAAACATTTTTAGTATCCCTTATTCTATACTATATTTAGTATCCACTAGTACTAAAAATAAGTGTATCTCACTAAGAAACAAATATACACACACACACACACAACATCTATATGTATATCTGTAAAGTTAGTGGTTTGGTTTTATATATATATACAGAGATAGATTAATATATATACATATATGAATGTACATATAAAGCATAGCTATTAACTTTTCTAAAAAGAGTTCTTCAGGCTTTAAAGATTATCGTTTCATTACGTTATTTTAGCATACTAATGGTAAATTATTATTATTATTATTATTATTATTATTATTGAGGCCGAGTTTCGCTCTTGTTGCCCAGGCTGGAGTGCAATGGCGCGATCTTGGCTCACCGCAACCTCTGCCTCCCGGTTTTAAGCGATTCGCCTGCCTCAGCCTCCCGAGTAGCTGGGATTACAGGCATGTGCCACCATGCCGGCTAATTTTTTTGTATTTTTAGTAGAGACGGGGTTTCTCCATGTTGGTCAGGCTGGTCTCGAACTCCTGACCTCAGGTGATCCGCCCGCCTCGGCCTCCCAAAGTGCTGGGATTACAGGCGTGAGCCAGTGCACCCGGCCGGTAAATTATTTTTAGAGGTAATTTTTAAATTTATTTTTCTGTCAGTGAAATATTTTATTTTATATTTTTAACAGGTTTATTGAGTTGTAATGGACATACAAGAAACTGTACCTATTTAATACGTGCAGTTTGATGAGGTTGCACATATGCATACACCCTTGAAATCATACCACAATCAAGATACTAAGCATATGCAGCACCTGGAAATGTTTCCTCTT
Organism: Homo sapiens; assembly: GCF_000001405.40. Classification (NCBI taxonomy): domain Eukaryota; kingdom Metazoa; phylum Chordata; class Mammalia; order Primates; family Hominidae; genus Homo; species Homo sapiens. The sequence goes on along the minus strand of NC_000001.11, from coordinate 194,868,240 downwards.
ACCCTTCCTTTTTTTTTTTTCTCTGGTAAGAACACTTAACCTGAAATCTAACAAATTTTTGAGTCTACAATACGGTATTGTTGACTATTGGTATTATGGCATACTACAGATCTCTAGAAATTATTATTCTTGCATAATTGGAACTTGTTTCCCTTTGGTTAACTTTCTATTTCCCCCCCTCTCCCAGCCCTGATAACCACCATTCTACAAATTACATTCTATGCGATGTTTATATCACACATTCTTTTTTAATTTGTCCATTGACGGGCATTTAAATTGTTTCAATATCTTAGCTATTGTAAATAATGCTAGAGTAAAAATGAGAGTGCAAATATCTCCTCTAAATTCTGATTTCAATTATTTGGGGTATATATCCAGAAGTGGGATTTCTAGTTCATATTGTAGATACATATTTATTTTTTTTGTGGAAACTCTGCATTACGTTTTATTGCACCATTTTCTATTCCTACTATCAATGTAGAAAGGTTCCAATTTCTTCATAACCTATACACTAGTTATCTTTTGGGTACCTCTTTTTTTTTTTTAATAGCCATCCTAACAGGTGTGAGGTGGTATCACATCATGCGTATAATTTGCATTTCCCTGGTGATTAGTGATGTGGAGCACCTTTTCATATGCCTGTTAGCTTGTTGTGTGTCATCTTTGGTGAAATGTTTATTCAAGTTCTTTTCCCATTTTTTAGGCTGGATATCTATTTATTTATTTTTTACATTTTTGCAATTGAATTTTAGAAGTTGCTCACATATCAACTGATCTTTGAAAGAGGTGCCAAGTATATACAATGAAGAAAGGATAATCTATTCAACAAATGGTTTGGGGAAACTCAATATTTACACAAAAAAGAATGAAATTGGACTTTTATCCTACCCTATACACAAAAATTAACCCAAAATAAATTAAAGGCTTAAATGCAAGACTTAAAATCCAACAACCTTGAAAACAAACAGAAGAAAATATTCTTGATATAGGTCTTGACAATTATTTCTTGGATATCTCACCAAAGCACAAGCAACAAAAGCAAAAATAGAACTATGGGACCAACCATGCTCTGAACAGCAAAGGAAACAACAGAGTGACAAGAAAACCTATGGAATAGGAGATATTTCCAAATCATATTTCTATTAAGGGCTTTATATCTAAAATATATCAGGCAAATTAATTTTGAAATAGTATGAAATACATTCATACATATATAAAAACCATTCTTAATATTTTTTCCTTTACTTCTCCTATGACAAAAACAAAAAACGAAACAAAAAAAAAACTCAAGTGAGTTACTCTAATTCAAACTTCAAAATCATTACCTCAGTATACTTTCCTGTCTCTACTGATGCCTTGTCCAGGTCCCAAAATCTCTAGCCAGGACTCCCACAAAATCTCTAATATTTTTCTGTTTGTACCCTGTCTCTCCCACTGTAAATAGTGACACCGCCACTAATATTTTAAAAAGTTAGCAGTAAATTAGGTACATCATTTATTTGGTATAGCCCATCACTTTTCATTTCACTTGAAAAACAATAGAAAACATCTGTACCCCTTCTTGACATCACCCACCTAAATCTCCAACCTCATTCCAAACCATTTTTCTCCTTCTGCACCATGTTTTCCCCACAGCGAACTGCTAGAACCTGATCTTTCTTCCTGAAATTAATTGTTCTCTTGCACATCACAACTTCATCCAGCCCCTGCCCTAAGAAAATCCACTAAACTCTAGCATGGCTTCTAGCTGCCTAAGGCTGTGTCCCTAGGATGACTCCTACTCCTCTTTAAAATGTCTGCTTGAGAACGTTCAGCTCTGTCAGGAAAATTTACTGTTTATTGTAGCCATCACCTGATAATGGGCCCTGTATTTGTCCATTCTCACACTGCTATAAAGGGCTGAGACTGGACAATTTATGAAGAAAAGAGGTTTATTTGACTCACAGTTCTGCAGGCTGTACAGGAGCATGGCTGGGAGGTTTCAGGAAACTTACAATCATGGCAAAAGGTGAAGGGGAAGATCTTATGTGCAGAGCAGGAGACAGTGAGAGAGAGAGAGAGACAGTGAGAGAGAGAGAGAGAAGGGGGAAGAGCCACACACTTTTAAATAACCAGATCTCATGAGAACTCTCTATCATGAGAACAGCAAGGGGAAAATCCACCCCCATGATCCAATCACACCCCACCAGACCCCTCCTCCAATGATGAAGATAATAATCCAACATGAGATTTGGGTGGGGGCGCAGAGCCATACCATATCAGGTCCTGTCTTCCCTTTCTTAAATCATTTACTATAAAGGGCTTACAATATAAATATGTATCTCTTACAACTTAGACATTTTCTCAAGGCTCTGAGAGAAATTTCTTTGGCATATAATCATCAGGAAGGTTAGGGCCTCTGCCTCTCAGTCTTTGTGGGAGAACAGAAAAATAGCTTCATTAACTGCCAAGTAGCAGATACACCTGGCCTAATTGCATTTACATTGACTAACCCTTCGAAAGTTCTCACTTGCTGACTCTATTGAGCTCTGTGCTCTCTCCACTCCCTCTTTCTCCATTTAAAATGCCCAAATCACCTCTGCATAAATCAGAGGGAAGAACAGCACTTTCCTCCACTCTCAGTAGTTATTGACCTAAACGTTTCTACTGTTATAACTAATGCCCAGCTGTGTTTATTTTTGCGAATGTATGCACCGCTAGGCAAGTCATGAGGAACTAGTCATTCAATACTGTTTTTTTCTCCACTAGTATCCAAGTGTCTCAACATACAAATTATAAAGTCACATGTGCTAAACAGATAGTGACTGTAAAGTCATGATCACTAAATAGGTATAAATTTGGAAAACAAAATAAATACATTTTAATTATTATTTTTCTTTTTGCTTATTGTATATTCTTAAGTTAAAAAAAAAAACCCACAAACCTATAGCTTTGTTCTGAATATTGATTGTCAAATTTTAAGTTTTTTTCCACTTCAGATGATAAAGATACCACTAAAAGCATCATTGATTATAGTTTTCCAAATGTAGTTTGATTAATACAGTTTAAATGTACATTGGGACTACCCCTTTCGGCCTTTTGCTTGTGTGAATAAAACTTAAAATGATATTAGATTTGATTGGGGTGCTAACTCTCACTAATTGCACACATTGAAACTGAGATCCACTGGAATCTTTTCTTGTATTTGTTCACCTGATCATTGCTTAATTCAACACTTTATGATTTCTACCTATTTAATGTATATTCTGTAGAAACAAAAGGCATATACATATAAACATTAATTTTATACAGTCATTTTACCTGTTAAAAAGTTTTACCTATTGTATTATTACATCTTAATGTTGCTTATCTGTAAGTTAGGTAAAAGGTGATTTTCAATTTAAATATTTCAAAGCTGGGTGGGGTGCCTCACACCTGTAATCCCAGCACTTTGCGGGGCTGAGGCAGGAATATTGCTTAAGCCCAGGATTTCATGACAAGCCCGGGCAACACGGTGAGACCTCATCTCTACACAAAATTAAAATATTATCCAGGTATGGTGGCATGCGTCTGTGGTCCTAGCTACTCAGGAGGCTGAGGCAGGAGAATCCTTTGAGCCCAGGAATTTGAGGTGGCAGTGACCCATGATCACACATTACACCGTAGCCCGGGCGACACAGGGAGACCTTGTCTCCAAAATACATAATCATAATATTTTATATATATATATATATATATATATATTTATTTATTTATTTCATGATGTAATGAATACAACTGGATAATATCTAAAATACTAGGCAGATTAATGGGTGCAAATACACAATCTGAGAGAAAAAATGAAACCTGTTTGATAGATCAGTAATATGACTATAATTTATAATAATCTATTATATGTTTCAAAATAACTAGAAAAGAATAATTCAAATGTTTCTAGCATAAAGAAAAGACAAATATTTAAGGTGATGGATATCCCAACTACACTGATTTGATCTTTACAAATACTGTAAATATATTAAATTATCACATATACACCAAAACATGTACATATAATATGTTCAATTATATATATTTAATGTATAAAAGATATATGTGGCATATGAAGAGAAGTGCTTCTAAGTTACCTTTATATAAATCTGCTATGAAAACACAATGTGTGGAAATATTTTTGTTCTGTTTCACATAAAAATATCAAGTTTTATTAATCATAAGCATCCATAATTACTAAACAAAATTTCATATTAACTTGAAATAAAATTTAGCTGAATTAAAACATTCCATCTGAAAGCAAAGAGAATCTGAAATGCTATAAAATATTTCATGAACATTATTACATGTAAAACCAATTTTAGTGACAATAAAGTAAGGTAAACCATTATATCTTTTACTATTTTTATATTATAATACAAATATAGTTAGAAATAGGGTTAAAATGATAAATTAAAGGCTTAAAACAAACTACTTCTGATGAACTGTAAACAATGCAAGAAATTATAAGAAAACTAAAATCAAATTAAACTACATTTCTTGATTATGTAATGCCGAATAATGATTTAAATGATTTTAACTTGTAAGTTACACAGCATATACACACAAGTATTATCCACAATGCTAAAATAATGTTCAGGCAGATAGTTTTATATTTTTGCAAATGTATGAAATAATATATGTTAACAATTTCTGATGCATTATTAATTCTACTTTGACTGTATGAGAAATTGTTCTCTAAAAGCCTAAAGCTATATTAAAAAGAACAACAAATTGATAACAAAATCATTTATGTATTTTTCAATCTAATTTATTTGAAAACCTTTAATCCAGGAGTGCTGCTAAATATAAAGCATGTTTCTAATGCAGCACTGTAGTTTTATTTTCTCTAAGACTGGATTTTCATGTCAATGTCATGATAATAAAAACAGAAATTAATGTGAACTACAGAGTATTACATTTTCTATTGAATAAATGAAATTAAGATTTCTAATATATGCTTGCAGATAAGTTTAGAAAGGAAAATGAGACACAAGTAGATAAAATGAGTAACCTAATTGTTAAAATTGAGGTTTTTTTTTCTTTTTTTTTTTTTTTTTCGAGATGGAGTCTTGCTCTGTCACCCAGGCTGGAATTCAGTGGTGCACTCTCAGCTCTCTGCAACCTCTGCCTCCTGGGTTCAAGGGATTCTTCTGCCTCAGCCTCCTGAGTAGCTGGGACTACAGGTGCACGCCACCACACCTGGCTAAATTTTTGTATTTTTAGTAGAAATGTGGTTTCAACATGTTAGCCAGGAAGGTCTCGATCTCCTCACCCTGTGATCCTCCTGTCTCTGCCGAGTTATTCCTTACTTTTAAAAAATGTGTATGTAATTTAGGAATATGAAGCTTTTTCAAAAATGTAATAAACATTTAGAAAAACTGATCACACATCAGGCCACAGGTAAAATCTTAACAAATTGTATTCATATTCACTTAATATTTTGCAAACAGAATACTTGAAATAATTTTAGTAAAAATAAAATATGAATACTTTTTAAAACATATTTTAAATGCAACTATATTTCTGTGGACATATAGTAGTCAAATTATTTTCAGATTTCTCAACATCTTTAATTTTTAATTGAGAAAGAAAACTTTATTAAAAATAGAGCTATGAGTCCTCAAAAAAGTTATGATAATGAGATACAAATGGAATGTAATATTATAGAAACATAAATAATTACAAATAAGTAAGAATTAATGAATTGGTAAATAGTCCAAAATTAAAAAAAAAAAACTCTTTGGGTATAGTTAATTCACAATAGCAAAGACATGGAATCAATCTAAATGCCCATCAATGATAGTTTGGATTTAAAAAAATGTGGTAAATATATGCCATGGAATACTATGCAGCCATGAAAAATAATGATCTCATCTTTGAAGGGTCACAAATGGAGCTGGAGGCCATTAGCAAACTAACACAGGAACAGAAAACCATATACACTGTGTTCTCACTTATAAGTGGGAGCTAAAATATGGGAACACATGGACACATACAGGGGAACAACACACACCAGAGCCTACTGGAGGGAAGAGAGTAGGAGAGAGAGGATCAGGAAAAATAACTAATGGGTACTAGGCATAATACCTGGATGACAAAATAATCTGTACAACAACCCCCCGTGACACAAGAATAGGTATGTAACAAAGGTCATGTACTCCTGAACTTAAAAGTTGAAAAAAAATAAAATAAAAAGAGAAAATAGAAGACCCCAACATTATACATTTTAGAAACAATAATGTTAATGTAACAGATACAACCCAGGAAACAGAAAAGGATTGAATTTGAAGGATTAAACAAAATAGCAATTTATTTGTAAAACATAAATAATCTAAAAATCACCTCCAAAAGAGGTAATACGATTACAATAATAAAAAAATTGTATTTCAGATAATTCACTCAAAGGTAGACAGTTTTACATAAAGACAACAATATCACCTATGCTATATAAATTCTTTCAGATTAAAACATTTTCCTTTAGTAAATAGTTTTTATTAGATTTCTGACAAAAATCATAAAATAGAATTTCATTATCCATTATAAATGTACATGAATTATTTTTCTGAATTCTAGCAAACTAAAACAAATGGTGTATTTAAAATACTAAAACTCATGCATATTTGTGATTTTTTAAAAAAATTGTTTTTTTAAACATTAATTACATTAAAAAATAAAAAGTTTATTTCCTTAAATGTTGACTTAAGCAATAAAAAACAAGATCCATTTTTAATGTGAAGAACTATAAAGTAAAAAGAGTATTCAACTATCTCGAATACTCAATTAAAATGTAGATATATAATTGATTTCTAGTATTCTCTCTCCCAGAAAAAAAATAGAAAACTTACTAAGTGTTCAGGGCGGGGGGCGGGGGATACATAAAGTATCAAGATATACAATTAACAATTATTATACAAAATGTATATTAAATTTTCAAAAGATTAATGAGGGACATATATTAATACTTGAATATACGGTCAGATGTAAAATGTTTTGTTTTTAGGAAATATGTTACAAAAGTGTTAATTTTTCCAAAAATAATCTATGAGTTTTTAAAAATTACAATTTGTGATGTAAAAGAAAGTTTTAATTTTGTTAGAAATACCGAATTTTTTAGGAGAATAAATATCAGTTAATAAGCAGGCAAGTTGTTTATAATACTTATTAATTATGAGTCTGACATGTCAACTGTTTAATATTACAGTAATGAAAATATTGTGGCACTGTTGTAGGTTGAAATATAAATTTAAAATCCAGTTATAGACCAAAAGATACAATCACATTATGTATATTCTGAAAGTTACAGTTTTGAAGTAAGCAAAAATAATGCAAAATTCACACACACACACAAAATAGCAAACCTCATAGCCATTTGAGGAAGAAGAGGACTTAGAAGTTTATCATTTAAACAATGCGGGGGTGCGGGAACAGGTCAACAAATATAGTAATCACATATGAGAAGGCTTATGTGTCAGTACATTTAATCTATGAATATTTCTTCCATATCTTCAAGGAAGACAGAAACAGTCTAAGAAAAGCAGGCAGAGGGAATGAAAATCTATACAACAGATAAATACATACTTACATATAAAATATATCAAAAAAGCAAAGAACTAAAAAATTAGATAAACTTAAAAAAAGTTTGGTTTTTGTGTTTGTATTTAGAGGATAATGTATACTCTGGAATCATTTTGAATGTACTAGTAAGAATTTTGTTTGTTTGTTTTTTGTTATTTTTTTGTTTTGTTTTGAGACAGTCTCGCTATGTCGCCCAGCCTGGAGTGCAGTGACGAGACTTCAGCTCACTCTAACCTCCACCTCCCAGGATCAAATGATTCTCCTGTCTCAGCCCCAAAAGTAGCTGGGACTACAGGCGACCAGTTAATTTTTATATTTTTAGTAGAGACGGGTTTTCGCCATGTTGGCCGGGCTGTTCTTGAACTCCTGGCCTCAAGTGATCCACTCACCCCAGCCTCCCAAAGTGCTGGTGTGTCCGGAATTGGTGGGTTCTTGGTCTCACTGACTTCAAGAATGAAGCCGCGGACCCTCGCGGTGAGTGTTACAGCTCTTAAGGTGGCGCGTCTGGAGTTTGTTCCTTCTGATGTTCGGATGTGTTCAGAGTTTCTTCCTTCTGGTGGGTTCCTGGTCTCCCTGGCTCAGGAGTCAAGCTGCAGACCTTCGCGGTGAGTGTTACAGCTCTTAAGGGAGCACGTCTGGAGTTGTTCGTTCCTCCCGGTGGGCTCGTGGTATGGCTGGCTTCAGGAGCGAAGCTGCAGATTTTTGCAGTGAGTGTTACAGCTCATAAAAGCAGTGTGGACCCAAAGAGTGAGCAGTAGCAAGATTTATTGCAAAGAGCGAAAGAACAAAGCTTCCACAGTGTGGAAGGGGACCCGAGTGGGTTGCCACTGCTGGCTCCGGCAGCCTGCGTTTATTCTCTTATCTGGCCCCACCCACATCCTGCTGATTGATAGAGCCCAGTGGCCTGTTTTGACAGGGCGCTGATTGGTGCGTTTACAATCCCTGAGCTAGATACAAAGGTTCTCCACCTCCCCATCAGATTAGTTAGATACAGGGTATCCACACAAAGGTTCTCCGATGCCCCACCAGAGCAGCTAGATACAGAGTGTCCACTGGTGCGCTCACAAACCCTGAGCTAGACACAGGGTGCTGATTGGTCTGTTTACAAACCTTGAGCTAGATACAGAGTGCCGATTGGTGTATTTACAATCCCTGAGTTAGACATAAAGGTTCTCCAAGGCCCCACCAGACTCAGGAGCCCAGCTGGCTTCACCCAGTGGATCCCGCACCGGTGCTGCAGGTGGAGTTGCCTGCCAGTCCCGCGCCATGTGCTCACACTCCTCAACCCTTGGGTGATCCATGGGACTGGGCGCTGTGGAGCTGGGGGCGGCGCTTGTCGGGGAGGCTCCTGAAGGCAGTTAAGGCCTGGCGAGAAATCAAGCGCAGCGCTGGTGGGCTGGCACTGCTGGGGGACCCAGTACACCCTCCGCAGCCGTTGGCCCGGGTGCTAAGCCCCTCATTGCCCAGGGCCGGCGGGCCGGCAAGGCGGCCAGCTGTTCCAAGTGCGTGGCCCGCCAAGCCCACGCCCACCCGGAACTCCAACTGGCCCGCAAGCGCCGCGCGCAGCCCCGTTTCCCGCTCGCGCCTCTCCCTCCACACCTCCCTGCAAGCTGAGGGAGTGGGCTCCGGCCTTGGCCAGCCCAGAAAGGGGCTCCCACAGTGCAGCGGTGGGCTGAAGGGCTCCTCAAGTGCCGCCAAAGTGGGAGCCCAGGCAGAGGAGGCGCCGAGAGTGAGTGAGGGCTGTGAGGACTGCCAGCATGCTGTCACCTCTCACTGGGATTGCAGACGTGAGCCACCGGCACCCGACATAGTAAGAATTCTTTCTGGTTATCTCCATTTTCTTCAATTCAGATGTCTCCTTCTTCATCTTGGTTTTATTTATGATTCATGATTTCGTTTTCCCTTAAATGCTCCCAAGACGAGAGCTTATGTTCATAAATAAAGGATTATTTTTGTTTTGCCTGGCATACGGTTTCTTCACAACTTTGTAGACCTATGTAAATTTTCCCAGAATAGTAACACTACTGAAGAAATTGTGAAAATAAGCAAGTCCTATTAAGTAAATGCTTATTAATGATGCTTAGTATAGAATAAAAATAACACAGGACTGCAGGATAGCCAAAGTGAGTGGCAGTAGGCTTGTGGCACTTTAGTGTTTGAAACTTTTTTATGGGTGGAAATATTTTCCTTTAAATTGTGGGAACATAACATTTTGAAGTTACCAGAATCTGTTTCGTTTCTATCCCGAGAAAGGTAGTTGATATAAATATATAGGTTGATTTAGCGCTAATGTATCCTTTAAGTAATTACTTGGAAATTATTTGCAAATAATTTTCATTTTTTTAAAACAGTTCATTTGAAAAATAACATTTATAGTTGTTATCATATGCTAGATAGTAAGTTCTATGTGTAGAAGAACCACCCTGGATTTGAGAAAGACAGAAATCAGACTCATTTTGGAAACACTCTTCTACTACCTTTGCTGGTGATTAATTGAAACATAGGTAACTAAAATCAAAGCAATGAAGAGCACATATAAAAGTACAGCAAAGTAATATAGAGACTTCTAATATAAGAACTATTTAGAAAAATGTTTAGAGCTGAAGTTGATTTATATATTTATTTAGAACATACTATAGTCCAGAGTTAGAGCATTATTAATTTATAAATAAAATCCTTTCAATATATAAATAACATGGATTGTTAGGAAGTGTGTATCTCAAATTCTTTCAATAGATTAGTGGTTTAAATAGAACTTTTTAATCCTTTATATTCATCATTTATCTTAGCAGTAAAAGTATCTTTTTGATTAAAAAACAAACTTCTCTTTGAATGTTAGTGTATCTGGGAAGGGCTTAATGCAAGTAAATAAATTTGTATGTAACAATGTTATTTATAAGATGTTCTGCACATTCAAAAACTTCAAACTATTGGCCAGGCATGGTGCCTCACACCTGTAATTTCCAGCACTTTAGGAGGCTGAGGTGGGAGAATCACTTGAATCAAGGAGGCAGAGGCAGCAGTGAGCGGTGATCTCTCCACTGCACTCCAGCCTGGGCAACAGAACGAGACCCAGTCTTAAAAAAAAAAAAAAACCCTTCAAACTATTGACAAATTTTTACCAAGCATGGGTCCTAAGTTGATGAATACATAAAGATAATTTAAAACTGACATGAATAATGCATATATGTATCATTGAAAGCCAATTCAACTGCTTAAAATAATTGTTCTTATAAACTAAACATTCACATACTCCTGAAGTGTATTATTATGTCATAAACTTTTCTTCTCGCACTAAATGGTAAAGCCATGTTAACCTTGACAGTTGTCTGAATTATTAGATATTCCCAATTGGTGGGTTGCAATCAGTTAGACTTTAAAGATCTGTATTGAAGTTCAAGATAATGATACTAAGGTCAGAGTGAGAGTGAGAAAATAAACATATGACTTATTTTATATAATGGAGCCAATAATTGAACATAATATTTGAACTACATATAAGGAGTCCTCCCTGTAAAAAAATAAAATAAATTGGTAACTATTGTTTATTCCTTTTTTCTCCTCTCTCTGTTTGATGTCAACACTTGGGAAAGAAGAAAAGAATATTAAAGTTATATTTCACTATAATAATGCAAAATTTTATTAAAATATACATATATCTATATGAATTTTGTCCAAATACATCATACTACTGCCAAGCTACTACTCAAGAACTAATAATTTTGGGAGGTCGAGGCAGGCAGATTGCTTCAGCCTAGAAGTTCAAGACTAGCTTGGGCAGCATGGCAAAACCCCACCTCTGCAAAAAATACAAAAATTAGTGGGGCCTGGTGGCAAGCGCCTGTAGTCCCAGCCACTCTGTGAGGGCTGAGGTGGGATGATCACTTGAGCCTGGGAGGTTGAGACTGCAGTGAGCCATGATCACACCACCACACTCCAGCCCAGGCAACAGAGTGAGACCTTGTTTCTTTAAAAACAAACAAACAAACAAAACAAAACTGATAATCAATATTGCATTTTATATCCCAACTTTTAGAAATTTTTGCATGTTGAAACTCTGCAAGATATATTCATGTGCACATACCAATGGAAAGTGGAATTAGCAACTACATTCCTATTTTATGCTGGAAGAAATTGACTGTCCTCTGCAATCTTGTTATTCTTCAATTCAAATTATTTAACTTTTAGAAAGTGTCGTAAACATGTATAGGCTGTTAAGTGTTCTTACTAATGCATAAGAAGGCAGTAAAGATTTCATTTGCATAGATATTGCAATTATTATTTTGCCAGATACAGAAAAAGTAAGGTATAATATTACTTCATAGATCAAATATTTTTATTATGTACTAATTAAACTGTTTTTCTATTAATGCTCTCAAAAGACAAGATCAGTCCTGGTCAGTGAGCCAAAAAATTAACAAATTGGGTAAAATTCAATTAATTCAAACACTTTTCTTAATCAAAAATGATTCTAATTTTTTAATTTACTCTTTGAAACAACATGCATTTTAGTTTACCTAGGACACATTGCCTCTGACTAGAAATGTGCTTATCAATTTGCTTATTCTGTACCCAGAATCAATCACAACAGAGCACGTCTCAAGGAGCTTCAGAAAATCATATCTAATATTAACTTGTATATGTCATAAAAATTAGTATTAGAATAAAGCATGACATCATATCTTATTCCTGAAACCCTAAAATATTAATTGACTAACAAAATTCATATATTCAAGGACTGATTTAAATTCATGAATTATAATTTACTAGTTGCTTTGATTAATGCAAAGAAAGAAAGTGGACTGTTTTTTTTTTTTTCTAGTTTTCTATTTAAGTAGATCTTGGTGTCCTATGGACAGAAAATAAAACTCTTAAAAAAGTAAACAGTTATGCTCATTGATAAAAAGCTATATATTTAAAAATACAAATCATTTTGGTGTTTTGAGAAAATAGAAACATCTGGAATTCAACCTAATATTTCCAGTTACTGAGCACAAACCTAGAAACTTTATAATTGTTACCTCACTTAAATATAAAAACAAGACAAAACAAAACAACCCTACAATATAAATAATATTTTACTAAAGAAAGTCAAGTACTTTTGGTTCTAAATTCAAAATGTGATGGGAATCTTCAGTTAGATTACCGTAATATTCTCCTATTATTTGCTTTTCTGTATCTTCTTTTTCCTTTCTCTTTTTTTTTTTTTCTTTTTTTTTTGAGACAGTGTCTCGCTCTGTCACCCAGGTTGGAGTGCAGTGGCCCGATCTCGTCTCACTGCAAGCTCCGCCTCCCAGGTTCACGTCATTCTCCTGCCTCAGGGGAATGTAGGTGCCCGCCACCACGCCCAGCTAATTTTTTGTATTTTTAGTAAAGACAAGGTTTCACCATGTTAGCCAGGATGGTCTCGATCTCCTGTCCTTGTGATCTGCCCACCTCGGCCTCCCAAAGTGCTGGGATTACAGGTGTGAGCCACCGCGCCGGGCCCTTTTTCCTTTTTCTTTACCCACATGTCAGCCAGAGTCATCTTAAAGGTTAGAGTATGCATTAGAGGAACAATTAAAGCTTTATTGTCCCTGTTATGAATTCAGCTCAATTCAGTTCATCAGAATTTTTGTTCACATCACATAAAAGAGAAATGTTTTCTTTCTTAAAATCTCATCATGCGCCACGGAATCCTTGCTGATTCTATTATCAGTTGTCTATTCTTATTGTATTATACACTAGAATTAAATATTGCAAAAAATGAAGCTGAAAATAGAGGTTAAAATGAAAAACATTATTTCTTAGAAACATGTTTGGCTAACAGAAATAATTAGCTGGTCCAAGCATATTTATGTAAGCTTTTCAAATCAGTTATTTTGGACAGCGTATTAAAAGGAAACCCTCTCTAAGAGTTCCTTTTTCTCTGCATCCTTACCAGCACTTGTTATTTTTTTGCCTTTTTGATAATGCTACTAACTGGCTTGAGATGATAACCTATTGTTGTATTGATTTTCAGTTCCCTGATGATTAGTGATGTTAAACATGTTTTTCATCTGCTTGGTGGCCACTTGTATGTCTTCTTTTGAGAAGTAAATGTTGAGATAATTTGCCCATTTTTATAATCAGATATTTTTGTTGGTGGTGATTGGTCTGCTGTTGAGTTCTTTGAGTCCCTTGTAGTCTGGTTATCAATTCCCTGTCAAATGGATAGTTTGCAATTACTCTCTCCCATGCTGTGAGTTGTCTTTTCACTCTGATGATTGTTTCCTTTGCTGCACATAAGCTCTTTAATTTGATGTAATCCGATTTGTGTATTTTTGCTTTTACTACCTGTGCTTTTGAGGCCTTACCAAAAATATCTTTGCCCAGACCAATTACCTGAGCATTTCTCTAATGTTTTCTTCTAGTGGTTTCATAGTTTCAGGTCTTACATTAAGGTATTGATTCCATTTTGAGTTGATTTTTGTATATGAGGAGAGAGTAATCTAGTTTCATTATTCTGCATATGGATATTCAGTTTTCCTAGCACCATTTATTAAAGAGACTGTCTTTTCCCCAATGTATTACTTGGTACTTTTGCCAAATATCAGCTGGCTGTAAATGCATGGATTCATTTCTGCATTCTCTATTCTGTTCCATTGGCGTGTGTGTCTGGTTGTTTTTTTTAATTTTTTAATATTTATTTATTTATTTATTTTGCCGATATGCTGTTTTGGTTACTATAGCTTTGTTGCATATTTTGAGGTCAGGTATGCAATGCTGTCAGTTTTGTTCTTTTTGCTTAAAACTACTTTGGCTTTTTGGAGTCTTTTTTGGTTTCACACAAATTTTAGTTTTTTTTTTTTTTTTTTTTTGCATTGTTGGTTGGAGTATAAACTAGTATAATCACTATGGAGAACAGTATGAAGTTTCCTTAATAAAACTACAAATAGAACTACCCTTTGAACCAGCAATCTCACTACTGGGCATTTATCAATGCACATTATCTGGGTGACAGCTTCATTAGTATTCCAGAGCTCAGCAGCTTGTAATACACCTTTGCAATGTACCTGCACATGTACCCTCTGATTTGAAAAGAAATATTGAAAAAAAAAAGATATTATTTAAAAACTGTCCCTAAAAAGACACAAAAGACAGGAAAACAGTGTTACTGAAAAGGCATCTATGTTTATTGCAGCACTATTCGCAATAGCTAATATATGATATTGACCTAGTTGTCCAATAACAGATGAATGGATAAATAAAATGTGTTTGTATACACAATATAATACTAATCAGCTATAAAAAAATTAAAATACTATCATTAGCAGCAACATCGACAAAACTGGAGGCCATTATGTTACGTGAAATAAGGCGGGAACAGAAAGTTGAACACAATATGTTTTCATTCACATGTGGAAGCTAAAAAAGTTGATTTCATAAAAGTTAGAAGTAGAACACAGGACAGTAGAGCTAGGAAAGGTTAAGGGAAATGGAGAGATTGGGGAAAATTTGTTAAAGGAAACAAAATTACACCTAGGTAGGATAAAAAATTTAGTGTTCTATACCATTGTAGGATGACTGTAGTTAACGATAGTGAAGTTTCGAATAGCTAGAAGGCTGTCGAATGTTCCCAACACAAATATGATAAATGGAGATAGTGATATGAGATAATGATAAATTGAGATAATGGATATGCTAATTACACTGACCTGATCATTATCCATTATATATATAGAAACGTCACTATGTACCCCATAAATAAGTACAATTATTATGTGTCAATTGAAAATAAACTAAAATGTTACAAAAAGAAAAGGCTCTATAAATAAGATAAAGACTATGATTTCTTTCTTCCTTTCCTTGATGACATTAATTACGTGTAACAATTTAACCCCAAATACTATCATCTCAATGCAGGAGACAGAAAAAAAGCAAAACCAAGAACAATAAAACTAAAATTGTGTCACAAAATTTCTCACCTGATTATATTTTAATTTTTCTTTTGGGAATATGTTCCTGAAAGTTGGATTAATATATGCTAAATTTCATGGCATATTAGCATAATTAGTCTGTCCAAGTTGTCATTTTTGTTTTCAATTTTTAAATTTTGCATTCTAAGTGCATCCCTACTCTCATTCTTTACAGACACAGTTTTTATCTATCTTTTAATACTTATGTTAACTTTTGAAATATGTGGTATTGTTACTATGAATATGCCTTTTTAAGATTTGCATAATGGTATTGTGTTACAGTCTTTGTTCTGTTGTCTATTTTTATGATCTATACATACATAATTGCTTTTAACTATAAAAAGTGTTTTGTTTACACCGCACTTTTAATACTTCTCTAATTATAAACATCTAGTGTTGTCCAATTATTACCTGAGAGATACTGCATTAAAGTAAATATTTTTGTTCTTATCTCTTTACAGATCTGTATACAGTTTTTCTTGAGCATGAGATTTCTTGGACATTGGCTACATGTACATTCAATTTAATGGATACTACATACAGTTTCTCAAAACAAAGCAAAACATTTGTCTTTATTGCATGCTCTACCTTTGTCAATTTGGTGGCATCATCTGCAGTGACACATAATTGTTGTGCAGAAAATACTGGGACTTGCCATGTTAGAGGGTCACCTAGCTATATATGCCTCCCAAGCAAAAAGCACCCAGCACTGAGGGGGACCAGGTTTGCTAGAGAAAGAGGAGCTTAGAAAGAAATTTGTCAAATGCATACTTGTTTTTTGTGTAATTGGTCCAATTTTAACTTCATATCTTACAGAGAATTTGAGAATTGCCTTTCTTTGGGAAAACAAGAAAAAGAGGACCTTTTCTTTGTTTAATTAGAAGAACAGATTTTTCCATAGCATGAAAAAATACAATCCCAGAGTTAAATTAATTATGGAAGGGGAGGGAAGATTCTATGTAACACATTACATATTGATTTTGTGTGTTAAGGTTAATTAATATTTGAAAGCCAAATCTGGTTGCATTTCAAGTAATTGAGAGCTATAAAAGATGTTTTAATAGATGCATGGAATCATGATAACTCTATTTAATTGGATATGCTTGAGAAATGTACTGTTTTTATGCATCTGGAGAATGACATTAATAGATAAATACTCAATACCCTTCATAAAGATTCCAAAAAATATGTATTAAAGAAACAAGCTCTGCTCGCTCTTATTTTTCTGAGCAAATAAATCTGCTGCTAAGAAAAATCATTAATATTTTTTCAGAAATGGAAGTTCAAAGGGGTTTTTTTAGGACTAGGGCTATGACTTGGATTGGGAGTTGGGGAAACTTGGGTGGGGAAAGAGGGTGACTTTGGGGGAACAAAAAATATTTGGGTGAAATGGTCAGGTAGTAGTTTCTTTCAAATGTTTGGAGAACATGAAGCAGTGAGGCTTTTTATGCTAATTGTTTCTGCAGAGTGTTTTGGTCTTTTCTTTCTAAAGCAGCAGAAAATATTATTTGGACTATTGTTACTGTTTAAAATTTTATACACGATTTTAGAAGTATTAGATATTGATGTTATGGTTTAACAAATTTACCACACATATTTGAATGTTTATAAGCCTATACACCTGTGTTTAAAATACACACTATACTTATTTAGCATATATACACTATCTTGTTTGTAAGATGTCAGTACATCAGTATTACACACTTATGAGAAAGATTAAAAGATGCATCGCATTTATGTTGTGGCATATATAGTTCAAGGTATATTCGATAATTTGAATGATAAGGTAAATATTTTGCTTGTTAGGACATTTTCTTCTGTAAGTTACAAAGTGAATCACTAAATTGGTAGAGATCAAATAATATTTACATTATTTGTAAAGATGGTTGTTTTTTGTAATCTCAGTATAATAGTGAGGAGTGAAACCATTTTTTGAAGTTTAAGGTACTGTACTGTAATTTAAGATAGTTCTGTCTTGCCCTTTTTTTTTCCTCACTCCCTCTTCTGGATTCTAGTATAATTTATTTTGTATTTCTGTGATTTATTCATTCTTTTGCTTTGGAACTATAATCATATTTTACTTTATTTGTTTACAAATCTGCTTTCCTTATTAAATTGTGACATTTTACATGAGCATATGGCATGGTAGTTTTTTATATACCTATGTTCCAAAAATGTCCACAATTTTGATCCTATGTATGTGGAAAGCACTGTTCGCTTTTCATTTTTGTAAATTACCTCTTTGATCTTCATAATGTCGCTGATGTTTATGTGGACATAAAAACTGAAACCCATAAAAATTAAGTAACAAGCCTCAAATAATAGGTTGGGAAGTTATAATTCAGGCATAGGAATCTGGTTTCCCTTACAGTGTACCATAGCTTTAGCTATAATCTGGACAGCCATGACTGCACACATAAATCATTTGGCCTATAAATTTTAGGTCTGCAAAATTAAAATCTCTCTAGGCTTCATAAATTAGAAATTTTATAAACAAATTCTACCACTACAGAAACTGGATTTCTGAATTTCTTTTAGAGTTGGCAGATCTGGTTAACTGGAGTGAGCATAGCCCATTTGTGTTGCTTGGCTGTATTTAGAATGAAGGAAGTTCTGTACCTACCACTCCCATCTAAATGTCTGACATGAAGGAATAAAGGGCCAACGCCAGTTGATACACATTTGTAGGCATTTGTTTCTCTCACATCATGCCTGTTTCAGTCATTCAATAAGACATTTGCATTCATGATAAATATTATCCCATAATACCCTAAGTATTTGTTTTAAGAAAAAAATAGCAAGAAAGAAAGGGATATATAATGAAAGAAATGAAGGGAAAGACAGAAAAAAGGAAGCAAAGATGATAAAAGGAAGAAAAGAGGGAGGAGGGACATAACTGCCCTTTTGCTTTCCCTAAAAGAGAAAAAAAAATCTCAAAAATATGTATTTAAGTAAAACAATATTCTATAATAATTGTTTTGATATCCTTTTAGTATAATTTGTTTTACTCCTAGCTAATATTTTTAATAACTTGCAGTGTTTTAATCTTTGCTATTATTTTGTACTTTTTGCTATCATTTTGCTGTTATTTCTGTAAGGTGTAGCTTTTGTCACTTTGAACAGCAGTGGCTATAACTAACACAAAATAACCTGAGTGTAATTGTACCAGATATTAGAAATTTAAAAATAAAACTAGAAAGAATTAAACCTTAATGAAATGAACATATTGTATACTCTTAGGCCTTAGCATATGCATCACTTTATACTCTGCCTATTTTTTAATTTTTTTTGACATAATCATGAGCCCTTCAGTGAAAGTAGATATTACTGTGAAGGGAATAGAAACAATTATCTAATCGTGAGAAGCTATAAAATGGTTAGTGTGAAGACAGAAAGAAAGGTGTAATAAGCAAAAAAAACAACAAAGTTAATTTCGGTCAAAGACTTTGGCCAGCAAGAACATGAGCCGCTGGAAAAACCAGAAGTACTTACTATCTTCAGCAGTATCCTAGACTTTTAATGTGTTCTTATTGTACACAGAATTCTGGGAAAAAACTGAGAGACAACTTGAAATATTTATGTACTATAGTCTCATAATACAAGTAAGTAAAATAATTTGTAATCCCTTTTATGTGATGTAAACAAAACTAAATAAAAATAAAATATTGCAGGCAGTGAAGGCTCATTTGGAAACAAGATCTGTGTTTCCAAGTGTTTGGCAGCACTTAAAAGAAGCAAACCAATTTAAATCAAATAACTTAAGGAGTATTATCAAATGAAAAATAACCATCTCATATTTATGCATGGAACATAATGAACTGAAAAGCACAATAAAGCAAATACATTAGATTAGCATAATTTTATTTCACTGTTTAAATTTTTAAGTTAGAAACTGATTTTGTTTCAATTACTGCAGTCTCCATGCGTTTTGCACATTTTATTTCAAATATATGCTTGTGTTTCAATTTGGTACAGTTTATTATTTTTAACATGGATATTTACTGTTATTAATATATGCCAACTTTAATTTTGCACTTATTGAAAGATTACTAATAATCGTTAGGCCAATGTAAACAACTAATAGATATAATAGATTTAGTCGTCTTACTTTAGTATAAAATT
The DNA here is from genome assembly GCF_000001405.40 of Homo sapiens. Lineage (NCBI taxonomy): Eukaryota > Metazoa > Chordata > Mammalia > Primates > Hominidae > Homo > Homo sapiens. The sequence continues at coordinate 194,848,597 of NC_000001.11, read as the reverse complement.
TAGATGTCATTACACATCAGAAATACTTGACTAAAGTTTCCTACTTTCTATAGAATAATTGATCTACATAATTTTAATAAAAATAGGTGTTTATTATTAAGCATTCTTTGACCCAGATTCTACTAGAAGAAAGGTGTAATTCTTGAAATCAATTTTTCCTCTGTTCTCAGAGGTAAGCCCTAAATTATTTCAAATCAAAAAGGAAAATATCTTTTTTTTTCTTTGTAACATTTGGATTTTCAGAGAAATTTAGGCATATCAATCCTGAAAGAAAAATTCTCCCACAATAGTAGGCATACAAATAAGTTATGAATATTATATATTTTGAGTGAGGCTTTTAGTAGCCACAGAAACTTAAACAAAGACCTGAAATCTAGGTACTTTATGTTTTCTTATGGACTCCTAGTGATCACACCAACAACAAAGCTAAACACGTTTATGATGTTAAAGTATAATGTTCAATACATATTTTCATACATCTTCCAAGCATGGTTACTTACAACTAATAAATACTAATTAAATGAAGCAACTGAAAATATACTATTAAAGATAGTGTGCTACGCAATATCTTCCAAATGTCTCAATATTAAATAATGAAAAAGGTAATCAGTTTCATATGTCCTAGTGACTGTTACGTTGACCAGCAACCCCTTAGTGTAACAATAAAAATAATATAAAAACTCTGTATATTAATTATATTTACTTGATTTAATTTCCCATATACATTCGGACTTTATGTGCTACATATGACAAGTTTTAAAGCACTCTGACAGCTAACATCACTTGTCAGGATTTTTTATTTGTGAGCTTCTTAATTAGATGGCTAGAATTGTAGATAAGAGGAGATATGGTGTAAGTTGTTTAGTCATAATTAACTCTAATGAATAAGATTTGCTAGAAAAAATAATTAGTTTCTATATTCATTAGGTACTACAGGCATTTGGTATTGATGACTCTAGGCCAATCAGATGAAATATCTTTATCAGTATAATGAATGAATCCCTTTGTAATTGCAAATAATAGTTAACATTTATTAAATTCTGAATATGTTTTAGCCCCAGTGCTCCTTAGCTTACAGGTGTTATTCATTTAAGACTTACAAAGTCCACAAGTTAGGTTCTATGATTATTTTAACTTTAGAGACAGGGTACCAGAGGCAAAGAGAGCTTTACTTATTTTCCTAAAGTTCAACTAGCAAGTGGTTGAATCCTGATTTGAACTTGGACAGTTTGTTGCTGTAATTTTCACCTCTCACCACAATACAGTCTGCATTATACTGAAATAAAAGGAAGATAAAAGAAGAACAAAACTAATTTGAAGTAAATTAATCAATGAAAATTTGAGGATTACATTACTTTCACAATTTTTAAACATAAATATGTGGCGAACAATTTGCAAAATTTGAATTCTGTAGAAGCAGTAGTTCTGCTTTTTTAAAAAATGAAACTCTCCATCACAAGTTTAGAAAGAAGAAAGCACAATATATTCTGTGAAGTATAAATGTAAGTATTGAAAAATTCACATGAACACAGACCAGAAAGCATGCATAGATAGGTTAACTACATTGAAACACTGACAAAATGATTTTGAAAGTTCATATATTTTATTCCTAGATTTCAATGAAAAATTAATGATGAAAAGAGCTATCAACTTTTATCCTGGAGAGGGGTACTTACATCTTACTTTAATTATAATAAGTTCTCTACATGTAAGTATTGTACTTTTCAATTATCAGCCTCATAGTAAAATTTTAATGTTGTTTTGCAAGAAGGCTATTGTTTCTCTATTTTTAGATTTTTTGGGAATTTACATACAGTTTTCCACAGTGGCGGTACTAATTTCCATTCCCACTAGCAGTGTATGAATACTCTTCTTTGCATCTTCAACACCATCTGTTATTTTGTCTTTTTGATGATACACAGTTTCACTGTGGTGAGATGATACTTCATTGTGGTTTGGATTTGCATTTCCTTAATGATTAGTGAGGTTGAGCTTTATTGTATATATATTGGTGAGCCATTTTTATGTCTTCATTTGAGAAATAAATATTCAGGTGTTTTGCCCATTTTTAATCAGGTTGTTCAGTTTGTTTTTGCTATTCAGTTATTAAAGTCCCTTATATATTCTGGTTGTTAATCTTTTGTCAGAAGGGTAGTTTGCAAATATTTTCTCCCATTCAATGGACAGACTCTTCACTCTGTTTCCTTTGCCATTAAGAAATGTTGTACTTTGATACAATTCTATTTGTCTATTTTTACTTTTGTTGCCCGTGTTTTTGAGGTCTTTCCCAAAAATATCCTTACCCATACCGATTTCCTGGAGCATTTTCCCCTTGTTTTTGTCTAGTAATCTCATAGTTTCAAAGTTTCAAACTTACATGTCAGTCTTTAATCCCTTTTTGTATAGTGAGAGATAATGATCTAGTTTCATTCTTCTGCTTATGGAATATTTAGCTTTCCTAGCACCGTTTATTAAAGAAACTATCTTTTCCCCAATATATGTTTTTGGTGCCTTTGTTGAGAATGAATTGGCTGTAAATGTGTGGATTTATGTCTGGGTTCTTTATTCTGTTCCATTGGTCTAAGTATCTGTTTATATGCTAGTACTATACTCTTTTGATTACTATATTTTTGTGGTTTATTTTGAATTCTGGTAATGTGATGCCTCCACTTTTTTTCTTTTTGTTCAGGATTGGTTATTTGGAGTTTTTTTGTGTTTCTGTATACATTTTGTATTTCTGTTTCTGTAAGAATTTCATTGTTATCTTGACAGGGATTGCACTGAATCTGTAGATCCCCTTGGGCAGTATGGATATTTTAACAATAGTAATTCTTCCAATCAAAGAGCATGACATATCTTACCATTTTTAGTGAATTCTCTTCAATCTCTTTCATCAGTGTTTTATAGCTTTTAATATGGAGATCTTTCACTTCTTTGGTCACATTTATTCCTAAATATTTTGTGATTCAGTGATCTCATCGTAGGCTATATATCCAAAGAAAGGAAATCAGTATATTGATATATATATATATATATATATATATATATATACATATACACACACACACACACACACACACACATAATGGAATGCTAGTTAGCCACAGAAAAAATGAAATCTTATCATATGCAGCAACATAGATGAAACTGTAGGACATTATATTAAGTGAAATAGTCGAGGTATCGAATGACAGATATTACACGTACTCACTCATATGTTGGGGCCAGAAAAGTGGATCTCATGGAGATAGAGAGTAGAATGGTAGTTATCAGAGTCTGGGAAATGTAGAAGGGAAGAGGAAATGAACAGAGGTGAGGTAATGTGGACCAAAAAACAGTTATGTAAGAATAAGTTCTAGTGTTCAATAAAACAGGCTGGCTATACGCGGCGACTCATGCCTAAAATCCCAGCACTTTGGGAAGCCGAGGTGGTGGCTCACTTGAGGTCAGGAGTTGGAGACCAGCCTGGGTAACATGGCGAAGCCCTGTCTCTACTAAAAATACAAAAATTAGCTGGGCATGGTGGCACGTGCCTGTAGTCCCAGCTACTTGGAGGCTGAGGCACAAGAATTGCTTGTACCCAGGAGGCAGAGGTTGCAGTGAGCCAAGATTGCACCACTGCAGTACAGCCTGAGAATAGAGTAAGACTTGAAAGAAAAAAAAAAAAGCCTGACTATACTTAACAATAGTTTATTATGTATTTCAAAACACCTAGAAGAAAGATTTGGAACGTTCCCAAAACAAAAACAAATGATAAATATTTGAGGTTATAGATATCTCAGTTATCTTTTTAATGAGTACATATTGTGTGCATGTATCAAAATATCACATGTACCTCAGAAATATGTGAAATCATTATGTAGTAATAAAATTAAATATAACAGTGATATATCAAACTACTATATAAAAGCACTGCTTATGGAATATTAAAGCCTTGCTTTAAGTTCCATTGATAAATGAACGACTCCAAAATTTCTCAAATCAACAAACTCAACTCAATACTCATCTATAACAGAGCTTATATTATATCTTTACTTCTGTGATCAACAGATATCTTAAATTTCTGAGTGTTCAGCTCAGCACCTATGCTTTGTCTCAAATCTTCTTCTCCAAAAATCCATCCTGTCTCAATTAATGGCAGCCTCCTTCCCCAAGTAGCTCAAACCAAAAACTTTGTATTTGTCCTTAAATGTCTTCCTTCTCTGGCAATTCCAAATACATTCCAGTAGCTAATGTTGTTTGCTCAGTTCTCAAATACACCCAGCATCCATCTGCTTCTCAACAAATACTCTCATATGACCGTGGGCCAGGCCACCATAATTGCCCCCTTGAATTATTGGACTACTGTACTAACTTTATTGTTTGTTTTTATCTTTGCACATACAAACACTATTTTCCACCCAGGAGCTAAAATAAAACTCTTAAAATCAAAGTTAGATAGTGCCACTATATCATTATCTCAACTTCACATAAAATGGTATGGTACCATTCTCAGCAAACTAACACAAGAACAGAAAACCAAACACTGCATGTTCTCACTCATAAGTGGGCATAGAACAATGAGAACACATGGACATAGGGAGGGGAACATCACACACCCTGTCAACGGGGTGCGTGGCTAGGGGAGGGATAGCATTAGGATAAATACCTAATGTAGGTGACGGGTTGATGGGTGCAGCAAACCACCATGGCACGTGCACAACTATGTAACAAAACCGCAGGTTCTGCACATGTACCCCAGAACTTAAAGTATAATAATGAAAAAAATATATAACTTTAAAAAATGGTATGGCACCAACTGCTTCCCTGATCTCAGCTACTCTATTCTGTCCCCAACTCTGCTGTAATCACAGTGAGCCTCTCCCCTCCCCACACTATTCTATAACATCTCAGATCTCCACGTACATTTACTTCAGTATTTCTGTGTCAGTGTTTCACGTGGCCTGAAATTTTCTCCCTTTATATAACACTGTATCACTTCTTAAAAATCTATTCACATTTAATTTTGTCATAGTGACCTGGTTTCCCCATCAACTAATATCCTGCTTAATTTTTCAGAACATGTCTTCCTCTGGTTCTCTGCAAAACTGACTCACACAAGTCAGGTCTTCTCAGGTGTTTCCTCCAACCACAGTAGCTAAAGTAGCCTCTCATGATAACTATTATTTACTACGTTTTTACTTCATAGTTTCAATCACAGAAATAATGTTATTTTTGTGTTTTCCTACCAGCTTATTTCTTGTCTGGTCTTTCCCAATAAGAAATAAACTTGAGAGAAAGACCTCCCCTCCCTCATCTATATATTTTATTCCTAGTAATGCTGAGTCAGATTATTATCTCAAATACTCTCTGTCAGTTAGGTTCTCCCTGCCCCCCAGTTGCTACTGTTTCATCTCTAATTATGATAAATCCATCTACCTGCTCTCTTGATATTGAACTGCCATCATCTGAACTCTATTGTTTAGAGGTCCTACTTTCCCTATTGCTACCAATTAGTCTAGTTCTGTTATTGCATCTTCCTCCTTTAGCCCAGCCAGCAAAGGAAAATTTTTGAAGTTATTTATAATATTGGTAATCCTTTCACAAGAACATTCTTTCTTGGCTTTTTGCCCTTCTGTGGAACGCAGTGATCTGGTGGATCTTCTAGTCTTACATAATGTATCCACTTTACCATGCTTACTTTCCCAAGCCTTTTATCCCTTACTCCACCATGCGTCATGGCAATTTCAGCATTTCTCCAACACCAAAATGTGCATTATTATGTTTCTGTACTTCCAGGAGCCATCTTAGCAATGTGTTTTATCATCTTCTAGAGTACTCAGCAGGGGGTTCCATCCTGAATTCTATGAGTGTGCTTTCAAATCAATAAATAGTTCCTTATTCACCATTATATTCTCTCCACTTGGTGTAATTCCATGAATACTCTCTTGCTTCTGCCAGTACATATTGGTTGGATTCTGTAGGTAATTTGAGATATAGTTAGTTTGTTCTTTTATCAGGTTGAGGATTTATACAAAGAGGTTATGTTGACACTTATAACCCTAGTCATTGACTTAGTAGATAGGAGAGAAGGTGAGAGAAAACACTAGGTCAGAGTTTTCTTTCTTTATTCTATATATGAGGACCCTATATTTTTCTCAACAAATGCCCTGACCTAGCCATAGCAGACTTACCTTGGTAGAGACTTTAACCTTCCTGGACATCTGCTCTTTTTATTATTAGGTCAGGAGCATATCACCCACATTTCTCTTCCCTCCAGCTTCAGCAGATGAGAGCCTCTTTAAATCCTGCTAAGGAGGCCTTCTGGATTTCACATGTAGCTATTAGTACCTGATAAATTATTCTCAGCCTTTTCATATTGTTTTTGCAAATACATCATTAAACTCAGCAATAACTTCTTAATCCAGTTGTCCTTAAAATTAATGTTTCCCTTTATATTTCTCCAATGTCTGATACATTGGACCTACTAGCAAATTTCTTTATTTCTTTGCATTGGAATTCTAGCTTATCTTACCATTGCTAAAAAAAAAAATTCATAATGGCAATACTACCTTGTGCCAGGTACCATCAACGTTTTCTCTATCATTTATAATGATATTATTGCCATCAAGGTAGTAAGTAATCCAACTCCAAATTTACATCTTTCTCATCTTTTTACAGGATAAATTTGGAATAGACTTGGGCAGAGGCAGAAATTAGACAAGATGCAATTCCAAAAAAAAATATCTATGCTGACCCTACAGTTAGCTTGGAAGCTGAGAAAGCCCTTTAAAATAGCTCCATTTTCAGTAAGGAGGATGGCATGCATACTCCCACATTAAACACTGAGTGTGGGCTTCCCGGGAAGAAGTCGCATTTGGTGAAATGCCTCCCTTCTGAGATGTCACTTTCCCAGGAGAGCTGATGGCTGAGGTGGTATTGCTGTTAGCACTCCAGGTCACAGGGAAATAAACTCTCAGTCTTAAAGCTAGATGTAGTGATGCATCAAATAATCCACCTCAGAGAGAGTTAAAGAAGGTGTCTGGCAGGATACATATAGTACTGGCATAAGCAGAAAAAAAAGGGTAAATATTATGTGTTCAGTTTTACTATCTTAGTTTCAGAGTTAGTTGTGTAGTATCTGTGTGTTTATGTACCATGGGAAGTTAGGTCTGACTTAAGATCTTAACAGAGAACCTTGGCTGAAGATACAGATTTTAGATTTATAGAATGTATTAATTGATATTATGGTTTAGGTAGATTCAGCTAGGAACAATTCACAGACAAATAGTACCCTAGTGAACACTAATATTTAAACATAAAGAAAGAAATGCTTGGGAATATAAATGTGAGGTGGCAGGATAATTATAGACAAAAAAAAAAACACACACACCCACACAAAACAAAACAAAACAAAAAACAGGATTTTCATTCTTGGGTCTTTAAATTCCAGAACTTTAACATTAAAATAAAAGTTATTATTCACTTTGACATTTATGTAATAGCTCTTATGTGTTGCTTTACTGAATTTTTTGAAATTAGAGTAAATGAATGGCAACAATTGCAATTTGAACTAAAAGTTTTCATGTGAGTACTTTGAAAAATCTCCTTAAATATTTATTTATTTTTTAAAATTTCTGTACTTCAAATTGATAGCCTAATCTACTGCTTTATAATAAAATTATATCAATAGATTCTTAGAAGCTATTACTAGTATACACATATCTTTTTAAGCCTAAAAGGCTTCCAAATGATCCAATATACAGCTAATAAATGAAGGCAGCTGAATGGAATAAATGCATGTAAAACCTTTCACAGATTTTTGTTGCATTTTAGTTGTTCGTGTAAGGATTTCTATGAATAACATGTTTATTTCTGCTTAATTGCTTATAGGTATCACAGTAATATAAATTAAGAAAATATGGACTAATAAAATCATTAAACCAATAATCCTAAAAGGCAAATAAAAGTGCAATTACTTTTATCATAAACTTATATTACACAGATTACACTCGATTACATAGATAAATTCTGGCTAAAAATACTAACTTTTTATGTAAATTTTTTACAGTGGCTAAAAAGGCAAGAAAACACAAATAGATGTTTCATCTACTTAATGTCTTAATTTGAAATCCAGTGAACAAACTATTCAAATTATTAAACTATGAATGACTATTTATGAGGGAAATTACTATCATTTCATTTATGTTTTGTGATTTGAGGTAGTATTTGTCAAATTCCATGTAGTCACACCTTCCTTTTCTAATTAAACTTTGCTAGTCACAGCCATAGAAAAACCAGTATTATGTTGTGCCCTAACCCCATCTCCACCCGTATGTAAAGCTAATTAAACCAAGGTGTACCTTACTACAGACTCTCAAATCAGTGACAAATTAGATTCATTATCTTTTGATAATTTGAACTAAAGGATCCAACACCTAGGTGCACTTGAATTGAAAGGTATTTTAAAGTTAGGTTTAAAGCAGAATTATTTGGTAATACGTGAGCAAGGTCAACACTTTAGAGGGACTGGTGACAGTGGGAAATAAGATGACAGACTATTTGTTGAAATAAAATGCTCTTGCTTCTAATATTTTAATGTTTAGTAATTAGTTCTTTATGTCCTGACTCCTTTTTTTTTTCCACTCCTTGCTTGGATTTTATATAAACAAGTATTTATTCACAAAAATGCCCCCCCACCCGTACTCAAAACAATTTGCATGGCCTCTGTTCTTTGCAATACTCATGCTTTTTTTAGAGGCATTGCTAACGTCCTTAAGATGAGCTGAAATATAAACAAGACTTGTGCTCATCTTATAAAAAGTAGTTGAGGGAAGAGTGCAATAATTTCATACAAGACTTTACTAGAAGACCATATATAAGCAAAATGGGTAATCACACATATTAATGGAACAGAGGGAAAGAGAGATAAAAATCAATTAAATTATATAAAACCATCATGGTGAACTATAAATTAAACTGGGACCTTGATGAATGATTGTATAAGAGAGATGAGAATGTGCTAGAGGTGAAGAATGAATGCAAGCAGAGAATCCAGTGAGAATCAGGAATAGTGAATATTTCAAGGAACAGTGAATATTTAATCTTGCTTAGAATATAAAGCATCACTGAAAAGCTTTTAAGGAAGACTATAATACAACTGATATCAGAGTGCAGAGGAATTGAGATGCTAGTGTAAGAAAGATGAAACTCATGCAATAAAAAAGGAATCTTGGCATGTATTAGTTTCTCATTGCTGCTGTAATAAATTGTGACAAACAGCTGGGCACGGTGGCTCACGCCTGTAATCCCAGCACTTTGGGAGGCCTAGGCGGTCGGATCATGAGGTCAGGAGCTCGAGACCATCCTGGCTAACACAGTGAAACCCCGTCTCTACTAAAAAAATACAAAAAAATTAGCCGGGCATGGTGGCGGGTGCCTGTAGTCCCAGCTACCCGGGGAGGCTGAGGCAGAAGAATGGCATGAACCCAGGAGGCGGAGCTTGCAGTGAGCCAAGATCGCACCACTGCACTCCAGCCTTGGTGACAGAGTGAGACTCTGTCTCAAAAAAAATAAATAAAATAAATAAAAATAAATTGCAAAAAACTTAGTCACCTAAAACACAGAATAATCATCTTACAGTTTTCAAGATCATAGGGCAAAATCAAGTTTACTGAACTAAAATCAAGATGTCTTTAAGCCTATATTTATTTTGGAGTTTCCAAGGGAGAATCCTGCCATTTTCCAGCTTCAAGAAGCCACCTGCATTCTTTGGCTAGTGGCCCCTTTCTCCATCTTCAAAGTCTTCGATGTAGAGTCTTCTTTCCATTCTGGCATCTGCATTAGTGCTACATAATATTTCTTGGACTATCATCCTCCACCTCCCTTGTGACCCTTGTGATTATATTGGGCCCATCCATGCAAATCAAGATAATCTCCTCAGTTCAAGATCCTGAACTAGAACACATGTGCAAAGTATCTTTTGTCACATAAGGTGACATATTCACAGGTATGGGTATTAGGACATGGATTTCTTTGGGAGGCCATTATTCAGCCTACAACACATGATATCATTCTCATCTCTGGAGATGTTATAAAGAATTTTAGATAGGATAATGTAGAAATTAAGAATGTGTACCATACTCTGGTATAAGAGAGATCTAAAGTGGAGTCCTAGTTCTGCCAATGTCTAGTTTGGTGACCTCAGGTATGTTACATAATCTCTTGGAATCTTAGTTACTTTAAATAGATCATTGGAGTAACTTCTTTCTTTTTTGGAATATTACAAGGTGTATTAATCTGTTTTTGCATTGCTATAAAGAAATACCTGAGACTGGGTAATTTGTAAAGAGAGGAGGTTTAACTGGCTCACAATTCCACAAGCTGTACAGGGAGCAAAATTCTGGCATGCACTCGGCTTCTGGGGAGGCCTCAGGAAACTTACAGTCATGGCAGAAAATGAAGAGGAAGCTGTCACGTCTTACATGGCCAGAGCAAGAGGAAGAAGAGATAAAAGGGGCATGTGCCACACACTTTTGAACAATCAGATCTCGAGTGAACTCTGTCATGGGAACAACACCGAAAGGGGAAACTCCCCCACATGATCCAATCACCTCCAAACACGCCCCACCTCCAACATGCAATTCAACATGCAATTTGGGCAGAGACACAGATCCAAGCCATATCACAAGGTATTTGTTTGTATAGGATATACAGGTTACATATGCATACCACAGATATAGATCAAAAGCCTAGTATACGGCACATACCAGACACATTCAGTATTCAATAAATAATGGTTAATATGCAGGAGAGGAGGGTTATGGTAATAAAGAAATATTCCTGCTCATAAAGCTCTTTAGGTACCCATATTGGGGTTTAAAATGAAACAATATTAATAAAAAGCCCTTAGGCCTACTGTGAAAGAAAACAGAACGTGCTCAAGTTTCTTGAGGCATTTTATAACCTAGGAAACTCCTGAATTTTAAGTTAGTTTAAGTCTTATTTCTAAATTCATAAATCACACTCCCTCTTTTCCAGACAAAATGGCACAGTGAGTGCAGGCTTTAAACCACTCCTCTTAACTCCAGGTAAAGGTAGCTCACATTAAATGTTATAAAATGAAGTTAATTACAACACAGAAATTCTACTTCCAGGTATTGATCCAGGAGAAATAAAAATACGTGCCCACACTAAGATATGCATATCAATATTCATAGTAGCTTTATTTATAGTATTTTAAAAAGTGGAAACAACCTAATCATCCATCAATTAGTAAATTAATAGACTAAATTTGTTATAACCATAAGATGGAATACTATTTGCCAATAAAAAGAAACAAGGCTAATACTATTCTAGAAGAGATAAATAAGGATGGAGGCTTTCCAAAACAAATATTAAGATGAGATATATGTAGAGTTATTAAGAACAGATGGTACTGGACAGGGATGCTGTATGAATGCCTTGCTCAATCAAACAGAACAGTCATCATTTATGCACACATTTATGGAATCTTGAGATGTAATATTGGAGACAAAATCAGTTGGGAAGAGATGAAATAAATAATAAATAGTTTGCAGAATCTAAGCTTCTCATATGGAAAATAGAACAATATCACTATAGTATACCATATTCAAACATTATAACCTTAATGAGTTAAATACCTTGTATTAGTCCATTCTCAGGATGCTCATAAAGACATACAGAGAGTGGGTAATTTATAAAGAGAAGCAGTTTAATGAACTCACAATTCCACGTGGCTGGAGGCCTCACAATCATGGTGGAAGGCAGAGGAAGAGCAAAGACACGTCTTATATGGCAGCAGGCAAGGGAGCTTATTCAAGGGAACTTCCACTTATAAAACCATTAGATCTTATGAGACATATTCACTACCAAGAAGGCAGTATGGGGAAAACCACCCACATGATTCAGTTATCTCCATCTTTCCCCACCCTTGACACATCAGGATTATTACAATTCAAGGTGAGATTTGGATGGGAACACAGCCAAAACATATCATTTCTCTATAGGAAAATATACAACTTAAAGCAATCAAATTTAGAATATAAAAATATACTAAAATATCTTTTCCAACTCAGAGTCAAGGAAGTTTTCTTACAAAACATAAAATGAAGAAATCATAAAGGAAAAGAAATATACTCAATTAGAATAAAAACACTCAATATACCATATATTGATTTAGATCTCATATACTTGTCCCTTGTGCCAAATAAGTGCACTGTAAGATTACCTCAAGTAAGTGAGGTGAAGGGCATTATAAGATTTGATTCCTTTTTACAGAGAATTGAGACAAATATGATGGAAATGTTTATTAATTCTCTACAGTGGATTACATATGTATCTTTTATGATCATTTGTTTTTTATATTTCTTCAAAACAATAAAACAACACACAAAAATAGTAAATCTTGCACAAACAGCTGTCTATGCTGTACTATTATTTTTATATTTTAATTAAATTTTCTTTGGTTCCCGTTACAAAAAGATGAAAAAAGTTATTGTTATTACATATGACTTACATATATGCCTTAGATATAATAGCTGATAACACCTAAATTTGACTATCATATATACGTTTAGTTAACAGTAGTATAAAAATGTTTATTTAATATATTCAAATCATAAATAATACAAATTGAATTTATTCTTACCTTAAAATATTTTCTAAATTAATATTAATTGCTTAAACATAAACAATTACAAAATAATACCTGCTCAGTATATCCAAATATTCTCAACTTTCACTCAAGAAATAAGTCAACTTGTTAGCTATATTTAATAGTGTGTTTTTAAAAATTGTATTATTCATAGCACATTTAATAATATGCCCTCCAAATGTTAGCTTATCATTTCCAAAGATACATAATATTTTAATAGAAAGTTTTATGCTCTAAATAATCTATTAACCTATATGAGACTTTTTTTTCTATTTTAAAGACTGTATCAATCACTTGTTACATGTGAGCCTTTTTTTAAATAATATATCAATGTTTGAAGCAAATATATATCTGTGATTACATGAACATGTACATTTTATCTAAAAACATAGCATAATAAATAGTTTGTGTTTTTAAATTTTCTACCATTTTGAACACTGTCTTCTACAAACATTTCATATATGTTACTAAAAGATTCCCTCATAATTTAATCAACTCAGGTGCACATATCTTATATAAAGCATTGACTTTTTTAGACAATTTGGAAATATGTAGGAATGGCTCCAAACATATTTATTTGATACACTATTTCCTTTTTTATGTTTATGTTTTTTTATTTACATTAATATTTACATTTGAAACCTTCACTTATTTCATAAAAGTAGATTTAAAGTGTGCAGATACCAGAAATTCTCAGCTACAGTTTGAATGAATTGGTATTTGTCTATACATCCTAATTATTTCTCACTCTTATATGTTCATTCATCTCGTGGCACAGCTTTGCAGATACTCTCTAAATAATATCAACACTGTTTACCAAGGCATAAAAAACCCTTGACTGATAACCCTTTTGCAGCCTCTGTTGATGTGAATTATTCACATAGATCCTTTATTCCAGTTTTTCCTAAATAATTCACAATTTTTCTTACCTTATATCATCCTAGATGCACAAATTCTGTAGAATTCCCCTCCCTGAACTCATGTCTTTTAAGAAGACCTCACATGGATTTTCACACTATATCTTTATTGTACTGAACTTCCTGGCTATATTCGACAGTACTGAACCCAGTTATTTTGGCCTACAGATAGTGGCCAGAGAAAGTTTCACCTACTTGTCTTTTCAGTCCACGATTACAGCCAGCCAGCACTTCTGGTTCTCTTAATTTTTGGTTCTCCACAATAATTCTGGCCACACCATAGTGAGAAAAAAACTTTTATTGAATAATGAGTGAATTATTATGTACCTTCATATGTTAGTCAGAAAAGAAGATGCTTAGCGAGAGTATTTGTCTGAGAGTAAATTATCTGTTGTTAAATTATCTTTTCTTATTTTTCTTTCCAAAATGAATAGTTTATCATTCAACGATGTGAAGATGGCAAAATGACCATGAGAAAAATGTAAAGGCATTGCCATTGTGGATACTTGTTGCTTAAAAGGATAGCACGATACTTTGTACCATGTTGAAAATTTCCTTACTCTTAAAAGTATGCATTACACAAAATTTTTACTCATGCCTTACTAGGTGCAAAAGGTAGGTTCTCTACTAGCAAATATGTGGTTTAATATAAATATGAATTATATATTAGACATATAATAGAAAATCTTTTCTAAAATGGAGTTTGAAGTTTTCAAACATGGAGTATAAAATAAGTAGTGCCTGTATTTGTTCAATTTTAATGAATTGCTATGATACTTTCTATTCTGATAATGAATCTGTTTTTTTTAAGTTTCTTTCTTTATTTTTTTTATTATACTTTAAGTTCTAGGGTACATGTGCACAACATGCAGGTTTGTTACATGTGCCATGTTGGTGTGCTGCACCCATTAACTTGTCATTTACGTTAGGTATATTTCCTAAAGCTATCCCTCCCCACTCCCCGCAATCCACAACAGGCCCTGGTGTGTGATGTTCCCCTTCTTGTGTCAAAGTGTTCTCACTGAATCTATTTTTATAAAGTGCTAGTGTATTGTGATATGGCACTGATAATTAGGGCACACTAATACACATATGTAACCACTTTTCTCTGTTCATCGGAATTATTAGGTCTACTAACACCTTAAGTTGTTTTTTATTCTTTTCCTTTTTTTATTTGTCATATCAACCTTTGCATTTAATATTTTCACTTAGTTTCATAAAAATAAAAAAATATTGTCAAAAGCCTGTCATAACAACAGGTGTAATTTCACTGCTCAGATTTTGTGATGTTTTTTGCTTTGAAGAAAATAATTACAGACTGTAACTTTATCTTCTTATTTTCTGGGGAATATTGCCAATATTATTTCAGATTTGTGAAGGTATAGAGATAGACTAGTTACCGTTATAATTATTTGCTTAATTAATAAAACGTCATTGAGAATATAACCATTGGCAGCCCCTAGGTTTAGAAGGACCCACCATTGCTCTGTTGTTTGCCTCTGAGCCTGTCCATATCCAAACAAGCTTTTATGTGAGGGGCCTGAAGGAGTCTTAGGTCAACAGTTGCTTTTTTTTTTTTTTCTATTATGGCTGCCTCTTCAGTGTAACAACCTCTTATAACTGAAGAGTAAGGAAGCAGTTGGCTAATTCAGAAAGGACTCAAAATGTTCAGGCTGTCAGTCAATTTAGACAGTGTAATTGAGGCAGTGGCAGTTCTTTTGAGAAGAGCTGCATTCCCTGTCATGTGTGCTGACAACGTGTCTAGATGTCTTCTGAGTTTGTTTCTTCCTTTAAAAACTTTGTTTAGAGTAAGAGATCAGGCAACATTCGTGAATACCCTGAGTTTTGTCAAGCTTTTCTCATAGAGATGGATTTAAGAAGCTTGAGCTCAATTATCAAGGTATTGAAAGCAATCATTTCAAATAATTCACAGGATTTTTCTCCTACAAAATCTCTGTCCTTACCACTAATTGTCTATCTACTAAATAAATGATATGTATTTTAAAGTTTGCCATTGCAGAACCTTACTTTTAGACCTAAATTCTGTAATGTTTGGTATACGTTAAGCAAAAGTTAGTTACATAGCCACACTTACCTGCAAGAAAGAATAATAAATGTAGTGTTTATTTTAGAAAGCAACACATATGTAATATTTATATGTATACATATGTGCACTCATATTTATATAAATGGAAGCATATACATACATTTATATACATATAATTAGTAACAAATGATATGCATTATAGAGCAAATTATATTTTTGTCACAATAATAATTGATGGTCAATAATGAAAATGCATGTTTATGTTATTACATTAAGTAACTTTGAGGTTTGCACAGTTTATTACATTTATTTTGGCTTCAGGTCACTTTGGAAATTCTAAACATCAAAAGGTTAAATATATGTGAAAAAGTAAAGAAAAGGAAAGGCAGAAAGATAGATGGATAGATAGTTTTAGTGAAATACACAAAGCATTCATATTACATTTTTAAAAAATTTTCTTTTAAGTTCGGAGGTTCACGTGCTGGTTTGTTATAAAGTTAAAACCATGTCATGGGGGTTTGTTGTACTGATTATTTCATCATCCAGATATTAATCCCAGTAACCATTAATTATTTTTCCTGCTCCTCTCCCTCCTTCCACCCTCCACCCTCTGGTAGACCCCAGTGTCTGTTGTTCCCCTCTCTGTGTCCATGTGTTCTCATCATTTAACTCTCACGTCTAAGTGAGGACGTGGTATTTAGTTTTATCTTTCTGTGTTAGTTTGCTAAAGACAATGGAATCCAGCCACACCCATGTTCCCACAAAGGACATGATCTCATTCATTTTTATGGCTGGATAGTATTCCATGGTGTATATGTACCACATCTTCTTTATCCAGTCTACTATTGATGGGCATTTGGGTTGATTCCATGTATTTGCTATTGTGAATAGTGCTACAGTGAACATATGTGTGCATATGTCTTTAAGAAAGAATGTTTCATAGTCCTTTGGATATTTAACCAGAAGTGGGATTGCTGGCTGTCCAGCAATGATATTTCTGTCTTTAGGTCTTTCAGGAATTGCCACGCTGCTTTCCACAATGGTTGAACTAATGTGCATTCCCACCAACAGTGTATAAGCTTTCCTTTTTCTCCACATCATTGCCAGCATGTTTGACTTTTTAATAATAGCCATTCTGATTGGTGTGAGATTTGGTATCTCACTGTGGTTTTGATTTGCATTTCTCTAATGATCACTGATGTGGAGCTTTTTGTCATATGCTTGTTGGTTGCATGTATGTCTTCTTTTGAAAAGGGTCTGTTCATGTCCTTTGCCCACTTCTTAAGATGGGGTTTTTGTTTTTTCTTGTAAATTTGTTTAAGCTCCTTATAGATGCTAGATATTAGACCTTTGTCAGATGCATACTTTGCAAAAATTTTCTCCCATTCTCTAGGTTGTCTGTTTACTCGGTTGATGGTTTCTTTTACTGTGCAGAAGCACTTTCCATTTGTCAATTTTTGATTTTGCTTGCAATTGCATTGAGCAACTTTGTCATAAAATCTTTGCTTGTTTCTATGTCTAGGATGGCATTGCCTAGGTTTTCTTCCAGGGCTTTTATAGTTTTGGTTTTACATTTAGGTCTTTAATCCATCTTGAGTTGATTTTTATATATAGTGTGTGGAAGGGGTCCAGTTTCAACCTTCTGCATATGGCTAGTCAGTTATCCCAGCACCATTTATTGGATAGGGAGTCTTTTCCCCATTGCTTTCTTTGTCAGCTTTGTCAAAGATCAGATGGTTGTAGGTGGTTGGCCTTATTTCTGGGATCTATTCCATTTAATTAGTTTTTGTGTCTGTTTTTTGTACCAGTACCAGGCTGTTTTGGTTACTGTGTCCCTGTGGTATACTTTGAATTCAGGTAACGTGATGCCTCCAGCTTTGTTCTTTTTGCTTAGGGTTACCTTAGCTATTTGGGCTGTTTTGTGGTTCTATATCAATTATAAAATAGTTTTTTTCTAGTTTCGTGAAGAATGTCATTGGTAGTTTGATAGGAATAGCATTGAATCTATACAGTGCTTTGAGCATCACGGCCATTTTAATGATGTTAATTCATCCTATCTATGAGCATGGACTGTTTTTCCATTTATTTGTGTCATCTCTGATTTATTTGTTGAGTGCTTTGTAGTTCTCCTTGTAGAGATCTATCACCTCCCTGGTTAGCTGTATTCCTCCATAGTTTATTACTTTTGTGGCAACTGTGAATGGGATTGTGATTCTAATTTGGCTCTTGGCTTGACTGTTGCTGGCACATAGGAATGCTATGGATTTTTGGACATTGATTTTGTATCCTGAGACTTTGCTGAAGTTGTTTATCAGCTTAAGGATCTTTTGAGCAGAGACTATAAGGTTTTCTAGATATAGAATCATGTCACCTGCAACAGGGTTGGTTTAACTTCTCTCTTCCTGTCTCAGACCACAGTGAAATAAAAATAACATTTGAAACTAAGAAAATAGCTCAAAATAGCTCATACAGTTACATGGAAATTGAATAACCTGCACCTGAATGACTTTTGGGTAAATAATGAAATTAAGGCAGATATCAAGGAGCTCTCTGAAGCTAATAAGAACAAAGATACAATATGCCAGAATCTCTGGGACACTGCTAAGGCAGTGTTAAGAGTGAAATTTGCAACACTAAATACCCACATCAAAAAGATAGAAAGGTATCAATTTAACAACTTCATATCACAAGTATAATGACTAGAGGACCAAGAGCAAACCAACACCAAAGCTAGCATACGACAAAAAATAACCAAAATCAAACATGAACTGGAGGAGACTGAGATACACACAAACACAAATAAATCATTCAAAAAAGCAATGAATCCAGGAGTTGATTTTCTGAACAAAATCAATAAAATAGACCACTAGCTAGACTAATAAAGAAGAAAAGAGAGAAGATCCAAATAAAAACAATTAGAAATAACTAAGGGGATATTACCATTGACCCCACAGAAATACAAACAGCCACCAGAGAATATTATGAAAACCTCAATACACAGACTAGAAAATCTAGAAGAAATGGATAAATTACTGGACACATACATCTTTCTATGACTGAACCAGGAATAAATTGAATCCCTAAATAGACCTAGAATGAGCTCTAAACCTGAATCCATAATAAATAGCCTACCAGCCAAAAAAAGCCCAGGACCAAACAGACTCACAGCCAAATTCTACCAGATGTACAAAGAAGAGCTGGTACCATTCCTACTGAAACTATTCCAAAACATTGAGGGGTGACTCCTCCCTAACACATTCCATAAGGCCAGCATCATCCTGATACCAAAACCTGGCAGAGACACAACAAAATACAGAAACTTCATGTCATTATACTTGATGAACATAAATGCAAAAATCCTGAACAAAATATGGGCAATTCAAATCCAGCAGTACTTCTAAAAGCTTATCCATCATGACCAAGTAGGCTTTATCCCTGGGATGCAAGGTTGATTCAACATACATAAATCAATAAATGTGATTCATCACGTAAACAGAACAAAAGACAAAAACCACATGGTTATCTCAACAGATGCAGAAAAGGCTTTCAATAGAATTCAACACCCTTCATGTTAAAAATTCTCAATTAATTAGGTATTGAATGAACATACCTCGAAATAAGAAGTGCCATCTATGACAAAACCACAGCAAACATTATATTGAAAAGGCAAAAGCTGGAAGTATTTCCCTTGAAAACTGGTACAAGACAAGGACTCCCTGTCTCACCACTCTTCTTAAACACAGTATTGGAAGTCCTGGACAGGGCAATCAGGCAGGAGAAACAAATAAAGGGCATCCAAATACTTTTAATTTTTTTTAAGTCAGCTGTAAATTCTGCTTTACATCCTCCTTTTTAATAGGTTGAGAAATTTTACTTATGAGCAGAATTTACTTTTTAAAATAAACTTCATGTTTTAATATAGTTTTTTAGCAAAATTGTGCAGAAGAGATTTTCCATATACTCACTACCTCCACACATGTATATACTCCCCAGCTATCAACATCTTCCAGAGAAGTACATGTATTAAATTTGATGAACCTGCATTCACACATCATTATCACTCAGAGGTCACAGTTTATATTAGGGTACACTCTTGGTGTTGACTATTCTGTAAGGTTAGATAAACAGAAGTTTGTGTATCCACCATTGTAGTATCATACAGAGCAGTTGCACTGCTCAAAATATCTTCTGTTCTCTGCCTGTTTATCCCTCTCTTTAAACCCTGGCAAACACTGATCTTTGTACTCTCTCTTCAGTTTTACTTTTTCAAAATATGTAGTCGAATCATACAATATGTAGCCTTTCCTGATTGGCTTCTTTCACCTAGTAATGTGTATTTATGTTTTCTCCATGTCTTTTCATGTCTTAATAGCTCACTTCTTTTTAATATTTCATTGTCTCCATGTACCACATTATATTTATCCATTCACACACTGAAGGACATCTTGGTTGCTTCAATGACTGACAATTATGAATAAGGCTGCAGTAACTACATATGTGC
This sequence comes from Homo sapiens, assembly GCF_000001405.40. Classification (NCBI taxonomy): domain Eukaryota; kingdom Metazoa; phylum Chordata; class Mammalia; order Primates; family Hominidae; genus Homo; species Homo sapiens. The sequence continues at coordinate 194,828,477 of NC_000001.11, read as the reverse complement.
AGGTTTTTGTGTGAACATAAGATTTTAACTTCATTGGATAAATATCAAGTAGTGTAATTTGGATTTCATAGTAAGAGTGTGTTTAGTTTTGTAAAATGTTGCCTGTCCTCCAGAGTGGCTGCACTGTTTAGCATTTCCATCTGCAATGAATGAGAGGTATTGTTGCTTCACATCCTTGCCATCATCGGGTTTTGTCGATGATCCGATTTTTGGCAATTCTAGTAGGAGTGTAGTAGTATTTCTTTGTCATTGTGTTTTTCTGATTATGTATAATTTGGAACATCTTTTCATGTGCTTATTTGCTATCTGTGATGGTTAATTTTAGGTGTCAACTTTACTGGGTTAAGATAGCTGATAAAGCCCACCGGGCACGGTGGCTCACGCCTGTAATCCCAGCACTTTGGGAGGCCGAGGCGGGTGGATCATGAGGTCAGGAGATCGAGACCATCCTGGCTAACATGGTGAAACCCCGTCTCTACTAAAAATACAAAAAAAAAATTAGCCGGCCGTGGTGGCTGGCACCTGTACTCCCAGCTACTTGGGAGGCTAAGGCAGGAGAATGGCATGAACCCGGGAGGCGGAGCTTGCTGTGAGCTGAGATCGCGCCACTGCACTCCAGCCTGGGTGACAGAGCGAGACTCCACCTCAAAAATAAATAAATTAATTAATTTAAAAAAAGGATAGCTGATAAAGCCTTATTTCTGAATATGTCTGTGAGGGTCTTTCTGGAAGAGGATAGCATTTGATTCAATGGACTGAGTAAGAAAGATCTCCTCTCGCCAATGTAGGTGGACTCTATCCAATCCATTGAGGGTCTACATAAAACAAAAAAGGCAGAGGAAAGGTGATTTCTCTCTCTCTCTTCTGGAGCTAGAATACAAATGTTCTCCTGTCTTTGGGCATCAAAACTGTAGGTTTTGGGGCCTTCAGACACCAGGACCTGCACCAGTGGCCCTCCACTTTCTCAGGCCTTTGTTCACTACTTGCCGATGGTACCAGATATTGGGACTTCTCAGCCTCCATAATTATATAAGTCCATTCCTTATAATAAATCAAACTCCTTTGCTCCTTCTCCCTCCTAATACTAGTACATGTATATTGAGTTAAACCTGTACATGTCTGTGAGAATAAACTTTAGAAGTGCCTAAAAATACATTAATCAGCACACTCCTCAAAAATCTCCCTGGTAGAAACCCCTGGATGCATTGGAAAATGGGGATGTTTTTCATTAAAAAAAAATGAACAATTGCTTAAATATAGTGAATATTACATTAAATTTATTTTAATTAGTTTAAAAATTTATTTTATTAAGATAAACAGGTGTTTCTAAATGACATTTTATTTTGTCTATGAGGTGCACCTCTTTGAATATGATTGGTAATTTGACCTTTCATGTAGTATAGCACAGGGAAAAATGTGTGCATTATTTTATACTTTCAATAGAAGTTTGAAAAACTCATTCAAATATCAATTTTCCTTTTTGTAATTTTCAACTTTTATTTTAGATATAAGGGATACATGTGCAGGTTTGTTTCATGGGTATGCCTCACCCAGATAGTGAGCATAGTACCCAATAGGCAGTTTTTCAACCAGCTGCCTTCCCTTTCCCTGCTCTGGTAGTTCACGCTGTCTACTGTTCCCATGTTTGTGTTCATGTATACCCAGTGATTAGCTCCCACTTATAAGTGAGAACATGTACTATTTGATTTTCTGTTTTTGAAGTAATTCGCTCAGGATTATGCCTCCAGTTCTATCCATGTTAATGCAAAGGACATGACTTCTAAATATGCACTTTGGTGAACTTGATTAATGAAACTTTTGGAATTCAGTTGCTAGCTCACAACAGATTTTCTATTTCTGCATTCTATTGTTGCTTTTGAAAATTCCAAAGGTTTACTTTTTGTGATAAAATTTTTGGCAGCTTTGTTTACTTAACAATCTGGGTTCCTCTTTCTTTAAAAAAATCTTTGTCATCAGGATAGATCAACAAGGCTGTTAAAAAGCCAAACTTCTCTGTTGGGCGCAGTGGCTCACGCCTGTAATCCCAGCTCTTTGGGAGGCCAAGGTGGGCGAATCACGAGGTCAGGAGATCGAGACCATCCTGGCTAACACAGTGAAACTCCATCTCTACTAAAAATACAAAAAAAAAAAAAAAAAATTAGCCGGGCATGGTGGCGGGTGCCTGTAGTCCCTGCTACTCTGGAGGCTGAGGCAGAAGAATGGCGTGAAACTGGGAGGTGGAGCTCGCAGTGAGCCCAGATCATGCCACTGCACTCCAGCCTGGGCGACAGAGCGAGATTCCATCTCCAAAAAAAAAAAAAAAAAAAAAAAAGCCGAACATAACATTGAAAATAATGTCTCAGGACTTTGCTTTTAGAACATTTATTTAAAATACGTGTGCTCTCTTGAGAATTTGTGGTAAGTCCAGCAGAAACTGTGAGGAGAAAACTCAGTGTCTGAATAGATCTTTGCTTAGTTGCAAAGCATTTTAGTTTCTTACCTGACATATTTTTACTCTTGCTTGTGTCCACTGTTTTAAAAACTAATTGCGTTTGCCAAACTATTGCACATTTTTCCTTTTCTCTATAATTTATTAATAATGCATTTTGTGTTTATTACCATATATATTCTAATTAATTTGTACAATGAGGTTATTAATCTTTTCAAAGCACAGTTAACAGGATGCAAAAATTTGAGAAAAACATACAAAATATAATTTCTTATTTTAAATAAAAGTTGAAGAGATAAGATATTTCTATGAGTACAATTCAATTAAAACAACTGTAGAGCATCAGTGTTGGCTTAATCCTGGATTCTTATTTTTGATCTAGGATAACCACTAAGAAAAATAAACAGCAAATTTCTATATAGTTCACTCTGTTGCTTTTCACTGTGGTCTCCCCTGCAGGCACTGTCTAAAATTGCAATATATTCTGAACAATTCTTTCACTTTTCCTGACTATTTTCTTTATACATTGTTACTATCTCACATATTATATATTTTACTTCTTCATCTGATTTTATTTTCTGTTTTATGCTGTTTTAAACGAGAGCCTAAGCTCCATGTAGCAGGAATTTTGTTTATTGTTATTGTTATTATTTCCAAAATATCTTGGTAACCGATTTAATGTGTAGTCTTTAAAAATTAAATTAAAATCTTTTGCAAAGAAATGAGGTGGGAGAAACACATGAATAGGTCAAACAAAAACAACAGGACTGTACGCACTAATAAATAAACAAATTAATTAAATAAGATAAATGGAGTTTAAAGACAAAAGCCCAGATTTATTTCAATGATTATCTCAAATGGATATCATATTTTCTATCAGAATGTATATTGCCAAGGGTCACTCGTAAGCTTTAGAAAAATTGAGTGTATTATTGTTATTATTATTATTTTTTGAGACTGAGGTTTGCTTTTGTTGCCCAGGCTAGAGTGCAATGGCGTGATCTTGGCTCACTGCAACCTCCACCTCCTGGTTTCAAGCAATTCTTGTGGCTCACCTCCTGAGTAGCTGGGATTACAGACATGGATTACCATGCCTGGATAATTTTGTACTTTTAGTAGAGACGGAGTTTCTACATGTTGGTCAGGCTGGTCCCGAACTCCTGACCTCAGGTGATCTGCCCGCCTTGGCTTCCCAAAGTGCTGGGATTACAGGCATGAGCCACCACATCTGGAAAGTATAGTATTTAAATAAAAATAAATTGGAATTATTTGCAAAGTTTTGCCACCATAAAAGAGTTCAGCCCCAGACAGTTTTGCAGACTATTTCTACTCAAATTTTAAGGTAGTTTTTCTCTTTTCCTACTGACTTCCTTGTGGCATTTTTGTTATAGTAGCCCAAAATGACAAAGATACCTACCAGACTTCTGTTTGCATTCAAGGCATTCCACACATGCTAGGGGAGGATATATCAGTAAGGTGTCCATCTGCAAATTAGGAAGAGGGCCTTCACCAGAAACAAGACGCTGAATTGACTGGCACCTTGATCTTGGACTTCTCAGCTTCCAGAACTGTAGGAAATAAATTTCTGTTGTCTAAGCCACAAAGATATCTACCAAATTTTTGTTGCATTCAAGGTAATTCCAACTAGTTTTTTATGTAAGCTTTCACAAATTATACTTCCTCCTAAAGGCTACCTATTACTATGCTTACATTATTTTTGAAAAAAGAAGGATGTAGGAAAAATGACTTCAAAGAAGTTAGTTTTGTGTTGATATTCGAGAAATAGTCTAATATACATGTGACCAAAAAAGTAAAAATCAAATACAAGTAGATATAGAGGCTTAATTTATGATGAAGCTTGTTTTTCAAAACCTGCCAAAAATGGATGTATAATTCAACAAAGTTTCTTAACACGTTTATAAAAATGTTAAAAGACTATAGGCAAAAACACTGTTAAATGGTTAGAAGAAAATATGTGATATTTATTTTTATTTATCCAGTGTGGGGAAGATATTCTTTAACAGGATACATATTCAAAAAGTGTAAAGAAAAACTGATATATATGGTTATAAAAGTCACCATGTACAATAATATAATGTAAATAAAATCTTAGCTCAAACAACCCAAATGTCCGTCAGTTGCAGAATGTTTCAATAAATTGGGATACTCATATAACTGAATACTGCATATCAATGAAAAAGCATTTACTACAATTTTACAAACAATATGGATAAATTTTACAAGCCTCATTTTAATAAAAAAAAGAGCTAGACCAGAGAAAAATTTAATATTTACACATTAATTTATCTAAAGTTCAAAACAGGTAAAATTAAGGGTAGTATTTAGGGATAGATGCTTAGGTAGAAAAACTAATAAAAAATAAGCAAGCAATTGCCATAAAGTTTAGAACAGCAGTCACCATTGTCAGTGGAGGGTTACTTATTAATTAGTTGTCATTAGTAATTAGTTATAGTTAGTAATTGAGTGCTCATAAACTATTAGGAGGGTAGCATTTTTTTTGTTTTGTATATAAAGAAGGACATTTTAACCTTTTTATTGATGCATATAGTATTTTACATATTTATGGGATACAGATATGTGATACTCTGTTGCATGTATAGAATATGTAATGATCTATTCGAGTACATGGGATATCCATCACCTTTAGTATTTATCACTTCTGTGTGTTGAGAACCTTTCCAGTTCTCTCTTCTAGCTACTTTGAAATATACAGTGCATTGTTACTAACTAGAAAATGAGTGGTATGTTTTATGTTAAATGTAAAATATTGAAGAAAAACAGAATAAGGACATGGGCAGGAAAGAGGAAGAAGCTGAATGCGAATAGCCCTGAGGACATATAGTTTGATGCCAAAACCAGTAACTAAATAGAATGGAAAGTGTGCTCTGCTGAAGGCAGGTTTGAGCTAAGATTTTCTGTAAAAATTTTGTTAGCTCAAGGAGAAAAGTATTTAAAAAATTAGAATGTTTGTAACACAAAGAAAGGATAAATGCTTGAGGTGATGGATACCCCATTTACCCTGATGTGATGATTATACCATTGTATGCCTGTATCAAAATATCTCATCTCCCCATAAATATATACACCTATATACCCATAATTTTTAAGCAGCAGTATCATGTGAAAATTCTCCACATAGCAGTAATCCAAACAAAACAAATATAGCAAATCAAATAAAATAATGTAAGGAGACAAGTTTTAATCATAAAATGATGACCACTTTCACTAGCATTCAGGGACTTGAAACAGACACAAAAATATTTTCCACTCTTTGCTCTCTAGATGTTCGATACTATTCTATTTTACAAGATTTTGAGGACAAGAGGCTTTCTTGCATATTGGGAGATGTGGTTATCTGTTTTAAAGTAGATACTAACATTTCAAAGTTTATTCCCTTTTACAAATTCTACTTATAGTAGTCAATCTTAAAAAATAAAATACTTGCAAATGTATTTTTACCTATAAATCATTACCACCTACAAATGTCCACTGAATTTTTGTATTTTTAATGCAAAAAGTGAATACATAAGAAAACAACTATAATACAGTTGTAAAGTACTATAAATATTAAGTAGAATACTATAAAATCATTAAAAACGAGAAAGAAAGTTTTATGTTTACCCACATGGAAAGTTATCAGGGTTGTGTTGTCATATAATAAAAGCAAATTTCTAAAAATAATACTGATGATAAGATTTTATTTGTATTTGCAAAATAAATGAACCTGTATTTTAAAAAATATAGTCAATTAAAAATAACATTTCAAACATTTTAAATTATAACATCTTTAGTGAAATCAAACTTTTCTTTAGAATATCTTTCTAGCATTTTGGGTCACTTAGCTTAGCAATTGAATAAACAAGTTTTGTTGTGTTGGCAAAGCTTAATTTTGCAGCAATATCAGAAGCTGACCTCTCTATGCAGAATTCATTCTCCCAAACAGTACATTTTCTTACTTTACAGAATATGAAAATGCATAAGTGACCAGTTGCATATTAATGCTTGAACAGTGGTAACACTTGGCTTCATTATAATATATTAAAGTTACCATCAATTGTGTTTAAATAACAATGGACATTATTATTCCTAGAAGATGTAAGTGTACAAACATAGATTAGATTCTAAAATGTTCTTTATTGAGCAGTTACCATTGAAAATTACTAGAATAGTTTTCAACTATTTATATCAATTTTTCTACATAGTCGTTCTTAATTTTAGAATGTGTTCCCCTATTTAATAAACTGTAATCTAAAAATATATGCTTACACAATATTTATAATACAGGCTTAGGGGCCTGACAATTTTTGAATGCATTGTTTTCTCATGTAGTAGATGCCCTAGTTTCAGACGTGTGCACAGCAAAATAAAGATATACATTCAGATCCTATTTTAATTCTCTCAGTTATGACTCCATTTCTTAGAAGATTCAGAAAACACAGAATGTGTGTTTAGGTACATACCACCTACAATTTAGTCAGTTTTGCCCATCATATCAGTTGCCTTGGTTCATTTCCAGGTCTATAATATTCTAGCTATACAAAATCCCTATTTTTTTACTCCTGAGTTGTCATTTTCTTTTCTCCCTTCCTTTTGTAATCTCTCCTTGCACTTAATTAAAAAAATACAACAAAAACAGATGAAAGTAACACACTATTAAAACAAACTAATAATATGATCCCATACTCAGTGCCAGAAAACATCAACTGCTCAATCAAAGAAACCAACTAGCAACACCAGCCAATTTGTCCCACTTTAATTTCTTAACCCCTTTCTTCTGGCTTCTAAAATCAATGTAAATCAGATTGTCATATATTCTACAAAAGCATCCTATCTCAGGACACATTCCTCCACATCCAATTCCCCTTAGCCAGAACTCAGATACTGAAAGAGGGCGTGTATTATAAATGTAACCACACAATGCGCTAGCAATAAAAAGTCTTAGGGATGAGCATTCACAACAAAACTTTCTATGCAATATATTAGATCAAATACATTTATGGTTGGATTTTATTTTTAAATTGAGGTAAATATTAATGTTTATATGTTGCTGGTATAACATATCTGACTCACCTAAATTTATTTTTACATGATGCTTTAATTATGTTCATGACAGAATATACTTGCTTAAACTAAATATTGCAATTAGTTTTCTTATTCCAATTTAAAAATGTTTTGCTATCACATAGTAATGAAAAATGCTGAAAATAATTTATATAATTTATTAAGTTTTAGTATATATTAATTCATGAACTTATTATCATGAATATACTGCATATGCTATCACATACTGATGAAAAATGCTCATGATAATCCAGAGAATTAAATATTTATCAATTTTTATTAAAATATCTTAATCCATGATGATTTTAAATATCAAGAATATACTGAATACTGTATTCAGTGATGTTTTACTTCTAAAATAACTTTGAAAATATACTACTGTTTAAAAAAATCAGTATATTGAAAGAAATATTTTTGATACTATATAGAGGTGACTTTGCAACATTGTGAATGAACTAAGTGTAATTGAATTGTTCAGATTAAAGTGGTAAGTTCTATGTTATGTGAGTTTTACCTCAATATATTATTAAAACATATCATTCATCCTTATGTTTATATTTTAGAAATATACTACTATATCATTGATTAAATAAACTCTACTTGGTAAATATATTATTTTAAAAATGTACAATATTGTTATGGAATTTAGTTACTTAATATTTAATATACTATATCATGATATTCTAAAATTTCCCTATTTTGCTCAATTAGGCAAATGAAGTTTCAGTAATATAGTAAAACTTGGAACATTGAGTAATGAAGATCACTTCCAATGATTTTATTCACATGTATCTAACTAAGCAATTCAAGTTAATGAATTAGATAAGTTGATTGTGACAGCAATTATAGTAATACAGCAATAACTGTGTATATTAAATGATCAAGGTGTGTTAATTCATTAGAATAAGTTATCCACTAACCTCATAGCAACCTTACAAGATTGTTATTGTCATTCTATTTTACATATGACTAAAGTCGTATGAAAACTCACTCATATGAAATTTGAACACTTTCCATTTTCATTGGGATATGTGCATAAACTCAAGAAAGTCATACTTATGAAAAGTATAATCTATAACTGTGCATTAAAACTTTAACTGTAATTAGTTGTGGGAGACCTCCAACATATTCAATAGTTGCCTCTAGGTATCTGGAAGTTGTGAGAAAATGCATTAAAGAACATAATTTGTATTTGAACAGTGACGCTAAGTGGGATATAGTAAAAATACAACTTTATGTTTTTCTCCCACACTTTCTTTAATACTTATGTGGCAGGGAAACTATTTTTCTTATAACTAAATGAAAACTCTGGCCAAGCCCAAGGCTTCTCTGGTAACTTGTATTTAATAGATAGTCCTGTGATCAATTATGATCATATCTTCAAACCCAATTTCATTTCAGTAATTTAAATGTCCCCTTCAATATATTAAATGTCCCATTTAATGTCCCATTTAATATATTCATTCAAACTTCGCCCTTCATTCAGAAGCACCAATTTCCCCTTTGCTCCTCCAACCAGAATCTATATTAGGTGGAATTAATGCTTTCTCTTGTTTTTCTACTCATTTCTCCCTCTCCCTTCTCCCATTCTTCTGACTAGCTGCAGTTACTGACACCTCTGAGCTTGGAGATGAATTTATTCGTTAAAAGGTACAATCATAAGATGTCTTCTTCCTGGGCCAGTCTGATATTTAAAACTTGCTATTTCTGTTATCCACTCATAAGAGGTTTTTGTGAGAATTCTTAGATGCAATTCATCAAGTGAGACTCTTGAGACACATAAACAGTTCTGTTTCAGCAACTTTGTCAGCTCTCCATTCAAACTGTCTCTCTTGTTGTTCTGTCTGTTTCAGTCCACATTCTAGTGATCTCTTCTTTAGATGCCATTATCTTGTGATAAACCCTTTTGCTCAGAATGTACACCTATAGCAAAAATATTTTTCATGTGTTCCATCTAGATTACTCCCATGATTCACACATTTCGATGAGAGATAAATTTAATTATTCTTCCATGCATTAGTAAATGCGTTTCTACCCTGCCACACATCAAGGCTATTGCAACATCTTCTAGCCTTTAGACTTCTCAAGCATGTATCAGACATTGTTAACTGTACCACACAATCCAGGCCACATGCAGGCACTCCAAGTACTTCACTTTCTACCACTATTTCACCTTAGGAGAGCAGGGTTCATGAAGAAAGACTGTATACAAAGATACCACTTTTTGGATTTTCTGCATAATCTACCTTTTCAAGCCTTCTGAATTTTAAGAGTTATCTAACTGGTTCTCAATCATCTACTTTAACTTTGTCATTGGTGTTCTGGCATGTCCCTTAAGCGTTTTAAATCTATTAATACTATACTAATACCTCAGACAAAATCTTTTTAATTTTTATGCATGCATACCAGTTGTACATATTTATGACGTACATGTGACATTTTGATGCAAGCATACAATGTGAAATGACCAAATCAGGATAATGGGGAAGTCCATCACTTTAAGTATTTATCATTTTTTTGTTTATTAGCATTCCAATTCTACTCTTCTAGTTACTTTGGAATATACTATAAATTATTATTAGCTATAGTTGCCCTATTGTGCTACCAAACACTAGATTTTATTCCCCTTAACTGTATTTTTGTACACATTAAACAATCTCTCATGTCCTGTTACGGTCATGAAGAGAAAACTGAGTTTTAACCTACCTACTCATTTCAGATTCAAAATGTATATGTATACATAGCTGTTTATGTGGGGACACTATAATTCACCTAAATGCATCTCCCATGACAGGTACATTAGGAACAGAAGGTATGCCCCATATTTATGATTTTAACCTCTTGCATAATTACCTGTGACTTTCAGGCTCAAGGTATTTGGATATATGAACATTTTCACCATTTTATCGGCAATCAGTATAGGATTTCTTGGTTGAAACATTGCCTTTTTGTTCATTAATATATTTACTTTTGGTTTTGGTCTCATGGTCCACTCCATCCCCTGCCTTAGTTAGTTTCAATTTCTGCATCCAGATGGATGATTTAGGTCAACAGTCATGTTTAACTCAAATCAACCACCCACACAAAAGCTTATGATGTAAAAATTGGCAACTCTAATTTACATTTATATTATATGTAAGTGTTCTACTGATTTTACTGACTTACTACTCATTACTGTTTAGATTCTAGAACCCATAATAAAATTCATACTTCTCAAACATTTTGAATCCACCATTTCTGACTTTTAAATGAAATAAAAGAAGGGAAAACGCAGACATATTTCATCATATATTTACTATTTGTATTGCTCTTTATTCTTGAGTGTAGATAAGATGCACTTGATGTCAGTCTGAAAACTTCACTTACCATTTCTGTATGACCAAGTCTGCTGGTGAAGACCAGGTCTGCTGGCCAACTTTTCTTAGGAAATATTCTTGTTTGCCTTTTCTTGAAGAAAATTTTTATTAAATACAGAAATTGTGTTGACTTTTTTATTTTCAACAATTTAAGGATATCATTCCAATGTTTTCTAAACTCTATTGTTTCTGAGAGTATTCAGGTATTATTTTGTATAGCTGATCACCTACCTACATATGTGTCTTTTTATTTTCCCTAGCTTCATTTGGTATTTACTTTTTAACACTGATTTTTAGTAATTTTACTCTCATGAAACTACAGGTAGTTTTTCTTCCCTTTATTCTGCTTATTATCCACTGAGTTTCTTGTATCTATGTGAGGACAATTTAAGCAAATTTGCAACAATTTCTGTCTTAATTTCTTTAATATATTTCTACTCTACTGTCTCTTTCCTTTTCTTTTAGACTTCAGTTATACGTAATTAGTCATAGGCAAGACTACTAATGCTTACTGCATTATGAATCAAACTGGAAGACATCAATCAATCCCCTAGAATTATACTTTTTAAAATCTCTCACATGTGTACAAGGAGACATTAAGTACTGGCGTGCTGATAAATGCTTAGCAACCAGCTCTCAAGTGATCCCAACATAAATTTTGTTTAATATTTTTGTATACATTAACAAGCAAAAAAAAAAGGGAAACATAAGATATATGCTAAGGCTTTCTTTATTCATCAAGAATGTGAGCAACTCCTTTGCTGAATCAAACATTAGCTGTTAACAGTGAAAGAAAATTTATTTAAATTTTGTGCCAGTCATGATATAAAAGCTACACAAAAAACATGATTTATTTTAATCAATATTATTAATTTTTTACCTTTATTGTAGTAAGTCTAAATATGAAATAAAACATTTATTCAAGCCTGATCTGTAGTATTTGTCAATTTTCAGGGTATAATTGTACCCACAGGATATAATTCAGTACAGTAACACTATACCACTGGGTGTGCAGTTGGGAGAGATTTGCAGTAACAAAACATTATATAAAAACTTACAGATCACAGGCAACAATAAAATATAGTAAAATAATTAGGAATAGATGAGTTTATTTTCAATATGAATTCTTTAATTGCTAGTTGATGTAACTTAGCTTTTTTTTTAACTTTTGTTTTAAGTTCAGGGTTACAAGTGCCAAGTGTAGGTTTCTTTTATATGTAAACTTGTGTCACTGTGGGTTGTTGTACAGGTTACTTAATCACAAAGGTGTTAAGCCTAGTACTCATTAGTAATTTTTCCCGATTCTCTCTCTCCTCCAGTTCTCCACTCTCTGATAGGCCCTGGTGTGTGTTGTTCCCCTTTGTGTGTCCATGTGTTCTCAACATTCAGCTCCCACTTATAAGTGAGAACTTTCAGTATTTGGTTTTCTGTTTCTGTGTTAGTTTGCTGAGAATAATACCTTCCAGCTCCATCCAGGTCCTTGCAAAGGACATGATCTCATTCTTTTATAAGGCTGAATAGAATTCCATGGTGTATATGCACCATATTTTCTTTGTGATACCAAAATCTGGCAGAGATACAACAAAAAAAGAAAACTTCAGGCCAATGTACTTGTTGAACCTCACTGCAAAAATCCTCAACAAAATGCTGTCAAACTGAATCCAGCAGCATGGTAGGCAGTAACTTAATTTTTAACTGCTGTGTTTTATAATTGTTTCCAAAATTCTGAACAGTTTAACAATATATTTTTTAAAGTTAGTATGAGACAGATACAACATACCCTTTTGTGTAAAGATTATCATTACAAAATTTTCTGTAATAGTGAGATATTAGAAATAAGCCATTAAAAATAACTTGGAGATCAGATGACTCAGTTGATAAGATAGACTCTATTAGATAGCATAGATCTCCATCTTGAATAAATTGATCACTTCAGTGCCCAGTTTTTAGTACAGTGTGAATATTGCAATACTACACTAATGCCAAGAGCTTGCTCAGTGGGATTGACTATTAATGAATTTTGGGAGGGAGTCAAATAAATAAATAAATAAATAAATGATACTATACTTATTTAAAAATCACTTTCAGAGCTAGCAACATAATAAAGAATACTTTACAAAAGAAAATTCAGTTACTGGATTATAACTACATTTTACTGCCTGAAACATTAATAAATCCCATCTTCAGCTTTTCCTTGTGACACACAGATCTTGTTACAATAAATACAATCTTCAATTAGAAATCATTATTTAAATAGTGGCTCCAGGATCGATTAAGATATTTAAAATTATGTAGCATAGCCACCAAATGGACTATGCCATTCCCAATTGCATTAGAGTTTCCTAGTTATGTGTAAAACAAAAAGACAAACAAAAAAAAAGTAATAAACCGATGAACAAGAAGAACTCCAATCTAACCTGACTTTAAGGTAAGCATTACAGATAAATCAGTGATTGAAAACTAGAGAAATAAATATTTTAAGAATTAACATTCATTTATTTTTTTTTATGGCACCCTCAATTGGTGATGATGCTATGAGTAGTATTTTTACATCTTGCAAGTTTGAGAATAACTTCTCTAATGTCATGTTTCTAAATTCTTTTTTTATTATTATTATTTTACTTTAAGTTTTAGGGTACATTTGCACAACGTGCAGGTTTGTTACATATGTATACATGAGCCATGTTGCTGTGCTGCACCCATTAACTCGTCATTTAATATTAGGTATATCCCCTAATGCTATCCCTCTCCCCTCCCCCCACCCCACAACAGGTCCCGGTGTGTGATGTTCCCCTTGCTGTGACTATGTGTTCTCATTCTTCTAAATTCTAAATGCTGATTTGTTACTCCTTACCATCTGCTTACATAGTCTCCTGTTGCCAAATCTGATAATAATATAGGTGGCTGAAGATGCACATTGTGTATATGCAGTGCAAACTTTTACAATGGAACATCCTAAAGGATGTAGTCATAAAAATACTTGTATAGAACTCTTGAGCTGTTAGAACATGGTGGGACAAGAATGAGTCCTGGAAAAACTTTTAAGAGTTTGAGATTGATCAGGCCGAGGTCCAAGAAGTCATCACTAATTCTTCTCTTTCTTGCACCGCCAATATATAATCCATATGGAAGTCTTTGTTAATATATCCAAAGCGCCAGGCGCGGTGGCTCACGCCTGTAATCCCAGCACTTTGGGAGGCCGGGGCGGGCGGATCACAAGGTCAGGAGATTGAGACCTTCGTGGCTAAGATGGTGAAACCCCATCTCTACTAAAAATACAAAAAATTAGCCGGGCGTGGTGGCGGGCGCCTGTAGTCTCAGCTACTCAGGAGGCTGAGGGAGGAGAATGGTGGGAACCCTGGAGGCGGAGCTTGCAGTGAGCAGAGATCGCGCCACTGCACCCCAGCCTGGGCGATGGAGCGAGACTCCGTCTCAAAAAAAAAAAAAAAAAAAAAAAAAAACATAAAAAAATAAAAAATTTATATATATCCAAAGCATCTTTAAATCTCACCTCTTCTTAACATGTCTAATACTGTTCTAGCCATTACCATCTTTCTGAATTATTTAAACAAATTCCCTGGCTGTATTTTCTTTCTGTTTTGACAACATCAACAATTTCTGTCTACATATCCCACAATTAAGACTATCCAATGACAGTTACCCATAAATATAATGGGATAATAGCAGTTTCCCATCAACTAAAAGACCAGTCATGATGATGCCACTACTTGTTTCTGTACTACACCCAATCCCCTCTTCTTTCTTATCCAATCGGCCCAGCGTCACTGTATGTTGTCCTTCAAACACACCAAAACTTCTCTCTCCTTAGTCTTATCAGCTATTCCTTCTGAGTGAAATGCTCCAATCTACATAATATTTGACAGACTGCTGCCTTATTATTCATGTTTCAGATCAGTTCTTGATAAATATTTGCTTTATGAATTAGTTTTATTGGTTATACAAACCCACATGTTGAACGACAATTGCTAACGTATATTTTAGCCTTCTTTACATTGTTCTGACAGGACTAAAGAAATAATTGCTATCTGGATTGGGAATCCTATTATGCTAGTCATAATTACCTTCCAGAATTGCACAATTTAAATGAGAAAATTTATATAAAATTACAATGAAATCATAAGCAACAACAATTGTTATCTCCTCTACTTCAAACCTCTTTCCAGATTCCACATAGAAGATAAAATATTGATGCAGTAAACAAAATATTGAGATGTACCTTTACTTTCATATATCAGGTTTGGAATGTGGCCAAGATAAACATGACTAAATGTTCAGACCCATGATCATATTGCACAATTCACCTCTTCTTGCTCTAGTCCTGCATTACAGGTGAAGTCCTGCATTATCCATACAAATTGGATAAAATCTTAGTTAAATAAATGGGGACACTTGTAAGGTTTTGCACACATATTCATTAAGCACCTACTATGCTCCAGCACTATTCTATGCAAAAGAAATGCCAAATACGATATAACTAGCATAAGTACTGATACCAATGAGTATAAATTTTATATTTCTAACTCTCTGGAAGGATTAAAAATGTACACAAAATTTAAAAAATTAACTTCATTAAATGAGAATGTAATTGTGACTATGCTATTCAAAGACCATGAAACCTAAATAAAGCGAAAGAGCCACATTAGCCTGAGATCCATTAAAATGATTGTTTTACTGAAGGTTTGTCTCTTTATATGTAATAGAGGTTATTCTGGGTAGCACACAGTATTTCTCTTTGCGAAATCACTATGGAAACTGCCACAATAGGTTATAAACTCCATGACCTTCTATTATTACACTTTTATTTTGTGTATAGAGTTTTTTCCTTCTTACAAATATTTCAAAGCAGAACTATCAGGAAGCACTCACATATCCCTATACATCTATTAATGTATCTATTAAAGAAAATAATTACAGTAAGTTCAGTTATAGAAAAAGAAAGCCTTTGCACTCTGTGACTGATCAAATCCCCACTAATTTTCTTTGCATCTTGCATTATAAGGTTATAGGCTATTTTTCTTTGAAATTATCCTCTCTTTTCAGAACAACTGATACATTTTTTCCCTTGAGCAAAAGTGTCACTAATGCATGATTGAGAGCAAAGAAGTGGATGGGTGAGGCAGCAAAACCCCACTAATAGAATCTACTCAGATAATGAATTTGTGTGGAGGGTCATTAATTAGCAACAAATAAAGATTTAAGTGAAGTTTTAAAATCTTATTTTCCATTAAAAATTAGTGAAACTTCCAAATGTCATTTCAATGGAGAACAATTGCTTGAATATCTTCTCTAAATTGAAAATAAGATAAGTTCGACAGAAATATTTATCTCCCATACATGCTTTTTATTCTACATTGTATGTAGAATATAACCATTCTTAAAATGTTGGTTTTGAATCTGTTCTTATTCCAGATCATGCTTTTAGCTTTATCCCAATGTGTCAATGTGTGTATGACTGTGTATGTATGTTTTACATGACATTTTCAAAGGGATATAATATTTCTCTTGCTTAACAATTTTATGATTTATATTATATGATCTTAAACTTTAACATGTTTTTCTATTTTAGGATTGCATATTGTTAACCTTTTAAATGTAAACATTTGAATTGCTAATTTAATGTCACTAATCTGTGATATGTTAAGTATATTTGAGAATAAATATAGATATTGAAAAATTCATACCTGACAGATTTTAAAACTGACTCTCTTAATCATGAGCACTCATTGTCATATTTTAGACAGATCTTGTTTTCTTCACTGAATTACAATAATTTTCTCTTTTTCCCTCCGAGATATTTCCAATGAACACTTAGTGTCTAGTTTAAAGGCAAACATATTCAGTTGACATGTCCATTGCTAGTGAATTTTGATGTCTTTAGGAAATGTATACAAGGCAATATTACATTTTATAGCACATTATAATAACTTAAGGAATGCACAGGCTAATTTTCAGATAATTCCCATAACTCTATAAGGATTTAAGCTGCAATTGAATCTATGTAACGGTAGCCTGCATAGATTCCTCTTGCTAAAAAGAGACCATGCTATGTCTCAATTTCCTTAAGCAGATTGAAATTGTTTTCATGAAACTTAAAACTTTCTAAGGAAGAACACAAATTGGAATATTGCAAATTTTAAATCTGTATTTAAAAAATGATTCTACATTAAATAAAAATACTTTAATCTTGGGTAATTTGGCTCTGTGTCCCCACCCAAATCTCAACGTGACTTGTAATAATACCCACTCATCAAGGGTGGGGCCAGGTGGAGATTGAATCATGAGGATGGTTTTCTCCATGTTTTTCTCGTGAGATCTGATGGTTTTACAAGAGGCTTTCCCCTTTACTCAGTACTCATTCTCTCTCCTGCCACCCCATGTAAAGTTGCCTTTTGCCATGATTGTAAGTTTCCTGAGGTTTCTCCAGCCATGCAGAACTGTGAGTCAATTAAAACCCTTTTCTTTATAAATTACCCAGTCTCTTATATTTCTTCATAGCTGTGTGAGAACGGACTAATACAATCATCATGCTTTTCAAAATAAAAGCTGAAAAGAAAACTCAGAAATTGGAAGCAACTGAAATTTGGAACAATAATCGAAAGCATATGTAATCTAAGATGTTATTAGTAGTAAGGGTGGTGGCTTTCTTGGAGGTGATTTTAAATTCAATTTAGCACACAATTTATTAATAGCTTATGTATTAAATGTATTATAATTTTCTCAATGAAAGAAAATTAATTTCCTATCTATATATTTTTAAATTGAGCAGTGAGAACTAATATGTTGTAATAACTCATTTGAGGTTATCTTGGTAAATAGAGATAAAGATTTAACCACAGCTTGCTGTTTTAATTCTGATGTTAGTAAAGAGATATTTTATTTTTAAATTGTGACAAGCTACAATATAGCATAGTATACTTATATAGATCATCTTTGAAAAGCCATGAATGAGTTTTAATAAGAAAAAGAAACTAACAGTAAATGTAAACATTTATATAGAATAGTACACATTATAAGGACAGTTTTCAATCTAATATTGGGTCTAGTTAACAGGAAGCTAACAGAAAGAACAGCATTTCCAGTTGAAATTCTGGCCTCATCTCTCTTGATTTAACTTCTCAGCAATAAATTGATCTCTATCTTTACTAATCCGTGCTCATTTGTCTAGTCCTGGATTATTCCTACTGCCTCGCTTTCTAAAGTGTGGTAAACTGTAATCAATAAGCTTTTAATTTTTTTGCTAAATAAATATATTCTACCCAGACTCTGTTATAAGTAATCAAGTTCCTATCAAGATTCACTCACAGACTACAACCAATAAAAATAAGCAACAAATAGTTTGATGTAATCAACCCTTCAAGGAAAGCTTCATTAAATATAATTTACCTATATTCAATTAAGGTAAACTACATTTTAGTGAATCAGATACTGGAGATCCCAGTATGTGCTTTCTATATATGCCTTCATGCTTAGCCTTTGCACTGTCAGAGCCTGAATTGAACTGTTCTGTGTTTCAAATGACCCTGGATTCTTTCCAGAGCTGATTAAACTTGGAATGGAAACTTGAGCCAAAACAGGCCAATTAGATTCCATGGCATTTTTGAAATGAAACATAGGGACTTAGTTGTGTTAACTGTGAAAAGTTGAAGAGTAGGTAGACCAAAAAGGTAAGGCTGCCATCTATAGAGAACTATGACTAATCCAATGAATGCAGGCGTGAAGACAGTATGCCATCTTCAGAGAGACTGAAATAAAGCAGTGCAGAGAAAACAGAGCATCTAGCCTATGTGGCCCCAAGGAGAAGAGATACAGAGATAATAATTCTCCAGTTGCAATGATGTCCTAAAGTACTTTTGCCCTAAAATTTTGAGAGATCTCTCTACATTGTTAGAATATCCAACCCTTTCTTACTGTTAATATTCCTTGTTTTTTCTTTCCTTTTAAATAAAGCAAACAATTTAGAAATATGCAATTTGAAAAATGAAAATGTGAACAGATTTTTCAAAAACCTGTAGTGGTTGAATCGTTTAATTCAGGGCAATATCTGAACACTGTGAAAAAATAACTGTACCGAATTCTGCTGCATCAGGCTCTTTCAAGTGCAGTGCTGAAAACCATGCACTTTTAAATCTTGGCACATTTAGAATTATTCAGGGCGTAGCCACCTTTAGTTTGGCAGGAAAACAAGGTAAAGGCTTCCTGTGGGAATTTTCTATTGGAATTTGCTACACTTAGTGTTTAAATATACTGATATCCATGATAAAATATTGTTAAAAAATAGTCTCATCCTATTTTTTTAAAACTAACCTCAGTAAATAACCCATACACTTGCAAAGTTAGGTACTTACATACCATTCTCCGTTTACTGCCCTTTAATACTAAAAACAGAAATGAAATTTAAAAATAAAATGCATGTTTTAATTTATTTTCACACAAACAGTTTAAAGCATGATACAATAGGAAGCCAGAGTCATAGTCTTACATAAAATACAAACTACTACAGATTTAAGTAAAATGTGTTCTATTTTGTCTCATTTATTATAGTTTCAGCTCTTAATAAGGCCTGTCTTCATGGAGTGCCACCCCCATCTTTGGTATTTAAGTCCTCAGTTGATCACTAATATAATAACCACAATTCAGTTAACTATTCTGGAGACCTCAGATCATGCACACACACATTGTTGAATTCAGGAATATATTGCTTTCAATGTGACCATAAGTCTGAGGAAATTGCTTTAAGGCTATGTTTCCTGATTTGATTACTTCAAATTTTACACTGCTGTGCGCAAAGTGTCTGGAGAACAATTACATGCATTTGTCACCTCCATTTTAAAAGTATTAGGTGTCTTTGAAATATTTGAACCCTCTCACTGAAAAATGCCATGCAGAGAGAGTATAGCCAGGGGCAATGATGAGTGGCTATATTATTATTCTGCTGAAAGTCATGCTGAAAAACAGTATGCAGTTTTGAAAAACCCAGACTTATTCTCTTTACATTCTCACAGCCGCTACTTTGGTGTGTGATATAATCACATGAAATGTGGTATTCTGAAATACTATTCTAAGCATTTTGGAACTCCAAAACAGGAAAAGAAACTTCACAGGCCCAAGGTGAAATTTTTAGTTACAATGTAGCATGAATTTTTAAATAAGTCCTTGCTAGAAAGGTTCCTGCAAGGAATGTTACAAATGTGGACTTTCCGAAGACCAATGAGAGTCACCGAGGAATTTTAAGCAGGAAAGTGAACAAATATGTATGTATTTATAGGAAGACTCCTCTCTGTAATTTGGGAATCAGATTATATTAAGAAGAGGTTATGTTAAATATTGTATAATCCGATTATATTAACATTTTAACACTAATTTGGAAAATGTACTTGTTTTTTTCATTTTCAAAGAAAAAAGTTTTGCTTGGTTTATGGTTCTACACGCTGTACAAGCATAGTAGAAGCATCTGCATAGCTTCTGGGGGGCCTCAGGGAGCTTTTATTCATAGCAGAAGACCAAACAGGAGAAGGCATGTCACATGACCAGATCAGGACCAATAGAGAGTGGGGAGATGGATGTGTCACACATTTTAAACAATCAGATCTCACAAGAGCTTATTCACTATCAGGAGGACAACACCAAGCCATGAGGGGTCTGGCCTTGTGACTCAGTCACCTCCCACCAGGCCTACCTCTAACACTGGGGATTACAATTTAACATGAGATTTGGAGGGGACACTATTTAAACTATATCATTCAGTCCCTGGCCTCTCAAATCTCATGTTCTCACATTGCAAAATACAATTATCCCCTGCCAATCATCCCACAAAATTTTCAGTTCCTTTCAGCATCAGTTAAAAGTCTAAAGTCCCAAGTCCAAAGTTTCATCTAGAGATGAGTTCTTTCCACCTATAAGCCTTTAAAGTTGAAACAATTTCTTTATTACCAAGGTACAATAGGGGTACAGGAATAGGGTAAACATTCTTCTAAAAGGGAGAAATCAGCCAAAAGAAAGGGGTTACAGGCTGCATGCAAGTCCCAAACCCAGCAAGACAGTCATTAAACTGTAAAGATCCAAAATAATCTCCTTTGACTCTATGTCTCACACCCAGTGTATACTGGTACAAGGAGTGAGCTCCCAAGGCCTTAGAAGGCTCTGCCCCTGTGGATTTTCAGGATTCAGCCCCTGAAACCACTTTTTCCTCCTGGGCCTCCAGGCCTCTGATGGGAGGGGATGCCACACAGATCTCTGAAATGCCTTTGAGGCCTTTTCCTCGTTGTCTTGGCTATTAGCACTTGGCTCTTTTTTAGTTATGCAAATCTCTCTGGCAAGTGGTTGCTCCACAGCCTTCTTAAATTATTCTCCTGAAAAAGGCTTTTATTTTTCTGCCACATGGCTATTTTGCAAATTTTCGAAACTTTTATGCTCTGCTTCCCCTTTAAATATAAATTTATACTTTATTTCTTTGCTCCTGCATCTGAGTATAGATGGTTAGAAGCACCCAGGTTATATCTTGAATGGTTTGCTGCTTAGAAATTTTTTCCTCCAGATGCTCTAAATTATTATTCTTTAGTTCAATCTTCCACAGTTTTCTAGGCATAAACACAATGAAGCCAGGTTATTTATTAAGATATAATACACATAACTTTTGCTCTAGTTCCCAGTAAGGTTCTAACTTTCACCTGTGACCTCCTCAGCTTGGACTTCTCTGTTCATATCACTATCAACTTTTTGGTCACAACCATTTAACCAGTTTCTAAAAAGCTCCAAATATTCCCTCATCCTCCTATCTTCTTCCGAACCCTCCCAACTCTTCCAGCCTCTGCCTATTACCCAGTTTAAAAGTTGCTTCCACATTTTCAGGTATCTTTACTGTAATGCCCCACTCTGGTACAAATTTTCTGTGTGAGGCCATTCATGCATTGCAAGTAATTGAATATCCGAGACTTGGGAATTTATAAATACAAAAAGTTTATTGGCTCATGGTTCTTCAGGCTATACAAGCATGACACCACCATCTGCTAGGACTCAGGCAAGGCCTCTGGAAGCTTTTAATCATGATGAAAGGTAAAATGAGAACAGGCATATCACATGGTGGGAGTGGGAGCAAGACAAAGAGTTGAAAAATTATGCTTTTAAAAAAATCAAATCTAAGAATGCTTATGTTATTTTTCTGGGTCCAGATTTTATTTGCTTATGTTTTTTCTTTGCTTCCATTATTTGGAAAGAATACATCTGGTAATTAAGATAAAAGACACAATGACAGCATTTTCCATGCAGGAACAAGAAGTGGAATGGGGTCTCAGAAGAGCCTATACAAATTCAGATCACCAAATTCTCAAGCTCTGGAATCTCTAAGAATCAGGGCAAAATCCTGCAGAAAATGTTTTAGCCTTTCCAACTTTTTTGGAGGAGACTGGGATGTATTTATGCATTTCATCAAAGAGCAAGGCCAAAAACCTCTTGACTTTGCTGTACCTACGGAAAGATGAGTAACTAAAAGTGAATGACAGACTCTTTCCCTTTCAATCTAATAGATTAAATAACAATGACATTAAATAAATATCTAGCATATAATATATGACATGAATAAAACAGGACCCACTCTCCTGAAATGTATGTGAGTGTGTGCATGCATGTACTGGTAAAAACACATGTAAACATGTAGGTATACATGTCAGAAGGGGTACTTTTTTGTAGAGTTTTTTCATATAGAGAAAATAAAGTAGGGTAAAAGATAGATAGTGACGGAGTGGTTTAAAGACAAGTTTGCATGTTTGCTCAGCTAAGGGGCCATAGTAGGAAAAATGTGATCTAAAAAAAAATAATTACAGGGAATTATCCAAAGAAAGCACTATATAAATTATTTATTTTGAAATGTGAAGAAATACTACTATTTTTGCCAGATCTAGAAAAGACCCTAACTTTGGCCCAATAGCTAAGGCTTAACAGCTATGAAAATGACATGGAAATAGTTGCTTTTTCTCAAAAATGGAAAAACAAATACAATTGTTTTTTATTGCTTTCTGGATTTTATAAGCAAGAAAAGAAAAGAAGTACAAAAAGGGAACTCTGAGTGTGGTCTAATATATGTACTCTTAATGATATTTTTACTGGGATAATTTTTAATGTATCCTTTATTCTTAAATGTAAACAATGAAAATGTTCTTCATTTACATGTACAAATGGCAGCATGTTTATCTGTTTATCTGATATTTAATATGCATTTCTGTCATTTATTATAGTTGCCATAACAAAGCACCATGCACCAAGTGGCTCAAGCAACAGGAATGTATTATATTAGTTATGAATGCTAGAAGCCCAAGGCTGAAGGTATAGGCAGGGTAAGTTTCTTCTGAAGGTGTCTCTTCTTGAGTTTACATTGAGGGCCAATTTTACAGGTGTATTCACATGGTGTTTCTTCTGTCAATGTCTGTCCTAATCTCCTATCCATATAAGAGTATCTGTTATAATGGATTAAGGGCCACACCAGTGACCTCATTTAACCTTAATTATCACTTTAAAGACCATAACTCCAAATAAACTCACATTCTAAGAAGTAGGGAGTTAGAACTTCTACATATAAATTTGGGGAATGGAACTCAATTCAATGTATAACACAATAGTATTTTTTCCAGAGTAAATTTCGACCCTTTTTTGGCTCCAGAAAATGTTTTCCATTATATATAAATATCAAGTTCATTTCTAAAAAGAAGACATACAAATGGCCAACAGGTATATGAAAAAAATGATCAATTCACTAATCATCAGGGAATGCAAATCAAAACTACAGTGAGATATCATATCACCTCCATAAAAATGGCTATCATCAAAAAGACAGAAATAACGAATGCTGGCAAGGATGTGGAGAAAGATAATTGCTCCTAGACACTTACTGGGAATGTAAATTAGTACAGCCAATATGAAAAACAGTATGGAGTTCCCCAAACCAAAAATATAAATACTATTTGACCCATCTATTCCATTGATGGATATAGATCCAAAAGAAAGGAAATCAGTGTATCAAAAACATGTCTTCATTCCTACAACTGTTGCAGCATTTTTCACAGTAGTCTAGGTATGAAATCAATCTAATGGTAAACAAGTAGATGAGTGCATAAGGAAAATGTGGTATACATACACAGCAGAATATTATCCAGCCATGAAAATGAATGAAATCCTATCATTTGCAGCAACATGGATGAAACTGGAGGACATTATTTTTAGTGTAAGCTTGGCACAAAAAAATAAATATAGCAAGTTCTCACTCATATGTTGGAGCTAAAAATTATTGATGTCATGGACATAGTGAATAAAATAGTGGTTATAGAGATGGAAAATTATTGGGAAAGGGGGATGAAGATGGATTTGATTATGGTACAAAAATACAGCTGGTAGAAAAAATAAGATCTAGTGTTCAGTAGCACAATAGGGTGACTATACTTAATAATTTACTGTTTATTTCAAAATAACTAGAAGATACATCTGAGATGTTCCCAACACAAAGAAATGATAAATGTGAATTGATGGGTATGCCAATTACCCATATTTGAATACATATTGTATGCTTGTATCAAAATATCACATGTACTCCATAAATGTGTACAACTATAATATAGCCATAAAAATAAATAATAAATATATATATTTCAAATATATATTTCATATTATCATACAGTTATTTATGTGAACAATTCTTCTTTGCCCATAAAAATATAAATTATAGACAAGAATGAAAATTATATTAGCTTTCTGTCTTCTGGATTATTTAGCTTGTGATGGTTGCCTACCGTTTATGTATATAAGCACACACACACACACACACACACGTATCCACACATGTATCTGTATGCACACATGCATATATGCTTATAAACCATAATAGAGGAAAAAAGGGCTTAAGAAAAAGGTCAGTGTTTTATGAAATGATGGCTAAGTATTACCAAATTCCCAGTATTTGGGTTTTACTCATATTCTCTTTCTCTCTCAGTACTGCAGATGATATACGTGAAACAAACTTTTGTATCACGGAAAATAATTGTCTTCTAGCATTCTAAGAAGAAGAAAAACATGATTTCTTTTTAATTGCCTTGTATTTGTAAGTTTGTTTTCTCTACCTAGAAATAACTACTCTCTGCTTAAAGTTCTAAAAGAAATCCTACGTGTAGTCACTATTGTAGGTAGGAGACATGGGAAAAGACCTGTTGAAGACAGGGGTCAATTTTGGTCACCTACCTAATGATTAATCATCACAGATTCCTATGCAAAATTGTCTCCCACTTTTTTCCTCTGAGCATCATTTTGACAACTCTTATATGTGAGTTTTCCTTACAATGTGCTTTATAAAGGTCAAATTATATACTTTAAAATTGTTACTGGAAAAAAACATTATTTTCTAAAGTATTTGAATTGTTTTTTCTTCCCAGTTTCAGTTATTTTGCCAAAACTTATATAATTAATTTAGAAATATCTATGTAGATACTTTTAAACTAAAAAAGGAATAATAATTACTGTAATAAAGTCAAAGAAAGATGAGAAAAAGATAGCTTCTTGCAAGGCAAGACATGGAGACAAAATCTCTAGGACAAAGATAACATGTGGGCTATCTTAACTTTAGGCTTGCCCCAGGCACTATCTGACAAGGTAGGGAAAAGGTTATGGCAATCGGAGAGAGGAAGTTTCTAATTCCCCTTTCTCTTTCTTCTTCATATTTCTTAAACATTAAACCATGGAGATATGTGAACCCCAGAGTGCCTGAATTTCAGAATCTTACAATGCCTATGAAGTCTCCTTATCATGGGATAAACGCAGGGTCAGCAAATTCATGCTGCAGATTTTCAAGGGCAAGAAATCCAAACATTGCATGCTATTAACAATCTATCACTCTTTAACATTTAACTTTTGGTGTGAAACCACACGTAGTTTGATTTAATTGCAGCAGAATGTAAGATTGTATTTTCTTATTCTTTTATTATTAAAAAATTCTGAAAGCTGAGGCAGGAAGGCAGGGGTGAGGTTGAAGCAGGGCAGGCTATGGTTAGCAGATTCAAAGTCCTGCACACCCTTTTATCACATCTCTGTTAGCTGCACCCTCTCCCATTTCACTTCTCTTGCCAGCACTAAGGAGATGTTATATTCCATGATCAGTGATTATAGGACTGCCTAAAAATGTTTACTTCACATCACTAGTCCTCAAATTGGCTTAAGTATGACAATATCAAAATGAAATACTTACAAAAAATATGGAACATTATAATGTCCGAGGGGCTCCACAACTGAGGACCTGTGAATAGACACTGATGGCGTTTTGGTGTTCTATTTTATATGGAATCATTCTTGAAAGGCTTTGTAGCAGTTATTTTCAACGCTAGTACTCCCCCAATGTGAGAGATGAGACTCAGGCTGTGTGATTAATTGGTTTGTTTGGGTTGTTTCAGACCTTCTCTAAGTCGGAGAAATGGATGTAATGACCTCCAGAAATGCCTTCAGGTGTTAGTCCTAGGAAAACAAATATATTGCAAGGGACCAAAACCACAGCAACAAAATGAGCATTATAAATACACACATTTTCTATACGCATTGTTTTCATGTTGTTTTATATGAGGAAAGTTAGATTATTCGCTAATTTAATTTTCTCGTGGCATAAAACATTTTATTTTGCTGGCATGCATGCTTTAGATTTATACACACTACAGTGAGAAATTACCAATTATATTTTTTCTATATTAAAAAAGTGATATACTCCTTTTTACTCAACTTCATAGTAGCCTCTATTTTTCCCTAGAGAACGATAAACAGCTACACCCTTACCTGACGCTGATCATACCGTTTACACACAACAGAAGCTGACATAGTTGTAAACTGGCACATAAGAATTAAAATGCATTACCACATGTTAGAAACGTTGCTGGGAATGTGCTGCTAAAAACAAAACCCCAAAAACTAATGTTTAACATACCACATGCTACACTTGAGTAAAACAAATGTGTGCTTAAAGAAGAAAAAACACCGATTTTTCTATTTATTTTCCTCATTAAAGCTATTATACATTTATGTTAAGTGTCATTGTTCTGCTCACTGAGAGGAAGAGAATGGATCTAGAAGTCACAAAAAAAGGCACCCATCGTGCCTTTCTATCTTGTGCAGTCTATATTCTTATTCCTGAGTTATCTCCCTATAATTTCACCAATATTTATGATTACAGTCTCTTGAAAACATAAAAAATAATTTAGAGAATAATTTTGCCTTTTAACTTGGGAACAGTACAAAATTGGACAATGTAGAAGACAACAATCTCATTCTCTCTCTCTCTCTCTCTCTCTCTCTCTCTAGCCCTTGCTCTCTGTCACTCAGTAAGCTCAAACGTTTAAAGAGATTGTTCACTTCCACTCTCTAAAATATATTACAACTTCTTGTAATTTCTATGTGATTTCCAAAACAAGAAACATATGGTAAAAGAAAATAATGACGACAACAATAGAAAATAAAAATCCAGTCAGAGGTGGTTGCTAATGCCTGTAATCCCAGCAATTTGGA
Organism: Homo sapiens; assembly: GCF_000001405.40. Taxonomy (NCBI): domain Eukaryota; kingdom Metazoa; phylum Chordata; class Mammalia; order Primates; family Hominidae; genus Homo; species Homo sapiens. The sequence continues at coordinate 194,801,048 of NC_000001.11, read as the reverse complement.
TTACTGAAGTGGGAGGATAGCTTGAGGTCAGGGTTTGAGACTAGCCTGGTCAACATAGTGAGATGTCATCTCTGTAAATAAAAAATAATTTTAAAAAACCAAAATAATAAATTAAATAAAATAAGCCAGGCTTGAGATGCATATCTGTACTACCAGCTACTTGGGAGGCTGAGATGGGAGGATCACTTGTGCCAGGAATTTGAGGCTGCAGTGAGCTATAATCATGCCACTGAACTCCAGCCTAGGTGACAGAGTGATATCCCATCTCTAAAAAAAATTTAATAAAAACAAAAATAATTCAAAATCAAAATCCCGTTTGCAGCATGAAGCCTGACTTAAACCTTTATGTCTTCAGAAAGTGGATGAAAGATTCCTAGTGCAAAGGTGGTGAAAGATGGTTAGAGATCAATTGGAGAAGACCTTTTGAAGATGTTTGCTTGCCAGTCTACTGTTTTGGCTTATCCTTTAAGAAGAGATGTTAGCAAAAGCCCAAACTACTCACTGAGTTCCCGTGAAGACCAGTTCAGCGAGCAGTCTAGCAGTCTATCTTCTTCTGAGAATTCTTCCAAATTCCAAGTCTTCAGCATCATTATTAAGAAAAACTACCTTCTCTGAATCCTGTCTGTTCCTAAGATGTTAAGATGGAATGCTGTCCAGAAGAGTTCCTTTCTCTCTGGGATTTTGGATCTTCGACTGCTGTTTGCTTTTACAGCTTTTTGATGTCTTCAAAACATTTCTTTTTTCTTTTCGTAAATCATCTGTTTTCCCCCCAACTTTTCTTGTTAGGAATGTTAGCCTGGATAGAGAGATTTCATCATACTTGCAACAAAATCCAGAAAGAGAATATTAAGATTCAGGTTATATAATAAAAAAATCTGGGATATATCAAGAATAGAAGTAAAAGTGCAAAAATGTAGATAATAAAAGTCCCAAAGGAGGAAAAAATAAATAGAAAGATGATGAAAATAATTTAAGAAATAGTGAAAGATTATTTTAATTTCTGAAATACATTTACTAACTATATTCTATATCTTATTTATTCCTATTTTTGTGAACCTACCAAAACACTTTTTGCCCCAAATAATGTAGACCAATAAAGACAGTATAATAGATTCCTAATACTGCTGTAAAAAATATTACCACTTGACTTGGTGGCTTCATACAATACAGATTCATTGTCTTACAGTCCTGGAGGGTAGGAGTGCAACATCAGTTTTGCTGGGCTAAAGTCAAGGTGTCAGCAAGATTGTTTCCTTCTGGAGGCTCTAGGTCACAATCCCATCCTTGCTTCTTCCAGCTCCCGGTGGCTGCATTTCTTATGGCTGCGTCACTCCAATTACTGCTTTTGTGGTCGCATTGCCTTCTTTTTGCAAGGACCATTGTAATTATATTAGGCCTACCCAGATAATCCATGAAAATATCCACATCTCAAGATCAATAATTTGGTCACATGTGCCAAGTACTTTTTGTTGTACAAAGTAACATATTCTCTGGTTTTGGGGATTAGGACGTGGACATCTATTAGAGGTGAGAGTAGCATTATTCTGCCTATCACATATAGCAAATTTAAAAACCTATATCTTTTAAATAATTGTATATATTTAAGGTGTACAACATGATGTTTTTATATACAGATACATGAAATGATTACTACAGTCAAGAAAATTAACATATCCATGTCCTCCCATAATTATCTTTTTTGTCTTTTGTGTGTATGGTAAAAGCTTCTAAAATCTACTCTTTTAGCAAATTTCCAGTATACAATAGAGTATTATTAACTGCAGTCATCATGCTGTACATTTGATTTCCAGACTTACCCATACTCTATAACTGCAATTTTGTACACTTTGACAAACATCTCCCCATTTCCCCCACCTCTCTGCTCCTGGTAATCACAGTTCTACTCTGTGTTTCAATGTATTTGCCTTTTACAGATTCCATGTGTAAGCAAAGAGAAAAATAAACAAAATGAGAAGTCATCTTATGGACTGGGAGAAAATATTTGTAAACCATGGAAATGATAAGAGGCTACTATTCAAAATGTATAAGGAGCTCATACAACTCAATAGCAAATAAATTAAAAAGTAACCTGATAAAACAATGAGCAAATGACCTAAATAGACATTTTTTTCCACAAGCCTGAGCCTTTAATAAAGCACTACAACATAGGCTCACAATGTTAATTACCAATAACGTCAAAGTAAACACAAGAACTTCTTCAATGGAGTGCTGGGAAATGAAAGGTGATAACTAATATTAACTCCAGAGACCAAATTTATCAGCAAATACACACACAAAATGGGTGGACCCATAGTTAGTTAAAACTTCGGTGAACAAGTCTGAACATTATCAGGGAAATTTGGGGAAATCCTTTGAGGTTCCCATTTATTTATAAATGCAAAACTTTAATAGAAACACACAAAGAACGAAGAGTAAGATAATGATTCAAGTTCTTCAAAATGAAAAAGAGAAGAAACAAGTTCATGTTCCCAAAACGCATAAACTTACTCTTAAAAAAATAGTTAACAGATATAAATTTATTTGAGCAGTCAGTAGCACTAGGTTAAGCGAAATAAGAGGACCAGATGGGAGGGATGAGTGAATCAAACTGATACAAGGAAAGACTTAAAGCAAAATAGTGCATCTCTCTAAATTGAAAGATACAGAAATGGCTAACAGAGAAAAGCAACCACAGTCTATTCCACTCACGCAGAAATAAACCTACCCCTGTTATGCCATAAAAATACACTTTTTTTTTAAGAATTGGATACAAGTGAGGTTTACACTAAAGTAACACACAGTTTTTATAAGAAATAAAAAGGTAAAAATAAAGTTAATAAGGACATGAACATCAATAAAACCAGAAAAAAACTGTGGAAGTTATTACTTAATACTTTAGGTGAAAACTTAGAGTAGATAAATTATTTAACATAAAAGAATTTCTAGTCAAAAATATGACTAGAAATGAAGATATAAAATAAAACCTAACAAATCAGAAATCATTTTACATTTTGTTTTAAATTGAAAAATAATATGTATATGTGTGTGTGTGTATATATGTATGGGGTAAATATGATGCTTTGATACATGCTTACATTTTGTACATTTTGGAATAGTCATATCAGGCTAGTTACCATATCCATCACCTCGACTATTTATCATTTATTTGTGTAGAGAATATTAAAAATTCACTACTTTAGCAATTTTGAAATATATATTATCTTTAACTAGAGTCACCGTGCTGTGCAATAGATCACCTGAACCAATTTTTCCTGTCTAACTGAACATTTATACATTTTATACCAACAATTCTCCTTTTCCAATCTACTTCCCTGCAGCCCCCAGCCTCTAGTCAACATCATCCTACTCTCTAATTCTATGAATGTGACATTCTTAGATTCCATATATAAGGAAGGTCATGCAATATTTGTGTCTTTGTGTCTGGTTTATTTCACTTAGAGTAATGTCATAATCATATATGCTTGCATGTGTTATCATAAACATAATGATAATTTAGTGTCATTTCAAGGAAATACATTTTCATTCTATGCCTCTTTCATTCTATGCCACAATTCTGGGCTTGTTTATGAAAAGAAGCTGTGTGGCATGAGTGTACCAATTCATGTTACCTTATTCATGACTGTTCTACCTTTATCATAAACATTAAGAGGATCAATAAATTAGGGGTGCTTATCAGAGAGCTGAAATAAATAATAAATTTAAAATGTATAGTTGCCTTTGGCGTCACCCAACATCCACTGCTGATTCTTGGCCCTTTTCTATTACTGGAGACATCTCCCCTGGGCCTTACCATTAGTGCCCTCATTAATGCTGCTGAGAACAAGTCACACAGACTTTCCCAAGTCATGTTCCATGGAAATCTCTACAATCATCACATTCCTGGTTGATGTGCCCTAGGGGTACTTGCCATCTAACCAAATTACTGATAAAATGGAATGATGGAACAGCATATATGCAATGTGTTTTTGGAATACAGACCTGAATTGTCCAATAAAGTAACCTCTACCCACCAGGAGCTATTTAAAATTTAATAACATTAAAATTCAGTTTCTCAGTTACACTAGTCATGTTTCAAATACTCAATAGCCATTTCTGACTAGTAGTTACCCTTTTGGATTTTGGACAGAACATATATGGAACTTTCCATTTACTATAGAAATGTCCATTGGACAGTACTATTCTAGATTCATAATAGTCCCTTTGGAAATGAGATCATATGACCAAATATATTTGGAAAATTCTGTGCCTTTGCTATCTTATTAGAGACATATATATTATATAAATTATTTATGTTATATAAATGTATGATATGCTAATATATATTACACAATGTATTATATAATATATACTACTATGTAATATTTTTATATATAATATATACATAATATTTTAAATTGTAGTTAGGCCAAGTGCAGTGGCTCACGCATGTAATCCCAGCACTTTGGGAGGCCAAGGTGGGCAGATCATTTGACTTCAGGAGTTCCAGACCAGCCTGGCCAACATGGTGAAACCCCATCTCTACTAAAAATTCAAAAATTAGGCATGGTATCATGTGCCTATAATCCCAGGTACTCGGGAGACTGAGCCAGAAGAATCACTTGAACCCAGGAGGTGGAGGTTGCAGTGAGTGGAGATGACACCACTTCCCTCCAGCTTGAGCAACAGAGCGAGACTACAGCTCAATAAATAAATAAATAAACTAAAGTAAAATAAAATAAATAAAATAACTAAGAAATAAATAAGTTGTAATTGGTTTGTAACCTAGTGTTTCCCCTACTAATTGAATTAGATATCCACTTTTACTTCCTGCCGGAATTCAGGTAAAAACTAGTGCTCCTTTGAACTCACTCTGAGGAAATTTTTATAGAAGATTTAAGAGATGATTCATTTCACTAACACGAGTAAAAGAAACTGACTCAAATCTCACATATGATAAGTTTCTGTAGATAGAGATTTAACTTGTGAATGCAAATCTAGTAACTTGTTAAAAAGAAAAATTCCCAACATATGCTCTATACCACATAAGCAGACTAAAGTAAACTCTGCTTAGTTAAAAGCTACTTTTAAAATGCAAGAGTTTTTGGTTGGTTTTAATGGGGCAATTAAATAAAATTCCACATGTTTTAATTTGTATATATAAGCAAAGCTCATTGACTATTATAGTTACTAAAGTTAGTTGGCATGCATAAATATTAACTCATGACTGAAAGTTATGATTTAGTACTTTAAAAAGTGGTCCATGAGCAAAAGAGTTCAAAAAGGCACATGACTTCTAATGTGTCTGTGCATAAACAAATACATTGAATTCCCATAATTTGGGTGAAAAACATTTTATAGTCTCTGCATTATCATTATTGCCTAGAGCTGGTTGGTGTTTTGCTTTTTGCTTAAATATTAATATTTGATTAACACATTTGTAAGATTTCTCTTAATTCTTACATTGGCGATTATTTATGAAAACTTGCTGATTATTTTGCAACTTTGATTATTAATCTGTTCTGCCTCAATTCTTCCATATAATTAAATTCTTGGGTGATATTAATTTGGCCATCATTTAAAATATAGTTTTTTCAAACACTTACCTAAAGTTATGTCATTAGTAAATGATAGAATCAAGATTCAGGCAGTTGTGCTAAAATATATTTCCAGTTTTATAACATGTCTGTCTCTCTATTGGACTCTAAACATTAAAATATATCATGTTAAATTAATTTTCTTTAGTAGAAAGTCACATACAACGTTTGCAAATACAAGGGCAAGTGCAAGACCAAAGGGAGCAACGAAAACTTTCTATCTTGACGGAGAGACAGTAGAGTCAACCCCTTCTTGATGAGGTTAGCATTTCAGGAGACACAGTAAGACAGTTTGTGTGTGCATACTGAATATGTAAAAACCAGTCCTTTTGTGGATAAACAGAGCCTGTCAGAAATCAGAAGATCGTAACTCACAGCTGAAGTTTGCCCTTTCTGGCTGACATAGGAATCACTGTGAATAGCTAACAACTTGAAAATATAAGAAGAAATAAGAAATATACAGAATATTTTAACCTTTTTAACAGAGTAAAAAGTTATCTTTGATTAGAACTTTTCAACATTGAAGGTGTGAAATTAAGCTATATGGAATATATGGTGTGGAGTGAAAACAAGTATAAGACTATATATAAAAGACATATGCATATGAAAGAAAAATCCTGATTGACAAAATACATTATAAAAGACATTCCTTAATTTCTATCATCATGAGAGGTATATATTTCTTGTGAAACTTTCAAGCAGTGCAAAAAAAAATAATGGACTGTTCCTTTATTGATCCTATTTATTACTTATTTTTGTTACATTTAACTGGTATGACTTTGTCTATAGAAAAGTGAGGCATGTGCATTAGTAGAATTGGAAGAAATAGAAATGATTTTTTAAAAAATAGAATGCATTGTTTTTAAGCCTGCCAAAACCAGAGATCCTCTACATTTTTCTGAATTTATATTTACTCTGGTTTATCTAAATGGAATTGGCTTCATTTTTATTTTTCACTAATTCACTATTTTCATCAATCACACATTAACTCATGCCTTTATGCATGTGTTTGTGTATCCATGTTTATATGCATGTATTTTCATATTTTTTGGATTGTCACTTCTTACCAAATATTTTTGGCTGTGTATAGCTATTTAAAGTAATAAGTTGCATTATTTTAGTTGAATGTTAAAGTGATCCCACCAAAAATATTTATTTATTTGATAGAAGTATAATTAATTAAATAATACTAACCACTCACTTTACAATATTATTTTCCTTGAGTTTTGATCTACTCAATCCCAGGACTGCATCCTACCTCGCATTATTAAAAACATTTAACTTCTTACATTGACAACTACTTTTGGAACCACTTGATACTGTGCGTGTTTTCAATTACATACATCTTGCCTCCTCATTAATCTGTAAATTCGCAAATTTGTGCCTACGTTTCACCAAATTTGAATGCCTGAAACAGATAATCACTGGGCAGTAATTTTTTCCCATAATGAATGTTTATTGAGCATCTATAATGTATAAGGTACTATAAGGGATACAAAGACTATATGATGTACGTCTAAATTAAAGATAATTGATGGATGCATTTCAAAAATTGAGTCAGATTTCTTGGACACAATGTAGCCATATTCATCATTATTTACAATTCTCACTTCAGACACTATGGCCATTGGCTGAATTTATAGTGAATGTGTTAATCAGAGTATTCAGGGCATTATTTTGGAGATACTCACCTTGAAGCTTAAATTGCTATTTTTGACTTTTATATGTATTAGTTATTTATTGATTTTTTGAATTGGATGTTTTTTGGCCTTTTTTCCATGCAGAAAACAGTACTTAGTACAATTATAACAAATATTATGCTCTTTGCTTTCTTCTCTCAATTATAGACTTGAGTGGGGTGATTGCAGTATTCAACTTCTGAAATGGTTTCCCATGATCTTTATTTCCTGATATTTATGTCCTTGTGCTCTTTTTCACTAAGTCCATGCAGGAAGAGTTCAGTCTCTGTCCAAAAGCCAACAAGTAACAGAGGCCCTTAGTTCAACAACCTGGAGAAACTGAATGTTATCAAAAACTACATGAGTAAGCTTGGAAGCTGATCCACCCACCACTGGGTGCTAAAATTACTACAGTCCCAGCCAATACTTTGATTGCACACCCGAGCCAGAGGTCTCAACTAAGTTGTCCCTGGATGCTAGACATGCAGAAATTATGAGATAATAAATGCCTGTTGCTTTAAGAGCCTGCATTTTAGGATAATTTGTTACAGTGCATTAGATAACCAATGCAATTGTAATCATGGAGAATGCAAAGTAGTATTTCCATGCATAAAGATACTACGATAAGCTAAACAGTAATGAATGTGCTTGCGTACTCCAGGAAAAAAAAATGAAAACATATGCTGAAATCTCTACTGCAATGCTATTACTACCAGTTCTAGAAACTCTGATAAAATTATGTTGAATACTAAAAAAAGTCTTGTAGACTATCTACCCCAATGTTCAAAACAGGACAGTGCTTTGGTAGTCACAGGTCACAGATTTTTTTCCTATTCATCTTTAAACCTCAGTTTTTCTGGCTTCTAAACAAGTTTTGACCATATATATATGGTCAAATATATATATAATATATAATATAATATAAATGTATAATATATATTTATATATACTATATTATACAATCATTATATATATATTATATATTATATATTTATATATAATATGTAATAAATTTATATTATTTATTTATATATTATATACAATATATAATATATTTATATAATTATCTATTATATATTAATTATATATTAATATTATATATATAATTTCTTTTGTGCAAATTCATTTACTTTTAGCACATCATATGGTTTGGTTCTGTGTCCCCACCCAAATGTCTTCTGAAATTGTTATCCCCAGGTGTTGAGGGAGGGACCTGGTAGAAGGTGATTAGACTATGTGGGCGGTTTCACCCATGCTGTTCTCATGATAGTGAGTGAGTTCTCACGAGATCTGATAGTTTAAAACTGTGACTCTTCCTCCTTCTTTCTTTCTCTCCTGCCACCTTGTGAAGAAGTTGCTTGCTTCTCCCTCATGCTCTCTCTATCTCTTGCCACCATGTAAGACATGCCTTGCTTCCCCTTTGCCTTCTGCCATGATTTTAGGTTTTTTGAGGCCTCCCAGCCATGCAGAACTGTGAGTCAATTGAACTTATTTTTTTTAATAAATTACCCACTCTAAGGTAGGTTTTTATAGCAGTGTGAAGACAAACTAATACAGTGCCCTTGGTTGAAAAATGTGATGATGTGTGAAGATTTGGTGGGGACTACCAAATGTAAAATTTGAATTCCTGGTGATAGCATTTTCTATCTGGTGTTCCTGTACATATTTTAGCTGGATCTTTAATGGCCATTAAGAGTTTTAAAATTATAGACACCACCAAAGGTGTAAGGTACTTTTTTTTTTTTTTTTGAGACGGAGTCTCGCTCTGTCGCCCAGGCCGGACTGCGGACTGCAGTGGCGCAATCTCGGCTCACTGCAAGCTCCGCTTCCCGGGTTCACGCCATTCTCCTGCCTCAGCCTCCCGAGTAGCTGGGACTACAGGCGCCCGCCACCGCGCCCGGCTAATTTTTTGTATTTTTAGTAGAGACGGGGTTTCACCTTGTTAGCCAGGATGGTCTCGATCTCCTGACCTCATGATCCACCCGCTTCGGCCTCCCAAAGTGCTGGGATTACAGGCGTGAGCCACCACGCCCGGCCAAGGTACTTCTTAAATTGTGGCCCTCGATTATTCAAGACTGAAATCATGAGACACTGTGAAGAATAATATCCTAAAAACTCATTTGTTTGTCTCATTTATTACCACATCTAACTGTCTTGAGTTTCTGAAATGTTTTGCTTTATAAACATTTTACCTTCTTTTCAATGATTAATTGAAGAACAGGTTTACTGTGAACTATCATTTTATTTCCAGCAGCAAGGTGGGACACAGCAGCTTTTTATCAGTCCCATAATACTGGCTATGGTTAAGGAGTGTCATTTCAAATCTCATGAACATTTCTTTAATCTCATACATTAAATCTTTCTTAAAATCACACAAGTTAAATATAAAAACATAAGCAATCCAAGCATGCAGATCAAGAATGATGTACCGTTCATTTCAGAGTGGTGCAAAATTCAGTCTTTTGATAATGTTTGACTTCCAATGCACTATAGGTGTTCAGTCATGCTGTCATTTCCAAATCAAAAATAAGCCATAAAATTTAAAATTCAGTATTTTATTTATTTTAATATTCCTGTTTGTAATTCATATAGCAAATTCAGGGTGCTTTGCTCTTTATTACTTTAAAAATAAACCTGTTCAATCTTTATAAATCCTTTCTCCTCATTGTGAAGAATATAGGATCAAGATAAAAATAATGAATCAAATCGTTTCATTTAATATGAAACACCTGATGTCAAGGCAAAACGTAGCTTAATATCTTTTGTAAAAACTATTTATAAACAACATTCTACAGTGTGACATTTATTATCAGTTTTTGTAAGGTGATTGAAATATAAGCATTTACCTAATTCAAATTGGTGTTTTTCACAAATGAAATGTAAGGCACTATAAAAGAAAATAATGTAGAAGTGTTCAATTTAAGGGGGATCTTGAGAAAGTGATTAAAGTGTTATATTATGTGGACTTTTTAGGTTATGGGGGAGGGGTAAAAACAGAAAATAATTGAGAATAAATAGGGATAGAATGGGAAAGCAATTAACTCATTGAAGGTAAAACAATATGGGACTTAGAGCTGGAAGCTCTGCTGTCAGAAATCTCAATGTTTAATCAATTCAGAGGTAGAGCTGTTCAGGAGTATGACAAATTGCAGGTTATGGTTACAGAACAAGACTAAGGGAATGGAGGTAAAAAACATTGGCTTAGAGGAATCAGGGGAACAGTATGTGGTCTCTCTGTTGAGAAGTCCACATATATGCAGAAATTACATAATTTCCAACTGTAACAAAGATGGGAAAACATGAATTGGTTCCAAAAGAATGTAGAGCTGTATAAACCTGGAATGCATGAGCTCCAAATGATCTGTTTTTCTAAAATGAAAATGTCATGTTTGAGAAGGATTAATTTTGAACAAGAAAAATGGTGTTCAACTACCACCTGAAATAGTTCTCATAGGAAATAGCACAAATAAACAATCCTTACTTCAAAAACTGCAAAGAAAGTTGTTATTTAGTGGGGAGAGTTATATCCAAGGTAACTTAAGAGGCAAGGAGAAAGTATTCTAGAAAGAAGTGTAAGTTAAGGGACAATGAGTTTACATTAAACAGTTTTCCCTGAAGGAGGACATGGGGATGGGATAAGCAGGAGGACAGAGGCCATTCTGTTTAATCATGGATCTAAACATAGCCATAATGAGTGGGTGCACATGCAAAGACAGATGCCCAGTGGAATTTGTCTCTGAATGAGTGTAAGGCATGATTGAATGGAAAGATGTGTTGGAAATAACTGGATACAAACTCTAAGTGGATCTCAGGTGGAAAAAACACTTCCAAGTTTAAACAGTTAAAAGCAATAGCTGGTTTCAGAATTCAGATAACATTCTCTGTTAGCAATACAGTCATTAAATTATAGTCATATTATTAATGTCATCATGCAGTTTATGAATGATGTTTAGGGTTCTAGTGTTTAGAGCACACAAAGTCTCAGTAGACTATCATATCTCCTTTAATAAAATAAAAACAAGCCAAGTGAACCACAAAACCATAATATTTTTTAAACCCATTGGAGAGCTCAGGACACAGAGAAATCTAAATATGCTGAATTCCAGAAAGTGACTAGACATCTCTGGGAAGAGAATTGCTTTCAGTCTTGGCAAAGCAGCTATACAAAAGCAGAATCTGCTGTTGTAAGAGGTATGGAGAAATTAGCCACATTTTTAACAACTCTTTAATTATCCCTGGGCTGGGTCAATGGCTAGAATTTCAAGGAGTTCAAGTCATAGCTCCATACTACACTCACCCATTCTCTACTTCCCATTTGACCTTCCACCACGTGCAGAAGATGGTGCAGAGCACAAGACCTGAGAGAGATGGCCTTAGGTGCCAGGGGTCTTTCTGATTGCAAGGCGTCAATCAGCAAGGGATGATTGAAGGCAGCAGCAGAGAAAAAAGTGAGAGTCAGTGGAGCTTATGAGGTATCCCCAACATGCAAGATAACAGTTTTTCAAGGACATAGGGAAGAGGAAGAGAGCTGAGAAAATCTCTCCCAGGCACCAGGGCCAACCTTCAAAGCTTACTTTCCAAAGAGTAAAGGGGGAGCCAAGCTTTTATCTTTAACCTGAAAGCTAATTAGTTAAATGTTATTTTGTTTGCAGATATAGGGGATGTTTTTACTACGTGAATGCTCTTAATTTATATATTTATTGCATTGAGATAGAATGAGCTTATCTGTTTCATCTTTTTTGTTGATGGTAGACCAATAATCATGGCCTCCGTGGTAGCCTAATACATAATAATTTTGTTGTGAACATTTCATATGTACCGTATAAAGTAATGCGTTGCTGAGTCTCTACATAAAATTAGACATATAGTCTAAGCTTCCTAATTGCATAATTAAGGTCTATATTCTTGTTTTTATCTGGCTCATTGATCTATCAGTTTTTGAATGTGATGTGTAAAAACTTCCAAGTGCAGTTGTTGCTGAATTGATTTGTCGTGGGTTCTCTACTCTGGAATAAAAGCTAGACAAGCAAAGATAATTTCCCTTTCATTGACCAATGTCTTCAAAGTGCCTGAAAAGGGCCTAACACAAACTAAGACTTTAATAAATGTTTTTAATTAAATGAATACAATTTTATACTATGTATTTTAATTGATGCATTCTAAAGTGCCTATATTGTCATGATTATTATATATTTTGATGAATTGTTCTTTTAATCAGTACATATTACAACTCAAGATAAATCATCACATCTTAGAAATATATTTTTTCATTGTGAATTTGTATTAATACTGACACAAACATTATCTTATATGTCTTTTGATATAAATATATACACAATTGGGCATATAATTAATTATTGCATCACAGTCTAGCTTTAGTAAATACTTCCAAATAACTTCCAAAGTGGTTGTGTCAATACACACTCCCGCTAGCTATTTATGACAAAGTTGTTTTGTTTTACATTATTGTCATCATTAGTCTCAACCTTTGTTTAATATTTGTTATATTATTATCTGTATATTAGATTTTGTCTGTATATTAGAATTTTAGTGCAGTTTTAATTCAGGTTTCTGTGACAATTTATGATGTGAAAGATACCTGAGTCTGAGATAAATATTAGCTTTTCCTAGAGAGGATCATAGCTCTTCTATCCTTGAATAAGGGTATTAGATGAATGCAGTCAAAACTTAAGTTGGGTTCAGGTTTTATTATTATGGTGGACCACTAGCTTCAAAATTCTCTAGGCTTAACTGATGCTGAGGGTACATTGGAGAGCTTTGCTTAAGCTGGTATGTTGGAGAGCTTTGCTTAATCTTCCTCATCCGCCATCAGCTATGTGTTTTCTTGTGCTCCCGGAACCTAAACAGGGTCTCTCTTTAGCATTTTACCTGCCCACATCCCAACTGTAGATGGCATGGTACTTATCTAGTGATGGGGGATATCTAAGATAATCTTTAGCATGATACATGCCTTTCGTGCTGGGTCTCTATCATGGGTTTTTCTCAGATACACTACCTTCCTCAGTGCCCTGAAACCTTTCTGCAATAAGTATTTACTTGTTCCTTGGGGGCGAAATGGTTTTATACCATATCTTTAGTGACTGCAAACTTTTATTCTGAAGGGGAGAGAGTTTGGGTAGAGCTTTCACTCTTTTCTTCAGGAATAATCCCTACTCTTCTCCAAGCATACACTCCAAATGAGGATTTTCTTGTTTCTGCATCTTGCCCCCAATCTCTTTTGTTTGTGCAAGGTAGAGATCTGGGAAGAACCTTTAAGTATACGTGAGCTCTTGTTGGGTCTGAAGCTTTCAGGGCCTTTATTTCTATGCCACACTCAGCCTTTAATGCTGTTAAAAATTTTAGCAGATTCCTCTTATCCTTTGGTAGGTGTAAAGAGAAGCATATCCCAAATCTTTTTGCAAATGCCTGTGTTCCTCACTCTTCAAACGAAGTGTTTTTCCTGCAATGTTAGCTCTCTGGAGGGTTTCGGTTATAACTTTATAGATTAATTTGCTTTTTCTTATGATTGGGGTGATAGTGACTCTGTCTAGCTATCTATACTATACATTACGTAATCATATTCCAACTGTTCTACATTATCATTGGAAGCAGAATTTTTTTAATGTAATTTGAAATTAAAAATTCCCACATACTTCTGATTTGGATTTATTCATAAATCAGTGAGAACCATCACTCAAGAATCCTGATGGTTCAAAAATATGTCCCTATGTTGGATTGTTTGTTTTTTGAGAATAAACATTTATTAAGCATTTTCACTGACCAGATGTAAGCTAGGAGCATTACACATAGTGTGTCTTTAATATTTAATCATACAAACATTGTTCTATGTATCTTAAACATCTGTCAAATTAAAAGTTATAATGATTCCTGAAGTAAACCTAAGCATCCCCTTTTTATTTTTTTCTAAGATTCAAATTTTGTTTTAGATACATGTATATATATATATATATATATATACATATTTGTATATATATATATTTGTTACATGGTTTCTGTGTTTTCTCAAACTTTTATTTCTTCTACTAGTTGATTAAATACCATACTGTACATATTCATTTCTAGTTCTTAATAATGTGAAAGTATGGGTTTAACCAATGACTATCAGGCTCTCAGTTCTTGGATGTAAAAAAAAATAAGTTAGGCAGTTATGGTAAACTGTATATTACATAATAGGGGAAGAGGAGAGAATAGAGAAAGATCAGATGCTTTAAAACTATAGAAATTTTAGTGATTTTGAAGTTTCTTTATAATATTAGAGTATATGGACCCCATGAAGTAACATAAAGCCAAAAGAATAGAGGTATATTTCACATCAAATGGAGTAAAAGTAATACAGATAATGTAAAAAATATTGCCAAGATCCTAAAAACTCAGAAAGACAAAATCAGTGTGAAAGGCAGTAGTGACTTCTGTGCACCCCATTGTCTTCTCATAGTGCATTAAGTCCCAGCTGCTTACAGACATTCTCACAAAAAGAGTTATTTTTTCTCAGTAGGCTTCACTATAAATGTCCGTCCAGTCTATGGGTTAAATGCTCGCCTCTAAACCACTCATCCCAGTTTCGTTCGTTGTGGTCCTATAGAGTGGGCTATGAGTTGAAAACCACATCTGTTTCTGTCTTTTCAGCAGGAGCATCATGCAGATTATTCCCCTAAAAATAGGCTAAGGGGAGACTTTGTATTAGGATTTTTAATAACACTGTAAAGCATTATTAAGCATTAATAATGTAGTAGTTTGTTCATCTTAGAAATGCTTATGAGTGTGAATCTCTTCTCAGATTTGAGAAGAAAAAAATATGAGAATAATAGAGTAAAAACTTTTGCCTTTAATTATATCCTCCTTAGTGAAATATTAAAAGTAAGTATCCTCTCATTGTGACATTAATTTTATCTTCATTTTCTCCAACTTTTCCTCTTAAGCTTAATATTATACATTTGGCTTGACAAAACATTTTGTACCATCACTGTGGCAAAGTTTAAATATAGCAGAAATAAACCTGCTGATTAGATTTCAGAACATATAACAGTCTCTTTTAGACCTATGTTCTTCATATTATAATGATACAGTTCTTATGATTCCTTATTTTCATTATCCAGACAGACAAGAAGAGACAAAGAAAAACCTTCCTAAGAGTTCACAGGAGGCCGGGCGCGGTGGCTCACGCCTGTAATCCCAACACTTTGGGAGGCCGAGGCGGGTGGATTACGAGGTCAGGAGATCGAGACCATCCTGGCTAACATGGTGAAACCCCGTCTCTACTAAAAATACAAAAAAAATAGCCGGGCGTGGTGGCGGGCACCTGTAGTCCCAGCTACTCAGGAGGCTGAGGCAGGAGAATGGCATGAACCTGGGAGGCAGAGCTTGCAGTGAGCCAAGATTGCGCCACTGCACTCCAGCCTGGGTGACAGAGTGAGACTCCGTCTCAAAAAAAAAAAAAGAGTTCACAGGAAGATATGTTTATCTGCCATCTCTTAGCCTTCCTTTCTGCCATGTATATGTTTGTGATGGGGGTGGTTTTGTTTTATGCTTTTAATAACATTATCTATGCCCATTTCTTCCCATGGTCTGTGGATTTAGTTAATCAATTTTTATTGCTCTACATATTCTTTTGTTATTATACCACAATTTATTCATTTATTTGAGTGTTGATAAATATTTGGGTTTGTCCAGTTCCTGGCAATTCTAAATGGTGATGTTATGAATATTAACTGGTTTATATGTGCACTCCTTTTTCTAGAGTGCTCCTTTTTTTTTTTATACCTGAGGGAAGAATTGCTACGTTACAGTATGTGAATATGGTCAACCTTAGCAGAAACTGCCAACTTGTTCTCCAAAATGTTTGTGCATTTTGCACAACATTTGGCAGTGTGTAAGAGTTCTCATATGTTCATGCCTTGGATAACATTGATATTGGTAAACTTTAATGTTAGCAGACCAATCTATGATGCAGTAACATCACAGTGTGGCTTTGATTTGCTTTGGACTGGTTACTAAAGAGGCTGAAAAAGGCCCTTTCATGTGACAATTGGCCATTTGGATTTCATCATTTATAAACTTTCTGTTTTCTCAATTGTCTTTTAAAAAATTTTACCTCATTGATTTTTATAGTTCTTTATATATTGCCTATACTCATCATTCTTTAGCTTATTCCTTCACTTTTATGAGTTTTTAGTTTTCATTGTTGTTTTATTGTTTTTTAGACGGAGTCTCACTCTGTCACCCAGCTGGAGTGCAGTGGCACGATCCTGGCTCACTGCAATCTCCGCCTCTTGCATTCAAGCGATTCTCCTGCCTCAGCCTCCCGAGTAGCTGGGATTACAGGTGCACGCCACTGTGCCCAGCTATTTTTTTGTATTTTTAGTAGAGACAGGGTTTCACCATGTCGGCCAGGCTGGTGTTGAACTTCTGATCTTGTGATTCACCCACCTTGGCCTCCCAAAGTGCTGGGATTACAGGCGTGAGCTACTGGGCCCAGCCGAGTTTTTAGTTTTAATATATATACAACATATCAATATTTTCCTTACATCATGCTTTCTGTTTTGCC
Organism: Homo sapiens; assembly: GCF_000001405.40. NCBI lineage: Eukaryota > Metazoa > Chordata > Mammalia > Primates > Hominidae > Homo > Homo sapiens. The sequence continues at coordinate 194,784,210 of NC_000001.11, read as the reverse complement.
TTAAAAGTCATTCCTTTCCTTAAGTTCATGAAGATACTCTCCTACCTATATTATCTCTTAAAAGCTTTTATATATTTGACCTTCACATTTAAGTATTAAATCCACCTGACATGATTTTTCTAATATTATGATGTAGAGATCCTGTTTTTTTTTAATATGAATAGACCAATATTCTAGACCAATTATTGAAGAGTCTGTCCTCATTTCATTGTCTGGAAGGCCACATCTGTACATATCAAGCATCTGTAAATGCATGGCTCTATTCCTGGGTTTGCTGTTGTGCTCCATTTGTCATGTTGTCAATCCCTGCAACAATCCTATGGTTCCTTAGTGTAAGTCTTGATATATGACAATACATGTTCCTCCCATTTTCTTCTTAATTAGCATTTTGGTTGTGGTTAGGCTATTGTATTTCCATACAAATATTAGAATCTGTTAGAAAAGAAAAACCATTTATTGTTTTAATTTTGAAATAAAATGCATATATGTGTACAATGGATATCTAATCTCTTATTCTGAAAGTTTATTTATGTTGAATGTTTTTATGTACGTAATCATATAACCTGTGATTACTGTTTGTTTCTTATTATCTAATTCTGAATTTTATTTCATTTTTTTAAGTGAGATTTTGCATTTATCTCTTGTAACAGCTGTATTTCTTAGCTGATAGAAGACCTGATGCTTACTGGATCTATTTAGATTTGAGAAGTAAGAGAATATTTAGTTGAATATTTGGCTTTAACTCGTGAACTAAGTAACACAGAATTAGAGAAAGTTTAGTTGCCATTGTGGCTGCTTTCCACCTTGTTGTTCCAGTGGATCTAAACAGGCTTAATGTTTCAGGATCAGGACCCTGGATCAGCCTATGGAAATCTTCAATCAGAGAAGCATCTAGCTGATCTCTAGTTTGTGGAACAGGCTGTACTAAGAACAATTATTCTTTTTTTTCCTTCGAGACGGACTTTCACTCATGTTTATCAGGCTGGAGTGCAACGGCATGATCTCCGCTCACCGCAACTCCCGCCTCCCAGGTTCAAGTGATTCTCCTGCCTCAGCCTCTCGAGTTGCTGGGATTACAGGCATGCGCCACCATGCCTGGCTAATTTTGTATTTTTAGTAGAGATGGTGTTTCTCCGTGTTGGTCAGGCTGGTCTCGAACTCCCAACCTCAGGTGGTCCACTCGCCTGGGCCTCCCTAAGTGCTGGGATTACAGGCGTGAGCCACCATGCCTGGCCTAGAGCCATTATTCTTATGAGAAATAGTCGTAGCTTCCCAGAGTTTTGAAGAAGGACCCCTTTAGCGAATGGAAATGGTATAAATGAGATAGGATTCACTATATGTCCTAAAGCTACTAATGTTTCTTACATGTCTACAGGCTCATGGAGAGATTATATTAAGTGGATAACTCCGGAAATCAAATCCAAAACCTATTTATAGTTTGTTTTTGCTCACTGATTGGCTTCATCTGGAAGTGGAAGGCTAAACCATTTTATTCAAACAATCAAAAATGGAACTAAAGAAGTACCTGAGTTACAAATTTGTAATGATTTATGAAAAATGGATGGCCACATGGCAACAAAATAAGGACAATTAAAAAATGGTTAGTAGGTTCCTCAAAAAGGGTTCTGGGGAAGAATGATGTACATATACAAATTTCAGAGTAAGCATTGAATGAGAGCATATTTGTTTTCTATGTGAATGGTCACTGGTTTGGCTGTGTACCCACCCAAATTTCAACTTGAATGGTAGTTCCTATAATCCTCAAATGTCCTGGGAGGGACTCAGTGGGAGGTAATTGAATCATGGAGACGGTTACATCCTTGCTGTTCTCATAATAGTGAGTTCTTACAAGATCTGATGGTTTTATAAGGGAATCATTTTGAGATATGTTTCATCAATATCTAGTTTATTGAGAGTTTTTAACATGAAGGGATGTTGAATTTTATTGAAGGTCTTTTCTGCCTCTATTGAGGTAATCATATGTTTTTTGTCTTTGGTTCTGCTTATGTGATGAATTACGTTTATAAATTTGTGTATATCGAACCAGCCTTGCATCTCAGTGATGAAGCCAACTTGATCGTTGTAGATAAGCTTTTTGATGTGCTGCTGGATTCAACTGCCAGTATTCTATTGAGGATTTTTACATCAATGTTCATCAAGGATATTGGACTGAAGTTTTCTTTCTTTGTTGTATCTCCGTCAGGTTCTGGTATCAGGATGATGCTGGCCTCAAAAAGTCTTAGGGAAGAGTTCATCATTTTCAATTGTTTGGAATAGGTTTAGAAGAAATTATACCAGCTCCTCTTTGTACCTCTGGTAGAATTCAGCTGTAATTCTTTCTGGTACTGTGCTTTTTTTGGTTGGTAGGCTATTTATTACTGCCTGAAGTTCAAAACACATTATTGGTCTATTCAGAGATTCAACTTCTTCCTGGTTCAGCCTTGGGAGGGCGCACGTGTCCAGCAGTTTATCCATTTGTTCTATATTTTCTAGTTTATTTGCATAGAGGTGTTTATAGTATTCTCTGATGGTTGTTTGCATTCCTGTGGGGTCAGTAGTGACATCCCCTTTATCATTTTTCATTGTGTCTATTTAATCTCTCTTTTCTTCCGTATTAGTCTAGTTAGCAGTGTATGTATTCTATTGATTTTTTTAAAAAAAACAAAACAGCTCCTGGATTTGTTGATTTTTTGAAGGGTTTTTCATGTCTCTACATCCTTCAGTTCCACTCTGATCTTGGTTATTTCTTGTCTTCTGCTAGTTTTGGGGTTTGTGTGCTCTTGGTTCCCTAGTTCTTTTAGTTGTGATGTTAGGGTGTTGATTTAATATCTTTCTAGCTTTTCGATGTGGGCATTTAGTGCTATAAATTTCCACTTAGCAATGCTTTAACTGCATCCCAGAGATTCTGGTACGTTGTTTCTTTGTTCTCCTTGGTTTCAAGGAACATCTTGATTTCTCCCTTAATTTCATTATTTGCACAGGAGACATTCAGGAGTAGGTTGTTCAATTTCCATGTAGTTGTGTGGTTTTGAGTGAGTTTCTTAATATTGAGTTTGATTGGACTGTGGTCTGAGAGACTGTTATGATTTCAGTTTTTTTGCATTTGCTGAGGAGTATTTTACTTCCAATTATGTGATCAATTTTAGGTTAAGTGCCTATGGCGCCAAGAAGAATGTATATTCTGTTGTTTTTGGGTGGAGAGTTCTGCAGGTATCTATCAGGTCAACTTGACCCAGAGCTAAGTTCCAGTCCTGAATATCCTTGTTAATTTTCTGTCTCAATTATCTCTCTAATATTGACAGTGGGGTGTTAAGTCTTCCACTATTATTTTGTGGAAGTCTTTCTTAAGGTTGCATTGTGAAGTTATTATGTTGTGTTTTTCAGCTCCCTTTGGTCATTCATGTTCCTCTCTAAACTGTTTATTCTTGTTAACAGCTCCTGTAATGTTTTATCATGGTTCTTAGCTTCTTTGCATTGAGATAGAACATGCTCTTTTAGCTCAGCAAAGTTTGTTATAACCCACCTTCTGAAGCCTACTTCTGTCAATTCATCCCTCTCAGCCTCTGCCCAGTTCTGTGCCCTTGCTGGAGAGATGTTGCAATCATTTGGAGGAGAAGAGGCACTCTGGCTTTTTGAGCTTTCAGCCTTTTTTGTTGTTGTTGCTAATTCTTTCTCATCTTTGTGAGTTTATCTAGTTTTGGTCTTTGGAAGGTTTTTTGAGGGGACTTTTTGTTGATGCTGTTGTTGTTGTTGCCTTCTGTTTGTTTGTCTTTCAACAGTCAGGCCCCTTTTCTGTAGGGCTGCTCCAGACCCTGTTCACTTGGATCCTTCCCACTCTTGGAGGTGTTACCAGTGGAGGTTGCAGAACAGCAAAAATGGCTACCTCCGACTTTTTCTGGGAGCTCCATTCCAGAGAGACACTGACCTGATGCCAGTGGGAACACTCTTTTATAAGGTGTCTTATGACCCCCGTTGGGGATGTCTCAGTAAGGAGGCACAAGATCAGGGACCTGTTTAATGAAGCGCTCCGATTGCCCCTTGGCAGAAGGGATGAATTGCACTAGGGGAAATCCCGTTAAATCAGACTGCCTGGATTCCTAAGAGCCAGCAGGGGGAAAGATTAAGTCCACTGATCGATGGAGACTGTGGCCACCCCTTCTCCCAGGGGTTCGGTCCCAGGGAGATCAAAGTTCTGCCCATAAACCCCTCGTTGGAGCTGCTAAAATTCCCACAGGAAGGTCCCGCCTGGTGAGGAGGAATAGGTCGGTGTCTGATCCAAAGAGTCAGCCTGGGTCCGGCACGGTCGCTCACGCTTGTAATCCCAGCATTTTTGGAGACCGAGGCGGGCGGATCACTTGAGGACAGGAGATCAAGACCAGCCAGGCTAACATGGTGAAACCCCGTCTCTACTAAAAATACAAAAAAAATAGCCAGGTGTGGTGGCGGGTGACTGTAATCCCAGCTTCCCGGGAAGCTGAGGCAGGAGAATCGGTCGAACCCAGGAGGCAGAGGCTGCAGTCAGCCGAGTCACGCCATTGCAATGGCGTGGGCAACAAGAGCAAAACTCTGTCGAATCATCATCATCATCATCATCATCATCATCATCATCATCATCAGCCTGGCCATCATCTGCCACAGTTGCTGTGCTGCGCTGTGGGTAATTCCTCCTAAGTCCAAACCACCCAGTCTCCCCAGCGCCAGCAGCAGAAAAATAGCGGACTGGAACTGCACTGATAGCTGCTCCCTCTACTACCAGGAACTGAGTCATCTTAGGCAGCAGGCAGCAGCAGTGATGATGGCTGCCCCTCTCCCCAGGTACTTGGTAGTCTTAGGCAATCTCCAGCCAAGAGGCTGCTGAGAATCTGCATAGCACTGTGCTTTGGACTCAAGGCCCTGGCGGCATGGGCTCATGAGGGGGATCTCCTGATCTGCGGGTTGCAGAGATCCACGGAAAAAGCATAGTTTCCTGGGTGGGGTAGCACAACCACTCATTGCCTCCCCTGGGTGAGGGTGGGATCTAAGCACTATTAATTGTGGATTTATTGAATGCCTCATTCACTTTTATGATATCACACACAATATCGTTTTTGAATTATCAATTTACTTTTTAATAACAACATTAATTATGGAGTGGCTTGTGTCTAAGGATGTGCTTTACCATAGTTTTCTCAGCCAGAATAAACTGTTTTCATGTAAAGTTAGAGTGAGCTTGTGAAGTCTTAGCAATACCTCTCTACAAACAGTGAGTATATTGTACTGTGGTATGTGATACATGCAAGTATCTGTTTGTATGGACTGTGGTAATCAACTATTCTGGGTTAGAACATGTTTTCTCTAGGCAATATTTGTTTCTGTTGTTCCCATGGCCACACATATTTTTCTGGTGTTCAGGATTTTAAGTGGAGTTTCCTAATGATCCACAAACACATTTTTGTTTTCCATTACTACAAGTTTGTGCTCTTGTGCAGAGGTGAAATTCACCCAGAGAACTTGACCCTGGTTCTATGCAGTCACCATTCCATTTTGGATCTGTCATTGAACCAAAAAGGAAAGATAATGTTGATTGCACTTTGTGAGACGCTTAATTCTTATTATCAAAACGTCAGGTATTAGGGTTCTCTAGAGAAACAGAACTAATTCCATGACCCTCCATATCTGTGGATTCTGCCTGAATGGATTCAACTAAAAATGTATATTTTTAAAATGGTGTCTGTATTGCACATGCAGTTTTTTCATTATTCCCTAAACAATATAGTATAACAACCATTCACATAAAATTTACATTGTGCTAGATAACATAAGTAATCTAGAAATTATTTAAAGTATACATCAGGATGTGCATATGTTGTCTGCAAATAATACACCATTTTATATCAAAGACTTGAGCATCTGTGGATTTTGGTGTCTGTGGGAGGTCCTGAAATTCATTCCCATTAATATCAAGGAACAACTGTATTCATCTGAGAATACAGCTTATTATAGACTCACACCTCCTATGGATGCAAAAGCCAAGAAGTCCCACAATCTGCCATCTGCAACCTAGAGAACCAAGAAAGCTGGAGGTGTACTTCAGAGTCCAAAGAGAATCAGAGGAGCAATGATCTAAGTCTGGTCTGAGTCCATATGCCTGAGAACCAGGAGAGATGGTGTCCAAGAGAAGAGGAAGAAGGATGTCCCAACTCAAGCGGAGAGAGAAAAAGTAAGTTTATTCTGCTTTTGTTCTATTCAGATCATCAATGAATTAAAAGATGCCTGCCCACATTGGTGAAGGCAGATATTCTTTACTCAGCCTACCACTTCAAATGTAAATCTCTTCCAGAAGCTCTCTCAAGACACATTCAGAAATGTTTTGCCAGCTAGCTGGACATCTCTTAGCCAAATCAGTGCGACAAAATTAACCATCATAAGTAGGTAGAGAGGAGTGTGTTTGGAGCACATGGGATTCTCAGGTGAATTGTTCAATTCTTTCATAACTTGTAGTCAGAGAACAAGCAGAAACACTGATAGCTCAGAGTAGTAGGTAATAAAATTTCAGGCGCTGAAATGTTGTCTAACGGAAAAGGCAACACAGAATATGTGGAATAAGAATATGATAATGCAAATATCAACAACAGCCTTGTGAACTGAAATGACTTTAGTAACTGAATATATTCTCCATTTCTTTCAAATGTATCTATATTTATAGCTATAGCTATATTCCCCTATGACTTTCCCTTAATGCAGTGCCTATGAATATTTTCTTTTTTGTCATATTATGAATATAGATATTGCTATTACTTTCCCTTAATACTTTATATATGGTGAATTTCTTATAGTTGACTATTAATAGTTTTTGGTTACAGAAAGCCAAGGAGGAATTTTGGCCAAATAAGCAGAGAATGGTTATAACTTTGAGATAGATGCTATAACTGATGGTGCATGGGTTTTCCCTTTTGGCTTCATCTCATAGTAAAGTTGGACATTTATTATGCATAGAAAGCAATGAATAGAATTTGAGTAAAGTGATATAGTGTGATGAACATGTGGATTGACAGTAACAACCTTGTATTTCTATGGTTGGAAAGCTAAATATTCCATTTCTTAGACACCCTTAAAGCTAAAGTTCTGAATTAAAATTTGGTATTATATTTTAAAATGAGGCAGATCCATATTTCTGGAATATTATGGGTAGTTAAAGTGGCTGTGACAGAAATTAGTGTTGGCAGAAATTGGACTCAATGTCTTAATGTCTAATTACCAGCCTCATGCTCCAAGAAAATGATGGCTGTGGAAGCACTGTTACAAGAGACAAAAACTGCAAACTGAACTCTGGATGACAGAAGTAGCATCCTGGTTTCTTCATGCTAGCTGTGGTCTTGTGAAATTAAAACCAAAACTTAGTGGTGCCTACATAACATAAACTTCACTAGCCCAGCCAATAATTGTATAATCAGCTACCTGGACTTTCTGTCTTGCACAGAATCCTAATCAATTTTGTTTAATATCGCACTTCTCTTGTTATATCACTCACTCACACACACACACACACACACACGCATACACACACACCGTGTTCAGAACTTCTTTGGAATTTATATGTAAAATTTTAAAATATGTCTTGCATATATTTTTGAGCATACTGATACTAATATAATATTCCCTGTAGACATCAAGAAAGGCTAATTATGCTGTAATTAAAAATAATCATAACATCCAGCTATAGCCAAAATGCAGTAGCAGGGACAAGATTAACTGTTCTGTATGAAACAACTAAAAGTCTGGTCAAAATACATGAAACAATGGCTCTCAAGACATGAGACATCAGGCAGTAAAGGATAACAATTGCTGTGAAATGGGAAGCGAAATGAGTCCTACTGTTTCCCCAGTTTACTGCCTGAAGACATTTTCAGCCTTTGGCTCAGGGGACAGGCAGCAGGAATCCAAGTGGAGCCAGAAAGTATCCCTTAGTTAAGGAGACAGAGACAGACATCTGGGCAGAATAAGGTGACCAAAATTTCCAGGATAGACTAGGAAATAGGCTACTTCCCAAGAGAACACCAAAGAGCTTTAAAGTGTACCTTCAAGTATTCATTTGAATGTTGATTAGTGCATGGCGTGGAAGGAAACTACCCAAAGACATGGAAGGAATTACAGAGATAATTAGGGGAAATAATCTATGGAGCTTACAAAGTGCCAAAGACATTGCCTGTTATCACTCACCAGAGTGGGAGTCATTCATGAGGGAGCAAGTACAATACTTAGACTATCTTGCCTCCATCGTTAGGAAAAATTAACCCTAGACAATGCTCTTCTGCTTCTGCCTAGCACAATATTAAAATCAGATTGGAAAGAAGCAAACAATTTTTAAGATTTAAAGACATTCCTGAAAAAAGCTCAAGAATATCAATAGGAACAAAAAATTATCTGCTACTCAATAAAAATATTCAATGTCTTGTATCTAATTATCATGTATTATTTGACTTCAGAAGGTAACATTCACAGTGTCTGTCATACTCATATACAAGGAAGACAACAAAATTGTTGGGGGTGGAGAATATGTTCTTTATGTTAATAATAGTTTCAGGAGTGTATACATATATCAAAACTTATCAAATTGTACACTTCTAATACATACAGTTGTGTTAATTATATATCAATAAAGGAAATGGATGGAGTTGGAGGCCATTATTCTTAGCAAACTAACACAGGAACAGAAAACCAATTACTGCGTGTTCTTATATAAGTGTGAGCTAAATGATGAGAACACATGAATATACAGAGAGGAACAACACACACTGGGCCCTTTTGGATAGTGGAGGGTGGGAGGAGGGAGAGGATCAGGAATAAAAATTGAGTACTAGGCTTAACACCTGGATGATGAAATAATCTGTACAACAAACCCCATGACACAAGTTTACCTATGTAACAAACCTGCATTTGTACCCCTGAACTTATAAGTTAAAAAAAAGAAACTTGAGAGTGTTTACCTCACCCCAAGGCAACTGAGATTTTGAGCAAAAGTGTACATTTCTGCTATATTCCTTGGTATAAAAGTGGTTCTGAAAAGTTATTTGAAATAAATTCATAGAACACTTTATTTCTAAAAAAATATGAAGCCTTACATTTTTTAAATCTTAAAACTTTACTTTTTTAAAAAGGACAAAAATTAGGTCTTGAATGCGCTATAGATCTACTACTTGTCTGCAGAAAGAAAAGTGATGCAGCTGTCCATGCCATTATGCCTGAAAATGTTTACAACAGTTGTCCTTAAAGCAGGGGTGGGTTACCAGGATGGGTCATGAAGCACTGAAACATTCCATCCAACTGAGCTTTTATCATATACAGAATCTTATTACCAGAGTAAAGAGTAAAGAGAAAATACTGTGCCGCATAAGACATTTTTGTCGTATTTCATTGGCTGAAACAAGTCATATGCCAGAGCTATCTTTAACAGGAAGAGGAAATGAGTAATTGTGAAGATCACTAGTATCTACTAGAGACCATTAAAAGCCTAATTCACTCTCTAGTTGGTAATAAACTGCACTCAAACTCTTTCAGAAGTGACTCAAGAATTCACATAGTTACATCATCAAGATCAAAGTCCAGTCCTTTTGGGTGATGCCTTGTAATCATCATGTTGGAAAATGAAGTATTTTTATATTCTATCTACATTGTAGATTTATCTACATTATAGGTTAAGCCAATTGTACAATGTGGTTTCTTTTTAATCTGGATGTTTAAAAATGAAATGGAAAGTTATCTACCCACTGATACTTCCCATTTACCATGGAAACTGGCACAGCATAATTCCAGACATACCAGTCCTTGGTCCATAGAAGTACTGTAATCCTATTGAGTACAGAATGTTCTTTATTAGCGTGGTGTGAAGTCTACAGTTAAGGCCTACAATTTACATGCTGTCATGACAGTAGAAGCTGGGAGGTCTTCAAATGACCCGTTTGCAACTCCTCTCTTCCACTCTACTCCAATGAATGAGATCCGCTGACCAAGAACACTCCAGATACAGGGACTATTACAATGTAGTACACTTCAGTTGCCTGCCAGCCTACACAGTTATTCAAACAAGCCAATCACATCCTCCTGTGGGAACCAGGGGTAACTTCAACCTCTTGTCACTACAAAAGCTCTTCTCAAAGACCGTGTTTGCTCACTCTGTTTCTGAGTGAAAACCTTATGTGACCTACATGACATGGTGTTCTCTTCCTCTACGATGTGAGTATGTGTGATTGACCAATTACTGTTTATCTCTTGTGCCCAGTGTCGGGCCTCATGTGTTTGGCCACTCTCATAACCCTAGTGGACAATCAAAACAATTAGTTTCCAAAGATCGTCCTTTAAAGAAGCTTCTGTCCATTTTTCTCTATGATCTTCAGTTGCTTAATCTCTACATGACTGTTGGAACGCATGATACCTTTCCATGATATTTTGCCCACTTCTGAGGTAGTCCCCAGGTATTCACTGAGTTTGTGAACTCAGTCATTCTCTGTCATCAGTGGTTTCAAACTACTTATTATTGTCTTGAACCCCTATTTTTCTTGACAAACTTATCGAAAACCAAGTGACTCATGCTATCAAAATTTTCTTTTCTGACCTCTTTTCCAAACTTAAAAGTTAGTTAGGTATCTAATATGTCTTCCAAGTGATTGTAGGTAGCACTTTTATCAAGTGTTTCAGCACTAAGATCTGAGTTATTTTATTTTATACTCAATCAATATGTTGCATTAATTATCTATCATCTTTAATACTCTTCTATTAAGATATTACCCTGTTTCTGTCCGTATTATTTCTATGTGAGTATGATATCTACTAGAATATAATTGGTATCATCAGCCCTCCTGATGCTATTTACCCTTTTGCTTTTTTCTTAAGTGTAATAGCTCTAGAGTCAGAAAATAAGTGTCTCAGTCAGTTTGGGATGCTATAACAAAATACCGTAGACTGGATGGTTATAAACAATACAAATTTATACCTCACATTCCAGAGGCTAAAAGCCTAAGATCAGAGTGCCAGCCTGGTCAGTTTCTGGTGAGGTCCTTCTTCCAGGTTGCAGACTGCCAACTTACTGTATCCTCATATATAAAAAAAAAAAAGGCAAAAGAAAGAGCTGGGGGTCCCTTTAGTAAGAGATTTTCTAAATTTCATTTATAAGGACTCCACTTCCATGACCTAATTATCTCCCAAACACTCCCCTAATAACATGGCACTGGGGTTAGGATTTGAACATTTGAATTTGGTAGAGGGGGAACATAAATAGTCCAAAACAGTGGGTGAATAGTATATAGATTGAACCTGCTCAGTAGTGGAATGAGGACTTAATTTTCTGGTTGAATACACTCTGAGTCAAATATTAGATATATTATCTTATTTCCACTAGAAAAATGTATATTTTTAATTTTATTAAGCATGGGTATGTTCTTTTTCTCAGTCCCTTTTACTCATGATATATATATATATTATATAAATGTCTATAATATATATTATATGTATATATGCATATAAAATGATATCCATTATAATATAATGGATATATAATATATAATTAATATTATATACATGTATTTACTGATTCTAACAATAATATTTCTATCACACCTAATCTTAATTCTTGTGTGTATGTGTTTTTTTTTTTCTCCTTTGGGACTCTTTATTTTATGCAGTAGAACTCTGGAAAATACAGCTGCAAGGACTATAAGAAATCATTTTGAGTAAGTTTTCACTTAGAACAAGAATAATGGTTAAATTCATCAAGCTTCAGTAATCCCATGCACTTCACTACTGTACTTTAAAATATTTTTCTGTTTCATTTAGACAAAGCTAATGAGGGATTCACTGCCTAATATGTTGAATGTGATTTTGTAAAAGCACCAAAAAAAGATAAAGCCATGGACTTAGAGTAACGTGGAGTTCTGTTTACATCAATCTTTTATAATGTTATCAGCCATTCATTAAATTGTAAAAAAAAAACTTTATTTTCAGGATTTTATAGATTGTTTACACTCATACTTAAATGAAATGTGATATAAATTATAAATTAGAATCTCTAAATTGTACTTATTGTTTCATTGAAACAGGGCTCCACATACAATGTACCAGATCAAAGTGATATAACATTAAAGACTATTGTCAGACCTTTTCTGTAAGATCAAAGAAGGGATGATTTCAAATTCTGATAAAGAAACTTTTCTAATCCCCTTAGGATATCATATGTCAAGTTTTAGGTTAGAAGAAGAAGAAAATTAATACTGATTAATACTCGTCTTGAATTGGTAGGAGATTACCAAGTCACAAGCCACCAAAATGAAGTTATACAAGAAAAGATAAAATTGCAAGTTGATATTACAAATTTGGGAATATTAAAAAAAAAAAAAAAACCTTTGGCTGGGCTCGGTAGCTAATGCCTGTAATCCAGCACTTTGGAAGGCTGAGGCAGGCGAATCACGAGGTCAGGAGATTGAGACCATCTTGGCTAACACGGTGAAACCCTGTCTCAACTAAAACTACAAAAACAAAATTAGCTGGGCGTGGTGGTGGGCACCTGTAGGTCCCAGCTACTCGGGAGGCTGAGGCAGGAGAATGGCGTGAACCCAGGAGGCGGAGCTTGCGGTGAGCCAAGATCGCACCACTGCACTCCAGCCTGGGCGACAGAGTGAGACTGTCTCAAAAAACAAACAAACAAACAAACAAACAAAAAAACTCCATGTGAATTGATGGAATTTTAAACAAAATAATATTTAAAATAATTTTATAAACAGAGTATATAAATTTTTGAATAATTGTGCAATGCCTGTAAGGAATTATAAGTTTAAAAAATAATTGAAGTAAGTTCTAGAATCTGTAATTACATATTTTTAAATGATCAAATATTTAAATTGCTACATTGATACATAGAGCTTCTTTCAAAGATTTTCTTTTATATTCTGGAAACTAAGAATCCTAAGAAAATTAATTTTAGCTTATATTGTAAGAAAAAAATAGCCATATTATTTCCCAAGTCACTCGCTTCATGTTCTGCCCATTTGAGGAATATTAGGTAATATGTATTAGTGGCTGTCCAGTTACAATATCATGGATTTTGACTAATATAAAATATAACTTAGCAGAAAAGTAAAAGAAGATGAACTTCAAACATTTGGATAATTTTGACATTTTGTAATTAGCAAAATAGACTATTTCATTTATTTCTAAAATTATTGGCAAGGACAGAAGTAATTATACCATAATTATTAGCTGTAAAGATTCATCTCATGTTCTTTTAGAGTTGCTGCTTCAAAATGTCACCCCATAAAATATCGCACTGGGCTCTGGCTACTTAAATTTAACTTTGTATTTGGATTTTGATTTCTTAGGCCATTCATAATCACAAAAAGAAGTTAAATTGTACGTTTAAGAAAAAAAATGTTATTGAAATGTCACATGCGTGCAGAAATATGAACATAGCATAAAGTGTAAACTGGTGTGTACAGCAGTTTATTCCTTCTATTGTTAAAGCTGTGCTTTTCCATTTTAGGCTGTTATAAATTGTGTCTTTATGAACATTCTTGAATATGTCATTTGGTGAATATAAATACACTTTTCAGGCAGAAATATATCTATAATCAGTGAACATATATACACATCTTAGAAATATATCTACTAGGTAATTACTGAGTCATAAAATATCAGTATATTCAACTTCAGTTAATACCATCAAAGAATTTTATAAACAGTGTAAAACTAATTTGCATACACAAAAGTAGTGAAAAATGGCCTACTGGCTCAACACTCTCATCACTATTTGGTTGCCATTTTTTTTTCATTTTTATATGAATGTAGTATATTAACTTTCGATTTCCTGATATATAATTGAAAATATAAACACACACAGACACTCCTCTTCGATTTCCTCAGTTTTGATAGTTTTTTTTCTATTTGATTGCCTGCTTTATTGATTAAAAAGTTCAGTTGTCCATATATTCTGTATTGGAGAAACATGTGAAGATCTGTATCTCAAATATCTGCTTCAACTTCGTGGCTTTCATTTTTGCTATTTCAAGGATATATTTTGATAATCGAAAGATATTAATTTTTTATAAAGTGCTTAACTTTAATGTGATCTAATTAATAATTTTTCTTTATAGTAAACGCTATTTTTTGCCCTTTTATAAAAATACCCACCTGTTTCTAAAAATAGTTTTGTAAGTTTCCTTCTAAAAAGTTCATTAATTCTTACTGCTTGCATATATATCTATAATCTATCTAAAATAAATATATGCATACTTCTTTCTCAAGGAAGTCAGGATTTATTTTATATTTTCTTTTTTTTTGAGACCGAGTCCCACTCTGTCGCCCAGGTTGGAGTGCAGTGGTGTGATCTTGGCTCACTGCAAGCTCTGCTTCCTAGGTTCATGCCATTCTCCTGCCTCAGCCTCCCAAGTAGCTGGGACTACAGGCACCCACCACCACGCCCTGCTAATTTTTTGACTTTTAGTAGAGACGGGGTTTCACCATGTCAGCCAGGATGATCTTGATCTCCTGACCTCGTGATCCACCAGCCTCAGCCTCCCAAAGTGCTGGGATTACAGGTGTGATCCACCTTTTTTTGTTTTTTGTATTTTTACTCTTGGCTAAATGTAGGAATATTTATATAATTTCAGTTCTATTTCCAGTTTTGTGAAAAAATGATGAGACCACAGTTGAGTATCTAAAATGAAAAAATAAAGCTGAATTTATAACTTACTCTAGTAAGTCACATACTTATTATATAGAGTTAGATACATGCAGCTCAATCACAGTATTCCAATCAGAGAAGACTGCTGATTTTAATAAGGTTTTGGTAAGCATGAAGATCAGGGAATGGTAAACTTTCGTAAGTAAAAATGAGTAGACATCATTTACAGAAGCATAGATGAATGGCATTAAGAGGTGTGTTTATTGGAGGGAATTCTCCACTGATTGGCTTTCAGAAGTGGGAGGATGCCATTGATTGGTGTGCACTGAGGTGATTTGCCTTTGAAGAACAGAAGTGGTTTAATATCCATCTTGTTTGCTGTTCTGTGTTTCTCACTTCTCTCTCTCTCTTTCTCTCTCTCTCTCCTCTCCCTCTTTCCCCCTTCTTCCCACTTCCCCGACTCTCAAATACAGTTTGCAAGTTTGTCCCCTGCAAATTTCATGTTGAAATGTAACCTCCAGTGTTGGAGGTTGGGTCCGGTAGGAGGCATTTGGTTCGTGAAGGCAGATTCTTTATGAATGGCTTACTGCTGTATTCACGATAGTGAATGAGTTCGCACCAGATCTGGTTGGTTAAAGTGTGTGGCACCTCCTTCTCTTCTATTCCTACTTTCACCAGGTGACATACTGGCTCCCCTTTTGCCTTCTGCTATGTTTGTAAGCTTCCTTAGGTCCTCACCGGAAACAGATGCCAGCACTACATTTCCTGTACACCCTGAAGAACCATGAGCCAATTAAGCTTCTTTTCTCTATGAATTACCCAGCGTCATGTATTCCTTAATAGTAATGCAAATGGCCTAATGCTCTGTGTGTGTGTGTGTGTGTGTGTGTGTGTGTGTGTGTGTGTGTATGTATGTATTGCCAAGACACTCATCACTGGTCAGTCATTACAAAAGGGAAAAATGATCTAGGGCAAATATGCTAATCTTGTTGTTTACATAGTTTTCATGCTAATCCTATTGTTTACATAGATTTCGTGTTTGTGCAACACTAGAATGATAAATATATGGCTTTAAAAATATTCTGTAATTTAAGTTATTTTCAATTCATTTGTATGTCACATATCTTTTCTACTTCTTTTTACTGTTCCAGGAAATATTAACACTAGTAGTAATTTATAACCATAGTAATTTAAATTGTCATTATAAAGAATATACAGATATGAAAAATATAAAAGATATTGATAAGAAATAACATGGCTTACATCAATAAAATAAAATAAAATAAAAACAGCATCGGGAAACCAGAGACCTACTTCTTAACTGCCACTGTCAGATTCATGTAACACCTCGAGACTTTTCCATGTTTATATATTGACATTAGGATTAAACAATTTTTCAGTCCCATGAATACTTTTATATGCTTTAATCCTAAAATTAGTAAAGTGAAGAAACAGTCAGAATCTGGACCTAAAATGTGCCTATGATTATAAAAATAAAGGGTTAGTATAACAAATTATAAGGAAGGAAAGGAGGGAGGGAAAAAATAAAGAAAAAAGAAGACAAAAGGACACAAAGCTGATTTATTATTTATTTGCCCAGATGATACAGAGAAAAAACATGGAAAGGAAATACATAAAAGTGAGCTATGATGGATTATTCAAAGACTATCTCCTGTTATGTTATTAAAAATATCTCCAACCAGCCAACTCTCTAGACTTAGCTGCTTAAAGTAAGCCCCAGAATCAACTCAGTGCTGCATTTAATACACTGATCAAATCTGCCACATGGAAAAAATAAGAACAACCTCATCTAACTTATACTGCTTGCTATCTTAAAATGTAATGATCCCATTGATCATAAAGGAATATTTTTCATTTCATTTCACCATAAATTTTATATGGAAAACAATCCTCAATAGTCCTGTAACAAAGGGCTTTCTTCCCCTCTACATACTTCTCCTAATATGCTCCTTGAAGTATTGTGTTGGGATTTTCATTTAAAGAAAATATGTCTTTGAATTTTGAACAGACTATTAAAATAACTATAAACTTAACAGAGCAAAAGAGTTTTGAAAATGTTCATATTCTGTTTATTTTATGCCATAACTCTAAAATGTTCATTAAGTGGCATAAAATTAAAATGAAAATGTTCATCCAGTAAACTGATAAGCTCCAGAAACTGATGTGTGTTTGTGTGTGTGTGTGTGTGTGTGTGTGTGTGTGTTTATGTGTGTGTGTGTATGTGGTCTATATTGTAGCCATTGGGACAATTAGATGAAAAGATTTTGAGGTTTAAAAGTACTAATTTTCCCTCTTCAGAACTGCAGTTGCATATCTTTTAAAAACATTTTTAAGTGCCAAAAAATAGAGATAAAACCAGAAATGAACAAGCAATTAAATCTGCATATTTAGTATTGCTTGAAGATAATATAACCATTACAAATGTTATTTAGGCATTAGTTTTGGAAGGAATCAAAAATTTTTTTTAGTAATAAACTTTTTCATCTGATAGTAATAAAATGATCAGTAGAGTTAAAATATGATGAGATGGTTAATGTCTGAAGATAAATTGATGTTTCATAGTCTGCCATACTTATGTATGGGGCAACACAGGAACTCAAGGACTCTATCGTATCAAAGTCACAAAAACAATTGCCTAAAATAAAACAAAACAATCAAAATAGCAAAATAAAATAGGAAGTGGGCCAGTGCTCAGACACATACACCCCCCCCCCAATGCACACACGTTATATTTTTTAATTATTATTTCGATTGACATACTGTAATTGTACATTTTTATGAAGTCTAATTTGATGTTTCAATACATATCTACATTGGGCAATTATAAAATCAGTTATATAATGTATCCATCACCTCACACATTTATCATTTATTTGTGGTAAAAACATTCAAAAGTCTTTTTTTCTAGTTATTTTGTAATATACAATACCTTGCTAATAACCATCTGTCACCCTGCTGTTCAGTAGAACACAATAATTTATCCCTCCTTAGTCACTTTTTACCTTTTGACCAATGTTTTTCCAACCCTCCGTCTCCTCTTTGCTCCCGGTTTCAGGTAACTATCGTTCTACTCTTTGCTTCTACAATATCAACAATTTTATTTCTACTTTTTTTGAGATTCAACATAGGAGCAAAATTATGCACTATTTGTCTCTCTGTGACTGTCTTACTTCACTTAACATATGTCTTGCAGGTCTTTAATGTTGTTTCAAATTGTAGGATTTCATTATTATTTATGCCTCAGTCATACTTCATTGTGTATTGTGATGGTTAATACTGAGTGTCAACTTAATTGGATTGAATCATGCAAAGTATTTATCCTGAGTTTGTCTGTGAGGGTGTTGCCAAAGGAGTTTAACATTTGAGCCAGTGGACTGGGAAAGGCAGACCCACCCTTAATCTGGGTGGGCACCATCTAATTAGCTGCCAGCATGACCAGAATATAAAGCAGTCAGAACAACGTAAAAAGTCTAGACTGGCTTAACCTCCCAGCCTACATATTTCTTCCATGCTGGATGCTTCCTGCCCTTGAACAATGGACCCCAACTTCTTCAGCTTTGGGACTTGGACTGGCTTCCCTGCTCCTCACCTTGCAGATGACCTGTTATCAGACCTTGGGATCCTGTGAGAAAATACTATTTAATAAACTCCCCTATATATACATACATATATACATCCTATTAGTTTTATCCCTCTAAAGAACCCTAACTAATACAGATTTTTTTTTACTAGGAGTTGTTCTGGAGGAACATAATATTAAGGATGAAGGTCTTTCATTGGTTTTGGGGTTTCTGGAGTTGGCTGCTTAATGTGAATAGACCCAAAATGCTAAGGATTCTATGTCTAATAGTATGGAGAACACTGGTAGTCCTTTGTGTGACTGTTTAAAGAGTTACGCAAAATAAATGCATTTGACACTTCTGATTCACTGCCTATGAAAGGCAAAGAGTTTAGTGAGTTTATACATAATACCTCTGACTATATATGGAGAACCAAAGAACATAATGAAGTTGGTTGGTTGCTCCTAAGTTCACTGGAAAAAGTGATGAAAGAAAATGATGAACTTAGGGATTCTAACTCCCGGCTTCAGAAGCAGATACTGAGCTTAAATCTGCTAAGATTGCCCTGAGTGAGAGTCTTATCTCCTGTAAAGAAAGAGCTGAAAATGTGGAAAAACAGATGTGAGTTCTTATCATGCAAGTGGCTGACCTGCAATGAAAGATGCATGCACCAGCCTCGTCTTCTGTTAAAGTGAGGGCATTGATTGGAAAAGAATGGGACCCTGAAACTTGGAATGGGGATGTGTGGAAGGACCCTGATGAAGCTGGGGACACTGAGCTTGTAAACTCTGAGGAAACTTTTTTGCCAGAAGCAACAGCTTCCCTATCCCCAATAGTGGCAACATCCCCTCCCTGACCCATGCTGCCATCAGCCTTTCCACCTTTGCATGAGTTGGTAAATCCTGTGCTGCCTGAGGCAACAGTGATAGCCTCCCTTGAGGCAGCTTCCAGGTAAGATAATGTTGATTCTCCCCAGGAGCCACCCCAAACACACCTGATTGCTTCTAGACCTATAACTATACTAAAGTCCCGATGAGCCCCTAGAGGTGAGGTTCAGAGTGTGACCCATGAGCAAGTATGCTACACTTAAAAATAACTGCTTGATTTTTCTAATTTACATGAGCAGAAATCTGGAGAATAGGCATGGGGATGGATATTAAGGGTGTAGGATAATGGTGCAAGGAACATATATTTGGATCAGGCTGAATTTATTGATTTGGGGCCACTAAGTAGGGATTCTGCATTTAATGTTGCAGCTCAAGGAGTTAAAAAAGGTTCTAATAGTTTATTTGTTTGGTTAGCTGAAATGTTAATTAAGAGATGGTCCACTGTGAGCAAGCTGGAAATGCCTGATCTCTCTTGGTTTAGTGTAGAGGAAGGGATCCAAAAGGCTTAGGGAGATTGGGATGGTGGAGAGGATTAGTCACTTTAGACCTATTCATCCCATCTGGGATGGTCCAGAAGATACACCCTTGACCAGTGCTTTGCAAAATAGATTTGTGAGGGTGGCACCTCCATCTTTGAAGAACGTTATAATTGTTCTTCTCTGTATGTCAGATCTAACAGTGGCAACTGCAGTCACTCAACTACAAAATTTGAATATAATGGGAATAATTGAATCCCTAAGTTGCAGGGGCTAAGTGGTGGAACTCAACCATCAAAGGCAAGGTGGACATAGCTACCGAAATGGACAGCAGAGGCAAAGCAACATTCAGAATAGTCTGACTCTTGTAGAGCTCTGGAATTGGCTAATTAATCATGGTGTTCCTGGAAATGAAATTGATAGGAAGCCTACTGCATTCCTACTTAATTTATATAAGCAGAAAACTTCCAAGTTGAATGGACAAAAGACTAATTTGAAATAGAAAACAGAGAATCACAATCCCTCAGTCAATTTCCAGAGTTGAGCCTGTTTACAGACCTAGAGACACTAGAATGAAGGGAAGGCCAAGTCCCGTTGAGGAAGGATCTCACTACTCTAGTGACAATTTATGCTGTTAATCTTTCTCCCATCCCCCCTGCAAGGAGACTTCTGGCCTTTTACCAGGGTAACTGTGCACTAGGGGAAGGGAAATGATCAGGCAATTGGGGGACTACTGGACACTGGCCCTCAGCTGACATTGATTCCAGGGGACCCAAATTGCATAGTGGTCCTCCAGTTAAAGTAGGGGCTTATGGAGGTCAAGTAATTAATGGAGCTTTAGCTCAGGTCTGACTTACAGTGGGTCCAGTGCGTCCCAAGTCTTATCCTGTGGTTAATTCTTCAATGCCAGAATGCATAATTGGCATAGATGTAATTAGCAGCTGGCAGAACCACCACACTGGCTCCCTGACTGGTAGAGTGAGCACTATTATGGTGGGAAAGGCCAAATGGAAGCCATTAGAGCTGCCTCTACCTAGAAAAATCGTACTTCAAAAGCAATACCATATCCCTGGAGGGATTGATGGTGTCACCATCAAGGACTCGAAAGACACAGGGGTGGTGATTGCCACCACATCCCCGTTTGACTCTCCTATTTGGCCTGTACAAAAGACAGATGGATCTTCAAGAATGATGGTGGATTATTGTAAGCTTAACCTAGTGGGTACTTGAATTGCAGCTAGTGTAGCAGATGTAGTTTCATTGCTTGAGCAAATTAACACATCTTCTGGTACCTGGTATGCAGCCATTGACTTGGCAAATGCCTTTTTTTCTCCATTCCTGTTCATGCGGCCCACAGAAGCAATATACCTTCAGCTGGAAAGGCCAGCAATATACCTTTGCCGTCCTACCTCAGGAGTATATCAAGTCTCAAGCTTTGTGTCATAATCTTTTTGGAAGATAACTTGATTGCTTTTCACTTCCATGAGATATCACACTTGTCCATTACATTGATTACATTATGCTGATTGGATCCAGTGAAGGAGAAGTAGCAAACACAGTGAACTCATTGGTGAGACATTTGTGTGCCAGAGGATGGGAAATAATTCCAACTAAAATTCAGGGACCTTCCACTTGAGTAAAATGTCTAGGAGTACAGTGGTGTGGGGCCTGTGGAGTCATTCCTTCTAAGGTGAAGGATAAGTTACTGCACTTGGCTCCTCTTACAACCCAGAAAGAAAAATGCTTAGTGTGCCTCTTTGGATTTTGGAGGCAACACATTCCTACCACTTCATGGTATTCCATGAAGCATTGCCTCTGACCATGACACTCACTTTACAGATAAAGAATTGTGGCAGCACACTCATGCTTATGGACTTCACTGGTCTTACCATATTGTCCATCATCCTGAAGCAGCTGGACTGATAGAAGAGTGGAATGGCCTTTTGAAGTCAAAATTACAATGCCAACTAGGTGACAATACTTTGCCTGGCTGGGGCTAAGTTCTTCAGATGGCCGCATATGCTCTAAATCAGCATCCAATATATGGTACGGTTTCTCCCATAGCCAGGATTCACAGGTCCAGGAATCAAGAGATGGAAGTGGAAGTGGCACCACTTAGCATCACCCCTAGTGATCCACTAGCAAAGTTTTTGCTTCCTGTTCCCACGACATTAAGTTCTGCTGGCCTAGAGGTCTTAGTTCCAGAGGGAGGAATGCTGCCACCAGGAGAGGCAACAATGATTCCATTAAAGTGGAAGTTAAGATTGCCACCTGGACACTTTGGACTCCTCCTACCTTTAGGTCCACATGCTAAGAAGAAAGTCATATTGTTGGCTGGGGTGACTGACCTGGACTATCAAGATGAAATCAGTCTACTACTCCACAATAGAATAAGGAAGCGTAAGCATGGAACACGGGAGATTCATCAGGTCATCGCTTAATACTACCATGCCCTGTGATTAAAGTCAATGGGAAACTACAACAGCCCAGTGAAGTCAGGACTACAAATGGCCCAGACACTTCCGGAATGAAGGTTTGGGTCACACCACCAGGAAAAGAACCACAGTATGTAGCAAAACATACTTGAACTTAGAAACATACTAAGAAGATAAGACATAAGCATAAATCTAATTATTATAATGCTTTAAAATATAGAAAATGATGTGTCACATTGGAATTGGCACAAATAAATGTTAATTTATCAGAGAGGTTTTGATTTTGATGGGCATGTGGAAGAAGAATGAAACAGACATATTCCAGATTTCCTATGGACACTTCCATGTATTTATTCTTGTTGCCTGCTCTGTTCTCTTGAATCTAAACTTGTAAGGCATCAAGTTTAAAATGTCCAATTCTGAATCCTCTCCTCCACTTCCAATAAGTTGACAAATATTGTTAATTACTTCTCATTATACCTTTTCTCCACTGCCTCTATGTTCATTAGTTCAAAAAGTAACTATTTAGCCCTAAGGATTATGCTATATGAAAGGGAGATTTGACAGTAAAATACGGTAAACAGGATTGAAGGACTCAGAGCTACATGTACTGTTTTTGCTAGAATTTTTGATCTAGCTCATTGTTTGATCTTACTTTATTTCCTGATTGCATGTACAAAACTTTATGTACCTTTATTAATGTTATGTGCATAGTTTCTTCTTCTTCTTTTTTTCTCTTCTAATAAAAATTGACAAAATATATTCACTGTCATATTATGTTGTTTTATATAAGTCTAATATTATTATCAACTATTTTTTTCAGTGAGTAATGCCAGACCACAAAGTATCAATCTATATGATAGAGGGGAGGTGATCTATTTAGTGGAGGATTAACCCAGCCATATCATCACTTGAAAAATTTAATGCAAGTCAATTATCAGTTAAAGAAAATCAGATGCAGAAAAAAATATAGAAAAAAATCCAATCAGTGTGGTGGCATTGTTAGTACATGCAGCAGTTTCAAACCGTAGGACTTATAATTAATTGTTTTTTATTTCCAACTTTTAAATACAGGGGGACACGTGAAGTATGTGCAGGTTTGTTACATAGGTAAACGTGCCATGGTGGTTTGCTGCACAGATCATCCCATCAACCAGGTATTAAGTACAGCATCCATTAGCTATTTTTTCCTGATCTGCTCCCCACTTCCAACCCACACCCTCCAAGAGGACCCAGTGTATGTTGTTCCCCTACATGTGTACATGTGTTCTCATCATTTAGCTGCTATTTATAAGTGAGAAGACATACTATTAGATTTTTCTGTTTCTGCATTAGTTTTCTAAGGATAATGGCCTCCCGCACCATCCGTTCCTTTTTGTGGCTACATAGTATTCCATGGTGTATAATGTATCACATTTATGCAGTCTATCTCATTGATGGGCATTTAAGTTGATTCCATGTCTTTGCTGTCATAAATAATGCTGCAATGGACATATACATGCATATATCTTTATAATAGGACAATTTATATTCCTTTGGGTATGTACCTATTAATGGGGTTGCTGGGTTGAATGGTATTTCTGCCTCTAGGTCTTTGAGGAATCATCACACTGTCTTCCATAATGGTTGAACTAATTTACATTCTCACCAGCAGTTTAAACGTGTTCCTTTTTCTCCACAACCTTGCCGGCATCTGATTTTTTTTTTACTTTTTAATAATAGCCATTCTGATTGGTGTGAGATGGTATCTCATTGTGGTTTTGATTGGCATTTCCCTAATGATCAGTGATGCTGAGCTTTTTTTCATATGTTTGTTGGCCACATGTATGTCTTCTTTTGAGAAATCTCTGTTCCTACCCTTTGACAGTTTATTAATGGTGTTGTTAGTTTTTTTCTTGTAAATTTGTTTAAGTTCCATATAGATGCTGGATATTAGACCTTTGTCACATGGAGATATTGCAAAAATTTTCTCCCATTCTCTAGCTTATGTGTTTACTCTGTTGATAGTTTCTTTTGCTGTGCAGAAGCTCTTTAGTTTCATTATATCCTATTTGTAAATTTTTTGTTCTGTTGCGATTGCTATTGGCATCTTTGTCATGAAATCTTGCCTGTGCCTAGGTCCTGAAAGGTATTGCCTAGGTTGTTTTCCAGAGTTTTTATACTTTTGGGTTTTACATTTAAGTCTTTAATCCATCTCGAGTTAATTTTTGTATATGGTGCAAAGAAGGAGTCCTGTTTCAATTTTCTGTATATGGCTAGCAGGTTATCCCAGCACCATTTATTAAATAGGGAATCATTTTCTTACTGCTTGTTTTTGTCAGATCTGTCAAAGATCAGATGGCTGTAAATGTGAAGTCTTATTTCTAGGCTCTCTATTCTGTTCCACTGGTCTATGTGTCTATTCTTGAACCAGTACCATGCTGTTTTGGTTACTGTAGCCCTGTAGTATAGTTTGAAGTTGGGTAGTGTGATGATTCCAGTTTTGTTCTTTTCACTTAGGTTTTCTTAGCTACTTGGGCTCTTTTTTGGTTCCCCTTTCATTAAGATGTATTTATTGTAAAAATTAATGGAGAGGTAACGGAAATAGGAATAAGTTTTCATAGCTACACAATCATACTCAAGCACAAATTATTTTTGGTCAATAAGGTTAATGTTTATTCTGAACACTATGTTTGATTATGATTGTGTAGCTATGGAAACTTATTCCTATTTCCCTTATCTTTCTGTGAATCTTTACAATAAATATCTCTTAAGAAATCCTTCTGTATACAAATTGGAATAGACAGATATTATGAAAATATTATCCTTTGTAGAAAATTAAGAAATGTAGCATATATACTGAAAGGGTATAAGATTAGCAATAATTATTTAGGCAACATACTGCCTCTGCTTACATTGTAATTGCATCTCTTCCCTGGTCAAGTTGTTTAACTTATATAAGCCTCAGTTTCTACATCTGTAAAGTCATACAACACTTATGATAAAGTAGCATATGTGGCATACAGGGTCAGGTCTATCATGTAAAATATTATTATTGCTGTTATTATTGTTAATGTTATTTTGTTATCAGTAATTTCTTTCCCAAGAAACAATCATTTTAATAATTATTTATTTTGGAAAGCAAAAATATAGAGATGTAGAAATAAACATACGATTATAATATATCAATATATACATTTTGGAGAAAAAGTATAAAAATATCAATTTTCACAACTTGTTTTTTAATCATAAAATAGTTTTTTTCTCTGTTTCTGAGATTTTGTTATGCTGTTTAATGTGTAATGAAAAAAATTTAAAAATTGAAAGATGACAAGATAATCTCTCTCTCTATATATATGTATATTTATTCAGGAAGATGGAAGGAGGGGTGAAAATTAATTTTTTTAAGTAAAGTTGGTGGGAGCAGAAAAGAAAAGGGATCCTGTGGAGTGAATGTAATGAATTAAACTTTGAAAATGATGGTGAAGAGCCATGATAAATTATTTTCTTATGAATCAAACAATGTCACTTCCTTCAAGGTTCTATAAGAAAGATTACAATCAATCCTTAACATTTCTTAGAGTAATCAAACTTTTCACTTCACTTTCTGTGCTTGGGTTTATTTATTTATTTTATTATGCTTTAAGTTTTAGGGTACATGTACACAACGTGCAGGTTAGTTACATATGTATAAATGTGCCATGTTTTGTGTGCTTCACCCATTAACCCATTATTTAACATTAGGTATATCTCCTAATGCTATCCATCCCCCCTCCCACCACCCCACAACAGGCCCCAGTGTGTGATGTTGCCCTTCCTGTGTCCATGTGTTCTCATTCTTCAATTCCCACCTATGAGCGAGAACATGCGGTGCTTGTTTTTTTGTCCTTGAGATAGTTTGCTGAGAATGATTGTTTCCAGCTTCATCCATGTCCCTACAAAGGACATGAACTCATCATTTTTTATGGCTGCATAGTATTCCATGGTGTATATGTGCCACATTTTCTTAATCCAGTCTATCATTGTTGGGCATTTGGCTTGGTTCCAAGTCTTTGCTATTGTGAATAGTGCCGCAATAAACATATGTGTGCATGTGTCTTTATAGCAGCATGATTTATAATCCTTTGGGTATATACCCAGTAATGGGATGGCTGGGTCAAATGATATTTCTAGTTCTAGATCCCTGAGGAATCGCCACACTGACTTCCACAATGGTTGAACTAGTTTACAATCCCATCAACAGTGTAAAAGTGTTCCTATTTCTCCACATCCTCTCCAGCACCTGTTGTTTCCTGACTTTTTAATGATCTTCATTCTAACTGGTGTGAGATGGTATCTCATTGTGGTTTTGATTTGCATTTCTCTGATGGACAGTGATGTGCAAAAATCACAAGCATTCCTATACACCAATAACAGACAGAGAGCCAAATCATGAGTGAACTCCCATTCACAATTGCTTCAAAGAGAATAAAATACAGAGGAATACAACTTACAAGGGATGTGAAGGACCTCTTCAAGGAGAACTGCAAACCACTGCTCAATGAAATAAAAGAGGATACAAACAAATGGAAGAACATTCCATGCTCACGGGTAGGAAGAATCAATATCGTGAAAATAGCCATACTGCCCAAGGTAGTTTATAGATTCAATGCCATCCCCATCAAACTACCAATGACTTTCTTCACAGAATTGGAAAAAACTACTTGAAAGTTCATATGGAACCAAAAAAGAGCCTGCTTTGCCAAGTCAATCCTAAGCCAAAAGAACAAAGCTGGAGGCATCACACTACCTGACTTCAAACTATACTACAAGGCTACAGTAACCAAAACAGCATGGTACTGGTACCAAAACAGAGATATAGACCAATGGAACAGAACAGAGCCCTCAGAAAGAATACTACACATCTACAGCCATCTGATCTTTGACAAACCTGACAAAAACAAGAAATGGGGAAAGGATTCCCTATTTAATAAATGGTACTGGGAAAACTGGCTAACCATATGTAGAAAGCTGAAACTGGGTTTATTATTTACTTTGTTCAGTTTGACATTCTGCTGAAACTAAGTTGGAGCGTTGACTTCATGAAATAGAATGCTTGCAGATGGAATACTAATTTCAAAAAGTAAAAACATTTTAGAAATGTTTCATCTATTGTGCCAAATAGTGTTCCACAAAGATTCACAGGAAAGTCTTTTAGGTTAAAATGAAATTTAGAAAGGAAAAATCTGGAAACATAAACATATCAAAACTGCAAAATGAAATTGCCATTGAAAGAAAGTGTGCTGGGATATAGAGAGATAACTGATGTGTAATAAAATTGTTTTTAAAAAAGAATAAGACACAAAGAAAAAATTAATTATAGAAACTATATTAATAAATGTTAGATAAATAGAAACTAGATTTAAAAAAAAACAAATCATTTGGAGGCCAGAAATCACAAAATTAAAATTCAAGTGACAAACTGAAAAAAATATTTAAATATACGGAACAAAAATCAGCAATGTCTTTTGCATTTTATAAGAACGTTAAAATAATAGACCTTTCAATTTTATATTTGGAAAAGTAACAAAAACTATCTTTCAAAATATGGTGCCAAATTTTTCCAAGTTTTGAAAGAGCTGTACTTTATTTTTTATAATTAGAAAAAAGTAACATCAATAAAAAATGAATATAATATTTCCAAATTATCTTAACCATTAACCAGCTTAGAATTCAGAACTATCTGACAAAGACAATTATAACTCCAATGAGGCTTTCCTATCTCTAGAGTATACATTTTCCCATAATATAGCATATGCTTGATGTTTGAGTTTTATATATTTTCTAAAAAATGCAAAGATCCTAGTGAAGTGGATTTGTTTCTCAAATAAATAAATGAATAGTTGGAAAGCAATCCTTTACAGATATCTGAGACCTATACTGTCAAAAGACATACAATCTGTTTTACCTTAATTATGGTGATTCAGAAAATATTCCAAAAACATTTTAGTTATTTATTAATGTAGTCACAAATAATGTGCAGATGTTTCTAAACAAAATGCAAAAAGGGTGTTCATTAGCAAAAACTGGGAATAGCAAACTGAGAACATGTTTTATTGTGGAAAGAGATACAATGTGAGAGTTGGAACCTTTCCTTCCTCCTTTCCTTCCTTCCTTTTTTTCCTTTCTTCCTTCTTTTCCTCTCTTTCTCTTTCTCTTTTTTTTCCCCCGCTCTCTAGTTTTCTGCAAGTAAATGAATACCCAAGACTAGCCACTAGAGTATGATTTAGAGAATTAAGTCAGGGAGAACAAATGCCTTTTAAATGGCACCCAGAGGGCCCCAAAGAGTTAATGAACCTGATATTCTCCATGAACCAGATTCGTTTTAAAGACACTCTTTCACAGATGAGGCATGTGGCTAATTATATTTGCACATTTGGCTAACTGCTTAGCCATGCAAAATGAGCGATATTATGGGCCATGAGTCACCAACCATCTTGCCATATGGACATAATTTTCTGAATATCATATATCTTTTCAAGTTTTTATGACAATATTATCTTATTGTGGAATAAAATAAAGATTGCTTTTTGTAAAGTTGTTACTCTCTATTAAATATGCTTGGAAAGACTTTTTAATTCGTTTTACATTAAGGCAACTATTTGAAAATTATTATTTTTAGTGAAATAAATTAAATGCTTGAAATGCAGTTAAACAGCATAACTGCTTTACTTTTCACATGATAATCTCCAGGAGTAGCTTCCTAAAGAGACCAGTGGAGGATTGGGAGTATCATTGTGAAAGAGAAATTAATAGAGACAAGATGATTCATATTTTAGTGCCCAGAGTATAATGCAAGTGTGAAGTATCTTTTATAACCATTCTGTATCATGTTTTACTTGATAGGAAAAATAGTGATCTAAGGAAGATTAACAGTCTTCTCTATGCATCTTTGTTGTATGTTGAAATAGGTGGGCAGAGAAAACTTTTTATGCCTGCTGCTGATTTTATATGAGGAAATGTAGTGTTAATTTTATTTAATGCACTATACTTCCCATAAACTGAGAATATGACTGTCAACGTTCAACCAGCAAATAAAAAATGTGGGGTAATAATTATCTCAAATAATTAGTAATATGAATAGAGACTGAAGGCTAAAATCAAAGTCTAAGTAAGTAGTGTCTTGGGGGCAATATAAGTAATAAGTCACAATGTTATTTATTATTATAAGAAAACTAATGTGTGACAGACAGAATTCTTTTAAACCACCAAATAATTTCTTTTTCATTTTCTTTCCTTTTTTATTTTTATTTTTTTCTTTTTCTCTAGATGGAGCCTTGCTCTGTTGTTCCGGCTGAAGTGCAGTGCAATGGCAGTATCTTGGCTCACTGCAAGCTCCGCCTCCCAGGCTCAAGCAATTCTCCTGCCTCGGCCTCCCAAGTAGCTGGGATTACAGGCGCGCGCCACCACGCCCAGCTAATTTTTTTTGTATTTTTACTAGCGACGGGGTTTCACCATGTTGGGCAGGCTAGTCTTGAACTCCCGACCTTGTGATCTGCCTGCCTTGGCCCCCCAAAGTGCTGGGATTACAGTCGTCAGCCACCGCACCCGGCTTCTTTTTCATTTTCTATAGATATTTATATTTCCATAAGATCTTTAGGGCACTTAGCCTAAAGATGAGACAAAACACTTATTTTTCTTTTCTTTTTTTTTGGGGGGGGGGGCTATGACACTTATTTTCCAAATCAGTGACTCTCATGCTTTTATATAAATAACCTATTAAATAATTTTATGCTTAGTTTTATTTAAAACCTAAACACTGGTTACATTTAGAAAATATCCAGTTTTTTACAGTTATGTGAACAGCAAATGTGCGTAAATGTTTCTACTTGCACATATATGTGCCAGTAGTACTCTTTTGATGAACAGACATATACTCTCTGAAGTCTATAGAGATATATATTGGGGGCCGAGCACGGTGGCTCACTCCTGTTATCCCAGAACTTTCGGAGGCTGAGGCAGGCGGAGCCAGAGGTCAAGAGATCGAGACCATCCTGGCCAACATAGTGAAAAACCGTCTCTAATAAAAATACAAAAAATACAAAAAATAAAAATAAAAAAGAAATAGCTGGGCATGGTGGCGGGTGCCTGTAGAACCAGCTATTCGGGAGGCTGAGGCAGGAGAATCACTTGAATCCAGGAGGCGGAGGTTGCAGTGAGCCGAGATTGCGCCACTGCACTCCACTCCAGCCTGCAGCCTGGCGACAGAGTGAGACACCGTCTCAAAAGAAAAAAAAAAAATTGGCTTAATTAAAGGAAAATGTCAGGGGAGGTCTTGTATTAGGCATGGTTTGATTCTAAGGCTTAAACATTATATGCCCTGGCTTTCTTTCCATCTGTTTTCTATTGCCTTCCATCTCATGCTCCTGGCAATTCCAGTCTCAAATCATACTTATTTTGACGATTCCTAGCAGAAAATAGAAAATATGATTATGAGTCCCCTAAACAATCACAGAGTTGAGTTATAAATCCTAAACTCAGACATGAAGTCAATCCTTCCTAAATATAAGGATAGAAAATGAGAAAGGGGTGTCTTTCAGAAGAAAATTGACACGCTATTTTCCAGAATACCATGGATGCACATTGAGGTGAAAAACAATATTTCCACACTTACAGGTTGAACCCTGGGCTATGCCCCATTCTCACTAGGTATTTCACAAAACCATTTGACAGGTTGTGTACTTTAGGACCTGTTCTTTCTAAATCTTTTTTTTTCTCTTGTGATGTGCCAGGTACTTATCCTTTCTTATTACACTGTTAGTTGATGTATAATCCTACTTAATATCTTATAATTCATTCAATAATTGATTGATCAGGAATTACTCCCTGATTACAGAAAATTGTTGCTCTGTCCTCAGTTGTTTAACATTCAGAAGAGAAACGTAGGTAATTCTAAAACCATATGTGGCTTCTGTTTTCAACACAGTGCTTGCTGTTCTGATTGGGATTGCATCTTCCCTTTTGGGCACCTGATGTTTTATTAGTTTTTGCTTAGTTTTTGTTTTCCAGGAACTTATGAATAAGAGGATATTGGCTGAGTAAATCCCTAAAAATTAACCCCATTACATTAGTAAAGAAAGGCAGGCAGGCAGGCAGTCAAGAAGGAAGGAAGGAAGGAAGGAAGGGAGGGAGGGAGGGAGGGAGGAAGGAAGATGAACCAAAGAAAAATATACTTTCTGTTTGCTCCTTGACTTCCTGGAGTTGGTAAGAAGAAATTTTTGTCTTTAAAGTCCCTAAGGACACCCAAAAATAATAAACAATCTTTCATATTTGAGTAACTTATTGAACAGGAACAGATATATGTGATACAAAACAACTTTTTCTTGTTTAATTTTTTTAGGTCTAAAAGGTAGGTTTGCTTTATGACAAAAATAATTTGACTTGATTATATTTTATATAAAATGATCAAGAATGTGAAAATCTTAACTGATCAACGTTAGGGAATTATCGCTTCCCATCATTATTTCAGAATTAGAAATGTTAATAGTTTTTAAATATTTACATTATATTTTATCTTTCAAACATTTGAGTTTATATAAATTGAAGCAATTATACTTACTGCATTGATGTGAAATACAACTCTAATATGAAACAAAAATGTACGATCAATTAACCAGGATTTTAGAAAAATAAAATACTTGTATGCTGACAAAATGAAAAAAAATGCCTTCAATAACTTCTTTATGTGTTTAGACAGGAAAAAGTTTTTGTAACTAGGGTACACCAATATGTCCTTAAGTTATTAAATATTGACTATGTACAACATGCTATGTTAAGCTTTTTTGCAGATGTAAATTCATTTAACCCTTCCAACAAATCTCTTTTTTGAGTAAGTAAACCAACCTTAAACATTTTAAGCAAGGAGCTTATTTTTAGAGGTATTAGAAATGGGATAAAAATGATGTTCTGATAATTTAGCTTTTCTGTTAACCATCATAAATTAGAAGTTAATGGATAATTTTTTATTAGAAATATTTACACAATTTACATTATGTTACAGCAAACTTTCTAATGAAATCAGTGGCTGTAAGTGAAAATTCAATGACTATTAGTGAAAATTATTTATAGTAATATAATTAATTTCATTATTGCCTAACCATTTGTTGTTAAGTAAGAATTATTCTAAATGTTATTCAAAGATTGAAAACATCCAATAAATGTGAGTTAACAATCTATATGGTTAAATATATTTCAAGGCTGTAACCACATTATTGCATAATTTACATGAAGAAAAATGCATTAATTGTTTTCATGAAGGCTGTGATACCAAAATTAATAACCGTGTTTTGGGGACAAGGCATCAATTTGGTTTTTTCACTTTTGATAATTCCACTGTGTTGTTCAAAGGTTTATTCTGGAAGTTTGGAACCATTCAAGTGGATAATTGAGTTTGGGGGAACTCAAATGATAGATGGAATTGGTATTAATTGAAGTATTTGCCTAGGGCCTTTACAGTGCTCTCAAAAAAAAAAAAAAAAAATAGCATCCTCTGCACCATCCCCCTACCCCTGCAAAGAAACCATTGCCATTTTTTTCTAATACCTTTTTATAAAATGTAGAAAATAAACTATTATTTCTCTTTGTTTATTAAAATGATTTACAACTTACAGAAGTAGTATACATCAAGCTGTCTTCTTCATTCTTAAATATAATATAAAGTGAACTATTTCCGGAAAAATATCTGAAAATAAGGCATGATTAACACTTAAGTTTTCAATAAGCTTTTTATTTTTGTCAAATTTTAGAAATTTTAGAGTTTAGCCATAACACTCAGTTATACTGAAACATTTTACTTTACATAATGTCACAGATTTCCATACAGAAACAGTATAATGTTCTATAATGGGAAGATTTTAAAAGGCTGATAAAGAGGTATATGCACAATGCATACTTTCAATTAACTGATAGGAAAGTAAGTTTTATATCAAATAATACTTAACTAAACATGAACTCTAGCCAGGTTTAGAATCCTTTATTTACTTTTTTAGGATACATTAAACAGTATATATGTCAGTTCTTTCCATGAAAGCAATGATATTTTAATAATACTTTGATCTTTATGGAATGACATGGTCCTTTAAATTAAGAAAATGCATCAGAAATGCATGTATTAAGCAGTGCACAAATTATATTTTAATTGATTAGAGTGAGATATTTGAAGTATTTACATTATTGTTATTTATTTTATATTTATTTTGAGACAGGATTCATTCTGTCACCCAGGCTGAAGTGCAGTAGTCTGATCACAGCTCACTGCAGCCTCGACTTCTCAGGCTCAATTGATCCTCTCACCTCAGCCTCCCAAGTAGCTGGGACTATGGGTGCATGCCACTGACCCAGCTAACTTTTTAAAACCTTTTTCTGTAGAGGTGGGGTCTTGCTATGTTGCCCAGGATAGTCTCGTACACCTGAACTCAAGCACTCCACTGATCTCAGCCTCCCAAAGTGCTGGAATTATAGGTATGAGCCACTATGCCCTGCCTTTAAGTTAGTAAAACAAAATGCTTCTATCTAAGTCATTATTTAGATTGTACATAGAAGAGTCTTCCCACTATCGAATAATCCTTATATATTGAGTATCCCTTATCCAAAATGCTTAGGAAGATAAGTTGTTTCAGATTTTGATGTTTTTGAATGTATGAATATTTGCACATAATAAAGTGATACCTTGGAGATGGGATCCAAGCCTAAATATAAAATTTATGTTATATATGCATATGTAGCCTAAAGCTAATTTTGTGCATGAAATGAAGTTTGGACACATTTTGACAGAAAGCCATCACATGAAGTCAGGTATGGAATTTCTACTTGTGGCTTCATGTGTGTATTAAAAAAGTTTCACTTTTTGAAGCCTTTCAATTTTGGATTTTTGAATTGAGATGTTCAACCTATACTTCTTTTTTATGGATTGTAAATTTTAGAAATATACTTTTTTTGAAATTTCACTTTTACACTGCTCAGTTTGGTTATTCCCTTTGCTTCAACTACATTATATATTTACATTTTCCATGGGAAAAAAATAGCTCAGTGGTTGAGATTTTTATGTGCATATTTCTTATTTATTTATTTATATTAAAATTATGTTTTGTCTTCTTAGGAAATTATAAATCAAACAATATTACTATGAATATTGCTATAATTTTTAGGGCTAACCAAAACTGTAAACAAAGTATTCTCATGACACTGAAACTGAGCAAAGGGTCCACAGTTGAAAAACACAACCATGTCATACTCATAATACCATCACAACTCAATCACAAATCACTCTTTCCAAAAAAGACTTCCACAGTTGGAACTTGTGAATTGTACCATAGGAGTTTTGCAACTTAGCTGGCCACTGCTTGGCATACACACTATTTATTAGAATACAGAATAGACATTGCCAAGAAATTATTTGGATATGTTAATATTGCTTTATGAGTATTACATTTTGTTGTAACTATTCAAATTGCCACAAAAAAGTACCCTTAGTCATCCAAAAACATCAAAATCAATGAGATTTTACATTATTTTCCCTTAGGAACAGAATAGAGAAATATTTTGATATTTTTTTCTAAGATGATTCCAAAGAAAAGCTTTTGACAGTACTTGAATTAGTATTGCCATAGTTATCCATATAACTCTAAGTTTGCTCATTTTCTTAAGTATGTTGCCTAACTAGACATTCCGGTGTGCAGTAAACAAGTTTACTATCAACTGGAAGACTTTTACCTCAGGTTAGTTTATGTGTTTATCAAACTGAGTTATTCACAGAATATGAAACAAAACAAAGCAAAAAGTGGTATATTAAAGGAATCATTAGTGGCTTCAATGAAAAAAAGGCATGATCTTAAACATAATAATATACTAATTTATAGCAGGTTGTATACAAAGAAAAAACATATATATCATCAGTTTATTTCATTTAAATTCTATATGGCATCACAATTTTTTTCTAATGTTCCACATGCATGAATTCAAGTTCAAACAGTGAATAGCTTACGGTAATCCCACTAATATACCGTGGGTGAAGTGAGAATTTAATTATGGATTTCCTAAAGGTTCTGTGTCTTTACATAGTTTACGTTGTCTGAGATAGGCAACCTTTATAGAAAGCTACAATAGGGTTGCAGAACACTCAAAGAAGTGAGGGACACCATCAAGTGATAACTGCAAAATCACTAAGTTAAAACAGAAAATCACATTCTCATGAGGGGATATTGATGGCTATATTTATTTAGTTTATAGTTTTGCCAAGGTCAACTTGCCTCAATATCTTGTATATTCTTTTCAAATTTGGTTTTAATCAGCTTGTAGGATCAAAGGTTATTCAAAGAGATCATATGATTAACTGTCCAAGGCTTTGGGGGAAAGGAAGTATTAGGAAAGCATTTTAATAGTAGGCTCAATAAAAGGAAGGTCATCAAAGTACATTTATATTTGAACATTTAAAAGCACTTCTTTGAAGTGCTTCCTGATGAGCTTAGTTAAATATTCTTCCAAAATGCTCTCATAGCATCACATCCAACTAGGGAAGGAGAGAGGGGAGTGGTATAGAGCTCCTGAAAATACAGGTTTATGTTTCTGTCAGGTATAGAATCCTTTATTTACTTTTTTAGGATACAATAAACAATATATATGTCAGTTCTTTCCATGAAAGCAATGATATTTTAATAATACTTTGATCTTTATGGAATGGCATGCTCCTTTAAATTAAGCAAATGCACCAGAAATGCATGTATTCAGCAGTGCACAAATTATATTTTAATTGATTTGAGTGAGATATTTGAATTTATTGATTGGGTCATCAAACAACCACTCAGCTAATTGAGATAAAATTTACCTTCTAATGAATATTTCCTTCTTAGAGGAGTTGTGCTTTACACAATAACGATTAGTGGGCTTCCTATTGAAAACAACCACATTGAGTTCATTTTAACACAGCTCAACGTAAAATGCTTTTGTAAGTATTTATTAACTTCCCCTTTTCCAACATTTTACATTATGGTGTGAGTAAACCAAAGCCTTTTTGTGTAGTCAGTCCTGACATAGGCTTTATAAGAAATCTTGCCCCTTAAAAGGATGAATATGTCATTTTAAACCACTGAATCAGTGCTGTCAATTCAAATCAGTAAGAAACAGGATTTACTCTTACTTTTTCGTGGACATCAAGCAGAAAAAAATATGTATATATTTTTCAATCTCACACAACAGCTTGACCAGTTCTGAAGACTGAATGGTAGCAAAGCTGTTTTGAGGCTTAAGACTTGAGCTTATGATTGTACATTAAATCATTTTGTCTATCCTGTGGATACCCATAATATTTCAAGTAAAGTTAATTTAAAATAAAATATGTAACTTTATTCTTTATATTGAAAAGTTCCCACCATTCAAATGCAGGCAGAAACAATAGTAAGGCTATTATAATAATATGGGTTTACCCTCATAATATCTCTGAGCTGAGATAATAAGCTCAAGAGAGTGAGGACAAATGACTCACAAATGATTAAAAATCACCCTGCTACATTTCTTATCTGCCGTAGTAGATTTTAGGAGAGAGGGAATTTGCACCTGCAAACCTCTGAAGACCCACAGCCTGGAAGTCTTTTCTTAGCCGAACTGTCGTTCACACACATAACATTAAAAATGAGGCACATTTACAGATACAAAAAAAAAAAAAATTCAGAACATAATCATTTGTTTACCCCATTTAAAGAAAGTATCCAAGAAAAGAATTCAATGAAAGCATTCAAGCATTACATAAATATCAACGTACAAATTAAGTAAAATGAATTTCACAACATATTTTAAACATATATGTCTAAGCTTTGCTGAGGGCAAGCATGGAGAAGAGAAAAACTAATAAGTAAACCACTATGTACATTTTCTATTTATATAAATAAATATGTATTATAAATTTAAATTGCTATATTGTATAATATAAATAAATATGTAAATATTGATGGATGATTATGAAGTATCTGAAAATTTAAAATAAAAATTTTAAAAATAAATTGATATTCTTGAAATACAAATGACATTTTTAAACAGTATATTCTATTTACTTGATAATTTTTTTAATGTTTAAATTTGTGGGTGCATAGTGTATATATTTATGGAATACATAAGATATTTTGATACAGGCATATAATGCATAATAATCACATTGGGGTAAATGAGGTATCCTTCAATTCAAGCATTTATCCTTTGCATTACAAACAATCCAATTGTACTGTTTTAGTTATTTTAAAATATAGAACTAAATGCTATTGACTATAGTCACCATGTTGTGCTATCAAATAGGAGTTCTTATTCACCATTCCTAAATATTTTTTGTACCCAATAACCATCTCCACTTTCCCCCAAATCCCCCACAAACCTTCCCAGCCTCTGATAATCATCCTTCTACTCTCTATGTCCATGACATTCTACAAGGAGAAAATTAACAATAATCTAAATCTAAGAATGTGAAAAAAACTCCTTAAAAATCTAAGCATTTAGATAGGGCCTTTTAAAAAAGTCTGAAAATGAAGTGGTGTAATTATAGGGTTTTTAAATGATTATATTACCATGAAATGGAGAACATTTTTACCTAACAATACACACTATTTTTCATACTTGAAAACTTCACCAAAAAAAGACCATGTATTGGGTTATGAAATAAATCAGAAAAAAATTCGAAGTTTGATAATGTTGAGAGTATTTTATAGACCACAGTGGAATCATGTCCATATCACCAACAAACCAATAGATAATTAAATTTCAAAATTATGTCACCTCATGATGCCAAACTTATAGCAAATATTAGGAATGAATATAAATAAATATGTGCAACATAGCTATATTAAAATATAAAAAATGTTATAGGCAGACATAAATAAGTACTGAATACTATAAATTAAGTTTATACCATGTTCACTGAAGGAGGTATCAGTACTGTAGCATATAAGTTAGCCTTAAACTAATCTACAGATTCAATGAACCCTTAACCATTATCCCAGTCTTATTTTTGGGGATAATGATAAACTGATTTAAAAACATATTGAAATACAAATTACCAGCTTAGCAAAGTCAAATTTGGAAGAAATAAAGAATATGGTGACTTAGACTAACAGGTATCATACAAAGCTATGGTAATTAAGATTGTTTGCGGTATAGGAAAAGAGATACAAATATGAAACACCTGGTTGTGTAGAAACAGATCATATATGTATGATGACCTAAATTATGGCAAAGGTCACATTGCTCTGTCATGTGCAAATGACAATCTTTTCAATAAACAGTGGTGGGTCATTTGAATATTCATATTTATAATGAAGAGTTTGACTTTATTATTTGATACTTAACTAATTACAGATTTTAAAGTTACAATATTGCAATGTGATTCTTCATGTTAACCACCTAGAGTTGCTGCACATTCCACAAGTTTAAAGGCACATTCCCCAACAACACTGCCTTCACTCCAAATGACAGCTATCACTTTAGGGAGCTCCAGACCACAGGCACTTCTTACTAAGTGGATAAAAATTCAGAGTTTTCCATAATGCACATGGGTTTGATAATTCACTAGAACAACTCACAGAACTCAGAACAATGCTAATACTTATTTTTACAGTTATGTATTATAATAAAGGATAGAAATTATGACCAGCCAAATGAAGAGACAAATAAGGTAAGGTCTAGGAGGGTTTTGAAAGTGGAGCTTCCCTGTTCTTTTCTCATGTAATCATAACATATCACCCTACTGGTACATCACCATGTGCTCATCAACCAATCATGTCATCCAAATTCCGAGTCCACAGTTTTTGTTGGAGTTTCATTAGTGGGAATGATTGGCTGTGTAGCTGAACTCAATATCTAGCCAACCTCCCCTTCCTAAATGTTGTGTTTCTATGATCTGGCTTAGAGGCCACCGTTTAATTACATGGTTGGTCTTTTCCTAATGGCATCCCCATCCAGAGATTATTTATGGGCCTACCATAAATGGCCTCATTACCATAAAATCAGGAAGTCCCCACCATGATTAATAAAGATACTCTTATCACTGGGGAGATTCCAAGAGCATAGAAGCTTCATCCCAGGAACCCAGGAAAAATGACTATGCAAATAATTTATTATACAAAAAAGCCTCCCCCCATTCCTCCTTTGCATGTACCTCACGTAAGGGCAAGTTGATTAAAAAAAAAAAAAAACCTGAGTGCTTCCTCTGATTGGAAAAGGAGGGGATTCAAATCATGCAAGACCCTACCTACATATGGAAGCCCTCACCTCAGCCCCACTACGTATCCACAGTGAAAACCTGGAGCCCATCTCTATTCTCTGCTTACCAAAGTCATTTTTGGATCAGTTAGTGGATGGGGGGTAAACCAGTTCTACCCATAGTCTTGGTTATATATGTGATAAATCTGTTCATACCCTCTTAGTGCATGCGTGGTGTCATCAGTTTTGACATCCAAATCAAATTTTGAGTGAAGGTCCTTAAACATATGAAAACAATGTATCTTGACCCCTACCTCACAATGTACATAGAAAATCAATTACAGGTGGACAAAGATTCAGCTGTAAATGTTTTATAAAAGAAAAATGAAAGAAAATATCTAGTTCATTGGAGGAAAGCAAAGAAATTTCTCTCTCACATATACACACAAATAAAAACTAATATATTTATATACAATTATATATAACATCTTATACATACAGAGAATGTATGTTTATATGCATGTATGCATATAATTTCAAGTATATTTAAGATTCTGTGCAAATCAGAGTTACAAAGTGGAAAAAGATAATTGTGATAAATACATCTGAAAAAACACTATTTAGGATTATTTGACATCAAATATAATTCCATAAAAAACACAAGAAATTCAATAGAAAAATAGGCAAATAACTGAACAGGCACCTAGAAGAGGGTATCCATATGTTCAATTAACATACTGAAATGTGTTTAACTTCATTAGTCATGAGGGGAATTCAAATTAATTCCAAAATATTTTACCACTATACAACCACCAAAAAGGCTGTAACAGAAAGGCAAGTGGCATCATTAGTTGTGAAGATGTAGAACAAATGAAACATTCACCATTATGAGAGTCAAAATTGGTGTAAACACACTGGAAAACTGTTCATTCATTCAGACTTCCTGGTGTCTAGAACACACCTAAGTTAAAAATTGGTATCACTCTTACTAGCAACATCCTAATGATTATTGAAATTCTGGTCTTGTAGCTACTCAGTAGAATGAGCCAAAGCAATTTATATGTATTGATAGGAAAAAAGTTCATTAAAAATTTAATAATATAA
Source organism: Homo sapiens (assembly GCF_000001405.40). Lineage (NCBI taxonomy): Eukaryota > Metazoa > Chordata > Mammalia > Primates > Hominidae > Homo > Homo sapiens. The sequence goes on along the minus strand of NC_000001.11, from coordinate 194,743,884 downwards.
TTATATACTGTAGTAGTTCCAAAATATAACTATACTGATATTAATGAATATTAGAGCTAAAATGGTAGACATGTTTTAACTTTGAGTGATGTTTATCACAAGTAAACTTGTAATATATAAAATCATACTACCTTTAGATAAAAATTATTAAAATTAAAAGACTTGATTTTAGGTAATTAAATAATTATAATTTATAGAGACTTTAATACAAATATAGCTAAAGGAATCAATTAAAATAAATTAGAAAATAATTATTTTAATAATTGGAAAGTCAAAGATCCAAGAGCTTCAAAATCAAGTCAAAAATGATCAAACAAATCAAAAGAGAAAAACTAAAGAATTTAAAATGTTTTAAAAAGTGAGTAACAGGGCCAGACACAGTGGCTCATGCCTGTATTCCGAGCACTTTGGGAGGCCAAGAAGAGCAGATCAGGAGGTCAGGAGTTCGAGACCAGCCTGGCCAACATGGCGAAACCCCATCTCCACTAAAAATACAAAAATTAACCAGGCATGGTGGCTGGTGCCTGTAATCTCAGCTACTCGGGAGCCTGAGACAAGAGAATCACTTGAACCCAGGAGGCAGAGGTGGTAGTGAGCCGACATCTTGCCATTGCACTCCAGCCTGGATGACAAGAGCAAGACTCTGTCTCAAAAAAAAAAAAAAGAAAAAAAAAAGGTGAGTAACATCTCAATTACATTAAAAAGTAGAAAAAATAAGTAAATTCATGGGTTAATATTGTGTAAATATACTATGTGTGTATGACTTTTTGGAAATATTAACACTTAATGAAGATATAAAAATTCAAGCAGATAGACATTTTAACTCTTATATATATATTATATTACATCATTTATCCAAAGTAATTTGGCTCCAAATAGTCAAAATTATAAATAAATTAGAAGAGTATCCTACACCTAGATAAACTTTCAAAAAACACTGAGCAAAATGGCACCCTCTGCAGCACAATTTCTAACATATCAACGTGATTGTAGATTCCATGAAAATACTAAAATAAACTAAAAAAGTTTGTGCTGTTTGGCTTTACTTGTGTATACCCATGAAGCGATTTTTCTGTATGAAATAGTCATAGAATTAAAAAGAATGTACATAACTTAACAGTGTAACATCATTCTTCCATTTCTATTTGAACCTTTTCTAAATAATTTTGACTATGAATAACAAATTAGCATTATTTTACTAAGATTGTTTTGCACAGTGTTTGAAATAAAAGTTCTAAATGTCAACATTGTATCATTCAAAAATGCAACTTGATGACTTTTCTTAGATGCAAAAGAAAACTCTTCTATCATGTTTGCCTGAACCAAGAATATAATAATTTATGGCACTAAGACGCATTCACAGTTAAAATATTTATTAATTTACATGTAGCTATTTTGTTACCAGAAATTTATATTGTATTCATTTCCTTTTTAATTTTAGTAATGAAAAAGTAAAAGATGAATCAAGTAAAGGATGAACTTATAAAGTGCCCACATGGAATTTCTTTATCTGTTTTTAAGTAAGTGTATGCAAAAATGAAAGAGCCACCGCTTCATGATATCAAAAAACCTAAATGTGGATAACATTTGTAAAGTACAGGTGAATTATAAGCAACCCCAAATTTTCTATAAGCATAATATATTTAATTATGTCTTTTGTTTGTTTGTTTCTGTCAAATTAGCTATCAGTCCACTGCATTGATGGGACTAGAAATATCAGAATCACAAGAGTCCTTCCTTTTTTCAGAGGGAGGGTACTTATTTCAACTTAGGTAGCAGCATCCCACACCTACAATGATTAACCTTGTAGGTAAGAGTTTTTTTATTGATAGATTACACTAGTGTTCTACCCTTGAGGTTCCAGCTGACTCTTGTAATCATTCATGGTTTATATGCTCTAGTTGGTATGTCTGGTGAAATGTTTATTTTATATTTACGATTATTTTGCGTGGATGTGGTGCATTTATTTAAGTTTACTTTTTGGAGAGGAAAAAGCAAAAGTGGAGAGATAAATAATCTAAAGCTAAAAGCTTATGCATAAGCATTAATCTTGCAGAACTTTCCTCTATCATACAAACATTGCATTATTTTGGAATAGCCTATCTATCTGTTTATCTTATCCAAGTAGACTCTGAGTATGTTTCAGTAAAAGGTTTTATATCTATCTTCCTCCTTAGTACAGAGAATTGTTCCCCAAAGGGAAGGTACTTACAAAAGTATTGATAAAATTTGAATGCATTAAAGGAACATGTTGGATCTCTTACTTGGCACTTTTTAAGTTATAATTTATTGTTAATTCTGTGACTGGATTTTGCATAACAATAAAATACAGACTATTAGATATTGTCACAATCCTGACATATATTGAACATATTTCAAACAACTTTCTATAACGCATAATATAAGTATTATCACATTCTTTTCTTCCTCTTTACAAAGAAAGAATATTTAATAAAAGTAACAAGGTAAAACATAAGAATAAGTAATAGCTCATCTTGGCTTCCTAAAAGTGATTTTTATTAAATACTTTTTGAAAAATTAAATGACATTAAATATTTTGTTCAACACTGATTATCTATTATCAAACTTTTCTTTCCTCCTACTTTAGCTCAAGAAATTCTTTTTGTATTTATATTTACTGTATTCTGCATAGAAACTATTGTTACTTACTCCCTGAGGGGATAAGTCCAGTGACTAACTGGTTTCTTTGATATATAGCACTCTTTTGAAGATCAGACATTGATCTCTACTGCTGACAGAATCATATTCAGAATTGACAATACCATAATTGGCTTTCATAAAATTAAGATTTTGAGACTTATATAATAGCCACTTTGATCATGAAGCCATTGAGTAAATACTGGGTTGATTTGAGGGAGAAGCTCACTGACTCCGTGAGGTAGATTAGATTTCCACGTGATTATTAATCGTCATTGTAACAGAGTAAAAAATGAGCGTTAATATATGAGAAAAATATCTTCACACTCAGTGTCTATTCTGAAAGATACATTAAATTATTTTTCCCCAAAATTTCTTTTGAAAAAAATCCTCCAGTAATACTTGTTTAAGTCTCTAGCTATTCAGTACTTCTAACAATACCATTAACTCTTGCCCATACCTTGGAGTGGATCTCTGCTTTTTTGAAAAAAAAAAAAAAAAAAAAAAAGGCAGCTGTCTTTTCAGAGGAAGCTGAAAACAACATGTGCAGGTTGAAGCACTGTCCATGAGTTCTCTCTACCTCTACTCTCCTTCAAGGCTAACTCTAAGTTGTCTGGCAACTAAAAGCATTTTATTTCTGCTTCTGGAAGAATATTATGCAGAATTATATGTGAACCAGATGATGAGTCATGGTTGGAGTTCAATACACCAAGCTAAAAACTGATTCTAAAAAGGGGAATACTTCCCAATTACAGAGAACAGAGAATTGCTCTGAAACCTAAGTATTCTCTTAGTGCAATTAGGTAATTATATAGGCTCCATAATGCATTCCAGTCAGACACACTCACTACAAGCATTATTTGACCAACTATGTCATAATAATCAAGTAACACACCTGTTTAGAGCAAAGACTTATCTAAGCCTGTAAAAATACTGACAGTCCTATGATTTATACAGTAAAAAGATCAGAATACTGTTACCAAATTTGAAAAACATTTTTTCTGAAACTCGAACAGGCTCATAGGTGAAATGACTTTTATTTCACTTTAGAAAAAATAGTCTGACCTGACTTAAACCAAGAAGACAACACTGAGGGGCAGGTTTCACTCCTGAATTTTACATGGAGTCTTTCTCCTATGCTGTAGTATGCTAAGTCTTAACAAAACATTTGTGGTACATGAGACAAGCTGCTAAGTAGGCCCTGTGAGAATGATCCCATTCATGTAGTAGGACAATGTAATTTCTGGTGGAAGAGTAAGAAGATCAATACCTCTTCAGCATATCTCAGAATGTGAGACACATAATATTTATATAATAAGACAGTAAAAATATACTTTTGTTGCGCCATATGAAAGCAAATTGTTTCTGGTGCTTTTTCCTCAAAGAACTTAAACAAATTTACAAGAAAAAATCAAACAACCCCATCAAAAAGTGGGCAAAGGATATGAACAGACACTTCTGAAAGAAGACATTTATGCAGGCAACAGACACATGAAAAAATGCTCATCATCACTGGCCATCAAAGAAATGCAAATCAAAACCACAATGAGATACCATCTCACACCAGTTAGAATGGCCATCATTAAAGTCAGGAAACAACAGGTGCTGGAGAGGATGTGGAGAAATAGGAATCCTTTTAAACTGTTGGTGGGTCTGTAAACTAGTTCAACCATTGTGGAAGTCAGTGTGGCAATTCCTCAAGGATCTAGAACGAGAACTACCATTTGACCCAGCCATGCCGTTACTGGGCATACACCCAAAGGATTATAAATCATGCTGCTATAAAGACACATGCACACGTATGTTTATTGAGGCATTATTCACAATAGCAAAGACTTGGAACCAACCCAAATGTCCATCAATGATAGACTGGATTAAGAAAATGTGGCACATATACACCATGGAATACTATACAGCCATAAAAATGATGAGTTCATGTCCTTTGTAGGGACATGGATGAAGCTGAAAACCATCATTCTGAGCAAACTAACGCAAGGATGGAAAACCAAACACCACATGTTCTCACTCATAGGTGGAAATTGAACAATGAGAACACTTGGACACAGGGTGGGGAACATCACACACCCGGGCCTGTCGTGGGGTGGTGGGGAGTGGGGAGGGATAGCATTAGGAGATTTACCTAATGCAAATGACAAGTTAACACGTGCAGCAAACTCACATGGCACATGTATACACATGTAACAAACCTGCACGTTGTGCACCTGTACCCTAGAACTTGAAGTACAATAACAAAAAATAAAAAATTAAAAAAGAATAAAAAAACCCAACTATTATACATTTGAAAGACACCAAAGAATAGAAAGAGTGTCTATTTTTTCTTATATACTACTGCCACTCCCAATAAGTAAGCTCAAAATTATTTCTTCTAATGCTCTAAGACTTGCACATTCTCTCTAGGCCAGTAGTTCAGTTAATTCGGGATATCCCTGGATCAGTGTTCTTTCATCTTTCAAGATTTCAATGATGTAATCACTTTTCTTTAGTAATAACATTTGACCTTTAATTTATACATTGTTTCGGAAAGAGGGCCCTGCTTTATAACATTATTTTTATTCCATGCTTTGATGAGCTAATAAGAGGACTCCACCAGTTGATGACTATATCTACACCAATTCAGAAGCCTAGGAAATAACTAAAGAATGGGGTAACAGACCACTGGATCAATTCTAAGCATCAGGTCTAAATGTCATTTATCAGTTAACCTCCACAAAGGCCTCCATTTTGACCAAACGGGCAAATGGCAACTTGTTTCTCACAGATTAGCATTAGATGAGACCTACAGTCCAATTATCCCTGAAACATCTGGATTTACCTCTTTTCCTGGGGTATATTATCCTGGAAAATGGCCATGTATCTCTGGGAATATTTGGGAGGAGGTTTATAGTGATATTTCAGAAGTTATTGTTAGGTCTTTTGTCAAGAGTATATGATACATCTTGCTTTCCATTCAAAAGGATCTGTGTATTTGAACTGACTTGTTCTGAGAATTAGGTGGAGTACCATTACTATGATGGTAAGTCGTTTTGCTCCTCGTTGGCTGGTATGACTCCAGGATTCCAATATCCTCCAGTTAAATCTGCTGCTGCACTTCAAAAAATAGTTTCACCTTAAAATATTAACATTTGTATTTCCTAAACCATTGCCCCATATAAGTCAAAGTTTTTAGCTACAAACAAGAGAAACCACTCTGCATAATTTAAGCGAAAGGGCTGACTGTAAGTGTATTATAGAGTTCACAGAATCCCTGGGGAGTCAGAAAAACTAAAAATATTCCTGCTAGAAGGAAAGCAAAAAGTTATCATGAAGCTTTTACATGGAAACATTTGTTCTGCTCCAACATGATTCTGAACAGCTATTATGTTAAGGATTGAGTTCTAAAATACTAATAGAGATACAAATGACTCTGTTTCTGTTCTTCAGATACTCTCTTTAATTGTCAAGTCTTCTATATCTCATTGGTAAATTCTCCATCAAATGTTGGTAGTCAAGTAGAAAAAGAATTGAGGCCAGACACGGTGGCTCACACCTGTAATCCCAGCACTTTGGGAGGCCGAGGTGGGAGATCACAAGGTTAGGAGTTCAAGACCAGTCTGGCTAACATGGTGAAACCCTGACTGTACTAAAAACACAAAAATTAGCAGGACGTGGTGGCACGTGCCTGAAGTCCCAGCTACTTGGGAGGCTGAAGTGGGAGAATCGCTTGAACCCAGAAGGTGGAGGTTGCAGTGAGCCAAGATTGTGCCACTGTGCCCCAGCCTAGGCAACAGAGCAAGACTCATCTCAAAAAAAAAAAAAAAAAAAGGAATTGAAAAATTTAGGTTTTAGGTTTAGGTTTTCAACCAATATGGGTATGAAATCATGAAAAAGGTGCCTGGTTATACATATGTAACTAACCTGCACATTGTGCACATGTACCCTAAAACTTAAAGTATAATAATAATAAAATTAAAAAAAATAACATTCCAAAAAAAAAAAAGAAAAAGGTGCTTGGGAATATTGTAACCTAGGTTTACATGTCTGCCATATGCTACATTTTGGCCTATTTAACATACTTAAAATAAAACAAAACAAGATTTTAAAAAAACAAATCACTCGTTGTAACCAATTTTGCCTAAAAATACAACTAGACTCCAAAAGAATTAACAGCACACTCCTTCCCTCTCTCAAATAAGGACACTTAAACCCTCCTTATTCACTGCATTACATTTTAGTTGATATGTATTTCTTTCTTTCAGTCAAAATATAATATTGGTAATTACAAAAAACTTACAAAGGTAAAGGAGAGATGAATAAAAGTTATTTCACATCCATTTGACTTTTAGGTTTAAGGGCAAATTTTATGTTTAATATTTTAATGTATTTATATTCTATCTTGGTTACTCAATTTGGAAATCCTAAGTATCTAGATAATTATAAATCTTTATACTTTGTTCTGTTTTTTTTTCTATGTATTTTACCTTTTTCTTTAAACTTGTTCATTATGAATGAATATCCTAAACTTTCCTAGCAATGATTTGGTTGTCTGGTGGGTTGATTCAGATTTTCAAATCTGATTCTCCAGTAATATTATATTATCCACAGTATCCCTTTAGCTCTGTTGTCTCATCTTTGATCACCATAATCTTTTAATTTTTTTTTTATGTATGGAACATTGCTGTTGTCTAAAACGTTCTTCTGCTTTATGGAATTAAGAATTTATGAATGAATTTTTAAGAAAGCAAATGAATTTAAAATAATGTGTGAATGATTTTTTCTTTTGCTTTTGCATATGATTTTCCTTTTTTCTTCTCTCTTTCTTTTTAAAAATATTCCACTTCTGCCATATGTGGTTTTCTCTCTTCAGTGAGTGTGGAAAAGAATTCTTTTTTAATTTCCTGTTTTTTCTGTTGATGAGTCCTAATCAACCTGTTTCTGGACCACATTATTTCCAGTTCTGCTAGAAAAAAAAAAGTTGCTTTTCTGTTTTAATATTTTTTAATGAGGAGTGTGGTTATTTATGCTTTAGTATCTACTAACTTTCCTTATAAATGATTGACTTCTAAAATATCTTTCATTTCTCCTGAGATTTGGGAATACATTTTATTTCTAAACATATTCATAGTAATCAAATTAGAAATGCTTTATAGGATATGTTATCCATATATATTTTTCTGAGAACCTGATCTTTCTCAACAAGCTCAGCCAGTGGGCAGAGATTATGTGATGTGTTTATCAAACAATTTATTTTTCTTCTTGAAATATGGGAAGATACATTTCCCAGGTTGCCTTCCACCTGTGTGGGATCATGTGACTGAGATCTTACCAGTGAAATGTGGGAAGAATTGATTTTGATGATGACCTTTCCCTCTGTCTCTCTCTTTTCTGGTATGCATGACTGAAAACTGTTATGCTAATAGAGGTATTCAGTGGAAGAAGCATGAGTCCTTGAGTTTATCGTTTGGAGAGGAGCCACCAAAGAGACGCGTGTGGCAAAGAACATTCACATTAGACTTTGTGTAAGTGGGGAATACAGCTGTATTACTTAAGTGCTTAGATTTTTTTGATTCCTTATCATAGTCGATGGTGTTTTTAAAATATAGACAGTGAGATATCAAGACTTAAAAACTTGTGTCAGAACTGATTGAAGAAAACAATGGTGGGGGGAGGGCACCTGCATATTACTGGACAAAAGTTGTATGTTGGGTTAATCTGATTTATCTACAAGAAATTAGGAAATGGGACACCGTTAATCTAAATCACTTATGAGAACAGAAAATAACTGTGTGTGTGTGAAATGTACTTGCATGTTCTTATAGGAGAGTTCAAAAACTCCTATAACTGAGGTTGCTAAAAGTGAACTCTCTTACATTCTCTTTATAATACATTTTAAAGATCTGAAATCACATTAGTTTGAATAGACTTCTGTCCATAGTGCTTAATTCTCCTTAGGAAAAAAAAAGTCTGGATTCTGTTATTGGACCTCTGGCCATCTGTCTGAATAATCACTGTGACAGTCAAAATTCTTAGTCACAAGAGTTGGATCCGGCTGCTTTAAGCAGACAATGACTTCATTAAAGGATATCATGTAGTTCACAGAGAGGGCTGGCAATAAAGGCTTGAGACAAAGCAGCCAGAATCAGTCAATCAACCACCATACAGAACTGGTCTGGTAATAATCTGCAGCAATTCTCACCAGGCACTAATAACTATACTTTCCATTGCTGTCAATTCTGGGCTGGAAACTAAAGTTCACAGCAACAATTAACCGAACCGCTGCTGGAATGTGTTCTAATCTCCATGTTTCTGACATTACTGGCTTCCAAAAAAAAAGTCTGCTGCTAATTCATCTACTGATTCTTCACAAATATTTATTGAACCCTTCTGTAACGATACCACTCCTGGGTTCTATTTGGTACATGGCTAGCTAGAAGCAACTTAGACCTAGAAAACTGATGAAAATCTGTATTTAATGCCTCTAAGAAGAAATCCATATTTGAAGAAATCCATATTTCTCTTCTTTCCTCTCCTCTTTCTCCTGGCTAGAACATGTTCAGTTGAAAATTCTTTGAATCAGCAAAGAAACAACCTTAGAAAAAACAAGAAGGCAACTCTCACATCTCTTTAGTTCTAATTGCCAAAAATTAGGAGAGTGCATACAGTTTGGAGAATCTTTTTATATCTGAATGCTAGCTGCAATTATTTCAGAACAATATAATTTTTAAATATTCAGCCTTTGCAAGAAAAAAGGCATTGTAGAATAGAGGAGCATGATCTAATCAATAGCCTCTACCTGATAGAGACTTGTTCATAGGTCTGTGCCCTGGGACGTTGCATTGGAAACAGAGAAACCAATGATTTGAGTTTATACAATAGGTGAGAATATCTTAAATATATGAAAAAATATTCACATGTTGGAAAAACAAATAGAAAGCAAATATCTAAAATTCTTCTCCTAAAAAAATCTTTCCTATATGCAAATCTATAATCATTGTTAAATTGCTGAAGATTCTTAAATCTAACTCTGTATGTCTCTCCTACATACTTGATCAACGTATCTGACTAGCAATAAAAATATTTACCAACGCACCTTGCTGATACTCCAAATGTTATGTTACTCTTTTTCTAAAGTTATTTCCTGGTTTCTAATTATTCATCTTATATGTGTATATAATTAGCACTTTGCTTAGGACAACATGGTCATATCATAGATATTATTGACCACAAGAGTGGACAGATATTGGCAAGCTTCATTTTTAATGGTAATATTTTTACAGAGATTGAGCATTTTTGTACAAAAAGTAGTCAGTCTCCCTAGTAATTTCTATCTTTTTTATTTTTTAACAAGAAAAAGATCAAGCAAACCTGCACTTGTACCCCTGAATTTAAAAATAAAAGTTAAAAGTAACAAACAAAATCAATTAAAAAATTACAAATATAAATGTGTATGACACTCGAGGGGTTATTTTTCCTCTTTTCTCAGGAATGCTTTTATTACAAGAATATATATCTAAATTGAATTCCTGTCCTTAAGGTACTTGGGCCACTTTAATTGCTTTTCTAATTTCTTTTAAAAATTGTTTCTGTGGTCTTTATTATTAAATAGATACTGTGATAGGAATTTATCAAAAACTTATTAATTAAAATATATAAATTTATTAATTAAAATATATTCCTCAAATATATGTCTGATTTCATAAATATAAACCTATGCAAATGCAAATGAGATGGGAGTTGGGACATTCATTTGGGCTTGAAATCTGTAGAAGTTTGGTTTAACAAACCAATTGCACACTGTGTGGAAGAAAAATGTCCTGTCCAAGACCAAGATTTTTGCCGATATCTGTAGGAAGAAGTAAAGAAACATTTTCATTATGCACTCTAGTATCAGTTTTCTTCTTACCTGCCGGTTTGCATTAATATGTGTGTGTGTTTGTGTGTGCATGCGTCTATGTATAAAATATTTATACACACATACTTTATATATATACTTATATATATATACTTTACATATATAAGCACACACTTCACATATGACATATAAATACACATATATCCATTGTTACATTTATTCCTGTGAGCCTATATACATATTGCACAAAGCACTGACATTTTGATAAATATGTGGGAATTTGAGAGACTTATGGAGTGAGTCAGAATACCTTATTAAAACTGCAACTTTGCATTTAAAATTATTTTATTAGTATATGCTCACTCTCTGAAGTTCTTTTGTCCTCCCAACTACTGAGGATTTATAACTATTGAGGGTCAATAGATGGTCAAATTTTATTCCCTTTTTCTCCCTTATGCCTTTTCTCTGGTATTCAGCCTTTCTCTCATGATTTGCACTGGGAACTCCACTGAATACATAATAATATCGATAATATATCAGTTTCATGCAGACACACACATATATTCTAGGCACTATGTATTACAGGTAATATATAATACAATTTTCATCCAAAAGTATGGCATAGGCATTACTATTATCTTTACTTTGTAGGTGGATAAACTGTATATTAGGAAAATTAACTTGCAAAATTTCTGTATCTGACATGTATTCCCAAATTTCTGTATCTTCTCTTTTCAGAAAGATTGTCCATGTAGGGTTTAGAAAAGCCTCTAGATTTCTGGGCTTTGTTATAAACATATTATCTGGCTGCCCTAATACATTTGAAAAACCTTCTTCAACTCTATACTGAAAAGCAAAAGTTGTCTATTTACTTTCATGTAAGCTCTGATGAGACTCCCTAGTTACTAAGCACAAGAGGGCAGGAATATGTTTGCCTTGCTTATCATTTTATAATCAAGGCAGGCATTATGACTGCATAATGTCAGTCATTATGCATAACAATAAACATTTATTAAATGAATTATAAATGGATGTGTAATTATGATATCTCAAAGAAAATTAAATATTTAAAACAATACAGACTAAACTGTTTTCTGAATCCAGAAATTTGGTTCAAATGTCAAAAATCTCTTGAGCTACAAGCTTTAGAGGGTTAAAAATTTCATGATTGAAGGTGGACCACTAGATATACTGCTACATTGAAACCTACACATAAATGATAAGTTGTCTATACTCACATCTGTGTGGTTAAGAGTTGAAAAAATTATATACTACACTCATCCATGTTAAAGTCTCTTTTTTTGTTGTTCAAAATGAAATGCTAAAATCAGCCAGTCCCATTCCCATTCCAGAAGCATAATAAGTTTGGGGACAAATATTCTATAATAATAAATAATTTCAAGAAAATTCTATGGAAATAAAGTGATTGATACTCAACTAGATTTAAAATAATATTCTTTGAATTACATTATGCTAAAATGAACACTTCTAGAATGACAATAGTTTGAAGATGTTATATATCCCGTCTTTTATTATCTTATGTTTTTAATATTCTTTAAACATCACACATTAAATTTCCATTTAGGAAATCAAATTATCTAACTTGAAATTCATTCAAACATGATTTTATTTGTTTCATTTTGACAGACAGTCATATGCCACTAAGTTATTATCGTTTAATATCAATTTCATAGTGGAAAGGATCAAAGCTAAGGAAAGACTTGTTTCCAAACAAAAATTTTATTATTTTCTGTCTAATTCAGAAGAGTAACAAAATTAATGCTTATTGGTACAAAGAAACTTGGTTTTGCAGAGAATGTTCTCATAGATTTCTACCCAAGTTTGACTGTTTCTTCTCAGTATTTTCTGAGAACATCTTCGTTCTGGCTCCTGGGTTTTGATGATACATGTTGTTCCTGGATTCTGGGTTTGGTTTCTATCCATACCACACTTGCCCTTTTCCACTCTGTATTATCACTGGGGAAGGTAATCTTCTCAAACACTTTATAATACTGTCAATTTTCAGATTTGTATATGCAATTTAGTCCAAGATCTACTTGAATAAAACAAAACAAAACAAAACAAAAGTGCCTGTACATTCTGGACACATGTAAAAGCTTAAGTATTTTTAAACTCCTGTTAAGACTTGTCCCTCCACCAATGCTCTTCTCTTAGGTTGTTGTCAGCATCTGACTCACTATTGAGATCATAAATCTGAAGGTCATTAACTTTTTTTTCTATAATGAATAAATTTATTGTCTTACAAAATCATTGTCTAGATATATGGGAATACAAGAAAAGATACTTGCAGTCAGGTATCTGGTTGTCAACAGCAAGTACAATTCATAAAGGGGGAAAATCCAAGATTCCAAACCCACAGTACAAATTCTTCCTAACAGGTGTTACAGCTTTTAGCCCAAAAGCTTTGTGTTTTCAGGCATATTGCAGAGGATCAAGGATTTATAATTAACACCGATTTATTGTTACTGAATGTTTGTGATAACATTTTGACTATTGATGGTTTTCAACCTATACTACTTCTCTAAGGCATGTTTAAAATGTGTTAGGGCATATTTTATTTTTACAAGGACAGAAGTATCACTGGTTTTTAATAGACTGCAGCCAGATATACTAAAATCTTGGAATACACAAGATTATAATAAATAAAGAATTATTCTTCCACAAATGTCAATATGACCTATTTCAAAAGCAGTGTGCTTTTACAGTGAATCTGGTTCTCCCTCTTCTATTGCTGCAATATTTCTTATATTGGCTTTTTAGTTTTGATCTCTAATACCAACTGCTATTTTAGTAACTCATAGGATCTTGGCTGTTCTACTGCAATGTTTTCCAAACGTTGCATGAATTGCATCATTCAGGTATATACACTTGATATGGTTTGGCTGTGTCCCCACCCAAATTTCCTCTTGAATAGTAGTTCCCATAATCCCCACATTTTGTGGGAGGGACCCAGTGGAAAGTGATTGGATCATGGGGTATGGATTCCCCCATACTGTTCTTGTGATAGTGAGTGAATTCTCATGAGATGCGATGGTTTTATAAGCGTCTGGCATTTCCCCTGGCTGGATATCTCCTTCCTGCCACCTTGTGAAGAAGGTGCCTGCTTCCCCTTCGCCTTCCCCGATGATCGTAAGTTTCCTAACGCCTCCCCAGACGTGCTGGACTGTGAGTCAATTAAACTTCTTTCTTTTATAAATCACTCAGTCTCTAGTATGTCTTTTTTGGTAGTGCAAAAACAGGCTGATACAACTTCAGAATTTTTAAGTGCCTTGCATGTGTGACACATTGTTCTAGGTACTGAGACAGAGTAAAAGTAGCTCCTTGTAAATAGTCTCACTCTTGTGACAGAAGACAAATAACAGAAAATTAAATCCAAAAACAGAAGTCAGGAAGTAAAAAGAAGTAATATAAAAACAGAAATATGATTACCAGACAGTAACTGGGAAAATAATGACAACTTTGAATAGGATGGTCAAGCAAAGGGAATAACAGTTTTTTTGTGTTTTTGTTGTTGTTGTTGTTGTTGTTTAGTTAGTTGGTTGGTTATTTTAGAGACAGGGTTTCACTGTGTTTCCCAGGCTTGTGTCAAACTGCAGGCCCCAAGCAATTCTCCTGCCTCAGTCTCCCAAAGAGCTGAGATTACAAGCATAATCCACCAAACCCAACCTGGGAACACTTATAATACCATTTGTATTGAACTGACACAAATAATTGTATTGAACACATAAATAGAAGGGCATTGCAGTTGAAGTGGAGAAATACAGTTGGAGAGTGAAATGCAATAAGGTTGAATATGTAGGTAGGAAGCAGATGTCATGGGTCATTAGAGACAGGGCAACCATGCAGTGCAGCATGTCCAAAATTAGGTCATAATTATTGTTTTGGTGTAATTATAAATAGTACTGCCTTTCATCCTTTTTACACAATTATATAACAATTCAGGTTACAGAAAATGTTAAAAGATTGGCATATTATATACACAAAAAGTTATCTGAGAACTTAGGTAAAGCAAAACAAACAAGCAAACAAAACACTGCCTATTGTGTGGCATTTTATTGGTGAAGAATGAGGGAAGGAATAGACTAAAACCCAAAAGAAATATATTGCAGCAGTCTCAGTGAGAATGAATCATAGAATTGACAAGCATTTTGTCAGCAAATATGTAGCTAAGTGAATAGAATCAAAATACGTGAAGGATTTCGCTACTGTCAACAGTTATTTGTCTATATAATTTTTCTCCATTCAAGTCCTCTAGCCAGAATAACTCTAACAACTTCTATCTTAAAATGCAAATATATCCATATTCTGGCCCTTATTCTATTTTATAGAGTTCTTTACATTGGGAGCAATGTAAACTCCAGTGATTTCAGCTAAGTGTGAAAGGGAACTGATGCCTGGATATATTTGTGCTTTTTGAACTTCATTTCCTTCTACATCTTAATATTCACTTTATCATGGACCTGCCTTTTCTTCTTGATGTACATCTCAGTGTTACACATGTGCTTTCCATTGCCACCTCTTCTTCTTACCTAGAAATTCTTAAACTGTACCATTTTTTTGTTTCTTCATTCTTTGAACTTAGTATAAGTGTCATCAACTTTAATTAGTCCTTTTCTGAACTCCCAGTTCCTTAATTCATGTTCCTTAAAGTTGTTAAATATGTTGGTAATAGATACAGACGAGGTCTTATCTTCTGCCCTCATTGGTTATCTGTTGTGATAATTATTATGCAATGGGATACATCATTGTGCACCACTGTGAAATAATACAGGCACAGATCCTCTTTTCCTATTGGCTTTTTTGCTGCTAATAAAAAAGATGTGGCACAATTTAAATTGTTCCTAGATTTCAGATTGATTTTTTCTTTGCATGGAAACCCATGTTTAAGTTAGACCAAATGTGGTTACATTTGCATTTATATGATTTACAATTGTCCCTAAATGTCTTATCCCTAGGCACAAGTATTTTTCCCCAAAAAATATACTTATTTTTAAGTCATCTCCTGTTTGTTTGTTTCACATTTCTATTGCCTACCTGGTATTTATATTTGACTTTAAAATATTATAGTTGGGTGTTGCTTTGATGGAAGTCCTAAAATTGTTTTAAAATTTGCTGTTTTTCTTAGCTACTATTTCTTCATTAATGTGTTAGAAGATTTACAAAAGACTCTTTGTATGCTAGATATATCAAATTAAGCAAGAATATTTATTCTTTAAACACTATATTTCACATCAGCCATTGTGATCTTTGAGGACCTACTATATATGACCCACATTTCTCAATCTATCCTCGCTGGATTAGTGGTGACATTTAGTTTCCTCTGTTGGAGATGTGTGCCTGCAGCTCTGCATCTGTAATTTTCTAAATAAAGGAGCTGAGATGGTAGTTATAATATTAGAGGCTTTCAAACACTATTTACCCCTGAATCTCTAAGTTTAATTTAAAAATCTAGGTACTGGGCCTTTGCTCACCCCTGTAATCCCAGCACTTTGAGTGGCCGAGGTGGGCGGATCATGAGGTCAGGAGTTCAAGACCAGGTTGGCCAATATGGTGAAACCCCTGTCTACTAAAAACACAAAAATTAGCCAGGTGTGGTGGCACGTGCCTGTAGTCCCAGCTACTCTGGGGGCTGAGGCAGGAGAATCACTTGAACCTGGGAGGCAGAGATTGCAGTGAGCCAAGATCACACCACTGCACCCCAGCTTGGGCAACAGAGCGAGACTCTGTCTCAAAAAAAAATAAATAAAAAAAATTAAAATCTAGGTACTGCCATATGCTTTGTTGAGTAATATCTGAAGTCCTTTGTAATAAATTTATAAATATATATTCTTATAGAGATATAATGTCTAGTGTACTATTAAGAAGTTGACATTTTAATGTGCAGTGGCTTTATCACTCTTCCACTGAAATTAAAATAAACTAGCAATTTGATAATAGCATAAAGTATAAAAAGACATCTTCAGTAGCCAGAAATTTTGCATGATTGTTATTTCTATGAAATTGTACTGCTATGCCACTTAAATTTTTTCCCAATATTTTATATTTGTAGATTAAAAGCCTTTTATTAATCACTGTCATATTTCTTGCCAACAAAATATTATCGTACCAAGTCCAATTATTTAATTTTTTAGTATGACTCTCTTTTGTATACAATTAAGTCAAAATGAATGTTTTACTATACTGATCAACAATTTTAAAGTCCAAAAAATAAAATTATTTTGGAAATATATTTCTTGTTAAGATGAATGGAGCTGTTTTATTTTGTTTGCTTTCAAATAGTTCTTATATACCTGAGGATTACTCTTTTATTGTAACTAGTATTTTATTTTTGTAGGTATAACAAAACTATGAGAAAACTTGGTGACAGAAGACAGAAATGAGAGGAATTTTAACATGTCTAGAGCGTAATTATTCAAACTCATTTCAAGTTAAAAGCCAAAATTTAAATAATGTATCATCACAAAATATAGCCAATAATCTATCAACTAATACTTAGATTAAGAATCTTTTCAAATTGTGTTGAAATCAAGTGAATGGAAGCCATCTAAAATGTAATTAAATCCATTTCTCTGTTATTAGATATATCTACTTTTTCAATTTCTTGAAATTTTACCAAAAGTTTTACCAAGTCCTGTCATATGACTAGCAACATACTTATTATACCTTCATGTAAAGAACTGTTATTTTATTAGATTTACAAACAATTTTGGGGAAAAAATGATATCACTACACATTCGTTATTACAATTTTTAAATAAAATGTTCTTTTTAATCTTTCACATAAATATTTCTTGTGAGTATTCAATTGAATTTTATATTTTTTATTGAAGTTGTTTATAATTTTACAATTTAGCAAAAGCAATCCTTACATTCAGTCTAAACAGGCAAATCTTATTCATTGTCTAGAGAATGTTTATTTTCATTTTCAATTTAAATAACACATTAGTGTGCATTGAAGAAATATTTTTTAAAATAGTACACATATAAATTATATAATTTTTAATATACATTATTAAAATAAGTAAAGTTATGGGCAACATCATTTCCAGGTAATATAATTAATTTGTCCATGTTTATAATACACTATGAGAGGATGAAATCATTTCTCATCTAAATTGTAGTAATCTAATGCCGTTAATACCAGTTAAAAAGGCAAAAAATAACAGATGCTGGTGAGGCTGTGGAGAAAAAGGAATGCTTACACACTGTTCATGGGAGTGTAAAATTAGTTCAATCATTGTGGAAGACAGTGTGGCAATTCCTAAAATACCTAAAGACAGGAATACCATTTGACCAAGCAATTCCATTTCTGGGTATATATCCAAATGATTCTATTATAAAGACAAATGCACGTGTATGTTCATTGCAGCACTATTTACAAGAGCAAAGACATAAAATCAACCTAAATGTCCATCGATGATAGACTGGATAAAGAATGTGTAGTACATATACAACTTGGAATAGCATGTAGCCTTAAAAAAGAACAAGATCATGTCCTTTGGAGGAACATGGATGGAGCTGGAGGTTATTATCATTAGCAAAGTGACACAGGAACAGATAACCAAATACTGCATGTTCTCACTCATAACTGGGAGCTAAATGATGACAACATATAGACACATAGAAGGGAACAACACACACTGGGGCCTTCAGGAGGGTGGAGGGCAGAAGGAGGGGGAGGATAAAGGAAAATAGCTAATGGGCACTAGGCTTAATACCTGGGTGATGAAATAGTCTGTTCAGAAAACCCACACGACACAAATATATCTATGTAACAAACTGTACTTATATCCCTGAACTTAAATGTTAAAAAAAGAAGAAAAAAAACTACAAGTTATTTATGCAGTGAGATGTATGGTAGAATGCAGGGTATTATTTCCAAGTTATTTGGTGCAGTGTATGCAGAAGTCTGATGTTGAGATCTAGGCCATAATTAAATAGGAACGTAATAAATAAGAAATACATCCACTTGTTTTGTTAAAACTCACTATCAAATTCTTTGTGTGAATGAAATATAAAATTAAATAGTGCTAAAATCAGATGAACTAATAGCTAATATTATAACTAGAAAGTAGAACATAGCATGAAAAAAATAAGAAATGCCCCTAATTGGAACAAATATTTCATGAAATAATTTTTATAAAATTATGTATTACCTATTTCATTAAATTTTGAGTAATTAGTGTAAAACAAATCACACATTTTTCACTCAGTATATCCAAAAATTTTGACTGTTCTGGAAACACTCCAGTGACATTTAAAAGATTCAGCATCATATACAAATTTAGCTTTTGAATTTTTTAATGGCTCTGCTTTTTAGCTACTCACTCATCCAAATAATGAGTTGTGAGAAAGCTCAAAAATATTGTTTACCTTTAAACATGGCTTCATCATTTTTCCTTTTGATGTTTTCTTGGATTTATTCTTAAAAGTCCCTTCCTGAGGAATAATGTGTTATTTGACAATAATTGATGAAGGATGGAAAAGGAAAAACAGTGTCACCAACTTTTCTACATTAAAATATCTCAACAAGGGCCAAATATTCTGCTTCTAAAGCCTCATTAACTTAACAAAACTATGTATGAAACAAGGTAGGAATGTTTTATGGTATAAAAAATCATAAAAGGGGCTTCCATAAGAACCAATAATTCTAACTGACACTTTCTGTTGCATCCCAGGTGCAATCCACCTTAAGCAATACATCAGAAGAAAATTAAAAAGAGCAAGGAGATGTATTTTCCTTTTGTAAAGCACAAGATATTAGGGAAGGATATGGGAGAGAAGAACCAGTAGACATATATAGGTCAATTCTCAGGCAGATTGAATTTAGTAAAAATGAACTTAGGGGAATTATCTATGTGGAAATTAATTTCTATAACACTATCTATATTCCCACAATTAACCTTGAAAAGGCTTCCTGTATTAAATTTTAAGACTGTGGTATTGAAAGTTTTGCCTATCAATATCAATACATTGATCAAAACTTGAATAAGTGTTAGCTAATTTATTGAGAAGACCCATACATTTATTGGAGTCAAGACGTTCTAATAAGTGGATTCAAATCTTCGTTCATTAGCAAATGTTTATTATTTCCAACTATAGGAAAAATCTGCAAAATTCTCTTACAGAATGTTTGATAATGTTTGCTGATGTGGAAGACATTACAGAGCATGATTGTAAAAAATGACTCCATTGGTTCATAGTTGTTCAGGTAAATCACTGTGGCAGTGTGCTGTGCTCTGGTTCCAAATTTCAATATTCAATATATGCCTATTGCATATACGCAATTGCTGATTAATTTGTCTTACCCAGGAACCTTAGAACAATTGAAATGGTAAAACTGTCCTATGCAGGTACATGAGTGATTTTATAACCCCAGACATTTTACAGATAAATAAGTTTTAGAATAAAATGATGAAATATTTCAAATCCTTAAAACCCACAGTATTAATGTATTTGTTTCCAATCTAGAAAGAAGTTGCTTTATCTTCAGCATTCTTATTGTGTTTATTATTGAAGATTAATCTTTAAGAAACATAAAAGTACCCAGAATGTTAGGCATGATTTTTTGAAAGAAGCAGGTGGAACTACTAAATGTGTAAGTTTAGGTTGTATAGAATAATAACATTGCTATGGTCTATAAACAATATTGGAATGTGTAAGACAATTTAATTTACTCTGCTTGGTATTTTGACTTATTTTTGCAAGATATTTAAATGCGTAGAAATAATTTGCTTGATAAACCTTAAAGTAATTAAAGTGCTTGAGAATATCTTTTTGACTGTGAAAATATGGAATAAAATGTTACAGTAATTCAATTGGCGAAGTTTATAAATGAAAATGATTGTTTAGAGGAATTTCATATTTTAACTTGTTCAGTGGAATCTTAATTAAATCACAAGGGAAATAAAATATGATTTTCAAATTCAAATTACAAAACAACTTAAAACAATCTAAGTTTTTGGATTTATAATGTTAATCAATTAAATTCCAACATAAATGTACAGACTATAATTGATTCTGTACATACACACACTAACACACACACTCACATACATTAGTCACACAACCCTCAGAAATTAAACATTCAAAATGACTCATATCAGCTGAATCATCTTGGGAGAATAACTTCATTAATTTCCCCTTGCTGTAAAATAGGGACAACAACAGAACCTATCTCATAGAATTTATTTGAACAGAGCATTGAATAATATAATAAATATAAAAAACATATAGAAGGTGCTCAAATTAAAGAGAAAAACATGCTCTAGGAAGGCAAATTATCTCACTCGTATGTGGAATCTGAAAGAGTTCATTTAAGAGAAATAGAGAGTAGAATGGTGGTTATCAGAGGCTAATAACCAGAGGGTGCTTAGGAGGAAGAGGAGAATGGGGAGACGATGGTCAAGGGATGCATAATTACAGTTAGATAGGAGAAATACCTTTCCCAAGATTTCTTGTGCAGCAGGGCAACTATAGTTAATGACTATATATTGCGTTCTTGAAAAACGCTAAGAGAGTGGATGTTGTGAACTCACCACAAAAATGATAGTTATGTGAGGTAATGCATTTGTCAATTAGCTAAGTTTATACCACAATGTACATATACTTCAAAACATTATATTGTACATAATATATATAATATTATATATCATTTTTAAAAATAAATAATTTTTTAAAAATGTTCCAAAGTGATACCCCTTTAACCAAAATAAGGATCACAGTTCAATCTAGAAAGTTTAGTAAACTTCTCTCCTACTTTAGTATAAAATATTGCTCATTTTACTTGGTGACCTTCAAAATGAGAAGTTAGGTTATAATATTTTTCTTTCCATTGAATATCAATTATTTCTTAGAAATACCACTTCTCAGAAATATAAATAAAATGTGTAACACAAAGTATTTTTATTTGTCCATAAATAATTATTTAATATCTGATAGTTGCCAGGATCCATGCTGAGTGCTGGGAATTAAAGGTGAACAAATAACACAGCATAGACCAATGCCCTTTAAAAGAATAGCATAGTAGTTAACATTAATTGATTATCAAATATGTGTTAGAAAAAGTGCTGAGTTCTTATATACTATGTATCACTTCTTCTTGAAAACATCCTTGTGAGGAAGATATTAATCACATTTCACAGATGAGAAAACTAAGCTTTGAGAGCCACTTGGTCAGGACTGCAGATAGTTAGTAGTGAAATTGGGATTCAAAATCTTATTAACTTATTAATGTGTTAAAATGCCTCCAGTCTGCTCCATTATCTGTGAAATGGATAGCACAGGGGAGGAAAAATAATTTTCCCTCTACCTTTCTCAGTTCTCAGCTTGGAGTCCTTTAGCAAAAGACAGTTTAGGACAAGAAATACAGAAGTTTATCAACATGTATATTTCTATATACATGGGCGATAGGGAAGTAGTTCTCAAAGAGGCGGCTTAGAAATCTGGCTTAAACAGAAGTGACAAGATTAAAGAAAAGGAACTTGTGTTTTTAGGGGTAGCCAATTTCAGGAAGGCAACTAAATAGGAAATTGGTGGTAGATAAAAGTTAGCTAGTCACGTGTGTTATGTAGATTCCCCTGGTGCTGTTTCCAGGGTCATAAGGGTCTGAAGTCATCTCTGGTGGTCAAATTTTGTCGTTCTTGGTAGAGAGGGCAAGAAGGGCCCCTTTATAAACTTATGTCATACTTTTACACAAATATGAGGTGAGCAGAGAGCTTTTCTTGTATCTGGATTTTTTCAATTGCCTTCAGCTCAAAATAATCCTCAGGCCAAAGTGGCATATTTTGGAGAGGGATATTCTCCTACTCCTCAGTAATAAGCGTCTGTCTACATAAGTCTGACTTAAATTTCGATGCAGTCTATTTCTATGTATTTTATATTTCCTACACATGTGTGTGTATATGAAAGTATTGAGTGGTATCTATATGTATAATTATACTTCATAATTGTAAATATTTGAGGTTGCTTTGTAGGTTAACGATAAAAGGAAAGTGTGTTGTAATTGCTTTTATTATAGATGCATACCCAAATTAGGCAAAGAGAGATACATATTAGAGGAAACAAACATATTCGTGTTTATTGCAAATTAATTTCAAATACACATCTCGTATATTTCCTTTTTTCTCTTTTTTCATGCTTTTGAAATACATTAAAGTATATTTCAGGTAATTCTGAAGTTCTCTATAAAGGTCTGATAAAAACAAACCAAGAAGTGTTAGTTGTGACATGTTATTTAAAAATTATCGCAGAAGTATATATGTCTCAATAGTAAATGTAAATGGTGTGGTTTTTGCCAAGGTTTTAAATTTTAAATTAATATACATAAATTTAATATGTATATTAAAAGTTATCTGACTCTAGTTCATCGCTATTTGCATATAATGAATATTAAATCGTTTTCAAAACAGGTATTTTACCTCATTATTACAGATTAAAAGTACATTACCTCTATTCAACAAAAATATAACAATATTAGAAAACATTAGATATGAATAACGTTTGATTTTAAGATGCATACTTACAATTAGAATTTGATATTATAAAAACTAGACATATAAATTCAAACTTTGAGATATTAACTATTAGAAAATGGAACATTTCATATGTACGGAATGGCGTTATGTTACTGAAAAAGGATTACATTCTCTTATTTTAAGTATTAGTAAAATTTAACAATAATCTAGGGAAAAATTACAAACAATTAGGGGATAATTATTGTGTTTCAGTCCCTAATTAGCCTTTGCTTACCTGAAATGGATTTCTTGAGCTTAAAAAGATTGACCTTTTAGTATAACCCATTAATTGTGTATACTCCACTAATAATGTGATTTTGCAATTAAAATAACAACCGAAATCCTTCAAATCACCCCGAGTTTTAGACAACTTTGTGTTCAAATTCATTTTAGATAAGTTATAAAAGGCAATTTGCCCATTGACTTCAAAACATCTAATTTCTAGCACAATCTATTAAGGTGAGCATCTTCAAAAATTGATCTTCTTTTGAGGTCTCCTCAAAGGAAAATTACAGCAAATCTTACCTTATATTCTTTATTAGGACCTGTATTCTCCTGAACATGGGAAAGCAGAGTATTCACAGTTACATCTAACTTCTATCTGTGACAGTTTTCGCTTGGTAGATTAGCACCAAGAATTTTGTATTTATAAAGAGAAATAACACACACAATGAAATGGTATGAAAGATTGACTACTCTGTCCTGTATACAGTGACATGCTTACCTGCCATAACTACAAAGCTAGTATTTTAAAAAATTGTATTATCTTTTAATTTTTGAATCTCTTTTACCTTTCCTCTTCTAGTATCCTCTTTCTCTTTGACTTTTAAAAAAAAAGCGTGAATTTTTTTTTCTATGTAGGGATCTCAAGCGTAATAATTATTTTTAGAAGTGTATATGTATGTGAATGTGTGTGTATGTGTGTGCATTACTCTATGTGTTTGTGTGTGTTTGTTCTTAGAGGTAGAGAAGAGGGTGAAAAAAGGGAAAAATAACCTACAGAAAAAACTTTTCCTTAAATTTTCAAATTTATTTGGGACAAAATTATGGAATTTTTTTTATTTATAAGGTATATAGTTATTAGGCTAGGCAGAAATAAAAGAACCAAAATGAAAATGTACATTTAATAACATCTTAATTTGGCATGGAAACTGAAAAAGTAGTTTGATTTTCTAAAGCAAAGTAATCTTTAGATTATTATTTATTTTAATTTCCAGAAGTTTTTATTATTACAATAACAGAACACACAAACCCAGGCAGAGACGTGTCCAACGAAATGATGGTTACATTTCACTGTTATTTGCCCTTTGGTCCTTCATCTTCTAAGCATTTATTATATTTTCTTTTAATGCTATTAGACTTTTATTTTGATAAGAAATATACTCCAAGTGTTAATAAATAAATATATTATCATGTAGCTACCCCTTTGCTCTACCATGTTTCTTTCAATAGAAAAAAAAGTGTTAAATGTGTCTAAATGTGTCTTCATAGCCTATTTGGCCGTAGCTGTCGCATCTGTGGTTTTAAAAATAGACTTTAGCCAGATCTTCTGGAATTCTTCTTGAATTATAGTTCATTATGTTAAAGAAATTCTGGGAAAGGAGTCCTACTGATATTGTCCATAGTCTCCAAAAAGTGAGGATGGTAACTCGGTTGAAGACAACTAGAAGAGTTCTTCAGCAAATATTCAGAAGCAAATTTTGTGAACAAGATAATATCTCCTTCAGTTCAAGCTAGAAGAATGTTACTCATCGCAGCTGACCCAACTATAGCCACTGGTCCATTTCTTGCTGCCAGTATGGCTCCCGTTATGGCACCACTTGTAATAGAGTTCCAGGGATCTTCTTTTCCTCTGACTTGAGCCATACTACAGTCAATCATGGGAAACAGACCTCTCTGAATGCAAAGCTACCTCCCAATTATGGAACATGGATTTTAATAGCTGTCAAACTCCTTTGGAGTTTGTGATTTACTCCTACTGGAGAATTGTGAAAACTTAATTGCTTGAAAGATACCACCACCAATGGTGCTTGTTGTAAAGGCCCCCACATAGCCTTGCTGGGGGGCGAGCCTCTCTAGCATGTTCTTCCAGGGCACAAGCAATCTGGATTATTTTTAATTACAGCTTCAATTAGAAAACTTCATGAGTATTTCCAGAACTTATAAAGTTTAACATTTCAGAAAAGAAGAAGTGATATGGCAAACATGAATATGTTCATGAATTATACTTTCTTTTAGTTTTTTTGTAAATTACAAAATTTTATTTTAAAGGAAATGAAAAATTGAAAAATATTTTAATAATTTTTGGGAGAGTTGAAATATTCTTATTTACTATTTAGTAAATAGTCAAACTATTTACCAAATTTGTATTTTCTCCATATTTAAATTAGAGAAAAAATAAAATGATTGAAAATACAAAATTATAAAAGATATTGCTTATAAGTACAAATAATCAGAAATTGATTAAAATGTAAAGCGTATTATAAAATCTACAAAAACTCACATGGATAGACATTCCCTCATTAACCTTCTTTCAAAGTGTCTAAAAATAAAACTAAGGAATCAGCAAGTGTTCTTTTCTCTAAGTTTCCAACTGAAATGCAGCTTATTAGGCAGTTCATCTAAACAGTTCGAATTTCAATCATTTAAATTGTTTAAAGCTCTTGAACATTTTAAAAACAATTAAACAGAGCAGCATCAGATTCTAAAATGCTTAGTCATTTTCTTTTGCATAACTCATTGCCAAAATGTTTCCATGGGAATAAAATCCAACTCCTTAATATAGACTATGTTCTATGCAATTCTCCTATGGCTCCATCTAAATTCAGATATTACCAGAAAAAAAAAAACAGCTAAAGTGATATGCATAAAAACAATGCATTTTGATGGCTTTTGAGCTTAGTTATTGAATTCTAAATTCACCATTCAGTTGGCATTTCTCTTTCTGTTTAATCTTAAACCAACTA
This sequence comes from Homo sapiens, assembly GCF_000001405.40. Taxonomy (NCBI): domain Eukaryota; kingdom Metazoa; phylum Chordata; class Mammalia; order Primates; family Hominidae; genus Homo; species Homo sapiens. The sequence continues at coordinate 194,717,876 of NC_000001.11, read as the reverse complement.
ATAACTATTTATACTACCCTGATACTTTATTTGGGAAAAGCTCACACAGACAAGAAAATAGTAGAAAATTGCCTATACAAGTCTCTCTCTCTCTCCCCCACTCCTTTTGAATGTACATATGTCTCTCTATATATTATACCTGCGTGTATATTTCCAAATATACCTATATGGAAGTATAATATATATAAGTATACATATGGGTATATACATAAGTGTGTGTGTGTGTGTATACATATATATATATATTTGACAAAATTACATTATCTATTTTTAATGTGTTCAAACACACAAGAGTTTTGTACAAAGGTTCTTGCAACTTACAGGCATACCATGTACTCAGTGTCATTGCTCATTGCTCTATTTTAAGAAAGCTCGGAGTGGCAGACACAACAATTTTCCATTCTGTGGGTTCTTTAGCCATGGATCAAAATAATTTTTTTATAAATAGTTTTTGCATATTTGCTTTAATTGCACTGGCAAAATTTCAGAGAAAAAAAAAAACACCTTTTAGCTCTCAATATACATGACATGTCCAGAGTGGTATTTCCTAGGTTTTCTTCTAGGATTTTCATAGTTTAGGGTCTCAGTTAAGTCTTTGATTTGTCTTGAGTTAATTTTTCCATATGGTAAAATGTAGGGGTTCAGTTTTAATCTTCTGCATATGGGCTAGCCAGTTATCCCAACACCACTTATTAAATAGGGGGTCCTTTCTCCACTCTTTGTTACTGTCGATTTTGTGATTAAGTCACCAAAAGCAATCGCAACAACAAAAAAATGACAAGTGGGACCTAATTAAACTAAAAAGCTTCTGCACAGATAAAGAAACTATTAAGAGAGTAAACAGACAACCTGCAGAATGGGAGAGATATTCACAAACTACACATCTGACAGAGATCTAATGTCCAGAATCTATAAGGAATGTAAGCAATTCTACAAACAAAAACCAAATAACCTTCTTAAAAGATGGGCCAAGGACGTGAACAGACAGTTCTCAAAAGAAGACACTAATCATTAATCATCTAATCATTAGAGAAATGCAAATCAAAACCACGGTGAGATACCATTTCACACCAGTCAGAATGGCAATTATTAAAAAGTCATAAAATAACCTATGTTGGTGAAATTGCAGAGAAAAGGGAAGGCTTATACACTGTTTGTAAGAATGTAAATTAGTTTAGCCACTATGGAAAGCAGTTTGGAGATTTCTCAAAGAACTTAAAAGAGAGCTACCATTCAAACAAGCAATCCCATTACTGGGAATGTACACAAAGGGAAATAAATTACTCTATCAAAAAGACACATGCACTCAAATGTTCATGGAAACACTATTCACAATAGCAAAGACATGGAATCAGCCTAGATGGCCATCAGTGAGGGACTGGATAAACAAAATGGAACACATATACACCATAGAATACTACACAACTATCAAAAGAATGAAATCATGTTCTTCGCAGCAACGTGGATGCAATGGGAGGCCACTAACCTAAGTGAATTAACACAGGAACAGAAAACCAAATACCATATGTTATCACTTATAAGTGGGAGCTAAACATTAAGTACATATGGATGTAATGATTGGAACAGTAGACACTGAGGAGGGCCAGGTGCCATGGTTCACGCCTGTAATCCCAGCACTTTGGGAGGCCCAGGTGGGTGGATCACTTGAGGTCAAGAGTTCGAGACCAGCCTGGCCAATATGGCAAAAACCTCATCTCTACTAAAAAAACAAAAATTAGCCGGGTATGGTGGCGCATGCCTGTAGCCCCATGTACTTGAGAGGCTGAGGCATGAGAATCATTTGAACCCTGAAGCAGAGGTTGTGGTGAGTTGAGATCGCACCACTGCACTCCAGCCTGAGTAACAAGGTGAGGCTCCATCTCAAAAAAAAAAAAAAAAAATACTGAAGACTACTAGTGGGGGAAGGCTAGAGAAGAGTGTTGTGAAGCTACCTATCAGGTACCATGTTCAGTACCTGGGTGATGAGATAATACATAAACCAAACCTCAGTGACACGTAATTTACCCGTGGAACAAACCTGCACATGTACTCCCTGAACCTAAAATAAAAGCGGGAAAAAAGAAGTGATTTACCTCAAAGTTACTGTTTTCTCTATATTTCAGCTTTGAAACCTAAATAGTTGATAAATGTTCCCAAATTCAATGAATTTAGTACATGTTAGAACTAAGATTTGAATTCAGGCAACCTATATTTTCATCTACTGTACCACCCATTATACTGTGTTAACAGTGATACAGAAATGGAAAACTAGCAGTATTTGTGAATGTATTTAGAGATAGGCTAATGAATTGGGTGTGTGTGGTGTAGAAGAAACTATATATAGTTTCTACATATATATCATTTCTATATAGAAATAGTTTATTTTTCTAATACTTATATAAAATGCTTTCATACACATATATTTTTTCCCTGGAATAAATCCAGTTAATCTTTTCTTTTTGATGTGCTGTTAGATCGAATTTGGTTTGCAAGCATTTTGTTCGGGATTTTTGCATCTGTGTTCCTCGGTGTTGTTGGCTCGTAATTTTCTTTTTTTTGTCTTGTCCTCTGTTTCTGATATCAACATAATGCTAGTGTCATAGAATTAGTTAGAAGGAATTTCCCCCTCTTCAACTTTTTGAAATAGTTTGAGAAGAAATGGTATTAGATCTTCTTTATAAGTTTGGTAGGATTCACCAGTTAAGCTATCCGGCCTTTAGCTTTTCTGTGTTGGGAGAATGTTTATTACTGATTCAGTCTTGTTACTCATTATTGGTCAGTTCAGGTTTTCTATTTCGTCTTGGTTCAATCTTTGTAGGTTGTATGTATCCAAAAACTTATCCATTTCCTCTATGTTTTCTGATTTGTTTGCATGTAGTTGTTCCTAATAGTCTCTAATTATCCTTTGTATTTCTATGGTATCAAATGTAATGCCTTTTCATTTCTTATTTTATTTATTTGGGTCTCATATTTTAACTGTAAAGATGGTATAATGTTTACGGCTGAGACTGAGTTGCCTGTGGCCTGACATGAAGGCAGAACTATTGTGACAACGGTGAAAACAGGTGACATAACAGAAAATTTAGAAACAGATTGCATAGTTATTTGGATCCTTCAGGCAAGATTCTGAGAAATATTAAGTCTATTTTCAAATTTGTGCAAGGTTAAGATGAAAACCCGACCAATCAGCAATCCAGTGACATCAGATTTGTAAACACTTCACTCAATGCCTTCAGTGAAAGTGGAGAAAAACATATATAGCATTCATCACTTGCAGACCTTTTATTGATTGTGAAATAACCCAAGAGAACACACATGGAACCATTTTTAAAGTATCATCAAATTTAAATATGATATTATTAAAACATATTTTACTTAATACATTATCATTTGATTTATGTTCCAGGAAATGTGATGTCATGATGAATATTTTCAACATTTCTTGACGGATAGCCTGAGCTTTATGTCAAATTACATATTGATGCATTTAATTTATCACTTTATTTTCAGAATTTGGGGAATACTGAGTCATATTCATTGGTCATCAATTTATTCAGTGAATCATTCAGATATTATTGTTCCTTTTGATCAAGAGGAGTCCAGAAATTATGGAAAGTTATATTGATGAAGTTTTTTTTTCAGTACTCAGGCAAAAATTAAACCAATGAGGATATCATACTAAAAGTTTCTAAGCTAGAGTGTTTTAAGTTATTACGAAATAGAGAATGAATACTCAACCACTCCATAGTTCATTTAGCTAAGAGTTTTTTTAAGATATTAAAGATTTAAAGACTTAAAATATTCCTCATTGATCTTCAATAAAATGTCATGTGATTGATTTTTCTAATACTTTTAGAAAATGATTACATGTTGGGTAAAGGCAATTTGACAACTGCAATCCAACTATTCTCATATGTTTTGTTTTATTTATGGTTTCTTCTCTTTGTAATCTTTTTTTTTCTTTTTTTTTTTTTTTTTTTTTTTTGAGACGGAGTCTCTCTCTTGCCCAGGCTAGAGTGCAGTCGCACAATCTCGGCTCACTGCAAGCTCCAACTCCCGGGTTCACGCCATTCTGCTGCCTCAGCCTCCAGAGCAGCTGGGACTACAGGCGCCTGCCACCACGCCCGGCTAATTTTTTTTGTATTTTTGTAACTAGAGACCGGGTTTCACCGTGTTAGCCAGGATGGTCTCGATCTCCTGATCTCCTGATCTGCCCGCCTCGGCCTCCCGAAGTGCTGGGATTACAAGCGTGAGCCACCGCGCCTGACCTTCTCTTTGTAATCTTTCTAAAAAATCTTTGTCTTCTCCCAGGTTCCAAGGATCGTCTCCTATGTCTTAACTCTTACCTTTAGGGCTATGATACATTTCAAGTCAATTTGTATCTATGCTGTGAGAAAAAAGTTAAGGTTTGTTACTTTTATAAATGAATTTCCAATTGTTCCAATACAATTTGTTAGGAGGATTATATTTTATTATTGAAATATCCTGGTATATTTTTCAAAATCATTTGGTCATCTATATGTATGTCTGTTTCTGGACTCTATTTTTTTCCATTGATCTATATGATTATTCTCATACTAACATCAAACTCTCTTGATTATTTTAGCTATATATAAATCATGAAATCCAATAGTGAAATTTTTTCAACATTGCTTTTTTTTTTAAATGTGTGTGAGATATCCTATGTCCCTTTCTCACCTGTAAATTTTTAGACTCAGTTTTTTAAATTTTATATAAATCCTACTGAGATTTATATTGATCTAGAGATCAATATTTAAAATGTCTGATTCTTTATATCATTGTCATGACAACTTCAAAAATAAGTGAAAAATTGTTTACTTCTCTGTTTTATAAAAATGTGTCTATTATCATTATTTGTTCCTTAAAAATAACAAATCATTGTTATTTGTTTCTTAAATGTTTCTTTCATTCACTAGCAAAGCCTTCTGAGCTTGGAGTTTTCTTGTAGACAAAGTTTTTTAAGTTATCTATTCAGTGTTGTTTGTTGTTTTTTAGTAGCTACAGGAATACTTAGGAATTCTAATTATCCTAAATTTAGATATTGTAACATGTGTCTTTAAAGTAATATGTCCAATATTTAGGCTGTTGAATGGATGGGTATAAGTTAGTATTAATATTCATTTTAAATTATTTTATTATCAGTATACCTGCAGTTGGGTACCCTCTTTCATTGCTGAAATAAGTACTTTCCCTTATTTATGTTTTGATAACTCTATTTGGACATTTAAAGGTTTTATAACTTTTAAAAAGACAGTTTTAAGTCTTCTCTTTTTGTATTGTTTTTGTCCATCTAACTAAAGGCTTATAAATTTTGTTGAGCTTTACAAAGAATCAGCTTTTAGTGGATTAATTTTCTCTATTGTTTTTGTTTCCTATTCTATTCCACCTCTGTTCTAATCTATCATTTTCTTTCTTCTGTTAGCTTTCGGTGTAGTTTACTTTTATTTTACTGCTTCCGTAAGCTGTAAAATTTTGTTGTTAATTTGAAATATTTTTATTTTAATTTAAGCGTTTATATTGTAAATTTCCTACTTAGCACAGCTATCACTGTGTCTCATACGGTGTGATCTGTTGTGTTATCATTTTGTTTCATCTCTAAGTATTTTCTAATTTCCCGTATGATTTCTTCTTTAAGCCATTGATTGTGAGTTTGTTTAATATCCACAGCTTTGTAAATTTTTCAGCTTTTCTTCTGTTGTTGATTTCTAGCTTAATATCTCTGTTGTCAGAGAAAATACTTTGTATGTTTTTATTGTTTTGAATCTACTGAGACCTATTTGTGGCCTAACATATGGTCTATCCTGGAAATAGTCTCATATGCACATGAATGTATGTGTATACTATTGTTGCTGGGTATAGTGTTCCTCATAGGTCTTTTAGATATAGTTGTTTTATTGTGTTGTTCAGGTCCATCATTGCCTTACTATCTTTTTTGTGAATCACTTCACTGGTAGATTCCATCAAACATTTGAAGAAAAACTCACACCAAATTTTATCAACCTTTTCTAAAAAAGCAGGAATGAGCACTTACTAACTTATTTTATGAGGCCAACATTGCACTGATACTAAAGACAGAAAAGATATCACAAGATAAAAAAAAATTACAGGCCAATATTTCTTATGAAAATTAAGTGGTCTCTGGGGCCTGGAGACTATGGACTGTTACAGGCTGAATGCCAACATTCTACCCTTGCTCCTGAGATGCCAAATATCATCGTCACTAAAACAGTGGCAACCCATGTGTAAGATTGGTACACTGTTACTGACTTGGCTAATGCCTTTTTCTCAATCCCTTTGTGGGATGAGGATCAACACAAATTTGTGTTCACATGGAATGGGCCACAGTATAGTTTCATTGTGCTTCTTCAGGAATAGTTCAATTCCCCTGCAAGGTAGAGCCTGTGGGTAGGACTTGATCTTCAACAAATCCAATCCCCACAAAAGTTTCAGTCATCTGTATTACACCAATAAAATGCTAATAGTAAGCCCATCACGAAACATGTGGCTGTGGTACTCTGCTGAGCCATTGATGTACTGGCTAGTGCAGATTAGAACTTCAACCCTGCTGAAGCCTACAGCCTGGCACAACAGATGCAATTCCCAGGGGCCACTTGGGTGGAAAGCCAGAGAAATATCCCACATTCAGTCAAGTAAAAATCCTTTGCTCTGGAAGCTTCTGCTAATAGAAAGGAGACCCAACAGAGTGGGTAAGCCTCTTTGGGTACTGGAGACAGCATGTACCCCAGCTGGGGGCTCTTTTGACCCACTTAGTACAAGGTGGCTCACAGGACCACCAACTTTGAATGAGGCTGTTTGCAGCAGCAGGCCTTATAAACCATTCATGAGCCATGGTCCAGGCACTACCTTTGGAACATTTAGAGCTTGCTAACCCAATTAAATTACAAGTGTCTACAACTACCATGCGTGCTGATTAGAGTCTTTGGCAATAGGAAACTGCCACTGGCCACTTGAATTCTGGACACAAATGTTGCCTGAGGTAGCCAACAGATATACTCCCTTGAATAGCAACTCTTTGCTTGCTATTTGGCACTGGTGAAGACTGAGTGTCTCATGTGACGCTGTAACCTGAACTGTCTATTATCACTCAGGTACTTACAAATACCACAAATAAAATTGGACAGCCTTAACAGAGCTCAATTATCAAATATAAATGTTACACTGATGATCAGGCCTAGCTAGGCCATGAAGAGACCGGTAGGCTCCGTGAACAAATGACTAACCTGCCAGAAGGGACCAAGAAAATCACAGGGGATGCTGTAGCTCCTTCTGCAGCTACTTGGAGATCAAGATTTAGAGGCATGTTTGCCAATGATACGACATGATTAACTGATGGTCCTGTGAAACTAAAAGCCGATGGGGTCCACTGAGCTGAGGATGCCGTCAGGCCAGTATATGGCCATCTTTGTATTGAGACTGAACATGGATGTTTCACCCAATAAGGTGAACTTTACAATGGTGATGGTTGTGCAGGCCACCCCTACCATCATATCTTGTTACAGTTTCACTGACTCAAACCATTGCTAACAGCCTAGCCACTTGGTCAGCAGAATTTCAATTGAGTGACTGGACTATTAAAGAATCCCTTATAAGGGAACAAGGACAATAGCAGCATGCTTGCTGCTTGGAGGGGACAAATATATGACACTCATGTGGATGCTGATGGCAAAGAACCTTTCAAAATGGAACATAAATAGAATTATCATGCTAATCAAGCTTGTGCCCAACAGGTAGCAACAGTTACTTACGGATATATAACTGATGTCGAGGTACATTTTAGATGCAAGACTGGGCAAAGGCTTAAGAGATGATTCTACAAGATGCTGAGACTAAGGATGCTGTACAATTGTGTGATTCTTTCCAATGGGCCCAGATTATTCAAAGAGGAGAATTAGGACATATTAACTGAAGGCTAGGGCTTACCTGGGTCTGACAGATTGACCACACAGAGTGAGGTACACTGAGAGTACCTCACTGCCATTAGTTAGCACCTATGCAGACTGTGGTATTTCATGCGGATTCTGGGACTACTACAACCACCCTTGAGAGGAATTTATGTTGTGCTTTGGATAGCCCAGGAGACTTTACTCTGACCATGAAACACCCTTCACTGCCCAAGCAACATTATAGTGGTTGCCCTCTCAAGGAATACAATGGGCTTTTCATGCACTCTACTATCCCCAGACCAGTGGAGCTATTGTAAGATGGAACAGCCCACTCACAGATAAACCGAAGAAAGGACAGTAATTTCCTGCTTGTGGGTGGCACCCCAGTATGACTGATAGCCTACAGGTCACATTTAGCAGTCTTCCAAATTAACCCAGCTGGGGAAAGTCTTATGATCAATGGTGACATCCTGTCCCTGAGTTAGGAATCCTATCACGAATTCCTCAAATTGTTGACATACTAACTAATATATAACCTACTGACACTGCAATGAAGGCTGATTTGGTTCTGAATCGCAAAGTTTTACTGATTGTTTTACATACGGACATTTTAACCTGTATGTTGCAATCTGTATCCAATGACTACAAACTCTGTATTGCACCCTCCAGAGAAAAAGGACAATTCCAATATGATGAATTTTCCTCTCTTCTTCTACACTGTCTTAAAATGGCTTCCAATTTCTAATAGACTGTGGAACACACCCAAATTTTTGGTGTGTCATACCAGATTGATAGTCACATTTGGTTACAATAAACCTTTATCAAATTATTTTTTCCTCACTAGCCTTAATTTAAGTTGGTATGACTGGGGCAATATGGACACTAAGCACTGCACTCCAATGCAAGGGGTACAGAGCCCCGTAGCACATGTTGAAACACTGAGCTTGGTGGAGGTAGGGGTGGACCAGACAGCTACCCAATAAGGCCACAGCTGCCAAATCCCAATTTCAATATGTTCAACCATTTTTTTTTCCTTTTTCCTTTTAGAATACATACTCTGGGAGTGGTTTGCCATTCAGTCCAGCATAGTACCTCAGAGAGGGAAAAAAAAAAACATGCCATAAAAAAGAATATTCGTATCAAGAGCACAAAATCATAGAAATTGCCAGATTCACTGTGCAGAAAATCATAATGGCTTAGATCATAGCATTTTATTTTTTTAAGCATAATACAAGATAATTGGTAACTTTAAGAAATGTAACAATTACTTCTTCAATTTTGGGCAACCATGAAGAAAATAACTTTGGATATAGAAAATTCTGGCAATAACCAAAAGAGTAAATACAGTACCTATTAATTGTGAATTATAATAAACTAATATTAAATTAACTATTTGATCAACCATAGACCTGTGAACACTTACTTAATAAATGCAATAAAATAGCTGTTTTAAACCCACCAATCCACAAACATATGCCCTCAGATTGTATTAGTATTATACAAAAAAAATTTATCAATGTATTGTTTGGAATGAAGCACTTCTTATGTAAACATTGCACTGATGTTGAAAATAATTTTTTTGGGAATAAAACAACAAAAACAAATATACAAATTAAAAGACAGCATAGGTGTTTTTAATCAAGAAAGGTAATCCTCAAGTTTTTAATCAGTATATTTCAAAATACCTAAAAGAGAATAATTCAAATGTATCTCGTTTAAAGAAAAGATACATTTTTAAGGTGATAGATATCTCAATTACTGTGATTTGATTATACAAATGTATCAAATTATCACATGTACCCTAAGAATACATATGTTTAATATATATCAATTAACAAAGTAAATATGCAGTGAAATGAGAAAATGCTAAATAAAATAAAAAATTAAAAATAATCACAAGGGAAAAAATTTATTATACATTTGTAAAATGTTTTAAAAAGATTAAGAAGGAACAAGCAACAAAAAGACAACTGAAGTATAAATTCCAAATATATAAAGTACAAATTGAAAAAGAAATGTAGAAAATAATATCAATGTTAGGTTACAAGAGATATAAGTAGTAACAATGGGTGGGCTGGTTCAGGGTTTTGACTGCTTAACACAAAAGAATTTGAAATTAAGTCCAAAGTAAGAGTAACCAAAGAAGTTGATTGGCTTTGCAATCAACTTGGCCACTTGAATTTTGGACAAGTGATAGGTAGAGCAGGCTGCTCAGAGGCAGAGACAACCCCTAGTGCCTTGAGGGAAACTCCCTTTGTGAGAAATGTACGTGTATATTCATAAAATACTGGTGAGGTCAAGTATGGAAAGACAAACTGAGGTTTGATGCATACACTCAGTTGTACATGCTACAACACACATCAGATATAGTATTAGCATGTAAAATCTCCACCTAGAGGTGTGTGTGTGTGTGTGTGTGTGTGTGTGTGTGTTGCTATTAAAATGAAGGAAAGGTAATTATTAGCTAAACCTTGAGCCTAGCTGTCCTTGCAAGAACCTATAGAAATCCCAAGACCCCCAAGGCAGAAATTTGTACTTAATAGCTTCATGGGCTTTGGGTGCCCATTGGTTGGAAATTGCGGAAGTTACATCAGGAAGAAGGGAGTTTTGTTCTCCTTCCGTGTCCATATCTGGTATCAGGAGCCTGTAACCCTCTGGCTGTCTGCTGCTTTCCTGTAGGATTGCTTACCTTGCAAAAGAGTTGAGTGTTGATGCAAGCGTGTGCAAGGGATGCAGAGCCCACAGAGCTTCCAACAAGGAGACAAGACAGCACGGCCTCCTAATCTTGCTTACCCTGCCTCATGTCATAGTTTGAAAAGTCCAACTCAATAGACATGACATTATTTAAAGTGAAGTATAGGCACACGTCAATACGATTTTAAATCCATAATTGAGCAAATACATTCCTACAAAATGTTAAAATTGGTTAAAGAAGAAACAGAAAACGTCAATATACAGATAATGGTTTTAAAAATCTGAATATCTCCATTATATTAAAAAGAAACCTAATTAAAATATTATTATGGTAAGTTCTAACAAACTTATACTTTGAATAAAGAAAATATAACTCCTTTCTGATACAAGTTGTTCCAGAAAATAGATAATTGAAGACTTTTTTACTTTATGGTGCTAGCAAAAAACTGATTTTGAAATTAGATAAAAATAATAGAAAAGAAATAACCCAGCCCATCTATCTAATTCTTTATTCAGCACAGTCGCTGAAATGTGCTTAATTCATTTGGCTAAGATTTAAAAATTGGGGCCAAGACCCATAGCACAAATTTCAGTTTTGTGTCGTTTTGACAGATATTCTACTGATTTTATTTTTTTTACAAATTATACAAATCTTTTCAGAAAAAAAGATACTTCTATGTTATTACATGTAACATTTTAATTATATATTTTATATCATATTTTTCTGTGTACATTTAATTTTGTCTTTAGCTAGTAACAATCTCATATAACAAATAAACATCATAAAGAATAGTTTATTATACATCTTAATAAAAATGAAATTTTCTAGTAGTAATTTGTTATTTTTTGCATTGTTTTATTTTATATTACATTTACTTCACTAGTATTATTTGTATACTCATGAGCTTAAGAAAAATTTTAAACTAGTTTATTGTTTTAAAAGTCTGACCCTGTTTTCAAAGAAAGTATTTTTCTGCTATAGTTTGGGAAAAAGCCCTATCAAATAATAACAAACACATACTCCTCCCCTTCCCACCCCAAAATCAAAACAAAATAATAATCTTGAAATTTTACTTACTAATGACTATCTAATGTTAACGGAAATTTTTGAAAAAAAAACTACATACATATAAAGTATGATTCCACAAAAATCTAAGAATCTTTCATTCAATTGTCATAAAACATACATTAAATAGTGGCAAAAAGAAAAAAAATGACATTCAGATGAACATTTATTTACTGATGATGATATACTCAATTTTAACCAACATTCAGAAAGTATATATTCTCTAGACTTCTGTGGATTACTTATCGTCTTAGATATATGTTCGCATCTCATTTTTTTCCTTCATGCCTATTTGAATACAAGCAACACTTTTGTTAGTTCACTAAACCATGTGTTATTTCACTTGTGACAAGCACAACATTTAAATATCCTATTGATAGTTTTCATTTTCACATCAGTTCGGCAATAGCTACAATAGACTTACTATGCCATGTAATTCCATTTTCAGGTATTTGGAGTAAAGCTGGAAGCATTATCAGTGCAGTTTTAAAGAATCTTTTAAAGAAAGTTTTGGCACCAGTTTTGTTTTCAACAGATTTGGACAGATTCCTGCTCTGCCTAATCTGTAGTCAATAGAAATCCTCCAATCCATGTTTCACATTACAGTGGTATTTTGAAATGCAAAATATGATTAAACTAACCTCCCATCTACAGACTTCACACAATTGATTAATTTCATTATTATAAAAGGAAATCACTATAAAATAGCTTTAATACCATTCAAAGAGATCGCCCTTCACAGTCTCTACTCTCATGTTTCAGCATATACAGCCCTCATCTCTCTTCATATTTTTTCCAACACTGAGAGCTTCTTTTCTGTGCTACTTATGTGTCATGCTTTCTATTTCAGAACTATGCAACTTTGTTTCACAGGGCTTTCCCAGGTCTTATCTTTACATGTATTTTGCAACCCTTTCAGTTATTCTTTCGTTTTCACAAGCCCATAGTCTCTGCAGACATTAAATGAATTTTAGCTTGCTATTATACCTTCATTGCCAAATAGGATATCAGTTGGATTGGACTGTAACTGTTTGATAAAATTGTTAAATGAGTAATTAATAGTATTTTGTCAATTAGGTTCAGTCACAAAGTTACTTTTCTTCCAAAAATGGCTCTTTAAGCAACTAAGAAATAATGTTCAGTGTCTATATCATACATATATGTAATTTATGTATATATACCTATGATTTATATATCAATCAGCTCTGATTATTACTTTAAATGTGCAAGTTACAAACTTTGCTTTTAAGTCCTGTCAATATTATATTGTCATATTAAAAACTGAATATTCAAGACAGATTATAATTCTATAACTTCAATAATTGCTTACTACCTAAGTTCCTCTCCTTCATAAAGAGACGTCTGGCATTTGAGTACACTAGAGAGTAAAAAATAAAATAAAATAATAAATAAATAAAATAAAATACTACTAATTAATGAACTCTTTAAGTCTAGACTTATACTATTTGGGGGGATGTTTGCTGCTAACTTTGCTTTACATTCAAACTTATTTTTTTTTAATAACTTGAACAGCAACAAAGCTTAATGTGGAAGCAGACAATATGATTTTCCGGACTTGGGGAAAAGAATTACATATTTCAGTAAAGTAATGTAATGTAAGATGTTCAAAAATACAATTTTCAGGATGTTAACTTGAAACAGTTAAAAGGTTTTTTATGTAAGAAAACTAAATCTACATATGAAGAAGAAAATCTGGCATATGCTCACTGTAACAAAAAAATAAATAAATATTCCATGAAGCAACCTCGAGAAATTTATGACATTTCTGCATAATTATTGAGTTTAATAAACCTTTCTAATGTGATTAAATTTTATAACTCTCCCTCTTTCTCCAAATATATATATATATATATATTCTTGTAAAAGTCTTTGTAAAAGACTAATCTGTGTTTAAATCCAAGCTCAAATTAGTGTATCTTTGTGTAAATTGTTAACGTTTCTTGGTTTTAATTACCTGATGTTTGACGTGAACATAATACCATTTCTATCTAAACACTAAAGGTCATCATTATAGAAGTTTATACACTTTTACAAATGCTGTGTTGCAGATTACTGCTTAGATTTGTAGACTCAAGATTTTTTTAACAATATTTGGATTCTTATTTTGAAATGCCGAAGAATATATGACTATTAAATATTCCTTTCTAATACAAAAAAGCAACATTAAAATCTAGTTGAAACTACAACAAAGTACAAGCATCCTATAGATGACACAATCGAGACCTACAAATTATGCCTTTCTTTTATAACCTTGAGACTCTCACTTCACACTTCTTTAATTCATCTGTTATGACCTAACAGATGTTAAGACCTAAGCCCTTCCTATTAATTATAAATATAATTTATACCCTCAAGATTTTTCATCACCTTTAGTATACAGATTTTGATCTTTAATGATGATAAAAAGTCATAACTCTCTGTATTCATCAAAATTTTTATGGGTGTGGATATAATAAAGTAAAAAATGCATTTTTTTATTTTTAAAAAATTTATTGCTTAGGATATCTAATTTCCTTTTTGAAAATAAGTTTTCTGTCTTTATCTGACATTAATCTTCATGAATATCTAGGGAAGGTAGAGTCAAAGTCATTTCATTTCTGGTTGTTCTATTATTTTTAGAAAAGAATAATTTGAATATAATATCTGGAATTTCATATAGGAGTCAATGAGCAGACCCAAAATTATATTATATAGCTTCCCATTTTATCTTATAATTCATGTACATTAGTTTAGTTTAAAAATATTATTACTACATAATTAAATTAATTTCTCTGTAAGTACATTTTCTAGTTATCATGTACTGACAATTTAGCAAAGATGGACACTTTCTTAAATGTTGTATTAATTTACTGTTCTTTAGTCTTGTGAAAGAAAGGCTTCTACTTCAAATGTAATGGCAACCTAACACTAAAACCTAAAGTGATTAATCATATGGTCAATAGAGAACATGGTGTTATAATCTTTGGACATACCTAATTCATTGATATAATATCAATGAGATAAAATTAAGCTTTCATAAGATTAATTGGTGTTTGAAGTGTGACTTTTAATTAACAATATTATGAAGAGCTTCAAGGAAAGAAATATGCTCAAACTTTGTTAATATTTATGTTTCTTTTTACATCTTTACCAATTCCTGTTGCTACAGTATGAGATTAAAGATCCAACTTTAAAGCTATTGCAAAAACTCCCCCAAGATGTATACAAATATTATTTAGATATTCTGGTTGCATATACATGCATACCCACATATAATTCATATGGTATACAGGCTAAATTCAGTTTTAAACACAATAATAAAATATGCATAAAATTGTCACATCAATCTTTCTCAATTATCAAAATTAAATATTACAAACATCTACTAAAAAAGCTAACAAATAAAAATTTGAGAATAAAACACGCAGGTAGAAAAAATGTTAAATTAAGTAAACCAAATATCTCATAAATTCTATTTACTTTAAATTAAAATTGCCTTTTCCTTAGAATCTTCTTTTTATACAAATAAATCAATTATTACATCCCATTAATTTTTTTATCTTTACCATTATTGCCTTAGTTTTCTGAATAAATCAAGACTTTTTTTGGTCTTCATATTTCTTCCTCTGTCTAAAGCCTCCTTTTCTCTGTTGTTATATCCCTGTAGACATTAGCCAGTCTAATCCCCATTTGTCCATCAAGCTGCAGCTTAAAAGCATCTTTCTTAAATTCCTCAGTTTACTTATATTTTTTCCCCTTAAAAAGAACTTTTGGAAACGGTAAGGAACACTATCTTGTGTCGATCAAAGTAGGAAGAGAACCATCAAGAATGTACTTAAGTATGGGGAACCGCCATCTTACTCCTTGGTTAGAGGATACTTGAGCTGCTACTGGAAGGGAGGCCTGCCATGATGCTCATGGTGGGGAGAATAGTGAGTTCTTGGAAAACGTAACATTTATTCCCCAAAGTTTTCAGTTTTATGTAAAGACAAATAATTTCTGTAACTTATATTGGAAATCTGAAGGTATAAGGCAGACAGGAACTTTCACTGATCGTATTTTAAGGAGTGAGGACAGAGTGTGTTAAAATGATACACTGATCATTGGATGGGACTAAAGTGCATAGGTAACTTGGGACCACCCTGGTTGGTTAAAGTTCAAGGTGACATCTCCAGTGAGTGATGTCTTCCTGAACCACAATTAACTCTTAAATGCCAAAATTCACTGATCTCACCCCAGCAGTATGCGCTATTAATACTTTTCCATGTACTGCTCCTTCTTCTGATCATTTTCAGCAGATAAAAGAGATTAGAAAATGCATGAGCTGGCAGGTTTGCACCTCTTGCCATCTGTTCGTCACCCCAGCTGTGCTCTCATCACTTGGCATCACTCTTGTCTACTTCATCTGGTGCTAGTCCTCTGCTGTTCTTCCTGGAACTTTCCACTAACATTAGTTCAGAACTCTTTTACCCAGAGAGGTTTGTTCCACCTTTCAATCTCTATTAGTTCCTTGCAATTATTATTATTTTTTATTTTGGGGGAGGTATCATAGTTCTCCTACTCATATCTCTCTCCATGACTAGGGTTTGCAGATAGAGCACACCAAAGTTATTAGTAAAATTTTCCTAAAGGACTAATAGCTTTCTATAGATAATCATTAAAATTCCTAAGGGGGAGATCTTCTTGGTCCTCAGATTACTAAATACAATTATTTTAGTATGTGGTTTTTAAAAAATTATCTGTAGTTTATCTGTATTTCTCTGAGAACTTGCTTTGGAAAAATGTGAAAAATCTGACAGGAATAAACTTCATGAAATTTTTTCACTCCCTAACTGGCAAGATCAGAAATGCCATGAAAAGTAAACTGTCACACAGGATATTTTCTACTGCAGCTGGTTTCTGAACTCATGCAAACACGTAGTTATGCATGTACATACGTAGAATGATAAAATCACATTCTCAGTAGCTAATGAGAAAAAAAGGAGGAAGGGTCGCTTTCAATTAGTCTCAAAGCTTTGTCCATATGTTTAAAAATTAATTGATTTAAGAGACAAATAACACCTGGTAACTTTTTTTTTAATTCCTAAATGGATAAAAAAAGTGAACTTAATATACTCTATAAATGCTCCTTAGTTTATTCATTGTAAGAATATCCAAACTAACTCAACTTTTAGATAAAATAAAAATTGTTTTTAAATTTGTGAATTTCTAGTAAGATGCTTAATTCACATACTAATGTAGTTTTTAAAGAATTAAGATACATACATAGACAGACATTAACATATATACCAACATTTTACTTAACTACCCACCTCATTTCATTTTATTTTCCTCTAGGCACAATTAAGTCTAGATATCATAGTTCATATGTTTTATGGAGCATTGAACTGGTAGCATACAAGAGAATCATGACCATTACTGCTGCTGTTTCTGACAGAGTGGGAAGATAATAGGCCAATCTTCTCTCTCCATGACTCCTGCCTGACCAGAGAAGATGAGGTAGTAGAGGAATTGAATCATTTTAAAAGAGGCATTTGTGCAGAATCAAGAGTGAACTATCAATTGAGTCATGCTTGACAGAAAATGGCACTTTTGCCTTTGGGCATCTTTTTAAGAGTAAAAACAAAGTTACATTTAATATCTTCTTGATTTCATGCAATGAACATTGAATCTTCCTCAGTGCACATCAGAATAAATGGTATGTTGGTGTCAGTGTTATTATCACAGATAACTTTATGGAAAATAGGGATTATCTCTGCCTTTAAGCTAAGTTCCTGGGATTGAATTTCCTTACATGAAGATAATAATATAAGTTTAAAAGATACAGAGGAATTTTTTATAAGACTAAATAACCAAGATATAGGAAAACACTGATCTTCCCAAATGCTGTTTAAAATACATATTAATTAAGCCCTCACTCCAAAAATTAATAATGAAAACACAAGCTATTTTTTTCTGTGGATCACAGAATATCATCTATGCTACATATGTGTCTATAATTTTCCTTACATGTTGGGTAAAAAAATAAAATTTCTTTCAATATTTTCAGACCAACCACAATATAGATGAATTACAAATACTAGATTTTCATTTTTCTACTGCTTTGGATTCTATTGGCTTTATCAAATTCCCCATTGTCTCTGCTTTGTTTTTCTAATAAATCAGATATATAATCTTTCTTTTACTTTTTAAATTTGAGTTAAATAATCTATTCATGTCACAAATTATAAACATACATGTCAGAAATTGTAGTAAGAGACACTGAATTGATAGTAATTATTTTATGGTTAAAATAATTTTAATTTGAAATTAATTTCAGGTTATGTCTGGTACAGTCTGTTAAGCATACTTTAAACTTACTCATAACAATTGATGCTTTTCTGAGTCAGTGAAAATATCATTTGTTATGAAACCAAAATGTACCAAAATAAGGTTTTTAATTATAAAATAATATGGGAGCTAATCCAAATAGAGATTCAATGATGTTTGAACTCATTCCATATATATATATCTGTGCAGGTGGGGTGAGAGGCTGCATTTATGTGTCTATATGTTGATGCTATGAATTCATAAATAAGAAATTTGGCTTTCCTTTTTTTAATGTAAGTTCTTGTGACATCCTAGCCAGTCATTAGAGTCCTAGAGATCTGACTTTCTCTTACTCAGGGAGATTTAGTAAGTGTTTGAAGTTACTAGTTTACATAATGCAAGATACTCAGGGACAGAGGCAAGACTCAAGAAAAATGAAAATAGTTGAAGTCTGAAAGTGTTTTCTAATAATCCACAAAAGCTAGATAGCATTCAGGGCCCTGAAAAGGTAAAATCTTGTGTCCTTTATGTATGGTAAGGCTTCAAAAGTGCATATATAAGCCTTTGGAGTCTGAACATCAAGAGCTGTAGGCTTGAAAACAGCCATAAAGGGCCGCTGTCATCAAGGACAGCATCACTGGAAACGTATCCAGCTGTCCTGTCTAGAGCAGCAGTGCCTAAGAGATAAGAAAGAACGCATGGTGTAGAGTTGCAGAGCGCAGGAAGCAGCTATAATTATATCTTCTCATGCTTACATTTCCTGGTACTGCATATGCCTCAAAAAAGAAAGACTCGAAAAAAGAAAGAGAGATAATACCTTTTGCTAATCTTTACTAGTGCTGAGCAGCATTGGCCTTGATTTCATATTCTAAAAGAAGTGACCATTGCACTATCAACGCCTGCCTGCCTGCCTGCCTGCCTTCCTTCCTTCCTTCCTTCTTTCCTTCCTTCCGTCCTTCATTTCCTTTTTTTTTTTTTTTTTTTTGATGGAGTCTCACTCTGTCACCCCGGCTGGAGTGCAGTGGTGCAATCTCAGCTCACTGCAACCTCCACCTCTCGCGTTCCAGCAATTCTCCTGCCTCAGCCTCCAGAATAGCTGGGTTTACAGGCGCCCGCCACCATGCCTGGCTAATTTTTGTATTTTTAATAGAGACAGGGTTTCACCATGTTGGCCAGGCTGGTCTGGAACTCTTGACCTCAAGTGATCCGCCTGCCTTGGCTTCCCAAAGTGCTAGGATTACAGGCATGAACCTCTGCGCCCGGCCTTTCTTTCTTTCTTTACCACAGTTTCAGAAGAAAAGTTAATACTTCTCCATTTAAAACTAATCTATGTTCTTCATCCAATGCCTTCTACTCTCATTTTGATCATGATCAGTTGTTTTTTCTTCTTACTTATCTCAATGTTTCCTCTTAATGTTAGATATTTAATTTAGGCCCCAGCTGTAAACATCTTGAAGTATTTATTTCATTTTCAAGCAGACTCTCCTTGAATTCATCTCAGTGGATGGATTCTAAGGTTCTTTTATTTTCTAGTCTTACTGGGTCCTACTGTTCCATAATAGAGACTAAAGCACACATTATCTCATGATGTCTGTTGATACCGTATATCATTCAGTGTGTTTACTTCACATTCTTTATTCACTCTAGCAAATGGTATATTATTATATGTAACTCCACTGTTAATGTGGTTCCACATGTATTTCTACAAAAATTCTCAACTGTTGAGGGAGAATTAATCCAATAGCACTCAACCCAGAAGACTCCTTTATTATTATTATAGTATTATTCATTACTATAGTGCCATGAGTCAATTTATAAATAAGTGTATGGATTATACTTGTTATTATACTCTACCTAATCCCTTTATCTTTCAAATTAAAGACTCACAATCTTGATTGATTGAAGACTCAGATCATCCATATGGAATTAAAGACTTTGATCTTCTGTATTCATAAGTGTAAAATTAAAATTTCTCTTCTACAATAATGTATTTTGCCAAAATGTACTGGACTAATTATCCTTTTGTTTATGAAAAGTTAATTAACAAAATTTTATAGTTAAGGGGTTTTTCAAACCTTTAAACACTTAAAAGTCAGAAACGAAGTTATACGTTTGTTTAAAAGGATCTATAGAAAAAAAATCATAATTAACTCATCAATTCATTTGGAGATTTATACATCTGCTTGAGTTTAAATAAATCTAAATAAATTATTCTTAGTATCTGTCATATCTCAATATGCTTCAAATTAATTCATTGGTTTTGTCTCCTGTGCAGGTACAGAATTATTAGTCATTATCTAATTCCAACTAGTGAAAAGTAAGATATATGAAAACCGATTTAATAAAAGAAAGGGCATCTATCATAGCATTGAATCATCTGAGTGTGTGATTGCCATTTATGAGCCTTTCATTACACTGTGCATTATGGTTGACAACAAATCATTGAAAATCTATTTAGAATTTATCTACACTCTAGATAGATGTGCAAAACATACTAATCATTGTAGTAATAACTTGTGCTTTATTGGGATTAAAATTTCAACCCCAGTATATTGAGAAATTCAGATTTGGTAGATTTATTCAATCTGATATAAACATATATGAACAATATTAAAGATTACTCCTGATTGGCAATAGATATTAGAAAAAATGTACCTTTGGTTAATAGTAAGAGCTGAAAGAAGAATGGTCAGCCATAGACATAAGCAGTATAAATCATTAAGATTAAAGAAAAATAATATTTTTTAAAATTTTTGACAAGTCAATGCATAATAAAAGCTCTGCAAATACCAGTGTCTAATACTAACCTATTAGCCAATTATTTTTTCTTAGAAATGTCAAAATGTATAGAAAGGTTTACAGAAAGGGACCTTTTGTATATATTACATGTCTAGAATTTATTTTCCAAAATTCTTAAATCCACAAAATTCTGGAAGAAACAACAATTATATAATCCACTGGTGGAAAGCACAATATGCATTGCCAAGAGATAACCTCATGCCAATTTATGGTCTTCATTTCAGTGTGATTGCATGTATGTATTACTGAAAGCATATTAATGTCTTTCATTTATAATTCCCCCAAAACATTCTTGGATAGTATGTACTTATTAATTTTATAAAACCGGAAAATTATAAGTTTTGGAAGACATATTCCCTGAGATGTTTCTGATAAGCAATTTTGGACCTAAACATCAAGAAACACTATTTTATCAAACTCTTGTCTAATTTTCGATGACTGATTTAGGAAATAAATATAAAAATAATTAACTACCTATGTAATCCTCAAGTGCATTGGACTTAGTGTGTGTAAATTTCCATGTCTCAATAAACTGGCATTAAATGCAAAACTCCCTACCCCATCTTATCGTATCTATGCAAATTGGTTTGCAGAGCAGTACTGATTTATATGGATACCCTGTTTAACTATTAATGGAGCCTTATTTCAGGCATGTCCTGATTCTGATTATAAATTAAATGTTTTATTCTCTCTCCTCATCTTCTATATTTCTTTATTCTCTCTATGTCTCCCTACCTTCCTACTGCAGTGCTAGAGAAATCTCACTCTTCTTTCAGTCAGACTCGTAACCCATCATCAGTTTAGAACTATCTGTACATATGAATAACTGAGTGGAGGTTCCAATGTCAATCTATATGTAAAATATGAGCAAACTTATTTGTTGTTCTTTTTAAGATAAAAAAATAAATAGGAATTCTAATATATTTTGACACCACAATGAATCACTTTGAGCACTTCATATTTTTCTCTTCAATCTGGGACATAGCAGGGCTTTGGAATAAGTCAGATGGAGGCCCCAAGTGTGTAGAGAAGCACTGATAGAGCATTTCGTGTCTTAAGTGAAGCTGACTTCTGGTTTTGTCATAAGTATGGTTGTTTCTTACGCAGTCTGTAGTTATTTTTTATGCAATTTTATTATGCCAAGCTTTAACTTCTAAACATAGGTAAAGTAAATTTCCTTTGTAGTTCAAAAGTCAACTTGCTTTCAAGGCAAGCTCCAATACACCTTGTCATCTTCTACTTTACTCTCTGTAGTTAAATAAGTGTGGACAAGTTTAAGAGACATTTTGTTTGGTAAAGATGTATGCATTTAGCGGCATGCCAGTTTCTCAATCATTTTTATTACTTAATAAATACTGTTATAACAAAAAAAAGGATCCTATGCAAAGTAATTTATTTTCAATAGTACCATAATGATGACAAAAATATTTGTAATGTGTTAGTGATATTTTTGTTATACCAACAGCCTATACTATTAACAATAAAATAGTTTTTAATTATTTCATTCCTTTCTATTTTTTGTTTTACTTTTTTGTTTAGGAGAGAATTTGATTCTATACAGAGACCACATTTCACTAAGCAAATAAAATTATTGCGTGTCTCTAGAACTTCACAAACTGACCACTCCTTCCAAAAATAAATTAAAATCAACCTGCCTTGGGCAAATATATGCTGTTTACTTGTGTTCTATTTCAACCTGATCAAGTGTAACAGATGTATTGCTAATATGGATCTGGAGAAGTGCCCTTAACAGATTTGACTGAACAGATGAGCAGTCAGAGAAAGTTTAGAATTACATAATCGACAATATCTTCATGACCTTTTAAAAATATCACTTACCAATTAAATCGTCACTCCTGCAATTTCTTATGAAGTTATTACAAAATAACTTCTTGAATATATGAGGCCACTTTAAAACAGAACTCACATAAATAGAAAAGAGATTTTACATTCAATTATTTCTCTGATTTCTGTTAAAGAAAATTTAATTTACCAGACTCTACTTGGGATCATTTTGATAGAGTTACAAGTTTCTAGAATGCGTCTTTTTAAAAATCATGTCCTCCTTTAAATACATTTATGGCAAATGAAAAAATCTTTACAGAAAAAAATCTTCTTACTATATTAAAAAACACGTTTAGTATATATTACTAAATTTTAATGTTATCATTCTTCTTGTTAGAAAATATAGGAAACCAAAAAGATGACTTTAGTTTGTTGTACAGAATTTCCTGTTTATGTTACATTCCCATATTGGAGCTAAGTGAAGTGTACATACATAATTTGAAGAGTGAATTAAATGCTTGTTCAGGCTGAAAGCTGTATGAATTTAGATAAGAGGGTGCAAGTAGCAGGAGGAAAAATAACCTTGGAAATTGTCTTCTGTGTTTGCTAATTCAATATGATTAGCTAAATCAAATAATGACTATCATGAATTTTCAACTTCACTTTAACATAAAAATACAAAAAGGAGATGTTTATAGAATTAATATGTTTCAATTATTGATTTGCCTTATTTTTACCATAATGCTTTCAAATATACTCTATTAATGAAATGTGTGAAAAAAAGACTTAACCCCAAAATTTTTGCCCTTATATTTCTACTTAAATGGCAAAATATAGGAAACATTTTTTTTTCTTTTTTAAACTGAAAAATGTTCTTGTAAAAATTAGTAATGTGTTTTAGTAAGTAAATGCTTGGAATTTGAATCAAGTTATCTGTTCCTTTCTCAGTGCTAAGGGCATCAGACATGACAGTTTGTCTTCTCATTTCACATTTTCAATATGCAAAGCAAATATAGGGGAGAATAAATTCATAATATATTTCAAAACAGATTGGAAACATTTTGATGTGCAGTGCTGTTCCATTAATTCTAAGCAATGGTTTATTCACAGGGTTCAATATGACCCTTCCTTTGTTTACTAGAGACTGAATAATGCTCTATAGATTTTAACAGCAACTTCAGAAAATTTCAGACAATTTTAATCTTAATGAATAAATAAAAACAGTTTTAAAAATATAAAGTACCTCATTTTTAGGAATACTAGCTTATTAATAGCAAATTAGAGTGTAATTATTATAACATAATTGGTAGTATTCCAAAATGATAATGAAAAATTCTGATCAATAATTTGTTCAATAAACATTGATGAAAGGAGACCAAAGTCCATGGAGCTGATTTTTAATATTTAAGATGATATTAACTTAAAAATCATATCAATAAATATACACATAATACCACCTGAGCTTATTTTCAGAATAACCATCGTGAAAATTGAAATTTTTCATATAATCTCTAATGGCTCACATATAGTCTATGTTTGCAGCAACCGAAATGGTAAAGTTTGGATATAACAGATACAATGTTTACAGTATTTGTAAAGTCTTTCCAATGTAATGGACACTGTTTTCTCTTTGGAATTGTAAAGCTTGACCTATTTTCGTAAACAAAGCCCCTTGCTGCTCTCAATATTTTGCATAAATATGTAAAGCAAACAATCATCACTGCCACAGAAATGCATCATTCCAATAGCCAGTTTCTCACCAATATCGGGTTTAAATTAAAAGTATTGCCTTTATTGTCTTAAATTTGATGGCAGTTATAAAACTCATGACATATAATTCAATTTGAAAATATTGTGCAATAGTTTGTGTTTAATTTTCAATCTCTCAAATATTTTAAAGATAAATATGGAGAGACACCTGATAGAGACATGAATGATTAATGTTAATAAGCATTTTGCTATTATTCTTGATGTAGCTTGTGGTTTTAGATGGATAAGTTATTTTCTAGTATCCATGCCAATATGCAATCTAAGGAACATTCAGACCATAATTATTAACATAACCTGATGACCTATAATAATCATGTGCAAAATGGTATCACTTACAAAAATTGAGTTAAAATGCATCATTAAGCAGATACTATAATAGCTGGTATTGTTCTTATTTATTCAAAGCTAATACATCAAATGGTTTACCAGCTCATATACAAAATTAAAAATAATTATGTTATGTAATAAATTGATAATTTTAACAAAAGGTAATTTTTAAAAAGCAACACATATTTGAGCAAGAAAGCATAAGGGGGCAGATAATAGGTTTCATTAATTGTTTGATCCTGGAGGTCAGTGAATATGCCACACTTTTATACATCCTGCTCCTTAGTATCTATCATTGCTACTTTTTTGTTTGTTTGTTTGTTTGTTTGTTTGTTTGTTTGAGACGGAGTCTCACTCTGTCACCCAGGCTGTAGTGCAGTGGCGCGATCTCGGCTCACTGCAAGCTCCTCCTCCTGGGTTCATGCCATTCTCCTGCCTCAGCCTCCTGAGTAGCTGGGACTACAGGCGCCTGCCACCACGCCCAGCTAATTTTTTGTATTTTTAGTAGAGACGGGGTTTCACCGTGTTAGCCAGGATGGTCTCGATCTGCTGACCTCGTGATCGGCCCGCCTCGGCCTCCCAAAGTGCTGGGATTACAGGCGTGAGCCACCGTGCCCGGCCCATTGCTACTTAAAATTCCAAGGTTCAAAGCATCTCAAGTCACTCATTTGATAATTCTAATTATTCTAATACATTCTTAACTGATTGTAAATCCATCTCTTTGAATATCTCTGGTAATGATGAATTTAGTATTTTTTAAGACAGGTTATTTTTATTTGCATGGAGCAATAAGTACCCCAAAAGTCCTTAGAGTTAAATGAAATAATTAAATAACTATCAATATCTTAAATATCTTAGTCTATGGGGAAGAGGAAGTCCATAAAATCCGCAAATTCTTCAGTGTTCCCTATTTAAATCTCCTTGTTAAAGATTTTGTATATGTTTTCACTAAATAACTCAAGTATTTCAAAAACAAAGTAATAATTTGATATTCTATTGGGACCTATTGATCTGACACAATTTATCTGATAGGAATTTCAGCACACAAAATTTTCTTTTAATGGAATTATTACTTGAAAATAAATTACCAAAGATTTCAAGTACTTCCCCATTTCTTTATGTTGATGCTACTGATGACATGGAATGATTAAACATGGTACAGATCATTTTCTGAAAAATCAATAAATGTGTAGTTATCAAAACAGAATAATAAGATTATTCATGAGATAGCTAATTATTACTAAAAAGAAACTTACAAGGATTTTACTGTTATATGCAAATGTTGGAAAACCAACAAGGTAGATCATGATTAGGGAATACAATGGAACAGAAAAACTTTCTAGACAAGATAGGACAAGAGAGCACACACAAAAAAATAGAAAGAATGAATAGAGCTACTATTTGATAACACAATAGGGTGACTAGAGTCAATAATATTTTAATGATATATTTTTTAAAAATACAACTCTTCTGTTTTTGTTTGTGTGCTTGAAGCAGAAAGCAATCTTGAAAAGCCGCAACTATTGCCTCAGAAGACTGAGAAACGAACAGTTCATTCCTGTAATTATTACATATAAGAACTGCAAAATTGTTTGTAATAATAAAAAACTTGGAGCAAACTAATTGCCCACAGATAAATAGCAATTAGGAGAAATACCTAATGTAGATGACAGGTTGATAGGTGCGGCAAACCTCCATGGCACGTGCATACCTATGTAACAAACCTGCATGTTCTGCACATGTATCCCAGAACTTAAAGTATAATAATAAAAAAAAAAAAGAAAAAGAAAAAGAGAGCTATCTATATGCATTGATGTGGAATAAAGACCCATATATCTGTTAATACAAATACAAGTTAGGAATAGGTTTATAGGACTATTCCACTTAGGTACAAACATGTGTGTGTAAATATTGGAAATTAGGAGAGGTTTAAAGTGGGTCTTACTGAGTGGGTAGCTAATTCAGCAGGGTGTGGAAAACTTGGCAAGATTACAGTAATGATTTTAATTATATGTTCTTCTGTATTACTTGAATTATTTTGACTTAAACTGGTTATTGTATTCTAAATTAAAAGTAATTCTTTTAAGTAAAAAATATCACTCAATATTCACAGAGAGGCAGAATACATTCCAATGAAGCGGTAATACTACGGCTCAATTTTAGCACAGAAAATCTTAAGAGTCAGTGTTTACATTGGATTTCCCATAAATTCTGCAAAATCAAAAGTTTCAAAAATAAATACATGCCTATGTCTCAATAAAATGAGTTAAACATCACTGTTTTCTTTTGAACAGTGAACTTTTAATACAGAGTTCAATATAGCCTTTTAGGGAATTACCAGAGATATCAAAAATTAAAGTAAAAAAAGAATCTGATAGAACAATTAACAATTATTCTAGTCTGTAATCCCAGCAATTCAGGAGGCCAAGGTCGGCAGATCTCCTGAGCACAGAAGTTCGAGACCAAACTGGGCAACATGATGAAACCCCGTCTCTACTAAAAACACAAAAATTAGCCAAGTGTGGTGGTGCCTGCAGGTAGTCTCAGGAACTTGCTACTCCAGAGGCTAAGGTCAGAGGATACCTTGAGGCCAGGAGCTCCAGGCTGCAGTGAGCAGTGATCCTGCTACTCCATTCCAACATAGGTGATAGAGCCAGACCATCGCAAAACAAAACAAAACAAAACAACCCCGCCCCGGCTCCATAAAAAATATTACTCTGTTTCTTAGATGTAAACTTACAAAAAGCAACGGGAGAAGTATTTTTCTTTCTCTCTCAAGAGCATAACCATGGTATCACGTCCTATATTTCTTGTCTTTCTTGACTTTTCAGGCATTAAGAAAGTGTTAAAATATTTTTTTCCTAAAGTTTAAGAATTTTAAACATATATCTGTATATATATTAATATGTGTGTGTGTGTAAATTTTGTGAAAATAATTTTTCACACAGATTTTAAATACCTCTTGGTAGAATAGAGTTCACAGCATTCCCTGATGTATTATATACTAGGTGACTTTGATGTGATGTGGAATCATGACTGGGCAGTAGAAAATTGTATGTCCTGTGAGGAAGATAAAGAAACAGAAAATAGCGATATAATCCAAATTTACAAAAATTGAATTTCCAAATTGACAGTATTCAGGAGAAACGCTTCACCAGAGCGTTCCCGGATTGGAGCACCCACAAGGGTTAACCGAATGTGTACCTAGACAGTGGACATTGCCAAGTCTGCAGGGCCTTAACAACTGCCCAGGGCATGAAGAAAATGATACGGTAATAAGTTTGCTACTTACTGTGAGAGACAGTACTCACAAATATTCCTCCAGCTCTCCTATGTTTCCCAGCATTCTTTGTAGTCCGGTTGGAGTCAATTCTGTTCAATGACTGTGAAGAAAAATAATTTGTGCCACTTCCTTCTACTTCATTTTGTCACCTTGCCTCCACTGAGACCTCAGAAACCTAACGTTCCACAAGATAGAATTACAAATGGAAAAAGGCTTTCCTGATTCATATCAGGATTTACTTGACTAAGAAATAAAATTTCAGCGAGTGAAACCACCCATATTTTATAGCATTTGTTGAAATGATAGCTAGCATTTATTGTCCTGACAAACATGCTTTTATTTGTACGGTACACAGAGACTTGAACAATAATCATTTTGACTTTGAACATGATAACATGAAGTCCATTGTCCTTACCACAAATGTAATAGGTTGGACAAGTTGGAGTTTTACAATCTCAATGGAAGGAAGAAATTCTCCTCCCCTATAATGACAGAATGGTTTTATAACTAAGATATAGCCTGAATCTAGACTAACATAACTTCAAACTGTGGGGAGAAATATTACTTAGAATTTGCAGACACCCTTTGTTTTAAGAATCATATTTGAAGAAATACCGATCATACAAAATGTGATGATATGTGATTTAAAAATTATGCCTGTCTCATATGAAGAGGCCAGCCATACCAGAGATATTTAGTAAAAATAATATGACAGAAAAACCTAATTGAAAAATTAACAGTATTCTATTTTTGTAGAGGTAGAATTATCAGCAATGAAAAGAAGTAAAGATAATTTATTTCTCTCTGCGATGCAAAAATATATGCACTGTTGAGTAGTAATACAAAATTATTATGAGTAAATTAATAATTTTGCCAATAAATCTATTTGTCTAATATGTGCATTATACCAAGATACACATAATTTTTTTCCTCTTACACTTAAAGGTGACTAAAATGAACTATAACAAGTTTTCTGGATTAAGTTTTCTGGATTGAATAAACATTGATTTTTTTAAATTTCCAAATTAAAAAGGTGGTGGTTGCAAATAAAAATAACTAAAACCAAGCATGAGTTGGTTGAATTTTACATATTTTAATTTTTTAATTAAGTGAAATTCTAGGCAGTGAAATGCACAAATTTTAAGTGTATAATTCTGAGTTTAAACAAGTACATACATATTACAATCAACAAATCAGTCAAGATATAGTATATTTCCTCAGATATATATATATATATATAAACACACACGTATATATATATACATGTATGTGTTTGTGTGGGTATGCATATACATGTAGACACACATATAAAATTTTATTAATATTATAAGAGCAATTTTAAAAATATTTTATTTTCCAATTGTTTTCTCAGATTACATAGAAATAAAATCGATTCTTATAAATTGACCATATGTCCTATGATACTGCCAAATTCATTTATTAGTTTTAGTAAAAATGTTTTCTAATTTCTTCATGATTTTCCACATACACAATCATGTAATATGCAAAAAAGAAGGTTTTATTTTTCCCTTGATAAATTTATGGCATCTTACTTTATTTTATTTTATTTACTTATGTTTTGCCTTGCTGCACTGGCCTGGACATCCAGTGCAGTATTTAAAAATATTCTTATCTTGTTCCTGATCTTAGGAGAAAGACTTCAAGGTCTCACCACTAAGTGTAACATTGGCTGCAGGTGTTGATATGAGCCATTTTTCAGATGAGGGTATCCTTTTCCATTCCTAATTGTTGAGAGTTTCTTTATGATGATGAATTGGGTTGATTTTTAAGTGTTATTTCAATATCTTATATTTTATTCTCCAGTATTCCATTAATATGGTGGATTACATGTTTGTGTTTTTGAATGTTTAAATTTAAACTAAACTTATATATCTAAAATTATTTCCAAGTGGTCAAAACATTTTTTTAAATATATGTCTGGGAAAACTAGAAAGCCGTATGTAGAAGAATGAAACTGGATCCCCATCTCTCACCTTATGCAAAAATAAATTTAAGATGGATCAAAGGATTGAATCTCGACCTAAAACCCTAAAAATTCTAGAAGATAGCATCAAAAAACTCTTCTAGACATTGGCTTAGGCAAAAAGTTCATGACTAAGACTCCAAAAGCAAATGCAACGTAAACAAAAATAAATAAATGGGACCTAGTTAAACTAGAAAGTTTCTGCACAGGAAAAAGAATAATAAGCAAAGTAAACAGAAAATCCATAGATTGGGAGAAAATATTTGCAAACTATACATCCAACAAAGAACTAATACCCAAAATCTACAAGAAGCTCAACCAATTAGCAAGAAGAAACAAATGATCCCATCAAAAGGTAGGCAAATAATATGAATAGACAATTCTCAGAAGAAGATACATAAGTAGCCAATAAACATATGAAAAAGTGCTCAATATCGCTAATCACCAGGGAAATGCAAATTAAAAACACAAGGAGATATCACCTTAGTCCTGCAAGAATGGTCATAATTAAAAAGTCAAAAAAATACATTTTGGTGTGGATGTGGTGAAAAGGGAACATTTTTTACAATGCTGGTAAGAATGTAAATTAGTACAATTACTATGGAAAACAGCATGGAGATTCCTGAAGAACTAAAAGTACAACTACCATTCAATCCAGTAATCCCATTACTGGGTATCTATTCAAAGGAAAAGAAGTTGGAACTAAACTAAGTGCCCATCAACCAAGTGGATAAATAAAATGGCCTCCAACTTCATCGAAGTTGCTGTGAATTCCAGTATTTTGTTCCATTTTATGGCTGACTAGTATTCCATGGTGTGTGTGTGTGTGTGTGTGTGTGTGTGTGTGTGTCAAATCAAATTCTATAAATACCTCCTTTTTGTATTTTTATGTGAAAGTGAAATTGAAAGTTCATGATAGCCGTTATTTGATTTAGCTAATCATATTGAATTATCAAACATAGAAGACAATTTCCAAGGTTCTTTTCCTCCTGCTACATGTACTCTCTTTTTTAATGTGTGCTATGGATTTGGATTGTGATAGGAAGAAAGAGTAAGAATTCATGTTTTTTGATAGATAGATTGATCTACATATCAATCTACGGATAGACAGTCATAAAAATGTACATAAAATGGTAGCTTTATCTCATGACGGGTCTAATAGCATAATGCTCTGGTGTCAATAAGGAAAACTAATACCCAAGTCTTGATTTCTAATTAATATTCCTCATTTAAAGAAACAAAGATTGGCTGGGCACGGTGGCTCACGCCTGTAATCCCAGCACTTTGGGAAGCCAAGGTGGGAGGATCACCTGAGGCTGGGAGTTCAAGACTAGCCTGACCAACATGGGGAAAACCCGTCTCTACTAAAAATACAAAATTAGCCAGGCATGGTGGCACATGTCTGTAATCCCAGCCATTCGAGAGGCTGAGGCAGGAGAATCTCTTGAACCGAGGAGGCGGAGGTTGCAGTGAGCTGAGATCATGCCATTGCACTACAGCCTGGGCAAGAAGAGGGAAACTCTGTCTCAAAAAAAAAAAAAAAAAAAAAAAGAAGAGGAGAAAAAGAGAAAAGAAACAAAGATTGCTGTGTGATATTTCGTGGATAGGTTAGAAAAATTACAAAATGAACCTAAAACATTGTTTTAGAAAGAAAGTAAGTAAGGCCTCAAAGAATCATAAAACATGTCAAAAGGACAGGGAAGTCAACTAGGAAGTGCTTTCATTGGTAAATCTGTGACAGTTTGAGTATAAAAATGAATAAGGTAGTCATAGATTGTAACTCTTTGAATAAAAGAAGAATTCATCATTTTAAAGTACACATATATGTATATAGTGATTAATGAAATAATAAATAAGATAAAAGCAAAATGGCTATTAGTAAATAAAGAAAAAATAAGGATAATGTATTAAAAATTATAATGGATAATAAACCCAATGGGATAAAGTTTGAAAATTAACGAAATATTACATAGACACAAAGTATTCCCTACACATTACTTATTAATTATAAATTGAAAGGCAGTGACTTATCAGGGTAGAAAACTTGTTGTCACTACCTTAACAATTCATCAAAACTAACATTACTATTATTAGGGTAAGTCAACATCACATACTTCCAAACAGGATATACTGTGAAGGATAAATCAGTTTATTGACATTTTTGAAAATCTCATCACCTGAATCTAATTAAGAAGAATCTGTATGTAATACCAACTAGAGAGGCATTCTACAAAATAACTGGTTTCTACTCTTCCAAAATTTCAATTAAGAAAGATACAGATAAATAGTGGGAGATAAACCTAATGTAAATGACGAATTAATGGGTGCAGCACACCAACATGGCAATGTATGCATATGTAACAAACCTGCACGTTGTGCACATGTACCCTAGAACTTAAAGTATAATTAAAAAAAATAAAGAAAGATACAGATAAATAGTGTAAGACATTGCTACAAATTACAAGAGAATAAAAAGCCTTGACAATCTAAATAAAATGCATAATGCCAGACTGGAATGAGGACTGGGAAAACTAACAGCTTCAGTGAACAATAGTAGGAGAATTGGCTCTGTTTATCTTGGATTATATTACTTATCTCCTTAAATAAAATCAGAATTTATGATTATATGCTGAGAAACAGTGTGGATAGATGGATTGATGTATAGATATAAAAGAATAAATAAATTGGATAGGAGCTAATTGATAGCTAGTAAAAAAGAAGTAACAATGTACTTATAAATTATCATGGATGCTGAACTAAAAAGGTTTGATAAGTAACATAATAATTACATACACAGATATGTATGTGTTTATTAATAGATGTACTTTTGTGAATTTCAACAATTTCATATGTACAAACATATGTATCCATACCTTGATTGGCTATTCAAATTGACCCCTTACATATACATTGTAAATGAAGATAAGAAACTTCTCTCTACGAATTTTCTAGACCATTTCTTCACGATTTGAAAATGCATATATTTAAGATAATTGTATTTGATAGGAGATGACTATTGTGCATTGTTATTTGGTTTGATAATTTTCTTCAAAATGAATAAAACTCTTGCTAGATATGAAGCTTTCAGCTTAGTCATATCTGAGTCATGCCAATCAAAAAGGCAATCTGAAAACTGAAGATTCTGTGAATAGAGCATTAATTTTACTGCTGAATAATTTAAATGTGGTTACACAGATATTCCTCAAATCTCAAAGTGATTTTATAAGCCACAAATATGCTCTTGTAACTAGCAAATTTATGTTCACAGATAATGTAGAAAAAGTTTTAGCAGTAGAGAATGAGGAAAAAAGGAGGTAGCATTAAATATTAAAATTTGGAATCATGCAGGATATGGTTAACATCTTCATCCAAAAAGACATTTGTAATGAGGACAAAGATTATTCAGGAAATAATCATTTGAACTGCTGTATGCAAGAATAAGTAATCATATATTTTCAAGTAGTTTGAGAAAAAATGATTTTTCTGAATTCAATAGTTCTTATAAATCCTTTTTGCTTATATGAACAAAGTTGGAAGCTATATGGACAATATAGCCAGATTATTTAAACTGTGTAGATAAACATTCAGAATAGTGTAATCCAAATATAATATTTTATTTTCTCATTTATCTTAATTTTAATCTCAACATACACATTCCTTTTCTATTTTTGCATAACAAATGACACACAGTAACTTGGGCATGATTTAACTGAATCGTCTTACGATCTCATAGGCGGCAATCAAGATGTGTGCTCAACAATATTCTTTGGCGAAGATCAGGCTCCTCTTCCAAGTTCATATGGTTGTTAACAGAATTTAATTCATTTTGTTTTGCTGGCTGTCAGCAGGGACTGTTCTCAGCTCCCACACCTGAACACACGATTTTCTCACACACTCTCTCACAACAGGGCTGCTTACAGTAGAAAAATACTTTTTGTGTCTGAACGTGTCTCTCTTAAAGAGTGTCATTTGATTAACTCTGGCCCATCTGGCATAATTCTCCTTTTGTGTAATTCAAAAACAACACATTTAGGAACTTATTCTCATCTGGAAATTCCCTTCATGCTTGCCACGTTGTCACAAAGGTGATCTCCATCTATTCACAGGTTCCATTCACCCTCAAAAGGAGACATATTATGGGGTGTATATATCAGAGAGTGGGATTTGAATCATTTTAGAATTCTGCCTATCACAACTTTATCATTTTGTATTCCTGAATAGTAAATAATCACAAATTTGCGAGTTAATGCAGCCTTCATTATTTTCTCAGGGTTGCTCTAGGTCAGGAGTTTGGGGACAGCACAAGTAGGTTCTCTGATTGGGACCTCACAGGGTGTGAACCAAGAGTAAATGGGGGCTGACATCTCATCTAAGATTCATAGCCCAATTCTAAGTTTATCAGTCGTTGGTATAATTCAGTTGCTTGCAGTTGTAGAACTGAGAACTTTGTTTTTCTTCCTAGCTATCAATTGGGACCATTTCAGCTCCTAGAGACTGCCTGCCAAAGTCTGCCCCATGACACGTTCTACAACATAGTAGGTTTTTTCCATAAGGGCAGCAAGAGAATATTTTTCACTTCAATTGAATCTGCCTTATTTTAAGTTATTTCAGGTCTACTCATGTTAATGACTGCAGACAGTCCCTGACTTATGATGGTTCAACTTAAGACTTTTTTGACTTTACTGTGGTGCAAAACAGATATGCATTGAATATGCTCCACTACTTACAGTGGGGTTATGTCTGGAGAAACCCATCATAAGTTGCAAATATTGTTAAGTAGAAAATGCACTTTTGACTTATATTTTCAACTTCTGATGGGTTTATCAGGATGTAGCCATCATAAAAAGAGAGCATCTATATTTTGATTAACTAAAACTCAACCGATTAGGGGCCTTGATCACATCTTTAAAATTCCCTCAATGTATTTAAAGAACAATTAATCTCTCCATGTATTTTAAAAACGATTAATTTTTTTTAAAAATCCTGTTATAATACAAGGTAATATAATCACATCATATTCACAAGTTGCATTCACAATCTAAGAGAGAAGATTAGATAGGACATATACAACAAGGGATTAGAATCTTAGAAATATGATTATTTGTGAAATAATTAATTGGGGCATATATCTTCATTTTTCTTTTAAAAATGTTTTATTTTATTTTTCATTTTTGTGGGTACATAGTAGGCCTAAATATTTATGGATTATATGAGATATTTTGATACAGGCATACAATGTGTTATAATCACATCAAGTTATTTTTTTCAATTTAAAGCTGTGCTATATTCCCCTTCCTGTGTCCATGTGATCTCATTGTTCAATTCCCACCTATGAGTGAGAATATGTGGTGTTTGGTTTTTTGTTCTTGCGATAGTTTACTGAGAATGATTGTTTCCAGCTTCATCCATGTCCCTACAAAGGACATGAACTCATCATTTTTTATGGCTGCATAGTATTCCATGGTGTATATGTGCCACATTTTCTTAATCCAGTCTATCATTGTTGGACATTTGGGTTGTCACACTCTGGGGACTGTTGTGTGGTGGGGGGAGGGGGGAGGGATAGCAGTGGGAGATATACCTAATGCTAGATGACGAGTTAATGGGTGCAGCGCACCAGCATGGCACATGTATACAGATGTGACTAACCTGCACAATGTGCACATGTACCCTAAAACTTAAAGTATAAAAAAAAAAAATTGAATAAGTCAAAGGACTAGAAAATCTTCAGTGAATGTAATCACTGTTCATGAATGTAAAAAGGTTTTTCTTTTTGTTCAAAGATGTACCCACCTAAACAATATCTGATATATAGTAAGTGTTCAGTGTATATTTATTGACTTAATAAAAGAGATATTTGGACATGAAAAAAAAAGCTGTGCTATAGTGACTTTATGTGTATTTTTTCTATATAAGCATTTAAAAAAGTAGTGATACAAATACAAATTAAAATAAATTAAAACAATAATTTCACTTAGCTCTTATCAGATGAGTAAGAGGCACATAGACTTTTTCCTGGTGTAATAGATTAAAGCATTCTGGAAAAACTCAGATAATACTAGATATCCATTATTATTTAATATTAAGTTTTTAATAAGAGTTGTTACATTATTGCTATTAAATTTTAAGGTGAATCATAAGAATTTAAGGCATTTATTTGAGATGACTTGAAATAATCATTTCTAAGCTCTTAGTTTCACACAAAATGAAAAAAGAGATCAGAAAATACATGGAGAGAAGTTCAAAACTGTAGCACTGAAGGACCGCATGCCTGGAGGAACCCTTAAGTAAGAAATGCAAAACTTGTTCTCTTGCCATCCCACCCCAGTCAATAGGCTCCAGAGTAATGACTCTACAAGGGAGACTTCCAAAGCGAACCTCGAACACCACAACCATGAACATATTCCCGAATGGTTCACAGTGCATTTGTGTACTTAAATATTTCTGGAAATACTTGTTCATTTTTTTTCTGAAAACATTATACATAAATGAGCAACTTCTAATTCTTAGATTCCCTAGTCTTGGTTTACCATTATTTTGATCTGTTAGAGAGTTTTTGCCTAGATTTTTGTTTGTTTCCTTTTTTGCATATTTAATTAACCATTGTTTCTCCCTTCAATTTACTTTCATGTACCTAGGTTCAGACATGTCTCTCCTTGTTTTGGGGAGTCAGCTAATTGGGAATAAAATCTTGATTTCAGTCTCTAAACTGTGTCCTCGCTAGACTCTTCTCCACCCTTCCCCAACCCATCCACAACTCTGGATTCAGATTTCTAAGAGGAGAAGTACTGAGATCACTAGATACTTTCTCAAGTATCTTCTCAGAAGCTACAGCGTTATAAGGAGAAGTGCTGAAAAGTAGATATGAAAATACTATCAACCTAAAAAAAATACAATAGAGAAAATTGTCTCTAAATATATTGGTTTTATTTGAGAATAAGAAATGAGGATTATAATCTGGAATGCATGGAATGATAAAATCCGCAGTGCATTCAGTGATGGAAGGGTAAGAGGCACTTTTACTAGCAAAAAGAGATTTACGTAAGTTCCTTAGAAATAGATTTCATTGGTCCCAGAGGTTCAAAGTCAGAGATGTTGTCAGTTCATTGGTGGAGATGCTGTTACTGGGCAATTGTTTTTCTGAGAACATCTTACCTGAATGACAGAAGTCCTAAAGAATGCCTAAGTGATAACCTTTATCAATGCAGGAGATATGTGAAGGACATAAAAGGGATTTTAGAAACAGTTCTTATCTCAAACACATACGCATGAGTCCTTAGAAACAGTTCTTATATCAAACACATAAGCATGAGTCTCCTCACCTTCAGGGCTTTACATATTCTATTTTGTTCGGGAAGACAAAAATGATTTCATCCTGGTATCTGTAACATTCACAGTACAAACACTCTATATATGTTTTGTCACACTTCTGGGGTCAATCTTGACAACACATGGGATAACCTGGTGAGGTAAGTTTTTCTCTGACAAAGTCTCTACCAAGATTCATTGTCCTCATGGAGGCATAAAACACTGTGCCAGTGATGGAACACCAAGATTAAAAAAATACTAAAAGGATAATCAAATAATGAAATATATAGCCGCAAAATTCTATATGATGTCATGATATTTGTTACATAAACCTGACAATAAAAACTTAGAAACATTGTATATAGTAATATATACAGAGACATAACTTGTGTTCAATACTGTTTAAAGCATTTTAGCTTAATTATGATTTGCTGAAACATCTTGTGTTCTTTGGCTTTAGAAATAGACCTTCTTTTTCAAAAGTCAAAAGTTTAGACTCATTCTCTACGATGCTATCCTTTCTAAATGTATTTGTCTCTATGACCAGTATGTTAATGGTCATAGAGAATAATAAATATTTTCAGAGAGAAAAGTCAACATTTTCTCTTTAGCAGAAATCTGTGGACAGCTATTTGCCTTTATTGTAAAACAGAATTATTCTAATGCAGATATCTCCTAATGGCAAAAAGAAGAATAGTGTTCGTAACTTTTACACTGCTTCTGTTAACTGCTCTTGTTTTATCAGAAATATCTTGACTCTGTTAATACATTTTCTATTGAGGTAAATTATGTAATAATCTAGGCCACAGGTTCCTTGACTATAAAAGCAGTTTGAAAAGACAGGAAGTTACTTTCAGCAACAAGATTTTTTAGTCTGACTTTCCCTGCCCCTTCTGTTTACAATGTTATTCTTCCTTGGCTCACTCTTTATCATTAATGAAATGGCCACATGTTAATGCTCAGCTATCCTGTAATTGCTGAGTGTTGTTTACTTTCATGAATTCCTGTTAAATATATACAATGTAAAATTATAGATTTTTATTATTTGTATTATTATTCACTATATACAATAATTTATATCATTCAGATCACAATATCCTCATGTGTTGAGAAATTATTTCATAGCTTACACTTGTAATATATTATGAGTTGCCTAGGAAGAAAAGATGTTTCAGGCTTCAAGTTGCTTTTTGTTAAACATAAATGAGGAGCGGCAGATGTTGATGAGAGTATCTGAGAAAATTCCAGTTTCCAGTTTTTCTTTTCATGTACTGTAGATTAGAGATCAGTTATATCTCTCTGGCAAAAGAGAAGGGAAATATCATCTTATCATTTTTGTACTTACACTGAGCTATCAGTGGAGCTGTTCTTTAAAATAGAATACAGATACTTCTTACAGTTTTTGACATCAGTAAGAGGTATAAGGATAACACACTATGTAATAGCTTGATGTCTCTTTATGTTTGGAATCTTTTCCAGGCCCTTCCAGAAAGAATGGGATACCTGATGTTTGTCCCATGCCAGCCTAAATAGGTGGCTAGCCATTTACCAAATGATGTCCAAAAGAAAGTACAGAGTGAAAGTAGGGTAAATGAGAATAAGTGCCCAGCAGGATAAAGGAAAAAAAACATAAGAAGGTCCTAAGAGCAGATGTTTAGAGCCTCAGAACCAATGAAATAATGAGGTACGAAAGCAAAGCCAGGAAGAAAGGACAGACAGAAACAGGCCAAGGGGAAGACCTTTTGTCCTTTTGTGGTGTCTCGTCTCTTCTTAAAGATGAGTATATGGAAATTAGAGATATTAAACTCAAATATGTGTGTGTTTTAGTTAATTCAATACAATTTATTTCAAAGATTTCTACAAGCATTTATTAAAGGTTGTTTAACCAGTGCTACTTTACCTGAATATTTTGTATTCAAAGATAGATGAAGCTAATTAAAGTATATTATATATTATATATATATTATATAGAGAATAATAAGAATTTCTATATAGTGCATATTTAATAGAAATCTACCACTGTTTTCATAAAAAATCCAACTGCTTTCAGAAATGAAGTAGATTTAAACTATTTTTGTCCCTCTGAATTAATAGTTACAAGCAGTGGATGGATGATACAGGTTACATTCAGACAGCAGTGGTCTGCCCTAAAACTGTTAACATATGGTAATGATCCTTTCATATCTTTTATCTGTTCTACATTTTCTTCCAAAAGAAAATTATGTAAAGGTCACCACAGTTTGTGGAGAAAACATAAAATTTTACTACTATTCTGTAGTAAATCCAACAGAATGAGCACAAGTTAATTAAAATATTTACCCCCTTGGCTGTTATGAAATTACCTGCACACAGTAAGAGTATAAAATAGTCTTACCTGATTTATGTGATTGATAAAATATGTTGTAGATTTGTGTGACTGATAAAAACTGGTACCCAGGGAGGAGATATATATATATATATATATATATATACACACACACACATATATATATACACATATATATGTATATATATGTATATATATATAATATATACATATATATAGTGTGTTTGTGTGCATGTGTTTCCATTTTTAAAGTTTTTAGCATGTAAATTATTTTAGTTTTCTTCTAATAAGAAATTAAGTTTGCTGTAAAAGATGTAGAGGGAAATAAGTTCATTTTTTTAATCTAAAATGTTTCTTGTGGTTGATGCATCTTATTTTCTTATAACACATTTCTGAACACATATTTTAAGTTACTATGCAAGTATTTTAGGAGCAAATATTAAAAGGGACCTCAAAATGGTATGTAAAGCTGTGGTAAGCAAAATATGCCAAGGCAATATTAGAATACAAAAGTTATCATAATTTTAGTTATGAAGGTTATTGGGTTTCGGGTGAGGAAGAGAAAACTCACCTGCTTATTGATGGAAGAGTAAGAGTTTGCAGGATAAAAATGGAAGCCAAAGCTTCAAATGAGGGATAACAACATGTACTACAATTGCAATGGAAAAAAACTGAGCTTTTAAAAGAACTGGCAATGCCGTGGAGCTATAGTTGAGTGAATAAAAAAGATTATACGTAACTTGAGGTTGAACTAGTAGGTACAGAAAGACTTTAGAGTGAATTCTAAATCCAATGGATGCTCTATTAACATTTGAGAAATACTATTCATGATTCCGCCTGAAAAATTAGTTAGAAACAAACAAAATTATAAGGGAAAGAGAAATAAATGTATCAATAATTTTGGAGAAGAGTTAGAGGAAGTTGGATTATGAAGGTGACAGCAGAGAATGAAGGAAATGCAAGGAATTCAAACAGATTGTGTAGTTCTAATTCACAGGACTTGGTGATGAGCTGGATGTGTGTTTTGAAGAAAACACAATATGTAAAGAATGAGACCCAAGTGGTTTTAATTGAACAACTGCATGGATTAAAATTTTATTTACTGAGCCTTGTTGTTAGGGCCAAGCATTGTAAAGAATTCTGATTCTTATGAAGCAAATGTTGAAGATGTTAAGTAGGTTTATGTGGATAAATAAATATGTAAATAAAGTAAAATTAATTATAATTACATTATA
This sequence comes from Homo sapiens, assembly GCF_000001405.40. NCBI lineage: Eukaryota > Metazoa > Chordata > Mammalia > Primates > Hominidae > Homo > Homo sapiens. The sequence continues at coordinate 194,677,065 of NC_000001.11, read as the reverse complement.
CATAAATAAATTAGGGCAATTTTAGGTTCAGTTTTTAAATATCCTGATGTCTAATATTATGAAATATTAATTAATGACCTTACTGAATTGTTTAAAAATGTTAAAACCACTAAAGACATGAAAGAAGAAATATGAAAAACAAAGGACTTATATGTAGATATTTAAAGAACTATAAACCAATGTTAAAATTGGACAGATGCAGTTTTAACCTGGATAATTAAATACTGGAAAAGATGCAGAGTAAGTGTGAAGGCAAATATAAAACGGCACCAAAGTTGGGGAGTTTCTTATAAAATCTAATTTATTCTGATCATACAACCCAACATTCTGTCTTGCTATTTGCCCCAGGAAAAATGAAAATATGTGTCCACATAAAAATCTGAATGCAAATGTATAGTGGTTTAAATATAAAATGGAAAATATCTAAATGTCTTTTTAAAACAATATTAAATATATTTTCATAAAATTCTTCCATCTTTAATCAGCTACTGTGCTGATAAATCTGCAAGAGTTGTGTATAATTCACGGTATTATCCAACCTCACTTGACCAGGGGCCATGTTTTTTTAAAATGGAGAACTAGATCTAAATGGTCATAGAACCCACTTTGGAAACATAAGTCTATGGGAATACTTTGGGGACCAAATAATTCAGTTCTATAAATCTATGCAAAGTAACATGCAAAATATGGAGAATTGTATACTATAAAGTATAGTTTATTATTTAAAAATATACAAATGTTCAACAATGGAGGAATGGTTAAGAAAATTATTTTAGTCAATAAAATATCACATGACCAATTGTGATAGATGGGAATACTGTGGTAATGAGTAAGTATATGTGTACATACATATACATGTATATATATATATATATATTTATATACTGAAAAAAGCTGGAATAAAGATGTTTCACAATTATTACAGCTATATAAAGAAAAAGGAAGCATATCAAAATATTAACATTAAGTATATTAGGATTATAATATTGCAAATTTTTTAAATATATATTTTCTTTTTAAAATAGTCTCTGAGAGACTTTAGCACCAGATCTGCCAATTCTATCTCACCAACTAGAAGGGCGGATAGAAGGTGTAAGGATATTTTGAATCATCTCCGGAAGTGTAGTTCTAAGAGAGTCCCCCAGAGAGAGTTATTTCTAGGTAGTGGGGGAGGGACCGGAAATTAAGTAAGAATTCCCTTAAGAATCAGTGGCTGGTTAGTTAAGTGGCCTTCATCTTTGGTGAGGTGTGTTCCTTTCTTTTAAAAACAATTGTTTATATAATTGGCACACAACAATTGCACATAACACTGCATGTTCGTACTTACATGGAATCTTAAAGAGTTGATTTCAGAGAAGTAGGGAGTAGATATTGGTTACCAGAGGCTGTTTGGGGCGGGAGGAACCTAAAAAGGTTGATCAGTAGATCAAAAGCTTTCATAAGACAGGAAGAATAAGTCCTGGCATTCTATCACACAGTAGTATGATCATAGCAAATAGCAATTTAGTGTCTATTTCAAGATAGCTAAAAGATAAGATCTTGTGTGTTGTCATCACAAATAAATGATATATGTTTAAGGTGATGAATATGATAATTACACTATGTATACAAGCATTGAAACAAAACATTGTACTCCATAAATATATACAAATGTCTTTAACTTTTAATGGATGAAGGAACTGTGATACAGTCACATATACTAGAATGCTATTGACCAATAAAAATAATGGTTAAACTTTTGATACATTCAGCAGCAGAAATGAATCTCAAGCGCATTAAATGAGAGAAGCCAGACTCGAAAGACTACATACTGTAATAATCCATTTATAAAACATGCTAGTATAGGCAAAATTATTGAGGCAAGAAATGTATCAATTGCTGTTGGTACACAGGCTCAGGGAAGTGATGTAACACAAAGGGGCATTGGGGAACTTTTTGTGGTATTGGAAAGATATATCATGATCGTTTTTCCACAAAGCATTTGTCAAAATCCAGAGAACTAGATGGAATTAATGATTTATTTTGCTATATGTAAATTTTAATTCAGTAACATGACTAAAAAACCATATGTACATCCAGCTATCAATTTTATCAGTACATAAAAGTGTTCTGTATGAGTGATAGTAAACTTTAGTATCTGTATTAAATTAAAATTAACATAAACTGTTTTCAGATTTTGTCTATCAGGTTAGCAGAATTAAACAATTTGTAATGTTTTATATCAAACTCACAAACATATTAAAATATAGAATATTCAAACTATATTTATTTGATAACACATTTTAATCTATTTACTTATTTATTTATTTATTTATTTATTTATTTATTTTGAGACAGAGTCTCGCTCTGTCGCCCAGGCTGGAGTGCAGTGGCGCGACCTTGGCTCACTGCAAGCTCCCTTTCCCGGGTTCACGCCATTCTCCTGCCTCCGCCTCAGGAGTAGCTGGGACTACAGGCGCACGCCGCCACGCCCAGCTAATTTTTTGTATTTTTAGTAGAGACGGGGTTTCACCGTGTTAGTCAGGATGATCTGCATCTCCTGACCTTGTGATCCGCCCGCCTCGGCCTCCCAAAGTGCTGGAATTACAGGCTTAAGCCACGGCGCCCAGCCTATCTTTTTATTCTTAGCAGGAATAACAAGTAATTTAAAGCAGTAACAGAAGTGTCCTGTTCTTTAAAAATTCCTAGTGATCAAATTAATAAAAGTTGTACGTCTTATACTTAAAAATAACAACTCTTTACAAATGGAGGGAAAATAAAAGGAAATTTAAAAGGAAAATTTAATATCCTATTTTATAGGCTGATATGATGGTCAGTGGTGGTTTTGGATTCTGCATGTTAGAGTCATTCACTGCAGCTACAACAACGATGTTTTTAAAATCACATATTCTTACTATTGCCCATGTTATCTAGTTATTATTGACAAAAACGCTATTTCTAATCATTTCCTTATTTTAATGAATAAATATTTTTTTTCTTTGAACGCTACACAATTTACAAGAGGAAAAGAAGCCAGGCTCCAAGGGCATACACTGGGGAAAGCACAGTCTTCTCAAAAATGATGCTGGGAAACCTGAATATCCATATCCAGAAGAATAAAGCTCTCACCACATGGAACAATCAAAATGCATTAAAGACTTAAATCTAAGGCCTGAAACTAAGAAACTACTTTAAAAGAAACAACGGCAACACTGAGGTAACAATTGAGGATACTGGTCTGTGCAGACTTCTTGGGTAAGATTTCAGAAGCAGAGGCAACAAAAGCCAAGAAAGACAGACAGGATTACATAAAGCTAAAAATCTACACAGCAAAGGGAGTACTCAAGATAGTGAAGGGACAACCTAAAGAATGGGAGAAAATATTTGCAAACTATCCACCCTGGAAAGGATTAAGAATATAAGGGACTCAACAACCACAAAAAAAAAAAAAAAAACACCAAAAACAAAACAAAACAAAGAAACAAATAATCCAATTTTAAAATGGGTCCAAGATCTAAACAAATATTTCTCAAAAAAAGACATAAAATGGTCAGTAGGTATATGAAAGAATGCTCAACATTACTAATCATCAGAAAAATGCAAATCAAAACCATAAGGAGTATCTCACTCCAGTTAAAATGCCTTCAATGAAAAAGACAAAAAAAATCACAAGCTTCTGAGAAAGAGGCAGAGAAAAGAGAGCACTTATACTCTATTGGTTGGAATGTATAGTAGTAAAGCCATTATGGAAAACAGTGTGGAGTTTTCTCAAAAAGCTAAAAATGGAATGATCATAGGATTCAGTAATCCCATTGCTGGTTATAGAGCCAAAAGAAAAGAAATTGGTATATTGAAGAGCTATCTGCATTCTCATGTTCACTGCAGTAACATTCACAGTTGTCAATATATGGAATCATCCTAAGTGGCAATCAATGGTTGCATGAATAAAGAAAATGTGGTATATATAAACAATGAAGCCAGACAAAATAATAAAATCCAGTCACTTGCAGCAATATGGTTGGAACTGGAGATCATTATGTTAAGTGAAATAAGCCAAGCACGGAAAGACAAATACTACATGTTCTCACTCATATATGGGAGCCAAAAAAGTGGATCTCATGGAAGTAGAGAGTTGATTCATGGTCACCAGAGACCGAGAAAGATAGGAGAGATAGGGGTTGAAGAGAGGTTGGTTAATGGGTATAAAAATAAAGTTAGATTGGAGGAATATGTTATAGTGTTTAAAAGTACAGTAGAAAGATAATAATTAACAATAATGTATTGTATACTTCCAGATAGGCAGAAGAAAAGTATTGGAATATTCTCAACATAAAGAAAAGATGAATGTTTGAAGTGGTAGATATTCCAATTACCTTGATTTGATTATTACACATTGTATGCATGTATCAAAATATCACATGTACCCCTTATGTACAACTATTATTAATATGTATCATAAAAGTCTTCCTCTGAATCTAAAATTCAGTTACAATAAATAGTTGTAAAATAAAGAACCTCATTATCTTTAAGTCCAACAGATCCTGTTTAATAAGTACCAATAATTTCACAACTCTGTGTATTATCTTATTCTCAATGTGATTAAAAGTTAACTCTGCTTTACTCTACCATTACAATTACCTATACAAAATTTTTCATGTGCCTGATTTTTATACATATTTTTAAAATACTAAGATTTTGATATTTCTGTAGTTGTCATAGTTGCTATGTTAGTGGCTGAAAAGTAGTAATTATATAAAATGATTTTATTAGTCATTTTAATCAAATTTAACTCAGTACCATTGATAATATTGCAGTGAGCACTTTGATTTAGAATACTTTTAAACATTTTGTTTATAATTGACACACAATTGTACATATTTAAAAGTTTTCATGTAAATAGTCATTTTTTAGGGACAAAAGATCTTGATTGTTTTATGAATATTACAGTTCCATGAGAATGGGATAATTGAGCTTAGAGAGAGACAAAGAGATTAGTTTTAATACTGTTTTAATAAAGTAAGAAGAACTTATAGTTTCTGGGGCTAGAAGAAGAAAGACAACAGATTGATGAGTTTGACGAGACAATTCTATCAACTGAGCTTATTTGGAGTACATTAAAGTTAAGTGAACTTCTATAATGTTACTCCATTAATTTTTCTAATATTATCTTCTTAAATTTAAAAATAAACATTATTTTATGTGAGTGACTGAATTATCCACCAAGGATTATTATCTAATGCAATTTGGCTCATGATATTATGTACCTTCTACCTCCATGAAAGATGAGGTGGGAATTCAAAGCAGATGATAGTGAGAGATCATTAAAAACAATGTGTTTTAGGGAAATCATATGCCTATAAAGAAATATGTGAAATAAGTGAAATATGGCCAAATGTAAGATAGTAGGGGATATTAGAATTTTAGACAAATAGGGACATGTAAACCAGATTGAAAGAATATTAATTCCTAATGCTAAAGCAAAGTGCGGGACCCAAAATGTCAATCTACTGACCATATTTGCTTCTAAACCCAAATGTTTCTCACCCTTTGACCCTATATTATATGCCATTATATATAATGGCATTTTACCCTATATTATATACCAAAATGTATAATTGACCCTATATTATATACCAAAATATATAATTATTGAATGTCAATGTTTAAATTTTATTTTATACTTTTATCATTATTTTTTTAAAGACAGGGTCTCACTCTGTCACCCAGGCTGGAGTTCAGTGGTTAGATTATAGCTTACTATGACCTCCAAATTCTGACCTCAAGCTATCCTCCCATCTCAGCCTCTCAAGGAGCTGGGACTACTGGTGTGTGCCACTATGTCTAGCTAATTAACAAAAACAATGTGAGGGGTTTGCTTAGTTAACCAAGCTGATCTCGCACTCCTGGCTTTAACTGATCCTCCTGACTTAGCCTCCCAAAGCACTGAGATTATAGACATGAGTCATGTCATCTGGCACTATTTTACCATTATTAATAGCAGAAATACTATGATAGAAACATAAATCTAACAAGATATTTTAAGCACATATTATGAAAGATAAATAATTGTTCATTCTTTGCAAGCTTGTATAATCATAGACCTCAACATGCATTTTAAACTCTAAATATAGTGGACAAGGAATGATATTTATGGTAAATGATATTTTCCATTAATTTGTAAGCAAAATTGTGCTTGTATGCTAATATGCATTAATTTGGTAAGAGTTTGTAAACTTCTATAATAAGCAGAAACACTCATGTCAGATATATTAGTTTTATATTATACTTGAGACATTAAATATTATCCTAATTGAAATGTCAGTTATTAGACATTTATTTATGATCAACTGTCAACTTTTTAGCTTTTTAGCACTATATGCCACATAACATTATGTTATTTAGAATATATTTATTGTATTTTCTAATCCTACAAACAATAATTGTCTTCTTCTTTAGGAAATTTAGGACAGGCGTGGGGGCTCACGCTTGTATTCCCAGCACTTTGGAAAGCTGAGGCAGGTGGATCACGAAATCAAGAGATTGAGACAATCCCGGCCAACTCGGTGAAACCCTATCTCTAATGAAAAAAAAAAAATACAAAAATTAGCTGGGCGTGGTGGTGTGCACCCATAGTCCCAGCTACTCGGGTGGCTGAGGCAGAAGAATCACTTGAATCCAGGAGGCAGAGGTTGCAGTGAGCTGAGATTGTGCCACTGCATTCCAGCCTGGTGACAAAAAATAAATAAATAAATTAATTAATTAATTTCAATTATTTGAAATTAAATTAGTTGATTTAATTTCAAATTTTTTGGTTGATCTGCCAGAAAGTATCTCCAGTCAACTCTGACATTCAAAATATGTTTGAAACGTTCTTGAAGGGCAGTTAAGTTCCTGAATGTTCAAATTATTATTTAAGAACCAAATCCCTTGCATCCAAAATAAATCAGTACAAGACTAGAAAGGGAGTTTCCCTGTTAGTCCCCACGATCTAATATCTGGCATCCACATCTGTATTATTGGATATCAAACATGTTTATAAGTAATCAATTCAATTACTTTCCAGACATGGATATTGCTGTTGTTTTCTGTCTACTATCGTTGACATTGACAATAAAAAGTTTTTAAATGTTCCTATGCAATCTTTTATATATCCCCAAACAAATGACATTTATTTATGAATGTTATTGATAAAGATCTTACTTCAGCAGGGTAATTTGTATTTTTAGGAGGTATAGCATTTATTACTGAAAGACCACCATTCATTACTTATTTACTGTAGTTTTACCTTGATTTGGACATATTTCTTCCAGGATAACGGCATAGAGAAAGAACACGAATGAGAGTGTGCCTGTGTGTCTGTGTGTATACGTGTGTGTCTGAGAGAGGGAGAGAGAGAGAAGAGAGTCACAGAGAAAGACAGAGACAGAGACATAGGAAGACCGAAGGGTGTGTGTGTGTGTGTGTGTGTGTGTGTGTGTATATATGCTCATACACATATATATGTGTGTGTATATATATATATATATATGAGAAATTCTTTGGTAATTTGAGAAGATCCATTGTTAGAGAAATATACCTACGACAGTTGTAGATGAGTGAGCCAGAGTGGGAATATTAATTGTGATTGGTCAAACATGCTCAGAACTTCTCCATCAAATATTAAATTCACATTCTGTATATCTCAGTAGGTTTACAAGATGCAACACTGATTCCTAAATGACATTGGCTATTTCTGTAAGATGACCATATTTTGAATGACATGGAATACTGATAACGGAATGCTCCAAAAGACGTTTTGGAAAGTGAAAGGAAGATTTCTTTAAAAACCGTCGCAAAATTTAGGTTAATTAACATATACATTAAGAGTAAATAATATGCAAATAGTAACATATATGTATTTTGAAGTAATGTTTTGTCTATATGTAACTTTATAACACATATGTAGATACGAATTTTAAAAATTCTACAAATGCCTTTTTCTGAATATCAGTGTATATTTCTTTTTCTCAATTTTTTATTTTTAATTATTATAGGTACAGAAGGGGTACACATTTTCATGGGCTACATGTGATGTTTTTATACAGGCATATGATGTTTAATAATCACATCACAGTAATCGGGGTATCCATCACCTCAAACATTTATCATTTATTTGTCTTGGAAACATTTTGATTCCAGATTCTTAGTTATTTTTAAGTATACCAAGAAATGATTGTTGACTATAATCACTTCGCTGTGCTATCAAATACTAGATCTTATTCATTCTATTTAACTCTATTTTTGCACTCATGAGCTATTTCCATTTTTCCCCACTACTCACTACCCTTTTTAGCCTCTGGTAATCATCATTCTTTTCTCTATTTCTATGAATCTATTGTTTTAATTTTTAGCTGTCACAAATATATTACTATGTAAATTAAGGTATATTAATATACATTAATTTTTAGCTCTCACAAATTTCTCATTTCTCACAACAGAAATTTGCCTTTCTATGCCTGGCTTCTTTTAGCGATCTTAATGCCCTCCAGTTCCGTCTATGTTGCTGCAAATGATGGGATTTCATTCTTTTACGTGGATGAATATTATTCCATTGTGTATATGTACCACATTTTCTTTTTTTATTAATCCACTGATGAACACTTAGATTGATTTCAAATCTTGGCTATTGTGAATATTTCTGCAATAAACATGGGAGTGCAGACATCTCTTTGATATGCTGACATTGTTTCTTTTGGATAAATACCTAGTAGTGGATTGCTGGATCATATAGTGTTCTATATTTAGTTTTTGAGGACTTTTATACTGTTCTCCACAGTAGCTGCACTAATTTACATTCCCACCAGCAGTGTACAAGTGTTCCACTTTCTCCACATCCTTGCCAGCTTTCATTATTGTTTGTCTTTTAGCTGAAAGCCATTTTAAGTGGGGAGAGATGACATCTCATTGTAGCTTTGATCTGTATTTCTCTGACGATTAATGATGTTGAGCATTTTTCACATATGTTCTTGTCCATTTGTATATCTTCTTTTGAAAAATATCGTCAGATCTTTAGTCCATTTTTAAATCAGATTATTTTATTGTTTCCTGTCAAGTTGTTTGATTCCTTATATATTCTGGTTATTAATCTCTTGTCAGTTGGGTAGTTTGCAATTATTTTCTCCCATTGTGTAGATGGTCTCTTCACTTTGTTGATCATTTTCTTTGGTGTGAAGAAGCTTTTTAACTTGAACTAATCCCATTTGTCCATTTTTCCTTTGTTTGCCTGTGATTGTGGGGTACTGATAAAAGAAATATTTGGCCAGAAATTCCAGGACATTGGACCCAAGAAGTCCAATGTCCTGGAAATTTTCCCCGATGTTTTCTTTTAGTCATTTCATAGTTTGAGATCTTACATTTAAGTCTTTAATCAATTTTGATTTTTGTATATGGCAAGAGATAGGGATCTAGTTTCGTTCTCTGCATATAGATATCTAGTTTTCTCAGCACCATTTATTGAAGAGATTGTCTATTCTACAATGTATGCTCTTGGTACTTTTGTCAAAAATGATTCACTGTAGGTATGTGGATTTATTTCTGGGCTCTCCATTCTGTTTCACTGCTCTGTGTGTTTTTTTTTATGGAAATCCATGCTGGTTTGGTTACTACAGATTTGCAGTATAATTTGAAGTCAAGTAATGTGATTCCTCCAATTTTTTTTATTTTTTGCTCAGGATGGATATATGCTTTCTTTAATTCCTTCTTACAATGTTTCCAAGAATATATATATTTTGTTAACATTAAATAATAATTTAAAATTATTTTCTTTGAATTTCACACATATTTATTATTGCTTGCATTTCAAAAAGAAAAAAACAATTATTTTAAATTAAAAATGCTATATTATTTTTAATTGACAGTCATTTCATCTATGAAAAAAATAGATATTATCACTGAATATTCTCCATAGCAAACTTGTCCCACCTGCAGCCCATGGGCGGCGTGCGTCCCAGGACGGCTTTGAATACAGCCTAAAAAAAATTCATAAATTTTCTTAAAATATTATGAGATTATTTTGCATAAAAATTGTTAAGCTCATCAGCTATCATTAGTATTAGTGTATTTTATGTGTGACCCAAGACAATTCTTCTCCAATGTGGCCCAGGAAAGCGAAAAGATGGAACACCACTGCTCTAGAGCTTCTTCAATTTAACCTGTATATTCTCTTGCTATCATTAGTGCTATGAGAAGATATTACTGGTGTTTCTGCATCTACCACCTTTGTTATTATTCATAGATTTGCATATTTTTTGAGCCTTTAAAATAACAGGATAAAGGAATCTACCATCTTGAGGGTCATAATAATTATACCTCTGAATCAGTCATGTTTAATTTGGAGATAAAGTATATACGTAAATCAAAGAATAATAAATACGCAACAATTCCCATTTGAAGCATATCTTATTCTCTATACATTTTATATGTTAATTAATACATCCTAAGAGATTAATTTATCAGAAAACAATACTTTTCATTGTATCATTTTCACAATTAGTCAAACATTAAAGTTGCCTATTATATTATCTAATCATACACAGTTTTTTTTTTAACTTTTAACCGAATTATTTTACCCTCTCAATTATGTCTTCAAATAGTTTATTTTAATAGTTTTATTCTATGTCTTGTGTGTAGTAAATTACTTCAAATCCATTTTGGAAGTAGGTTGAAAATAGACCACAAAGAATAAGCAGATCACTGCCTAGTCACAGGTCAGCCTTCAATTATCCACAATATTATGGAAAGCCATTAGTATAATTGAAAATTAATAAGCTCCCTTTAACCTTATTCAGGGAGGATTTCATGCTTTTCATAGATGGGCAATTTCAAGGGTTGAAAATAAGAAGACAGAAAAAAAATATTCTCATAAAATCTTATGGTCAGTGAAGAAATATTTCCTCAAAAAACAAATGGAAAATAATCACACAAATACAAACTTTTTATACACAGTTCAATAACTTTCCTGTTTACTAGAAACAATTTAGAACAGATTATTGGAAAATGTGCCATAGAAGCATATCATAAAAGAATGAAGAGTTTATTGACAATACTGAAATTATATGTTCAAAGCTTAATAATTTTATTAAATGGTTTCAAACCATGTAACAGATAGGATCAGAAAGAATTACTCTGGTCCTCAGAAGAAAACATATAATACTGAATAATATCAACATAAATTTTCTTCAAATAAATATATAGGTTTAATATGTTCCAAATAGAAATCAGGTCAATGTTTTTGTTTTGTTTTGTTTTTCAAATTTAAATATAGTTGTTTAAAAATTTCTGTTAAATTTACCGACTTTTTTCAGGATCATTAGAATCTTCACAATAGTTATTATTTAATAATATGAAGCAAATGACTTTAAATTATATATTATTAGGGTACTAGGGTTTTTTTTCTTGGTGTCATCTTCACCTAAACAACAGAATTAATAATTTTTAAATTTTTAAAAATTTTTAATATGATTATACATTCACTTGGTTGATGTACCTGTTTTTCATGACATATAATCAGTGTTTACAAGTTTTTCAAGGACACTTAAAAATAAGTTAATAATAGAAAGTGCCTAACTAGGCCCACACAAATATAGACAAGTGATTTTTGATAAGGTAGCAAAGGCAATTCAATGGAGAAAGGATAGACTTTTCCACAAATGTTGTTGGAACAATCGGACATCCTCATGTAAGAAAAGGAATATAGACATGAAACTTACACCTTTAACAATAAATAAACTCAAAATGGATCATAGATCAAATATAAAATACAAAATTATAAAATATCTACAAGATAACATAGAAAACCTAGATAATCTTGGATTTGCTGATGAGTTTTTAGATGCAATGACAAATGCATAGTCTATTGCAGAAACTGTTGATAAGTTGGAGTTCAGTAAATTTAAAAACAATCTTTCTGTGAAAGACATTGTAAAGACAAGCTATTAAATGAAAAAAAAAATTATCTGCCAATCTCCTATCTGATAGAGGACTTGTATATAAAATACTTGAACTTTTTTTATTATACTTTAAGTTCTGGGATACATATGCAGAACGTGCAGTTTTGTTACATAGGTATGCACGTGCTATGGTGGTTTGCTGCACCCATCAACCCGTCATCTCCATTAGGTATTTCTCCTAATGCTATCCCTCCTCTAGCTCCCCACCCCGTGACAGACCCCAGTGTGTGATGTTCCCTTCCCTGTGTTCATGTGTTCTCATTGTTCAACTATCACTTATGAGTGAGAACATACGGTGTTTGATTTTCTGTTCCTGTGTTAGTTTGCTGACAATAATAGGTTCCGGCTTCATCCATGTTGCTGCAAAGGACATAAACTCATCCGTTTTTATGGCTGGATAGTATTCTATGATGTATATGTGCCACATTTTCTTTATGCAGCCTATCATTGATGGGCGTTTGGGTTCGTTCCAAGTCTTTGCTATTGTGAATAGTGCTGCAATAAACATACATGTGCATGTGTCTTTATAGTAGAATGATTTATAATACTTTGGGTATATACCCAGTAATGGGATTGCTGGGTCAAATGATATTTCTAGTCCTAGATCCTTGAGTAATCACCACACTGTCTTCAACAACGGTTGAACTAATTTACACTCCCACTGAGAGTGTAAAAGTGTTCCTATTTCTTCACATCCTCTCCAGCATCTGTTGTTTCCTGACTTTTTAATGATCACCATTCTAACTGGTGTGAGACAGTATCTCATTGTGGTTTTGATTTGCATTTCTCTAATGACCAGTGATGATGAGCTTTTTTTCGTATGATTATTGGCCACATAAATGTCTTCGTTTGAGAAGTATCTGTTCATATCCTTCACTCACTTTTTGATGGGTTTGTTTTTTTCTTGTAAAATTATTTAAGGTCCCTGTAGATTCTGGATATTAGCTCTTTGACAGATGGATAGATTGCAAAAATTTTCTCCCATTCTGTAGGTTGCCTGTTTATGCTGATGATAGTTTCTTTTGCTGTGCATATGCTCTTTAGTTTAATTAGATCCCATTTGTCAATTTTGGCTTTTGTTGCCATTGCTTTTGGTGTTTTAGTCATGAAGTCTTTGTCCATGCCTATGTTCTAATTGGTATTGCCTAGGTTTTCTTCTAGAGTTTTTATGGTTTTAGGTCTTACATTTAAGTCTTTAATCCATCTTGAGTTAATTTTTGTATAAAGTGCAAGGAAGAGGTCCAGTTTCTGTTTTCTGCATATGGCTAGCCAATTTTCCCAATAGCATTTATTAAATAAGTAATCCTTTCCCGATTGCTTGTTTTTGTCAGGTTTGTCAAAGATCAAATGGTTCTAGATGTGTGACATTATTTCTGAATCCTCCATTCTCTTCCATCGGTCTATATATATATGTTTTGGTACCAGTACCATGCTGTTTTGGTTACTATAGCCTTGTAGTATAGTTTGAAGTCAGGTAGCATGATGCCTCCAGCTTTGTTCTTCTTGCTTAGGATTGTCTTGGCTATGCAGGCTCCTTTTTGGTTCCATATGAAATTAAAAGCAGATTTTTCTAATTCTGTGAAGAAAGACAATGGCAGCTTTATGGGGATAGCATTGAATCTATAAATTACTTTGGGCAGTATGTCCATTTTCACGATATTGATTCTTTCTACCCAAGAGCATGAAATGTCTTTCCATTTGTTTGTGTCCTCTATTATTTCCTTGAGCAGTGGTTTGTAGTTCTCCTCGAAGAGGTCCTTCACATCCCTTGTAAGTAGGATACCTAGGTATTTTATTCTATTTGTAGCAACTGTGAATGAGAGTTCACTCATGATTTGGCTCTCTGTTTGTCTATTATTGGCCTATAGGAATTCTTGTGATTTTTGTATGTTGATTTTGTATCCTGAGACTTTGCTGAAGTTGCTTATCAGCTCAAGTAGATTTGGGGCTGAGACAATGGGGTTTTCTAAATATACAATCATGTCATCTGGAAACAGAGACAATTTGACTTCCTCTCTTCCTATTTGAATACCCTGTATTTCTTTCTCTTGCCTGATTACCCTGGCCAGAACTTCCAATACTATGTTGAATAGGAGTGGTGAGAGAGGGCATCCTTGTCTTCTTCCAATTTTCAAAGGGAAATGCTTCCAGCTTTTGCCCACTCAGTATTAAACTGGCTGTGGGTTTGTCATAAATAGTTGTTATCATTTTGAGATACGTTCCATCAATACCTAGTTTATTGAGAGTATGAAGGGGTTTTGAATTTCATCAAAGGCCTTTTCTGCATCTATTGAGATAATCATGTGGTTTTTGTCATTGGTTCTGTTTATGTGAGGGATTACTTTTATTGATTTGCATTTGTTGAACCAGGCTTGCATCCCAGGGATGAAGCCAACTTGGTCATGTTGGATTAGCTTTTTGATGTGCTGCTGGATTCGGTTTGCTAGTATTTTATTAAGGATTTTTGCATCGATGTTCATGAGGGTATTGGCCTGAAATTTTGTTTTTCGTTGTTGTTGTTGCGTCTCTGCCAGGTTTATTATCAGGATGATGCTGGCCTCATGAAATGAGTTAGGGAGGAGTCCCTCTTTTTCTGTTGTTTGGAATAGTTTCAGAAGTAATGGTACCAGCTATTCTTTTTACCTCTGGTAGAATTCGGCTGTGAATCCATCTGGTCCTGGGATTTTTTTGTTTGGTAGGCTAATAATTACTGCCTCAATTTCAGAACTTGTTATTGGTCTGTTCAGGGATTCGACTTCTTCCTGGTTTAGTCTTGGCGGGGTGTATATGTGTTTAGGAATTTATCAATTTATTCTAGATTTTCTAGTTTATTTGTGTAGAGGTGTTTATAGTATTCTCTGATGTAGAGGTAGTTTGTATTTCTGTGGGATCAGTGGTGATATCCCCTTTATCATTTTTATTGTGTCTATTTGATTCTTTTCTATTTTCTTCTTCATTAGTCTGGCTAGAGTTCTATCTATTTTATTAATCTTCAAAAAAACTGCTCCTGGATTTATTGATTTTTTGAAAGGATTTTCATATCTTTATCTCCTTCAGTTCTGCTCTGATCTTAGTATTTCTTGACTTCTGCTACCTTTTGAATTTATTTGTTCTTGCTTCTCTAATTATTTTAATTATGATGTTAGGGTATCAATTTTAGATCCCTCCCACTTTCTCCTGTGGGCATTTAGTGGTATAAATTTCCCTCCAAACACTGTTTTAGCTGTGTCACAAACATGCTGGTACATTGTGTCTTCGTTCTCATTGGTTTCAAATAACTTATTTATTTCTGCTTTAATTTTATTATTCACCCAGTAGTCATTCAGGAGCAGGTTGTGCAGTTTCCACATAGTTGTGCAGTTGTTAGTGAGTTTCTTAATCCTGAGTTCTAATTTGATTGCACTGTGGTCTGAGAGACTGTTATGATTTCCATTTTTTTTTTTGCATTTGCTGAGGAGTGTTTTACTTCCAATTATGTGGTCAATTTTATAGTAAGTGTGATGTGGTGCTGAGAAGAATGTATATTCTGTTGATTTTAGGTGGAGATTTCTCTGGATGTCTGTTAGGTCCGCTTGTCCAGAGGTGAGTACAAATCCTGAATATACGTGTTAATTTTCTGTCTTGTTGATCTGTCTAATATTGACAGTGGGGTGTTAAAGTCTCCCACTATTATTGTGTGGGAGTCTAAGTCTCTTTGTAGGTCTCTAAGAATTTGCTTTATGCATCTGGGTGCTCCTGTATTGGGTGCATACATATTTAGAATAGTTAGCTCATTTGTTGCATTGATCCCTTTACTATTATGTAATGGCCTTCTTTGTATATTTTGATCTTTGTTGTTTTAATGTTTTAAAGTCTGTTTTATCAGATACTAGGATTGGAACCCCTGCTTTTTTTTTTTTTTCATTTGTTTGGTAAAAATTCCTCCATCCCTTTATTTTGAGCCTATGTGTGTCTTTGCACATGAGATGGGTCTCCTGAATACAGCACGCCAATGGGTCTTCACTCTATCCAACTTGCCTGTCTGTGTCTTTCAATTGGGGCATTTAGCCTGTTTACATTTAAGGTTAATATTTTTCTGTGTGAATTAATCCTGTCATTATGATGCTAGCTAGTTATTTTGCCTGTTATTTGATGCAGTTTCTTCATAGTGTCGATGGTCTTTACAATTTGGTATGTTTTCGCTGTGGCTGGTACTTGTTTTTCCTTTCCGTATTTAGTGCTTCCTTCAGGATTTTTTGTACAGCAGGCCTGGTGGTGACAAAATCTCTCAGCATTTGCTTGTCTGTAAAGGATTTTATTTCTCCTTTGCTTATGAAACTTAGTTTGGTGGGATATGAAATTCTGGGTTGAAAATTCTTTTCTTTAAGAATGTTTAATATTGGTCCCCACTCTCTTCTGGCTTGTAGGGTTTCTGCAGAGAGATCCACTGTTAGTCTGATGGGCTTCCCTTTGTGGGTAACTCGACCTTTCTCTCTGGCTGCCCTTAACATTTTTTCCTTCATTTCAACCTTGGTGAATCTGATGATTATGTGTTTTGGTGTTGCTGTTCTTGAGGAGTATCTTTGTGGTGTTCTGTTCATTTCCTGAATTTTAATGTTGTCCTGTCTCACTAGGTTGGGGAAGTTTTCCTGGATAATATCCTGAAGAGCGTTTTCCAACTTGGTTCCTTTCTTCCCATCACTTTCAGGTTCACCAATCAAACATAGGTTGGTCTTTTCACATAGTCCCATATTTCTTGGAGGCTTTGTTCATTCCTTTTCATTCTTTTTTCTCACATCTTGTCTTCACACTTTATTTCATTAAGTTGATCTTCAATCTCTGATATCCTTTCTTCCACTTGTTCAATTTGGCTATTGATACTTGTGTATGCTTCACAAAGTTCTTGTGCTGTGTTTTTCAGCTCCATCAGGTCATTTATGTTCTTCTCTAAAATGATTATTCTAGTTAGGAATTCCTCTAACCTTTTTTCAAAGCTCTTAGCTTCCTTCCTTTGGGTTAGAACATGCTCCTTTAGCTCAGAGGAGTTTGTTATTACCCACCTTCTAAAGCCTACTTCTATCAATTCATCAAACTCATTCTCCATCCAGTTTTGTTCCCTTGCTGGTGAGGAGTTGTGATCCTTTGGAGGAGAAGAAGCATTCTGGTTTTTGGAATTCTCAGCCTTTTTCAATGTTTTTTCCTCATCTTCGTGGATTTATCTACCTTTGGTCTTTGATGTTGGTGATCTTCGAATGGGGTTTCTGTGTGGATGTCCTTTTTGTTGATGTTGATTCTGTTCCTTTCTGTTCATTATTTTTCCTTCTATCAGTCAGGACCCTCTGCTACAGGTCTGTAATTTTTAACATTCAACAATAAGAAAGCAAAAACTTTAAAAAAAATTGGGCAGATGATCTGATCAGGTATGTCACCAAAGAAGATATACAGATGGCAAATAAATCTATGACAATATGCTCAACTTGAGATGTCATCATGGGATTGCAAATAAAAACAATGAGAAAGCACTATACATCTATTAGAATGGCTAAAATAAATAACAGCAATAATGACAACTGCTGGAGAGTATGTGGAGCAACAGGAACTCTCATTCATTTTTGGTGGGAATACAGAATAGTATAGCCACTTGGAAAGAGTTTCTTATAAAACTAAATAAATTCTTACCATATGACCCAGAAATCCTGCTCCCAGGAATATAACCAAATAACTTGAAAATTAATGTCCACATAAATCATGCATGCAAATGTTTGTAACAGCTTTTTTCTAACTGCTAAAACTCAAAAGCAAACAAAATGTCATTCAGTAGATGAATGGATAAACAAACAGTGATACATCCACTCAATGGAATATTATTGAAGGATTAAAAAAATGAGATAGGAAGCTACAAAAAGACCAGAAGGAACGTTTAATTCATATTGCTAAGTGAAAGAAGACAGTTTAAAAATTTACATACTTTATGATTATAGGTATGAGATAGTCTGGAAAAGGAAAAGCTATGGAGTCAGTGAAAAGTTTGGTGGTGGCCACAGTTCTGCGAGAATAAGTAGAACAGAGAATTTTTAGGGCAGTGAAACCATTCTTTAGGATACTGCAATGGCAGAAACATGACATCATATATCTGCAAAAACTAATAGAATGTAAAATATATACAGCGCATCTTAATGTAAATGATAGAATTTTGTTAGTAATAATTTATCAATATTGGATTAATTTAATTATCAATAACAAGTGTAACACGTGCACCATACTCATGGAATATTTAATAATAGTGGAAACCATGAAGTTGGGGGAAGAGTGGTTATTTGGGAACTCTGTATTTTCTGCTCAATTTTTCTGTAAAACTAAAACTGCTCCAAGAAATAATCTATTAATGTTTGTAAAAAGCTACTAAAAAAAAGAGAAGGTAAAGCCAATTGCCTGCTGTCACTTCATGCTAATTTTATTAATTATGTTGTTCAAATATTTAAATTGCATTTTTGTCTATTTTATGTTCCTGAGCTGATTGTGTAATGCTTAAATTTCATTATATTTGCATCACTGTTTTTATGTTTTCTATTAGCAGGTACGAGTTTAGATCTGTTAATTTTTATATTCTCTGCACGTGTTATTTGTGTGGTAACAGCATTTAATAATTTCTTAGGCTTGTAATAACAGAAAGTGAAAAACTTAATGAAAATCATTAATTGAGTTATTTTTGTCAAATTTATTTGGAATCTTACTCTCAAGGCATTCATTTTAACATGGCCAATAAATGTGCTCAAATTCACATCATGCTTACAGGTTGTGGTATGCTGAGTCATAACCACAGTCTCTGTCCATGACATTCAGACTTTTCAGGCTGGTGTCCTAAGGTGTCCTGAACTTATCGAGTCATACCTAATAAATGTTTCAGTGTTTCACATACCTCCAGAAATCATGAGAATTACTTCTTAGGCTATGGGTAACTTTCATCCTGCACAATATAAACCCAGGTATCTGTATTAGTTTTACATTGTTGCAAAACAAATGACTACACATGTAGAGGATTAAAACAACTATTATTTGAAAGTTTCTGTGATGAGTCTGGGCACAGCTTAGCTTGTAATACTATGCTAAAGGTCTTACAAGGCTGCAAGAAGATGTCTGTCAGTTGGTGGTTTTTGTTTTGAGACGGAGTCTCACTCTGTCGCCCAGGCTGGAGTGCAGTGGCGCGATCTCGGCTCACTGCAAGCTCCGCCTCCCGGGTTCACGCCATTCTCCTGCCTCAGGCTCCCGAGTAGCTGGGACTACAGGCGCCCGCCACCACGCCCGGATAGAGTGTGTGTGTGTGTGTGTGTGTGTGTGTGTGTGTGTGTGTGTGTGTGTGTGTGTGTGTGTGTGTGTGTTTAGTAGAGACGGGGTTTCACCGTGTTAGCCAGGATGGTCTCGATCTCCTGACCTCGTGATCCGCCCGCCTCGGCCCCCCAAAGTGCTGGGATTACAGGAGTGAGCCACCGCGCCAGACTAAAGTTAGTTGGTGGTTTTACCGGAGTTTTGACTGTGGATAAGTTCTCTGCTAAGCTCCCACAAGCTGTTAGGCAGAATTCATCTGCTTGTAGTTAGAAGAATTGAGTCCCCATTTTGTTGCTGGATGTTGGCTGAGTGCAACACTTAGGTCCTAAGGGCTGCCAGCCATTTACTATCACATGTCCCTCTCAATAGACATGCGCAACGTGGCTGTTTGCTTCTTCGTGGCCAGCAGGATAATCTCACCCTCTAATCTGCTAAAACAGAGTCTTCTCTTACAAAATACAATCGAGGTAGTGTTAGCCTACCACCTTTGCCATCCAAAAGTAACTTATTCTTTACTCTAGACTGTGTTCACCACAGGAGATTTACAACAATATATTTTATGTTTTTCATATTGCTACTGATCTGTATTTGCATCTGAGACACACTGTTCAAACAAAGCCTTTGTAAGAAACACATTTTTAAAACTGCATATTAAAACACTTTAGAAAATAGCTGTTATTTTAGTATTGCAAAGTACCATTAAAAGGTATTAAAATTTGAATACCGTCTTCCTTAGTATTTTTCACCTGGGAGGCAATTGATAAATACTGATTTTTTTTAATGTTGATGGTATTGAGTCTTTTAATTCATCTACATGGTGTATTTGTTCATTCATTTACATCTTTAATTTTTGTTGGACATTTTTTACATCTTCGAATAGGTTTTCTCCCACGCTTTTTAAAAATTTTTTTTAAGTTTTATTATACTTTAAGTTCTGGGGTACTAGGGGTGGGATAACATTAGGAGAAATAACTAATGTAGGTGACAGGTTGATGGGTGCAGCAAACCACCATGGCACGTGTATACCTATGTAAATATTGATTTTTTAAAGATGACATTATATTGAATGCCAATATGAGGCTGATTTACTAATATGTCTTTTAATGATGACATAAATTTTTAATCACATGGTCTTTATCACAGGTTAAGTCTGCCTTCATACTTGTAATTAAATGACAGCAATTTCATGCAATTAATAAAAGAGAGAAATACATTAAAACATTTAAAAAATGTATTTCAATTTCTACACAGTTTATTTTCACTATACTTTTGTTAATTGCTTCTCTTTGGATCAAATGACACGCAGTTAAAAAATATGATTTTTAAATAATATATTAAATTGCTATTGTTTTTATAATGTTTTTCACTTGAAAGTCTTTGTCATCTGCTACAAGATTGATACTTTGGCTTTATTTTGGTTCATATTTGCCTAATAAGTTTATTTTTATTTTTCATTTAGCTTCCTTTATTGTTTCGTTTTAAGCATATTTCTTTTGAACTATAGATTTTTGTATTTTGTAAATTGCTTAGAATCTAATCTAGCTCTGTGTCTCTGTGCTTGCCTAGCTGCTGAATGATATCTAGTCTATCATCTCCACACAATGTCCCACTCTCACCTCACCACCATCCTTTCCTCTCCCTACCGATGTCACCATCTAGTTTCAATTTCTATATTGCATATATGGTCAATAGAGTAAAAAAGATTCCTTTTGTCTATATGACCTATTAACTACTGAAAAGCAATTAACTCCCAATTCAGCATAATTCTGGGATGAAATAAGGGAAGTCTTTATTCTTACATTTGTCATTTGCAGGCCAAGCACAGTTGCTTATGCCTGTAATCCCAGCACTTTGAAAGGCCAAGGTAGGATTATTACTTGAAGCCAGGAGCTCAAGACCAGCCTGGGCAACATAGGGAGACCCAATCTACAAAAAATAAAAATTAGCTGGGAGGATAGCTTAAGCTCAGGAGTTGGAGGTTATAGTGGGCTACGACCGTGCCATTGCACTCCAGCCTAGGTGACAGAGCAAGACCCTGGCTCTAAAAACAAAACAAAACAAACAAAACAAAAAAATTGTCCTGGAAAAAGTTTTAAGAATCTCTGGATCCAGCTCCAACATCAGGAGTCTACAATTTTATCAGTTTAATGTGATTTTCCTCATTATGTAATTTCTAAATACTTAAAAGGCTCTCTATCTTCTCTCAATTATCCTAAAATATCTTCTCAATCATACTATCATTTTCACAAATTTTTTGCTGGAATTTGCTAAAGAGAAATCTGAGTAGATTAGCAATTACAACATGTTTGTATTCTACACAATGGCCTCTTAGCTATCTAAGGCTTAAATTAAAAAAAATTCCCACACAGTTTTTTTTCTCATTATTATTTTTAATGTTCTAAAAATATAGAAGTTGAATATTTGCATATGAAAACATAATTTTTATTTTTGACCATGTTCTATATATAATATATGTTTTATCCATTATTTTACATCAATGAAGAGGAATTTCTTTTTCCTAACCATGAGCTCATACTTACCTTTAGCTCTTGCTTCTGTATTAGACACTTTTGACGATTAGTGCTGAGATTCAGAGTTAGTCAGAAAGCATGTGGGAGTGTGGGGAGAGCCTGTACTACATTGATGATTTGTTATGCATGTGCAAGTCTGCTGCTAGGTGAGGTCTTGGAGATCAGAATTAAGAATAAAAGCTTTGCTGTCTGTGGCAGGCAGAATAATCTACCCCACCCTCAAAGATGTTCCTTCTTTTAAGGCCTGGATCCTATGAATATCCTATATTACACAGCAAAGCTAAAGTTAGTTTGTAGGTGGAAGTAAATTTGCTAATCAGATGATGATGTTAAAATAGGAAGAGTAGCCTGGATTATCCATGTGAACCCAGTGTGATCACAAGAGTCCTGAAAAGAGCTAGAGGAAGATGTGACTCTGGAGAGCTAGAGAGATGGCAATGTAAGAACTTAGAAAACAGTAGTTGGCTTTGAAGGTAGAGGAATGGGTCTGCAAGCCAAGGAATATGAGCGGCTTCTAGAAAGTGGGAAAGGTAAGGAAATGGATCATCCATCCAGGTTTTCCAAAATGAATGCAGTCTTGCTGAAGTTTGATTATAGCCTAGTGACATCTGTTTTAGACTTCCAACGTCCAGAACTGGAAGGTAATACATTTGTGTTGCTTGAAGCCACTAATTTGTGGCAATTTGTTATAGTAGGGAGGGGAAATTAATGCAATGTCCTATTAAAAATGGGCTGAGCTCTTAGCTCTAATGCTTATTCATTTAATAGCAAGATGTGCTCTTCTTAAAACCTCTGTGCACAAGTTTCTTCAATTGTAAAATAGGCACAAAGTCTTCCATTCACAACTATCATTAAAAAATGAAATTATGTGTGATATCCATCTGTCAAATGATACAGTAAGCACTCTTCAAAACAAGCTATTGGTTTTCTTAGATTTTATTGTGAGTAGTTAGCATTATTGGTCTTGAATGTATGGGCAAATCCCAGTGCTTCAGAATCTGATGTGTGAGGAGCAGATTTTCCTTCTAGATTCTGGAACTCCTACTTAGCTGAGTTTTAATAACTGCCAGAATCTGCAAGATGTGCCTGCTATGAACATACTGTTTGCCCTGATGTACTAATTACATATATCTTATTTATTCCTTAGAAAACCTCTTTGGTTTCCCTTTAATATCTGCTTTGCTCTACTTTGTCTATTTTGTGATTCTTTGTTTTTAATCCTAGCTCTGTTCTGTTACTTACTGAAGCTGCTAATTCTATGTAGTTGATTCCCATTCCTAACCCATTTCCTGTCTAATGTCCCTTTTTTCACTCTTCTAGTTCCTGGCCTTTCACCTGTCTCCATGACTTGTTGCTTCTTACATTTTTGGACACTATGTTGTGCACGTGTGGAGAAAAACATACATAAAAATAACACAGTAAGTAATCTTTTAAAAAGCTAATGGTGCTAAATAAATTCAGTGATAATATAGTGATTTAAAACTTTGCTGCCAAGCCTGAAAATTAGATCAAGACTCTCTCTCAAGATGAAATTTAGAGTTAGGATAAAGTTACCATAGGTTTCAAAATGTTCACAGCACATTTAGATCATAGGGTGACTTTCTAATAAGAACACTTTTTGAATGTTGTATTTTTGCATATGTAGAATTCTAGAAGGACACATATAATATACATATGCATATGTCTATGAAGTGATTTTATTCTATCTGGTTTAGGTATTCTACATATGTAAATATCTTACAAATCTGAAGACCAAAAATAATGCTAGGGGAAAAAATATTTACCCAGGCACTTACTGAGAAGTTTTAAATGACGGGGTTGTATGTTTAAAATTGTCATGTCTAGGTTAAGTATGATATTTTAAATGTTCTTGAACCTAGAAAACTTAATTGAATACAAATAGGGCACTCATAACAGTGGTTTGTTTATAAATATCCCATTGCTCTGTAGTATATGATACCTTTTGTAAAAATTAATAAATGTGATGTCTACATTTTCTCCCTATTTTTCACTATAAATTTTCATCATTTACTTGTCTCTTATTCATTGAATAAAAAAAATTTGGTTTTGTTTTTTCATTTTTCCTATTTTAAAAAGTTATCTAAAAATGTTCCTCAAATATAAAGCTTATCATTAACAAAATTAAGAAATGATAATGAAAATTAGCAGTTCACATTTGTTGATATAATATTTTTAACCTGAAATACATTGATACACATTTCAAACTCTAATGCAAACTTTGTAATCTGGTGGTCCATAGGTGAGATCTGGCTTTTAGATACAGTTAGTTCAGCTATTTAAAAACTGACTTGTTAGGATTTTTGTTTTATTTTATTTTTAATGGAGAGATATCTCATAAGTACCTGAAAATGTTTTTTGTTTGTCAGATTTTTGTTTTTGCTTTCGTCTTTTTGAGAATCCAGAGGCTCACATTCCATTTTACTGATTGTTGGCCGGTGGGATGGGTGTTCCCTCTATATGGGCCAGACACCCTAGAATGCCCACTTTTCTTGCCACTTCTCCTGTATTACACATGGCTTATTTGTTTTTCCCTCGTATTTCTTATTTGATCACAGTGAATTGACTAAGTAAACTTATAAGACGTAATTGTGGAAATATTCCAAATATTCCAGATTTTAATATTATCTACTAATTATGAGTAAAAGCCAACTAATTACCAACGCAGGTTCCTACATAGCTATGCTCATTCAAATGATAAAGACAATCTAGTCTTAGCCCTTAAAATAACTTTTTCATCATTGTCCATAATTTTTTATTGGACTATAACATGGTCATATAATAAAAGACATTTTGTCATTCAGCCAGTTTTTAAGACTCTGAATTAACAATTAAAATGATTACTACTATAGCTGATATACTTTTAATAGACTAGTATTTAGATGATCCAAGGTGTAGGAGATTCCTTAATAAAGGAAATTAAAACTATAAAGTAGTACTTTCTAAAAAAAACACACTTTCTTTGACAGCCTGCTGCCACTAACTAGTAAACAAATGTAGAAATCTTTTGTATAAATGATGATTTTGGCACTCAAGCTATATAAAAGCATCATTCAATGAAACCAGTTGTTAGCTCTTCTGCACAGATGGTATTGACATTAAATGATCTGCATAAAACAATTTTTCAGTTGAGTTGTATAATACACACAAAATAATTCAAATATAGGCATTTTGATACAATTTTTAAAAGAATGCACCTATAGATAAAGTAATATATATTTTTGATTATTTATTTCAACTAAGATCCAAATATATTGCTAATGTTTTATCAGGTTTTTCTACGAAAAAATTGTTTCTTCATTGGTTCTTAAATTTTATTTTGGTTTATAAGATATTTTGATACTAGGGAAAGCCGCTACAACAGAACTATCATTTTAACATCATTTTTGGAAACAAGGCCCAACTCTTGGTGGCAGAAACTCCCAGTTGTCCCTCAATTTCCAATTTCTTTTTTGCCCTTTGATAATAGAACGTCAGATTATTACTGAATACATGGTTAACAAAAAGTTGACCACATTTTTTTGTCTTTCTTTCAGTTAAACATGACTAGGATATGGATATTAGATGGTACCCAATTTGAGATCAAATATTATGCATCTAATATCCAAACTGTACTCTTAAAATGAATGGTGATTTTCTCCATATTTTTTCTTTTCACCTTCTTATATCAGAATAATATACATATCAAAGTATTCAACTTGATGATTTTTGATCAGTGGACCACACCCTTTGTAAGAGATCAGGTAAAATAATATATCAGCATTCCAGAAACCTCTGATGTTTCCTTCTATTTTCTGTATTTTTTTATTCCTCCTGTCTAACTGAAACTCTCACTCAAGCTTGAGGAGGAGTGAATACTTCCAAACTTATTTAAGGAATACTTCCAAACTCCAGCTTTACCCTGATACTAAAGCCAGACAAGAAAACTAAAAGAAAAGAAAATTACAGAACGATATCCTTGATGAACGTAGATGCAAAAATCTTGAACAAAATACTAGCAAATATAATGCAGCAGCACGTGTAATGAAACTACACTATATCTAGTTGTGATTTATTCCTGGGATATGAGGATGGCTCAGTGTAAGTAAATTAATAAATGGATTATACAAAATTTAAAAAATGAAGGATAAAAATCATGACCATCTAAATGGATGCAGAAAGAGCATATGATATATTTCAACATACTTTCATGATAAAAACTCTGAATAAATTAGGTAAAGAAGGAATGTACCTAAATACAATAAAGCTGTGTATGATAAACCCACACGTAGCAACATACTCAGTGAGAAAAATCACTGCTGGAGTTTGGAAGTATTTCCTAAATAAGTTTGAAAATTTTCTCTCCTCCTTAGTTTTTAGAAAGAGTTTGAAAAGGATTGGCATTCTTCTTGCTTAAATTTTGGTAGATTCACCAATGAAATCATCTGGAAACTGGGATTTTCTTTCACGGGAGTTTTTTGTTACCAGTTCACTGTACTTTCTTGTCATTGGTTTATTCATATTTTGAATTTCTTTTTGATTCATTCTTAGTAGGTTTTATTTGTCTACTATGTATGTTTCCTCTATGTTACCCATTTTGTTGGTGTATATAGTAGTCTCTTATGGATTTTTATATTTATCTGGCAACTGTTTTAATGTCTCCTCCTTCATTTCTGATTTTACTTGTCTTTTATTTTTCTTAGTCTCCTTAAAAGTTTGTCAATTTTGTTTATCTTTAATTAATTAATTTTTTTTGAGGCGGAGTCTTGCTCTGTCGCCAAGGCTGGAGTGCAGTGGCACAATCTCGGCTCGCTGCAACCTCTGCCTCCTAGGTTCAAGCGATTCTCATGCCTCAACCTCCCGAGTAGCTGGGACTGCAAGCACGTGCCACCACGACTGGCTAACTTTTGTATTTTTAATAGAGACAGGGTTTCACTATATTGGCCAGGTTGGTCTCCAACTCCTGACCATGTGATCTGCCCGCCTCGGCCTCCCAGATTGCTGGGAGTACAGGTATGAGCCACCACGCCTGGCCAATATTGTTTATTTTTTCCAAAAAATGGCTCTTAGTTTTACTGATTTTTTTCTATTAAGTTTCTAGTCTCTATTTCATTTATTTCTACTGTGATCTTTAGTCTTTCCTTATTTCCAATGATTTGGGATTTAGCTTTTTTTTTTTTTTAGTTTATTGAGGTGTAAAGTTAGGTTGTTTGAAACTTCTTTTGTCTTTATGTAGGTCTTTACTGCTATTAAACTGTTCTCTTAGAACCTTTTTTACTACATGAAGTAAGTATGAGTATGTTTTGTTTTCAGTTTCACTTATCTCAAGACATTTTTTGATTTCCATTTTATTTCATCTTTGACTCACTGGTTGTTCAAGAATATATTGCTTAATTACCACATGTATATACTTTCAAATGTATTAATAATCATCATGATAGCAATGTCACTTTCAGAACACTGCTGTTTTTGTAAAGATATTTCACATGCATTAATTGTTGAAAGTGTCTTTATGATTTCTATAAGTATATTAATTTTGTCAAATAAATAATGAAGGAGAAATAGGAGAACAATCTACCAATATATAAGATAGCCTTTATCAAAGTGTACAGCATATATTTATTTGTAAAAATGTATAGAATTAATGTTTATTTTACACATCTTTGATTATGGTATAACAAAATATTTTATTAAGAAGCCTTCAAAAGTAAATTATAATATTTTGTACCATGAGCACGTGCACACACACACACACACATTCTACAATACAATGGAAAATAGTAATACAAAATAAAAAAAGTTCACTAGATATTAATTTAGGGCAATAGAATAGTAATATCTTCATTTATTTTTAACATTAATATTTATATTCTAATATACTTTACCATGTTGATATTGGAGTTCCTTTTCATTCTGCATTCTCAACTTTCAATTATATATATCCCAGAGAAAAGTATTTTAATATTTATCTCTGGAACCCATATCTCTTTTCTTTCTTTGACAAATTAACTAGACAGCACTTTGAACTTTCTTATATACTTTATTTTTATTAGTACTATCATTCTTTTATATTCTAAGCTAAGATCCACATCAAATTCATTTTTCAGCAATAATTTACAGTCTCAGACTCTCTGGCAGGTGCTGGGATAATATAGAGTCCAGAACAGAGTTACCTTTTCCTTTTAACATAATTGATTTTCAGTTGCTTCCTAAAGAAAGACAAGGTTCTTACCATGATTCTCACCATAGTGAATACTGACCGTATGTTGGAAAACAGAGATTGGGGTGGCTCATTCAAATGTGGACAGAGGGTATAGCCAAGACCATGCAGACTGAAGCCAGTAAGAGGTGAAAGACAAGGGGATGTACAATTCTTCATGTTTAAAAACTGGATCAAGGAAATCACACCAGATTTTAATTCACGCCAGCTAAGGTATTCCCAAAGCCCAGCACGAGTTTAGGAGTATTCTTGCCCTTAATGTCACAATAAGATGTTGTTCATATAGTTCTCCTTTCATAAACCCAGAGACTCTTTAATAAAGAGAAGCATATGGGGAGTTATCTGAGGGAAATTAGCACTTTTTAAAAAGTTCAAATAACAAAATGTGCTTATTATAATAATGAATTTTATAGAAATTCACAGTTATTTAAAAATCCACTCAAAAGTTCATATTCTTAGCAATTCCTAGGTTTTCTCAATTTTTAAACCTATATTTTATTTAAATATATTTCTTCATACTATAACTTAAGGGAGCTGGATATACACTTGTAACTTTTATATGAACAGCTAATTTTATACAGAGTAAGAAGTACTGCAGAAATAATATTTAATTCAAATCCAAGCCCTATCCCTTAAAATAACTGGGCATATCTTTTTGAGCAAATGATTTAACATTATAATCCTTTTCTGTAAAATGAAGCATAAAAACTGCCTCTCAAAATGGGAAATATGAAATGACATATAATTATATTTTAGACATAAACTATGGAAATAACTAATTTCTTTTTCATATTTATGTTTGCTTTCATATAACACATATATTGTGAGATATTTTTATTTTACTTTACTTATTTTATTTTGTTTTATTTTCTAGGATCGAGTCTAGCTTTGTCGCCCAAGCTGGAGTGCAGTGGCGCAATCTTGGATCACTGCAACCTCTGACTTCCGGGTTTAAGAGATTCTCCTGCCTCAGCCTCCTGAGTAGCTGAGATTACAAGCGCCTGACAATATGCCAGCTAATTTTTGTATTTTTAGTAGAGACGGGGTTTTGCCATGTTGGCCAGGCTGGTCTCAAACTCCTGACCTCAAGTGATCTGCCTGCCTTGGCCTCCCAAAATGCCAGGATTACAGGCATGAGCCACAGTACCCGGCTGTAAGATTTAAACAAAATACAGAGCTGAAATATCACATTTCTTCTTCTCTTCTTCTTTTTTTTTTTTTTTTTTTTTTTTTTAGTTAGAGACAGCATCTCTCTACATTGCCCAGACTGGAACTCCTTGGCTCATGCAGTCCTACTGCATCAACCACCCTAGTATTAATAGCTGAAATTACAGACACCCAACAGGACACCAAGCACTTACATTTCTAATTAGGCCAACATTTTCTAAAATACAAACATAAATATTGAGATATACAGTGTCTATAATGTGACCAAAAATGGAATTGTAATTCATTCAATTCATTAAGCATTCAAAACATTGAATATGTACCCATGCTAGTCAATGTGCTAGGTACTGATTTGAACTTGGTATTTATTTTTAATCATTCATATTTTATTTGACCTACAAAATTGAAAGTAAGACAGAAAAACTCCAGTATATAATGTTAATGAAACAAAATGTTCAGCACAGTAATGAAGCATTAATGGGAGAAATTCCTGTTTTATACAAAATGTATGACACATTTATTCAGCTTGATGAAAATGCTTACTGTGAATTTACGCATTTTCTTAACATTTGCAAATTCAGCAGTTACTGCATGACATCCTCTAATTTATAAAAAGAATCTAGTCACGACATTGAGATAAAATGTAAATTGCTCATTTTCAGGTAATAGAATGTAGTTTTAATGTTAACATGTCATTTGAGGTAATGTAATTACTATATCCTATAAATCATAATCTATAAGACACTTTTATATTCTCAATGTACAACAATTTTCAGACAAATATGTTTTGCTTCTCAATAAATCCTGCTTCTTTTTTTTATTTATACCAGTTTCTTTCGAAAATAATGTATTTTCTAATATATGTTCTGCGTCATCCATAATGCAAAACAATTCCATTATTGCAAAGCAATTGAAGGAGAAGGATTCTAAAAGTTATTCCCAAAATACGTCATCTAAGTAAAATTACAGTTTGTTTCAAAATGATATTTCTACCTTTAAAACAAATAACCTGGTTTAACAAAAGTAACAGAGGATTTGGATAGATGTTTCTCCAAGTAAGACCTACAAATGGCTACCAAGTACATGAAAAGGGCATCAGCATTACTAATCATCCAGGAAATGCAGATAAAATCCATAATGAAACAAAATACTACCTCACACTTGTTAGAATGACTATCGTTTTTTAAATGAATGAGTGAAAAACAAGTATTGATGAGGATGAGGTAAAATTTGAGCCATTATATAATGTTGGGAATGAAGAATGGTGGAGCCACCATGGAAAACCATATGGAATTTCCTCAAAAAATTTAAAAAAAGAACTACTATGTGATTTAGCAATCACACTTCTCATTATATATCCAAAGGGATTAAAATCAAGATCTTGAAGACATATCTGCCCCCCCATGTTCATTGCAGCATTATTTATAATAGCCAAAATATAGAAACAACTCAAATATCCATCAACAGATGAATAGAAAAAGAAATTTTGGTTATAAATGCACAGTGGAAAGTTATTCAACCTTAAAAAAGATGAAAATCCTACTGTTTGCAACAACGTATTTAAATTTATAGGGCATTATCCTAAGTGAGATAAACTAGTCACAGGACAAATACGATTCCACTTTTATGAGGTATCTAAATAGTAAAACTCACAGAAACAGACAATACAATGGTGGTGCCAGGAACTAGCAGAAGGGGAAAATGAAGAATTGATTTTCAATGGATATAAAATTTTTGTAATACAAAATGAATTAATTTGAGATATCTGCTGCCTGTATGGTCTCTATAGTTAACAATACTGTATTGTTCATTTAAAAATATAAGAATATATATATCATATTTAAAGTTCTTATAAAATAAGCAAAAACATCCAGCAGTAAAACACAAGCAAATTATTTGAAGTGAAGGATATGTTTACTGCCTTGATTATGGTGATAGTAATCACAGATGTATGCATATATCCAAACTAGTCAGATGCATACGTTAAATGTGTGGAATTTTTTATACATCAACTATAACTCAATAAAGCTAAAAAGAATTACCTTCGAGTATGGGATAAGATTGAAAGGAAAATAATAGATCTTGAAAAGTTTAACTGTTTTAATAAGAAGAACATCTTAAAATGTATGCAGACTTCCTTACAATTCTTCTGAATGTGAATGCCAGAAGACATAAACATTCTCTTCTCATCAAGCTGTCTTTAGCCTATCTTGTATTGAATTTCTACCTAATTCCTCTGTAAAGATGACATCTCCCAAGTTTCTCTAAACTTAGTTACCAAGACGTGTGAATTTCATGACCTCATTTTTACTCACTCTGAAAGTTAACATAAGTTTCATAGTATGTCTCTCCCTCTTCTCACACAACCCCCTTCTTTTCCTTTCTGTGATTCTCTTCTTTTTATTATAAATTATAACATTTTTCTAAGGTTTTTACTATTTTAGGTTAAATCATTAGACAGTTTTTGTTATAAAATACAAAATGAATGGCCTAAGGTTTTGCTGAAAATTTTTGAGACCTCTTGAATGTCTTTTATTGCTTTTTCATCTATTTCAATACTTCTGTAACCTTAAGGAAAATATAATATTTACTACTGTTTATGCCACTAAAAATTCCCATGGATTTCTAATATATTACATTAATAAAATAATATGCAAAATGTCCTAAAATTAGTCTAATTTTTCTATTTGTAATAACATTAATAATGAATCAGATTGATGCTTCTGTTGAAACACCAAGGATCTGTGCTACTGATGATAAAGGATTAGGGCCTGGTAAGTTCCCAACAACGAATGCTGAGATGATGGGACTAGGCTATAGGCGATGGTTTGATTATCAATATTTTGTTGGACCTAATTCCTCATCCCAACAGAAGAGGGGCTGGTGCTTCTCTGAATTGTGAGTCTTAAAAATCTTAGAACCTAAGGGCCAGTGGTCCCATTCTCCAATCTGACACCTGGCACTGCTGAAGTCCTATATGATGTACTGGATAATTTATATTTTGTATACAGTTAGCTATTTTTGCAAAACAGTTACCTCAAAACTCAGCATTTTAAAAATACAGATTTGTTTGGCTTAGTGTATACAGGTCAGCTGGGTTTCTGGTCATGCATGGGCTTACCTCATGCATTTGTGGTGTGGTCAGGTGTCAGAGGGATAAATGACTCACATTAGGGCAGATTCTCTCAGGTGTTTGGGTAATGGCAGAGAGCAGCTTGGTATGCTACACCTCTCTCCACTTGCCTCTCATTGTTCTCAGATTAGGACAACCTAATATGGGTTTGTTCACGTGTTAGAAGCAAAATTCCAGTAAGGAGAAAGCTTGAAGATCTATTTAGGCATCACAACTGGAACAATGTCATTTCTCACACTTTCTAATAAGTCTCAAGACCAGCCTGAATTTAAGGCTTAGAGAAATAGAATCCACCATTTTGTTCCAGGAGATGAAAAATAATATTGAAAAATTTATCTTAGAAACCACAAAGTTAACTTGCCCTATTCTCTACCAAATATAAGCTACAAAATAGTTTTGGTTAAATGAATGAATACTAGCTGTTATTTTCAGATACCATTACATTAAATTGTAGTGCTTATATTATTAAATACTTCTTATGTTCCAAGCAGTGTTCTAAATGCTTTAAAATATTAATTAGTTTAATTTATGAAGAAGCTATTGAATTATATTTATTCAGCAAGTATTTTATCGCTCACCGATTGTAAAGTACTGTTCTAGTGGAAAACCGAAAAAACCTTCCTGCTTTTATTGAGCCTGCATTCTATTTAGAAAGACAGAAAATAAACAAAAAACGAGGAAAACATAAATACTATCTACACAAAATCCACTTCAAATATAAAAATACATAAAAAGGAAACAATGTCAAACATATAATCAAAAGCAAGCTGCAATGGCTTATATTAATATAAGGAAAAGTAGATTTCAGTACTAACTGTATTTTCAGATATAAATGTTCAAGGGCCAATCCACCAAGAAGGCAAAAATAATAATAATAAAAATAACACACACACAATCCTTGCTACACACACACACAAATGTTTAAAAATAAGGAACCTAATCAATGAAGTAAACACAGATGGCACAGTTGGAGATTTCAGCCATATCCCTTCTGAAATTTATAGTGCAATGCAGAAAAATCATCATGTAATAAAAGAAAAGACTTAATACTTCCCACATTAAGAAACATGATTTGGTGTGTATTTACATAAAACTATACTCTAAAACAGGTAAACACATATTAATTTCAAGTATGTATAAAATATTCATCAAGATATACCATACTCTGAAAGAACTACAATTTTTATCAAATTGTAAATAATTAAAATTATACAGAAATTTGATTGCAAAAATATTACAGAAACAGGTAATCAGATACTGTGTGTTCTCACTCATAATAGGAGGGGGCTAAAGCATGAGTACACATGGACATGCAGATTAAAAAAAATGGGGACTGGGGACTTCAAAATGGGTGAGGTTGGTAGGAGGCAGAGGGTTGAAAAGTTACTTATTGGGTACAATGTTCACTATTGGGGTGATGGGTACACTAGAAAACCAACCTTACCCTTATGCACTTTTTTCTCTTAGGCCTCTGGGCCTATGATGGGTGGGGCTGACATGCCCCGGAGAGTCTGTAAAGTCAAAAGCAGGTTAGTTACTTCCTAGATACAGTGAGGGTAGGCACTGGGTAAATACAGCCATTCCAAATGGGAGAAACTGGCCAAAACAAAGGGGCTACTGGCCCCATGCAAGTCTGAAATCCTGTTAAAAAATGATGTCCTTTGACTCCATGTCTCACATCCAGGTCATACTGATGCAAGAGGTAGGTTCCCATGGTCTTGGGCAGCTCCACCCCTGTGGCTTTGCAGGGCACAGCCCTCCTCCCGACTGCTCTCATGGACTGGCATTGAGTGTCTGTGGCTTTTCCAGGTGCACAGTGCAAGCTACTGGTGGATCTACCATTCTGGGCGCTGGTGGATGATGGTCCTCTTCTCACAGCTTCAGTAGGCAGTGCCCCCGTAGGGACTCTGTGTGGGGCTCCGACCCCATGTTTCCCTTCCACACTGCCCTAGCAGAGCTTCTCCATAAGAGCCCACCCTTGCAGCAAACTTCTGCCTGGACATCCAGGTGCTTCCATACATTCTCCAAAATCTAGGCAGAGGTTTCCAAACTTCAATTCTTGAGTTCTGTGCACTCACAGGCTCAACGCCAAGTGGAAGCTGCCAAGGCTTGAGGCTTGCACCCTCTGAAGCCATGGCCCAAGCTCTATGTTGGCCCTTTTCAGCCATGGCGAGAGCAGCTGGAATGCAGGGCACTAAGTCCCTAGGCTGCACACAGCATGGCAACCCTGGGCCTGGCTCACAGAACCACTTTTTACTCTTAGGCCTCTGTGCCTGTGATAGGAGGGGCTGACATGCCCTGGAAACATTTTCCCCATTGTTCAGAAGGATTCACAGCCATATTCTACCAGCTGTATGAGGAAGAACTAGTACCATTTCTACTGAAACTATTCCAAGACATTGAGAAGAATGAACTCCTCCATAACTCAATCTATGAGGCCAGAATTATTCTGACACTAAAACCTGGCAGGGACACAACAAAAAACTCAGGCCTACATCCTTGATGAACATAGAGGCAAAAATCCAAAAGCTCCTTGATCTGGTAACAACTTCAGCAATATTTGGCTGTGAGTCAAATCAAGAACACAATCCTATTCACAACTGCCACAAAAGAAAAAAAAAATACAGCTAACCAAGGAGATGAAACACCTCTACAACAAGAATTACAATACTCAGTTCAAATAAATCAGAGATGACACAAATAAATGGAAAAATATTCCATGCTCATGGATAGAAATGATCAAAATTTTAAAATGGCCATATTTCACAAAGAAAGTTACAGATTCAATGATATTCCTGTCAAACTTAAAATGATATTCTTTAAAGAATTAGGAAGAAATCTTTTTTTTATGATTTTAAAATCCATATGGAAGTAAAAGGAGCCTGAATAGCCAAAACAAATGTAAGCTAAAAGAACAAAGCTGGAGGCATCACATTACTGGACCTTAAACTATACTGCAAGGCTACAGTAACCAAAACATCATAGTACTGATACTTAAAACAGACACACAAAACAATGAAATAGAATAGAGAACCCCAAAACAAAGTCACACACATACAATCATCTCATCTTTGACAAAATTCACAAAAATAAGCAATGGGGAAAGGACACCCTGTTCAATATATGGTACTGGGATAACTGGCTAGCCATATGCAGAAGATTGAATCTGGACCCCTTCTTTATACCATATATAAAAATCAACTCAAGATGGCCTAAAGACTTGGATTTAAACCCAAAACCATAAAATCCTGTAAGGCAACCTAGGAAATACCATCCTGAACATTGGAACAGGCAAAGATTACATGAGAAAGATACCAAAAGAAATCACAGCAAAAGCATAAAATTGACAAATGGGATCTAAACTACAGCTTCTGCACAGCAAAAGAAACTATCAACAGAGTAAACAGAAAACCTTCAGAATTGGAGAAAATATATGTAAACTATGCATCTGACAAAGGTCTAATATTTGGAATATATAAGGAACTTGAAAATATTTATAAGCAAAAAACAACTCCTTTACAAAGTGGGCAGAGGACACCAACAGAGCCTTTTCAAAAGAAGACAATATATGTGGTCAAAATCATATGAAAAAAATGCTCAATATCAGTAATCATTAAAGAAATGTGATAAAAACCATGAAAGATACCCTCAAACCAGCCAGAATGGCTATTATTAAAAAATCAAAAAAATAGCAGATGCTGGCTACTGCTGGTGGGAATGTCGATTAGTTCAGCCATTGTGGAAAGCAGTTGGAGATTTCTCAAGGAACTTAAAACAGAACTACCATTTGACCCAGCTATCCAATCATTGGGTGTATACTCAAGGAAATATAAGTTGTTTTGTCACAAAGACACAAGCACATGTATGTTCACTGCAGAAGTATTCACATTAGCAAATGTGGAACCAAAATTTGGAATCAACCTAAATGTCCATCAATGGTAGACTGGGTTTAAAAATATGGTATATGTATACAATGAAATACTATGTAACTATAAAAAGAAATGAGATCATGTTCTTTGTAGCAACATGGAAAGATCATTATTGTAAGCAAAGAGTATTAGTCTGTATTCATGCTACTAAGAGAGATATACCCAAGACTGGGAAATTTACAAAAGAGAGAGGTTTAATGGATTTACAGTACCACATGGCTTGGGAAGCCTCACAATCAGAGTGGAAGGCAAGGAGGAGCAAGTCACATCTTACATGGATGGCAGCAGGCAAAAAGAGAGATTGTGCAGGGAAACTACCATTTTTAAAACCATCAGATCTCGCGAGGCTCATTCATTATCATGAGAAAAATACAGGAAATACTGGCACCCATAATTCAGTCACCTTCCACCATGATACATAAGAATTGTGGGGGTTACAATTCAAGATAGGATCTGGGTGGGGACACAGCCAAACCATATCATTTCTCCCCTGGCCCTTCCCAAATGACATGTTCTCACATTCCAAAACCAATCATGCCTTCTCAACAGTCCCCCAAAATCTTAACTCATTTCAACATTAACTCAAAAGTCCACAGTCCAAAGTCTCAAAATCTGAGACAAGGCAAGTCCTTTCAACCTATAAGCCTGTAATATCAAAAGCAAGTGAATTAATTTCTATTTACAATGCAGATACAAACATTGGGTAAATGCAGCCATTCCAAATGGGAGAAATTGGTCAAAACAAAAAAGCTACTGGCCC
This sequence comes from Homo sapiens, assembly GCF_000001405.40. Lineage (NCBI taxonomy): Eukaryota > Metazoa > Chordata > Mammalia > Primates > Hominidae > Homo > Homo sapiens. The sequence continues at coordinate 194,640,057 of NC_000001.11, read as the reverse complement.
CATGTAAGTCCAAAATCCAGAGAGGCAGTCAAATCTTGAAGCTCCAAAATGATCTCCTTTGACTCCATGTTTCACATACAGGTCATGCTGATGCAAGAGGTGGGTTCCTGTGGTCTTCAGCAGCTCCACCAATGTGGCTTTGAAGGGTACAGCCAACCTCCAAGCTGCCTTCATGAGCTGGCATTGAGTGTTTATGGATTTTCCAGGTGCACAGTGCAAGCTGTTAGTGGATCTATCATTCTGGTGTCTGGAGGATGGTGGCCCTCTTCTCACAGTTCCTCTAGGTGATGCCTCAGTGGGGACTCTGTGTGGGGGCTCTGACCCACATTTTCCTTCTGCACTGCCCCAGCAGAAGTTCCTCATGAGAATACTGCCCCTTCAGCAAACTTCTGCCTGGACTTCCAAGCATTTCCATATATTCTCTGAAATCTAGGCAGAGGTTCCCAAACCTCAATTCTTAACTTCTGTGTACTCGCAAGCTCAACACAATGTGTAAGCTTCCAAGGCTTGGGGCTTGCACGCTCTGAAGCCATGTCCCAAGCTCTATGTTAGCCCCTTTCAGTTATGGCTGGAGCAGCTGGGATGAGAGGCACCAAGTCCCTAGGTGGCACACAGCACGGGGACCCCAGACTTGGCCCACAGAACAGTATTTTCCTCCTCAGCTTCAGGTCTGTAATGGGAAGGGCTGCCATAAAGACCTCTGATATGTCCTGGAGTCATTTTCCCTATAGTCTTGGGGATTAACATTTGGCTTCTCATTACTCATGCAAATTTCTTCAGCCAGTTTGAATTTCTCCTCAGTAAATGGGATTTTCTTTTCTATTGCATTGTCAGTCTGCACATTTTCCCAACTTTTATACTCTGCTTCCCTTATAAAACTGAATGCCTTTAACAGCACCCAAGTCATCTCTTGAATGCTTTGCTGCTTAGAAATTTCTTCTGCCAGGTACCCTAAATCATTTCTCTCAAGTTTAAAGTTCCACAAATCTCTAGGACAGGGACAAAATGCTGTCAGTCTCTTTGCTAAAACATAGCAAGGGTCACCTTTGCTCCGGTTCCCAATAAGTTCTTCATTTCTATCTGAGACTACCTCAGCATGGACTTTATTGTCCATATCTGTATTAGCATTTTGGGCAAAGCCACTCAATAAATCTCTAGGAAGTTCCAAAATTTCCCACATTTTCCTGTCTTCTTCTGTGCCCTTCAAACTGTTCCAACCTCTGCCTTTTACCCAGTTCCAAAGTTGCTTCCACCTTTTCGGTATCTACAGCAGTGCCCCACTGTACTGTTACCAATTTACTGTATTAGTCCATATTAATACTGCTAATAAAGGCATACCCAAGACTGGGGAATTTACTAAAGGAAGCGGTTTAATGGACTTACAGTTCCACATGGGCAGGGAAGCCTCACAATCATGATGGAAGGCAAGGAGGAGCAAGTCACATCTTACATGGATAGTGGCAGGCAAAGAGAGAGACTGTGCAGGGAAACTGACATTTTTAAAACCATCAGATCTTGTGAGATTCATTCACTAGCCCTACTCCCATAATTCAATCACCTCCCACTGGGTTCTTCCCATGACACATGGGACTTGTGGGAGTTACAATTCAAAATGAGATTTGGGGTGGACACAGCCAAACTATAAAACAAACTAACAGAGGAACAGAAAAACTAATACCATGTGTTCACATTTATAAGTGGGAGTTAAAATGTGACTACATATGGACACAAAGAAAGGAACAACAGCCACTGGGGCCTCCTGGAAGGCGGAGGGTGGGAGGAGGGTGAGGTCAAAAAACTACCTATCGGGTGTTATACTTATTACCTGGGTGACAAAATAATCTGCGCACCAAACTTTCCCAACATGCAATTTACCTATATAGCAAAAATGAACATGTATCCCTGAACCTAAAATAAAAGTTAAAAGAAATTGTAGGTGAAACCTCATCAGAGGTTCTACAAGTATAAAAATAAAATGGGAAAATATTTATAACATCTTTGTCAATATATTAAATAATTTAGATGAAATAAACCAAAATTTTGAGAAGCTGAAAATACCAAAATTACTTGTATACTTGTAGAAGAAAAAGATGACTTAAATACACTTAAATTTATTAAAGAAATTAATTATGTTTTAATGAAAAGCATTTGCAGAAAGAAAAGAAAAATTCTAAATGCTTTACTGGTAAGTACTACCATTTCACAATTCTAATAACCATGGACATTATAAGGATAATGAAGGATTGCTATGAACAATTCTATGCCAACAAGTTTGATAATATGGATGACATGCACACATTATGTAAAAGATTCTCTATACCAAGACAGAGAGGACAAATAGATAACCTAAATTTCCCTATATCCATTAATCCAGTCAGTAATCTGTAGCCTCCCAGAATAAAAGCACAAACACAGATAGTTTGCTGACAATTCCACCAAAAAATGGGAATAAATTATAATAGTTCTTCACGATTTTGTGTAAAAGTTTGAAGTAGGAGGGACACTTTGTAACTAATTCTCAGGTAAACATTATATTAATATCAAAACCAAATAGACATCAAAAGAAAGTAAAACTATAGACCAGTGTCTCTCAATGATATAAATAAAAAATTCTCAACAAAATATTAGCAAATCAAGTTTAACAATGTATAAAAATGATTTACATGCCATGGCATAGTGTGATTTGTGCCAGATATGCAAGGATGTTTCAACATTAAAATAATAATCAATGTAACCCATTATACCAACTTATTAAAGAAGAAATCTCAATTGATGCATAAAAACAATTTTTCACAATCCAGCATCCATTTGTAATAAATACTCTCAGCAATCCAGTATTCAAACAGATCCTCTTAAATTATAAGTAGTATCTACAAAAATTATGGTTAACATCATACTTAACACAGAGTAACAATGTTTTCATCCTAGGATCAGAAAAAAGGCAAGGCTGTCTTCTCTTAGCATTCCTATTCCTCATTTCCTGGAAATGTCATCTAGTGCAATAATTACAGGATAAATAGTTGTATATATAGGAAAGAAAAAATAAAACTCTCTATTTGTGTCTTCTCTTAGCATTCCTATTCCCCATTGACTGGAAATATCACCTAGTGCAATAATTACAGGATAAATACATATACATATTGGAAAGAAAAATAAAAGTCTCTATTTGCCTGTGATAAGATTGTGTATGTAGAAAAATAAGAAAAATCAACAAATAAAATCCTGGAAGTATTAAATGACTATAGCAAGGTCATATGATGCAAGGTTAATATACAAAAATTAGCTAGTTTCCTATATATGAGCAATGAGCAATTCAAATGCAAAATGTTGGGAATTACATTGGCAATAGCACAAAAAAGACATAAAAATTTAGATATAAATCTAACAAAATAAAGACAAAACCTGTATGTGAAAAACTATAAATTTGTGGTTAAAAAAAAATCAAAGAAAATCTAAAGAAGTGAATAAGAATAAATAGACTCCAAGTATATGTATTGGAAGTCTCAGTATTGTACAGATGTCAATTTTTCCCAGTGTCATTAATTCAATGCATATCCAACCAAAATTATGAAAGCTAATTTGTAGACTTGAAATCCTGATTTAAAAATAAATACAGGAAGGTAAACGAATAACAAACAAAATGTTAAAAAGGAAAAAAATGTAGGACTAACACTACTTGACATCAAGATTTAATATAAACTACAGTAATAAATTCAGCATAGTACAAACAGAATATCAATCAAACAGAATAGATAGATAAGAAATAGACCCATAAAAAATATGTCAGCTGATTGCTGACAAAAGAGAAACGGTAATGCAAGGGAGAAATTCATAGTCTTTTTAATAAATGGAACTGGAGCATTTGTATGTATGTATGGTGTATATACACACACACAAACACATATAGAAAATGACTTACTTCACACCGAAAAACAACTCAAAATTGATCATAATTATAAATATAAAGGGTAAAATCATAAAATTTCTTTAAAAATAGTAGACAAGTTATATGACCTTTGGTTTGGTTATGCATTTCCAGATTTAAAAACAGTAACATGATTCATAAGAGAAAAATTGATAATTTAGGTTTAATTAAAATGGAAAATTTTCTGCTCTGTGAAAGACAATATCAATAAAATTAAAAAGTCAGTGAAAGATGAAGAGAAAACATTTGCAAAACTATCAATGAAGGACTTGCTTATACCAAGAACTCTTAAATTGCAACAAAGAATAACATCATTAAAAAAGAACAAAAGATGAACAGACACCTCACCAAAAAAGATATACAGATGGAAAACAAGCATATAAAAATGTTCAATATCATTTTCCTTAGGGAAATACAAATTAAAACCACTATGAGATAACACTATACACTTATTTAAATTGCTAAAATTTACAAAACTGACAAAACTAATTGCCGGAGGGCATCCGGAGCAACAGGACTCATTCATTCCTGGCAGGAATTCAAAATGGTATAGCCACTTTGAAAACAGTTTGATAGTTATTCAAAACTAAACATAGACTTATCATTTGATCTAACAATTGTGCTTCTAAATATTCAGTGGATTTAAAATCATATGTGCACTGAAAAATCTGCACACAGCTTTTTTATAATTGTCAGAACACCCAAGATGTCCTTCAATAACACCCACGATGTCCTTCAATAGGTGAATGAGTAAACAAACTGTGATACATCTCTTCCAGGGGATGTTAGTCAAATTAAAAGAAATTAACTATCAAGCCATAAAAAGACACAGCCTAATTGTAAATGTATATTGCTATGTTAAAAGTTAAGACAGAAAAAGCTACATATTTTCTCATTCACATTATATGATATTCTGAAAAAGACAAAATTACATATATGCTTAAAATGGATGATGACAGGGAGATTCCAAGGAGGGGAGTTGAATAGGTGAGGCATGGGATTTTTAAGTGTGATAAAACTATTCTGTATACTATTGTAATGGTGGATACATGACACTGCATTGTTGAAACCCATTGAACATTACAGCATAAAGAATGAAACTTATTGTGTGCAAATTTGAAAATACAAAACATTTAGAAGTTAGGATATTCCAGGATGAAATAACAACATTGTTATGTTATCAGTTGTTTTGTGACAAAAACAATCTAGCTGTATTGCAAATGTTTGAAACCATCTCACTAAATGAGGCTGGGGGAAAAAGTTGCAGATCTAAGTAACAGTGGAAGAAAGTGGACTCTGTAAGACTAAAGGCAAAAGGAAGTATACATAAAAATGTAGTCTAGTTGTGAAATTAATTTCCCTCAGTGACATGGGAAAATGATTCCGATACTGTTTTGCATTTATACTGAAACTGGACATTTTAGTGAATGGATAGCAGAAGGCTGGAGCCAGGTTTCTCACAGTTGGAGAGGAACAAGGGAATGAGGCTAGACTAATTAATGTGTCAGTGGATTAGAGGTGAAGATATCAGTATGCACTCATATTTAGCTTAATATAGATTCCAATGCTTACATACAGATATGCTTATAGAAGTGTGTATACACATATTAGTATTCAAATAAATATATTCTATTCGTGTCACCTGAGAATGCCTAATGGCAACAACACTTTAGTACTGATGAGAACACTGGTGCCTCCGTATGGTTTTTAATAGCATTCTCCAGTCAGTATTCCTTGGAGAAATAGTTTGGGACAATAATTATAAAAGATGTACTTGGGCACTACTAGTACTAGAAATAAAGAAATGCTAAAAAGGAAACCAACACATGAACACACAAACAAACGATGTTGGGGGCATGTGGAAATGACACAGGAACCAAATGAAAGAGCTGTCACTGTCCAAAGGTGGAACAATTTGAGCAACAAAATAAATTAATTTGTATTAGGCTGTAACCCAATATAATAAAAATATTTTTGTATTAATACTGGTGCAAGTCAATGATTAAATAAATAAATGGGAATGAATAGAAAAACTTCTCGTGGAACAAAATCTATGTAATTTTTGTAGATATTTTCACCTTCAAGGAGGTGGAGAATAACTCCTCATTCCTTATGTGTAGACTGCATATAGTGACTTCTTCCGAAAAGTATATTATGTAGAGTAGGGAAAATAAGTAACTTTACAGAAATGTGAAGATATGTGACAAACACTACCTTAGCCAGGTGATCAATGTTAACATCAGAGGTGGTGAGTCATATTTACAGTAGGTACCCTGGATATGATTAGATGAAAATGGCATTTAACCTCTGTGGTCTTCTTCCCAAAACACAAAACCTAGTGTAATCATGAGAAACATTCTAATAGAAGAAGATTTTGCAAAATATCCAGCCAATAGTTCTCAAAACTTATGGTCACCAAAAACAAGGAAAGTTAGAGAAACTGTCAAAGCCTATAGGAGCCTAAGAAGACAGGATGGTTAAATGAAATGTGTTATTCAGAATGGGATACTCAAATGGAAAATAACTTTAGGTAACAAGGAAGAAAATAAGAATTAAGTATGGAATTTAGCATATAATAATGTATCAGTACTGGTTCATTAATTGTAACAAGGCAACCATGCTAATGTAAGATGTTAATAATAGGGGAAACTGAGTGTGGGTTATAAGGAAGCAATGTGTGCCAACTTTAAATTTTTTTTATATAAATCAAAAAACTACCCTAACATTAAGTGTTCACAAACATGTTTAGTTTCTTAATGATGATTAGTCAGCCCAACAGTGGTCTTAAGAAATATTTCCCAAGTGCCTACTGTGTGCCATATTCTGTAAAGTACCTCTGTGAAGTGCCTTAGTACATTTGTGCTGCTATAACAGAATATTGAGATTGGGTTATTATAAAGAATATAGCTTTATTTCTCATAGTTCTGGAGACTGGGAAATGCAAGATCAAGTCACCAGCAGCTTCAGTTGGCTGAAAAGGGCTGCATCCTCAGAGAGGAGGAACACTGGGTCCTCACATCATGGAAGGTGGAAGAGCAAGAAGCATTTTTTTTGTAATGGCCTTGTCCCATTCATGAGGGAGGAGCCCTCACAGCCTGATCATCTCTTACAGGCTCCACCTCTTAATACTATCTCACTGGCAACACCTGAAATTTGGAGGCAACACATTCAAACCATAGCAAAAGGTAAATCAGATATCTGTAATTAGAAGGATTATTAGTTTAATTATAAGTGGCGTCTTGATGAGTAAAGTGCAGCTATTAAATATGCAATCAGAAAATCCCTGCATTTATTGCTGATAATTGGGAACTTTAATGGTTTAATAGTTCCACAAAGTACCTTAGTGCTGATAAATAAATACAGCATTTCACCTAGGATTTTATGAGGGAAACATCATTCATCATAAATAATGTAAAATATCTTTCCTCTTATACCTTTCAGAGAGCGCACATATACTCAGTATTCTATATTCAGATTAGAAATTGAAGTAGAGAGAAGTAACATCATACAGACATTTCTTCCAAAAATAACTTTAATAGCTGATGTCTTGTAAAGAAAATTAAAAAGAAGCAATGTTTTGAAGTTAAGTAAAGTTTCAACAATCTCATATTTGAAGAACTACATTGACAAAGTGTGAAAAAAACTATAGAAATAATGATAGGTAGCATTTTCTTAACTCTCCCTATGTGTTTTACATGAATCTAGTTCAGAAGAAATGAGAACATTTACTACAATTTTAGACCAAATTGCTTTGAGCTTATACACTTTAACTAATATTGAAGAGGTACAAGTTGGTATTAGAATCAAATTTCAGACTGTAATGATAATTTTATTTCTAAAAACACAATAGTCTTCCTTTATTTCTTCAATCCAGAAAATGTTATCAGCTAAAAATTTTACTTAAGTTTCACTTTTCAAATCTACTAAAAATTATTTGAAGCCTTGTAATTTTGCATTATTATAACTTGTTATATAATTATGGTAGAATCAGCCATGAATTTCAGTTGAAAATAACAGAAACCATACATAAACCATGGCAAGGACACATGCAGCTCAGATTTAAGTATTATTGGCATCAGAATCTCAATTCTGACTTGAACTTCATCATATTAATGTCTTGTCTTTGGTTCTCTGTTCTTGTTTCAGTCTCATTTTAAACTATACTTACCATGTTACTGGAAATAGAGCTGCCAGTGTTCAGCAACTTTGCATCTGACACTCTTGCCATCGTAAGACTCAATGGCCCTTCTTTATAAGCAAGGTGAGGAAAGCCTTGTAAAGCCTTTAAAAGATTCATATGACATCTCCTAAACTAAAATGTGATTAGTGTGGTGTGTATACAATTTTCATATTCATTTATACATTTGATGATGTTAGTTAAGCTCCTATCACATCCATTGCCCTCTTCCACTCTTTAAGGATAAAACAGCTAATAAAGCACACAATCTCTGCTCTCATTTAAAATTTAGTGGCATACAGAGACAATAAGCAAATAGAATGAATATGTCAAGTTGTGATATGTTATCATAAAAATAAAGCGTAAAAAAGCACGAAGAATGAAGGAGTGAAGTGATGTGTGATACAGGGTGGTCAGGAAAGGCTTCCCTGAAAAGGTGACATTTAACGAAATATCTGAAGAAAATTAGAACCATATGGCTCCCATATCGCTGGAGTGAAAAGAAGCAGGGACAATCTTTCAAAGAACAAGTACCATTCCAATTTGTGCTGGGCTGGTTCTGAAATAATAGATGCACTATGCCAAATTATATTGCTTCTATTTTCTCTTTCCTTTGCAATTGCCACTTTTGGAATGTCATGATCTTTTTTTATGTTTAAATTTATGCTTTATATATGTAACATAAGAATTATTTGCCCTCAGAAAATTTGGAAAAGATACAGGACAAGAAATTTTGACATGGCACTTAAATTTAAACATACAAAAAGCAATGACTATTTAATTTCCATGATTACAAGAAAAATACTTGTCATAGGCAATTATGTAAAATAGAGGAAAGGACCCCAAGATATAATATCATTACAGTTTTCATTATACCTTAGCAATATTTCATCTAACAAAGAAGGTACATGTTTACCTAGTATCTGCTTTTTCACCTAATTATATACCTGATGTGTTGTAATCATGAGATCCTGTCTCACCCCAAGAGCTTACAAAAAGTCACTTATATTTATTTCAGTTCCTTTGGGTGTATGTTCTTCTTTTTTACATTTAAGTATTTGATGCATTTGACAAAATTTGAATAAGGACAGACAAATATGGTTGATACTGTAGGCTTATTTCTTCCCTCTTTTGGGTAATTTAATAGAGAACTGGCTCCTCATGTGTGAATTAACTCAATCCCTCTACTAGATTCCAGTCTCCTTATTTTAATAAGGCCACTTCTCTACTTTCATTGTTGCACAGTTGCAGCTGTCTCCAGCCCTCTTCCACCCTAAGCACTTTCTACTGAACGTTGGCCAGTATGCAAAGCAAAATCTAAGTTGTAGAAAGAGAGTTTTGGGGACTGTTTGTATGCAATTATTACTTGACTTCATAGTTTTTCTAAAAACAAAAAACCTATTTCAGATCTACACATATGACACTAGTGGTGCTTATCTGCAATCATTTTGCACAATTTTGATTGTAACATGTTTTCAAGTAAACATCAAATATTTAGTAACATTAATTTTTCTTAAATCATTATATAACATTCTCATACATATTTCATTTGGATATTTGATGTTGCCTCATATAATTTGGATTTTCACTCCCATTAAATCCAGTTATAAATGATCTAAACAGGAAGGATATAGTTTTGAGGTAGAGAAGTGTGGGAAAAAACTGTTGACCCACAACAAATACTGACAAGGTTCTGCTTAAAAATGGAATCATCATAAAGTCTGTCAAATTAGAAGAGTTAAAGCTAATCTACCATGAAACCTTTTATGTTATAATATTTATATATGTATTTTACATATATCTGTTGTTTGTGAGGCTCTATATTTAGATTCTTTTTTTTTTTCCAACCACACACAAAAATACCTGACCTAGTGTGGTTACCAAAGGGCAGAAGGAAGATCAGAAGAGCAAAAGAGAGGCCAGATGATCCAACAGCATTTTTATATTGAGGTTCTGTTCCTGGGTAATTTATTGTAATGGGTGATGTTTCTTCACGACTTCCTTCCCCTTCCCTCCTTCCCTCTTTCCCTCCTTCCCTCCTTCCCTCCTTCCTTCCTTTCTTCTTTCTTATCAATTTCTTAATTTTTTTTTAATTATTTTGAGTTCCTTGGTACATGCCTAAGATGTGCAGATTTGTTACATAGGTAAATATTTGCCATGGTGGTTTGCTGCACCTATCAACCTATCACCTAAGTATGAAGCCCAGCATGCGTTAGCTATTATTCCTGATGCTCTCCCTCCCCCATACCCCCGCAGAAAGGCCCCAGTGTGTGTTGTTCCACTCCCTGTGTCCATGTTTTCTCAATGTTCAGCTCCCACTTGTGAGTGAGAACATGCAGTATTTGATTTGCTGTTCCTGTGTTAGTTTGCTGAGGATAATGGCTTCCAGCTCCATCCATGTCCCTGCAAAGGACATGATGTCTTTCCTTGTATGGCTGCATAGTATTTCATGCTGTATATGCACCACATTTTCTTTATCCAGTCTATTATTGATGGGCATTTATGTTGATTCCATGTCTTTGCTATTGTGCATAGTGCTGTGATGAACATACACATGCATGCACCTTTATAATAGAATAATGTATATTCCTCTGGGTATATACCCAGTAATGGGATTGCTGGGTCAAATGGACTTTCTGAATCTAGGTCTCTGAGAATGGCCACATGGTCTTCAGCAATGGTTGAACTAATTTACATTCCCGCCAAAAGTGTAAAAGCATTCCTATCTCTCCACTGACTCATGAGCATGTTGTTTCTTGAATGTTTAGTAATTGCCATTCTGATGGATGTGAGATGGTATCTCATTGTGGTTTTGATTTGCATTTCTCTAATGATCAGTGATGTTGAGGTTTTTCATATATTAGTTGGCCACAAATATGTCTTCTTTTGAGAAGTGTCTGTTCATGTCCTTAATCCGTTTTTTAATGGAGTTGTTCTTTTTTGTTTGTTTGTTTTATATAAATTTGTTTAAGTTCCTTGGAGACTCTGTATATTAGACCTTTGTCAAATGGATAGTTTGCAAAAATTTTCTCCCATTTTGTAGGTTGCCTGTTCACTCTAATGATAGTTTTCTGTATCAAAGCTCTTTAGTCTAATTAGATCTTATTTGTCAATTTTTGCTTTTGTTGCAATTGCTTTTGATGTTTTCATCATGAAATCTTTGCCTGTGCCTATGTCTTGAATGCTGTTGCCTAGATTATCTTCTAGGTTTTTCATGATTTGGGGTTTTACATTTAGGTCTGTAATCCATCTCTTCTAGGTTTTTATGATTTGGGGTTTTACATTTAGGTCCGTAATCCATCTTGAGTTAATTTTTGTATAAGGTGTAACAAAGGGGTCCAGCTTCAGTTTTCTGCATATGGCTAGCCGCTTTTTACAGCATCATTTAATAAATAAGATATCCTTTCCCCATTGCTTGTTTTTGTCAGGTTTGTCGAAGATCAAATGGTTGTAGATGTGCAGTATTCTTTTCTGAATCTTCTACTCTGTTCCATTGGGCTATGTGTCTGTTTTTGTACCAGGACCATGCTGTGTTGGTTACTGTAGCTTTGTAGTATAGTCTGAAGTCAGGTAGCATGATGCCTCCAGCTTTGTTCTTTTTGCTTTGATTTGTCTTGATTATACGGGCTCTTTTTTGGTTCCATATGAATTTTAAAGTACTTTTTTTCTAATTCTGTGAAGAATGTCACTGGTAGTTTAATGGGAATAGCATTGAATCTATAAATTACTTGGGGCAGTATGGCCATTTTCACGATATTAATTCTTCCTACCCATGAACATGGAGTGTTTTTCCATTTGTTTTTGTCCTCTCTGATTTCCTTGAAGAGTGGGTTGTAGTTCTCTTTGAAGAGTTTTCTCACTTCCCTTGTTAGCTGTATTTCTAGGTATTTTATTTTCTTTGTAGCAACTTGAACGGAGTTCATTCATGATTTGGTTCTTTGCTTATTTGTTGTTGGTGTATAAGAATGCCTGAGATTTTTGTACATCAATTTTGTATCCTGAGACTTTGTTGAGGTTGCTTATAAGCTTAAAATCTTTTGGGCTCAGATGACGGGGTTTTCTAGATATAGGAAGATGTAATTTGAAAACAAAGACAATATGACTTTCTCTCTTCCTATTCGAATACCATTTATTTCTTTTTCTAGCCTGATTGCCCTAGCCAGAACTTCCAATACTATGATAAATAGCAGGGGTGAGAGAGAGCATCCTTGTCTTATGCCAGTTTTCAAGGGGAATGCTTCCAGCTTTTGCCCATTGAGTATGATATTAGCTGTGGGTTTGTCATAAATAGATCTTATTATTTTGAGGTATGTTCCATTAATACCTAGTTAATGAGAGTATTTAGCATTAAGAGATGTTAAATTTTATGGAAGGTCTTGTCTGCATCTATTTGGATAATCCTGTGGTTTTTGTCCTTAGACCTGTTTATGCGATGAATTATGCTTGTTGGATTTGCATATGTTGAATCAGCCTTGCATCCTGGGGATGAAGCTGTCTTGATCATGGTGGATGAGCTTTTTCATGTGCTGCTGGATTCAGTTTGCCAGGAGTTTACTGAGGATTTTTGTATCAGTGTTCATCAGGAATATTGGCCTGAAGTTTTCTTTCGTTGTATCTCTGCCAGGTTTTCATAACAAGATGGTGCTGACTTCATAAAATGAGTTAAGGAGCATTCCTTCATTTTCTGTTGTTTGGAATAATTTCAGAAGAAATACTACCAGCTTCTCTTTGAATTTTACCTCTGGTAAAATTGTAGTTCTCTTTGAAGAGTTTTCTCACTTCTCTTGTTAGCTGTATTTCTAGGTATTTTATTTTCTTTGTAGCAATTGTGAATGGAATTGATTCATGATTTGGTTCTTTGCTTATCTGTTGTTGGTGTTGGCCACCTTCATCCAGAGGTGAGTTCAAGTCCTGAGTATCTGTTATTTATTTGTCTCGATGATCTGTCTAACATTTACAGTGAGGTGTTAAAGTCTCCCACTATTATTGTATGGCAGTCTAAGTCTCTTTGTAGGACTCCAAGAACTTGTTTTATGAATTTGGGTGCTCCTGTATTGGGTGCATATATATTTAGGATAGTTAGCTCTTCTTGTTGAACTGAAACCTTTACCATTATTTAATGCCCTTCTTTGTCTTTTATAATCTTTGTTGGTGTGAAGTCTGTTTTGTCAGAACTAGTATTGCAATCCTGGCTTTTTACTGCTTTCTATTTGCTTGCTAAATTTTCCTTCATCTGTTTATTTTGAGCCTATGTGTGTCTTTGTATGTAGGATGGGTGTCTTGAATACAGCACACCAATAGGTCTTGACTCTTTACCCAGCTTGCCATTCTGTGTCTTTTACTTGGGGCATTTTGCCCATTTACATTTAAGGATAATACTCTTATGTGTGAATCTAATCCTGTCATCATGAGACTGGCTGTTTTGGAGACTTGTTATTGTAGTTGCTTCATAGTGTCATTGGTCTCTATACTTCAATGTGTTTTTGTAGTGGCTGGTAACGGTCTTTCTTTTCCATAGTCAGTGTTTCCTTCAGCAGCTCTTCTAAGACAGGCCTAGAGTTGATGAATTCCCTCAGCATTTGCTCATCTGAAAAGAGTTCTTTTTTTCTTCTTTGCTTAGGAAGCTTAGTTTGGCTGGATATGAAATTTTGGCTTGGAAATTCTTCTCTTTAAGAATGTTGAATATTGACCCCCAATCTCTTCTGAATTGTAGGATTTCCACTGAGAGTGCTGCTATTAATCTGATAGTCTTCCCTTTATAGGTGACCTGGCCTTTATCTCTGGCTGCCCTTAACATTTTTTACTTCATTTCAATCTTGGAAAATCTGATGATTATGTGTCTTGAGGTTGATCTGCTCATGGAGTATCTTACTGGAGTACTCTGCATTTCCTGAATTTGAATGTTGGCCTGTTTTGCTAGGTTGGGGAAGTTCTCCTAAATGATATCCTGAAGTATATTTTCCAACTTTATTCCATTCTCTCTGTCTCTTTCAGGTACCCCAGTCAGTCGTAGGTTCGGTTTTTTACATAATCCCATATTTTCCGAGGTTTTGTTCGTTCCTTTTCATTCTTTTTCTCTAATTTTGTCTGCCTGTCTTATTTCAGCAAGATGGTCATCAAGCTCTGAGATTCTCTCCTCTACTTGGTCTATTCAGCTAGTCATAATTTTCATTGGATTGTGAAGTTCTCATGTTTTGTCTTTCAGCTCCGTCAGGTCATTTGTGTTCCTCTCTAAACTGGTTATTCTGGTTAACAACTCATGTAATGTTTTATCATGGGTTTAGCTTCTTTGCATTGAGTTAGAACATACTTCTTTAGCTCAGTGAAGTTCATTATTACCTACGTTCTGAAGCCTGCTTCTGTTGATTCATCCATGTCATCTTCAGCCCAGTTCTGTGCCCTTGCTGGAGAGATGTGGCGATCATTTAGAGGAGAAGAGGCACTCTGCCTTTTTGAATTTTTGGTATTTTTTGCACTGATTTTTTTCTCATGTTCATGGGTTTATTTACCTTTGGTCTTTGTGGCTGCTGACCTTTGGATGGATTTTGCGTAGAGTATTATTTTGTTGATGCTGTTGCTGTTGTTGCTGCTTTTCATTTGTTTTCCTTTTAGCAGTCAGGCCCCTCTTCCGCAGGGTTGCTGCAGTTTGCTGGGGGTCCACTCTAGACCTTATTTGCCACGGTCCTTCCTGCACCTGGAGGTATCACAAGTGGAGGCTGGAGAACAGCAAAGATGACTTCCTGCTCCTTCCTCTGGGAGTTCTGTCCCAGAGGGGCACCAAGGTGATGACTTTGGACACTCCCCTGTATGAGGTACCCACTGACCCCTGTTGGAGGGTCTCACCCAGTCAGGAGGCACAGGATCAGGGACCTGCTTGAAGAAGTAATCTGGCTGCCCCTTGGTGGAGGAGGCGCACTGTGCTGTGGGGAATCCCACTTGCTTGGACTTCCTGGACTCCTCAGAGCCAGCGGGCTGGAACGACTAAGTCCTTAAACAGGAGACTGAAGCTGCCCCCACCCCCGCCCCCACTGGGGCTCCATCCCAGGGAAATCAGAGTTCTGTCCCTAAACCCCTGGCTGGAGTTGCTGAAATTCCTGCTGGGAGGCATCACCCAGTGAGGAGGGATATATCCAGGCCCCACCTAAAGAAGCAGTCTTGCCATGATCTGCCCCTGTCGCTATGCTGGCTGTGAGGGAATTCCCCCTGGTACAGACCACTAAGTCTCCCCAGCAGGGCACCAGAGGGGAAAACAATGGACTTATATTTAGATTCTTAAAGTTTCTATATTTGGTTAAATTCATTCGTATGTATTGCATATTTTATTAATTCAAACTCACCTTTAAATAAATCATGTTTTAGGTTTTTAATGAAAAGATGTTCTATATTATAAACCTTCTATTTTATAATTTCTTTGATATACACAAGTATTTTCCATAATGTGATTTTGAATGAAGTGGATATAATCAATTTATAAACCTCTGGTGTAACACTAAAAAAAATCTAGAACAACATGGGAAATATAATTACAAATGATATAAGCAAATTATCATAACTTTACAGTTGCTCACCTACTTTTTTGTTTATTATTGGCCAAGTAATATGCTTGTTGTGAATTATGTGAATTTTGTGTATAAAATGAACTTTCATTTTTTGAGATCCATAAGAGGAAACAAAATTCTTTGTGACTAGTCTTCCACGAACTTTTAAAGATCTGAAATAAAAATTAAAATGAGTTTCTGTTCAGCTTTTGTTAACAACACATGATTAATAGGATCAAATATTCTTGAAATGCAAGGTTTTATTTGAATGTATTTATTCTTGCAAATTTAATCTCACATTTTTTAGCTTAAGTTAATTAATGTTTACAACCATTTGCCCTTTACTTAAATGCTGTCATATCAGATAGCTTAATACTTTTCAAGAAATAATAACATTTTCAGATATTACCTTGCAGGGCTTTTATAGTAATATAATTTTGCATGAACCTATATTTATTTTAACATCATCCAAAGCATTGTTATCCTTTTGGAAGAGATAAGAAATACAAAGCAAAATAGTAGAAGACAAGCAAAAATAAAATACTACAGAAAAAATCTTATGACATATTTAATACGTGTCTGTGTGGTCTCATCTCTTGGAAGTCAAGCACTTGAGAGGTTTAATTGCTCTTCAAAACAAAGACTCTCCATGCAAATACATTAAACCCGGCATTAGTCTATTTGAGTTTTTATTAGATATTGAGATCTTTTAAAACATGTAGTTCTTTTAGAACTCTTAAGTAAATATTTCCAGATAAATTTAATATGTACAAAATATACTGATATGTTTGTACATTTCTCCTCTTATTTTATCCTTCATTTGTACATTTTCCCAATTCTATTAAATATTATTGAAATATCTTAATTACCTTAAATTTTATTCCACTTGCTTGTATTCATCTTTGCCCAAAGATCCTAACAGTAACTCTATACTCATATACAGACCCAAAATAACACATACTGCCTGATACAACATACATACCAATTCATCAAGCTTACATTTTTATTTATGTTTAAATGCATGCAAGAAGGCTTTTTAGAATTCTTTCTATTCTCTTCAATGGGACAAGAGAGTTCCCATTTTTTCAGTTTTCTTCAGTATTTGAAACCATTCAAGTTATATTTTGCTAATCTGATAAATATAAGGTTGTCTTTATTGTTATATATTTGATGTAAACGTTTTGTGTGTACAAAATAATAAAGTATTCTATGAAATTGTTGTTCGGTTCCTGGAATTAAACTCCCTCCAAATCTGGATTTCTAATTTACAAGGTTAGTAAAACATTTTTGCCTTATTTGGTTGAAAGTATGTTCCAAATATTACCTATTTTTGTACTGTTAACTATAAAACTTAATTGTGTATCCAAAGAGAAATAAATGAAAATATGAATAAGGAGAAACTAAAAATAAGGCAAAATAAAAGTTTTTTTCTTTAGAAATAAAATTGGAATAAATCTGTTGATAAGGTGAAAATCAAAGAGTAAGATTTTTATATTTTGTTTTTCTTTTACAAGTGTAGGCCATTAACCAACCAAATCAGCGAAAAATAATCTCTTATTTTATAGCCCCTGGACCAATATTGCTGGAAATCGACTAAATATTTTATTATGTGGGTTGAAAATTACCGTATCAGTTGAATTTACCGCCTTATTAAGTCTCTCATAGGAAGATGAGAGCATTGATTTGGAAAAAACTAGAATTCTGTGTCATTAGAAGCCACTTTTGTCACTCAAAGCAGCCTTCCTTTATTCTACCCATTCTGAGGACACTCACTTTATTTTACATAAAGGCTCTATGATAACTTTACTGTGAGTAATTGCCTTCCAAGGGAAAGCCTATTCTCTTCAAGACAAACTCCAACCATTCCTTGTTGACAGAATGAAAAAGTCAGGTATTAGTATGTCTGGGGTGGCGGGAGTGTGGGGAATTAAAGGTTTTACTCAAAATAAAATAATACACCAAAATAATTGCAAGATTTTATGAATTTATATCAAAAGAATCATGAGGAATATGTATGGAATGGATTATAAGAGCCTAAAGATGATGGAATATAGTATCAAATCTAATTAAATTTATTAATATACATGCACATCTTATTGATGATTGTGAATATAAAGTGTTTGCTCATGAAGTTACATGCAGTCATAATGGTTTCCTTGGTTGGTTGCCTGAATTGTGGATTCAATGGATGCATATGTTAAATGGAGTATAGACGCTAGATTTTTTTCTGATATCATGTAGAGGAAGTAGACCAAAGGCTTAGGAAGATAGGAATATTGAAGTGGATTTGTTACGTAACTTATAGACCAAACCCTCTATACTAAATCTATCTAGAAAACCCACAGAACATTTCCTTCATTAATACACTTAGAAATAAATCAGTAAGAGGACTACCAACATCATTTAGAAGCTAGGTACTACATCTTGCAAAACTAATTAAAATTAAAGCAGTACACTATGTGCTATTTTTAGATTGGATAGGCAATATATACCACATTCGAATGGATTTCCCTTACTCATTTGTCAAGGAATGCTTAGGGGTTTCAGGAGGTTACAGAACAACAGAAGGCTTTGCAGAAAGTCCAGACCTGGATCAGCAGATCCGACGTTACTTGAAGTGTCTTTAGCAAATAAGAATGCTATCTGGAGCCTCTAACAAGCACCAATAAAGGATCACAGTGTAAACTTTTAGGATTTTGGAAATAATCCATGCACACTTCTGCAGATAACCATTTCTCTTTGGAGTAAAAGATCTTTACTTACTATTGGGCCACGGTAAAAAACTGAAAGCCTATTCATGGAATGTAAAGTGATCCACAGTAACTGGGTGCCATCTGACCAATGAAACCATAAGGTTTGTCATTTGCAGGAGCAATTTATTATTGGTACCATTGGCATAGAAGCGATTGGGCTTCAGTAGGTCTGAAAGGTCATAGCAGGTGGCTAGACTGACTCCTGATGCTTACATCCTTTCACTCAATAGACATTGATGGGCTCATGGGGAAGACATTATGACCAGTAGAGGAGGAAATAACTGTGGCGTATTTTACACACAGTTCTGCCCTATTTAGTAGTACCAACAAGATGTGAACAATTGGCAACATCACAGACTCATTTACAGGTGTTCCTGAAGAAGAGAATTGAAATAAATCCTTGCAGTTCGGAAGTTAGAGCTGTGAATACTGTTTCTCATTTCTTCTTGCCAAAGAGAAGTCAGAAGTAAGGAAAGAATTGTTGGCTTGTTTTTATAATGGAAAGATATTCATGGATGCTGGGCATGCAAAAAGAGGGAAAGTAATATTTATTATGATTTTGCCTCTCAGCTCCAAAATGAAACTCCTGCTGTCTACTTTATGATTTGAGGGCTGCTGCTCCACAAACTACATTTCTGGTTTTCTACAGGTCTCTCCCTCTTGAGTTGGTCAATAGGGAACTTAATCCCTCTTGTTTATCCCGTTTGCTGACTATATATCACCATGTTTCTGTTGATTTTTCTACATGTTTACATATTTTTTTCCTGGTGTCAGAGTTCATTTTTGTATCAACAATTGAGTACAATTTGGAGTTTTGCTAAAACTCAGAAATCAGGCTCAGCCTTCTCAGGGATTTCAGAATCATCCCTCTGGAAATCTCTTTGTAGGCCTGGTTCCAGCTCCAAATGACCTTCCTGCAAACTCAGACAACACTGGCCTCCACGTAGTCCCTCTTCTAAGATCTTAATCCTTGATAATTTCAACATAATTCCTTCATTTCCCTAGGCTTAAGAGTGTTAGCTGATTTCAATCCTTGCTACTTCTGTAATATGCTAATATTCTCCCTCTCTCTCTCCTGTTTTTCTTGATAAATTCACAATTCTATCTGCTTAGTTAATGGTTATTAATATTAAATTATCTTTGTTAAAATAGCTGCTATGATCTTTGTTCTCTGTCTGAACTCTAATTGAAACAAATACGTGGTAGTGGTAAATTTTCAGACAATGTAGTAAATTAAAAACAAAACAAAACAAAAACAAAAACAAAACAGAGATTAAGGTAAATCTAGACACATACTTTACTTCATTGTTTGAAAAAACACACATCAGATTATGAGCATAACTTGTCCAGATGAGATGGAATGAAGAGATAACATTGAGGAAAATGTGGAGTGGGAAATAAAAAATAAAATAAAAGGGAATGTATTAAAATATTTGTATAATAAAATTCAAATTACGTAGTCAAATTATATAAAACAATGAGCCTACCTTATGTTTTCTTCAATTTTCACTATATGTATGATGTTTTTAAGTATAGACTATTTATTTCAACATTTAAAAAGTGTACTTTACATTTTAGTTTTAAACATATTTAATTGGGCTGAGTAGACTTTATGAAATTTATTTTCTTTATTATTTTTGTAAATGTTCTCAGCCTTATTAAGCTATCATTGATAAATACAAGTTTTATGTATTTATAGTGTACAATATAATGTTTTGAAACATAAATACTTTTTAAATGATTAAATCAAAGTAACATATCCATCACCTTGCATTCTTATCATTTTGTTGTGGTAAGAACATTTAAGATGTACTCTGTTAGCAATTTCCAAGTATACAATACATCATTATTAACTTTAGTCATCATGGTATACAGTATGTCTCTAAAATTTATTCCTCCTGTATGACCAATCTGATACTTTATGGCTGATACTTTTTTTTTTTTTGAGATGGAGTCTTGCTCTGTCGCCAGGCTGGAATGCAGTGGCGCGATCTCGGCTCACTGCAACCTCCGCCTCCTGGGTTCAAGAGATTTCCCTGCCTCAGCCTCCCAAGTATCTGGGACTACAGGTACGTGCCACCATGCCCGGCTAATTTTTGTACTTTTAGTGGAGATGGGGTTTCACCATGTTGGCCAGGATAATCTCGATCTCCTGATCTCATGATCAACCCACTTCGGCCTCCCAAAGTGCTGGGATTACAGATGTGAGCCACCGCGCCTGTCCGATACTTTGTACTTTTGACTGACATCTCCTCATCCCTCCCCAATGCCAGGTAACCACCATTCTACTCTGTATTTCATAGTTCAAGCTTTAGATTTCATACATTTGTAAGATCCGGAAATATCTGTCTGTTTTTGACTGGCTTATTTCAATTTGCATAATGTCATCAAGTTTCATCCACATGAAAAGATTTTCATTTTTTTATATTCCATTATATATACATATATGGAATATATACATGTTTATATGTGTGTATATGTGTATGTATATATGTATGTATCATATTTGTATATAGATGTATGTATGTGTGTATGCACATACACACACACAGACACACACACACACAATTGATCCTTGGACAGTATGGGTTTGATCTGCTTGGGTTGAGTCTAGTTGAATACTTTTAAGATTCTAATTGAATAATTTTAAGATTTCCATGCCTGGATTTGGGAAATTTTTAGCCATCATTTCTTGTAATAAATTTTAAGTCCCTTCTCTCCTTCTTATCATTCTGAAATTTCACAATGCAGATGTTAGCTTTCAGGATGCTGTATAATAAATCCTGTAGGCTTCCTTCATTTCTTTTTAATCTTTCTATATTTTTCTCCTCTGACCACACATTTTCAAATATTTGTTTAAATTTACAGATTATTCTGCTTTATCAATTATGCCATTGACACTCCCTGTCACATTTTTCATTTTATTCATTGTTTCAATTGCAGAATATCTGTGTTTTTTTATTATTTCAATCTCAAACTTTTAACTTTGTGTACTGTTTCCTGGTCTCTTTGAATTATCTCTCTGTGTTTCCCTGTAGTTTGCTGAGCTTCCTTAAAACAATTTTTTTGAAGTCTTTATTAAGCATTTAGAGATCTCCATTTTCTTGGTGTTAGTGACTAGAAAATTGTATTATTTTGGTGGTGGCACGTTTTCTTATTTTTTTATGTCTTGTTGCCTTGTGTTGATGTCTGCATTTTTAAAGGAGAAATCATATCTTCAAGTTTAAATTTTGTGTGTGTGAGAGACATGGTCTTGCTCTATTGCCTGGCTGGAATGCACCAGGATGATCTTGGCTCACTGCATCCTCTGCCTCCCAGTTTCAAGTGATTCTACTGCCTCAGTCTACTGAGCAGTTGGGATTACAGGCATGCACCACCACACACACAAATTTTTGTATTTTTATGTCTGGAGTTGGTTCCTTTTGGTGGGTTTGTGGTCTTGCTGACTTCAAGAATGGAGCCAAGGACCTTCACGGTGAGTGTTACAGCTCTTAAAGATGACACACACCCAAAGAGTGAGCAGCAGCAAGATTTATTGTAAAGAGCGAAAGAACAAAGCTTCCATACCGTGAAAGGGCACCTAAGCGGGTTGCTGCTGCTGACTGGGTTGGCCGGCTTTTATTCCCTTATTTGTCCCCGCCCATGTCCTGTCAATTGGTCCATTTTACAGAGTGCTGATTGGTCCATTTTACAGAGTGCCGATTGGTCCATTTTACAGTGTGCTGACTGGTCCATTTTACAAACTTCTAACTAGCTACAGAGAACTGATTGGTGTGTTTTTACAGAGCACTGATTGATGCATTTTACAAATCTCTTGTAATACAGAAACATTCTCCAAGTCCCTACTCGACCCAGAAAGTCCAGCTGGCTTCACTTCTCATCTTTAGCAGAGACAGGGTTTCACCATTTTTACACGGCTAGTCTTGAACTCCTGACATCAAGTGATCCACCTCAGAGGTGAAGC
This sequence comes from Homo sapiens, assembly GCF_000001405.40. Classification (NCBI taxonomy): domain Eukaryota; kingdom Metazoa; phylum Chordata; class Mammalia; order Primates; family Hominidae; genus Homo; species Homo sapiens. Next base: position 194,617,700 of record NC_000001.11, on the reverse strand, counting down.
TGGCTGGGCTTCTGGGTCAGGTGGGGACTTGGAGAACTTTTCTGTCTAGCTAAATGATTGTAAACACACCAATCAGTGCTCTGTGTCTAGCTAAAGGTTTGTAAATGCACCAATCAGCACTCTCTAAAAATGCACCAATCAGCACTCTGTGTCTAGCTAAAGGTTTGTAAACGCACCAATCAGCACTCTGTGTCTAGCTAAAGGTTTGTAAACGCACCAATCAGCTCTCTGTAAAAATGCACCAATCAGCATTCTGTGTCTAGCTAAAGGTTTTTAAATGCACCAGTCAGTGCTCTCTGTCTAGCCAAAGGTTTGTAAACACACCAATCAGCACTCTATAAAAACGTACCAACCAGCGCTCTGTGTCTAGCTAGAGGATTGTAAACGCACCAATCAGCACTCTGTAAAAACGGACCAATCAGCACTCTATAAAATGGACCAATCAGCGCTCTGTAAAATGGACCAATCAGCAGGACGTGGGCAGGGCCAATAAGGGAATAAAAGCTGGCCACCCTAGCTAGCAGTTGCACTGGCTTGGATCTGTTTCCACACCATGGAAGCTTTGTTCTTTTGGTCTTCACAGTAAATCTTGCTGCTGCTCACTCTTTGGGTCTGCACTACCTTTATGAGCTGTAACGCTCACTGCAAAGATCTGAGGCTTCGCTCTTGGAGTCAGTGAGACCACAAACCCACTGGGAAGAACAAACAACTCCGGACGTGCCACCTTTAAGAGCTGTAGCACTCACTGCGAAGGTCTGTGGCTTCACTCCTGAAGTCAAGCGAGACCACGAACCCACTGGAAGGAAGAAACTTCAGACACATCCGAACATCTGAAAAAACAAACTCCAGACACACCATCTTTAAGAACTGTAACACTCACCGTGAGGGTCCGCGGCTTCATTCTTGAAGTCAGAAAGACCAAGAACCCACTGAAAGAAACCAATTCCAGACACACACCCGCCTCTGCCTCTCAATGTGCTGGGATTACAGGTATGAGCCACTGTGCCTGGCCCTTATCTTCAAGATTTTTGAATCGGTTTTGGTGGAGAAAGACTTTCCTCCATGAGTGGGTATGAAGGCACTGGCTGGGTGGCAGTTCTGACTCTAGTGAAGGTGCATATGTGTAATCTCCATATAGCTCTGTCAGCTGTGGTAGATATTCATGAAGACTGAAGGAAATCTCAGCAGCCAAGGCTGTGGGTATGCACAGGGGCAGTGAGGGCTGTTGGGTCTTCAGTAGTAATGGCTGCTGGGGTTGTCCTGATCTCTTTTCTTCCCACCAAGGAAATTATGACCAAGGGAGTTCCTCTCAGCACTGGATCTGGCTTTAAAGCATACTCGCAGTGGTGGTGGCACTAGTATTTTATGCATAGTGCTTGTGGAGTGACCATGGAACCAGGGTGTGAAGCATGGTCATGCACAAAGAGACTAAGACTCTGGGTTCTGGGGTAGCAGTGGCACCAGCACCTAGTGTACAAGTACCCCCACTGATGCATTAATAACCATGTACAGTATGTGGGTGCCTGTCAAACATTTGGGAAACTGGAGTCTAAAGCATAGGTGTGTGCCAACCTACAGTGGGCACTGGCATGTGCAGACGAATAGTGAGCTCTGGAGTCTGGAGTATGTGCTAGCTTGATGTGGTGATGAAGTCAGTGTCTGGGTTTCTTTATAATATATTGTTGCTTTTGTATTTGACTTACAGACGAACTCTTGTATTAAAATTTTGATTTCCCCATTAACCTCAGTTTATTTTGATGATTAATATGTTAATAGCTTACTAAATTTATTGTATCCAATGTACTACCAATTTGGAGGGCTTTATGAACCTATCTTGTGTATTTGAATTCTCTATAATATGTACTTAGTTTTGATCTGGCTTGTATCGTTTCACAAGCTTCTTGAAAAATATACTTTTTTTGATTCCTTAGACTAATATAAAACAGGCAACACACTAGTTTTTAGGTATTCACTGTAAGACTTTTAGAATCCTGAGAGTTCTTTATTGCTGTACAAAACCTATTGAAAAATTATTATTGAATATTTTATTTAGACAGATACTGAAATACATTGCTTCTTGCATACTTTCATGTGCATGAATACTGTGCCTATTTTAGCTTCACTTATGTTCAAACACAAATGTACAAAACTGGTTTAATATTTAGTATAAACATTGGAATGTAGATTTTTAATCTAAAAGTTTAAAATATTTTTCTGATTAATCTTCAGAAATATACAGATTATGCAGATAAGACAATTTTTGAAACAATCTGATTTTATTTCATGGATCGGTTTTAGGTTTGCTCTTTATATTTAAAATATGACATTATCCCTTCTATACTTTTATATGTGTTTGTCTTTTTCATTAAATATTTTAAGACCAATGTAAATGCTCCAGTTTTAGATTCAGATCATGCTCAACGTACTCTTATTTTGAAAAATATATTCTTTGAGGTTTTAATTTATGATATTTTCCACATCAATTACTTTTTCTATTGTTACTTTCTTAATTTATTTTTTCCTGTCTTGGGGGGAAGCTCTCAACTTGCACTTCTGTCTCACTGTTATAATTTCCTGAGAGACTAACTGGCTATTAATGATAGCTATCACAATATTTTTTTTCACAATTATGTAATTATGCGTTTTATCTCTCTATAACCCTTACATATGTCAGCTTGTTATTTATGTTATCTTAGGCTATAGCTTTCCATCCATGTCAAAATATGTTAAATATTGATGGAAATCAGGATCAATGAATTTCTAAAACTTATTTTTCCCCTTCATTAAATGGTGGTTGAATGAATTAACATGGAAATTATCTCATCCTTATTTGAAAATTAAGAATATATCTATAAATCAGTTTTCTTGCAATATTCAACATTGTAAAAATCTTTGCTTAACCCATAATGTATAATCTACTAAAAGGTTGAGTGAAGTTATTTCTGCATCTGTGTCGGCAGCAATAGAATTTTTAAGAGAAGAATTTATGATGAAAACATGAAGTATTAAAAATGTCACTGTGGGGGGTCAGGCATGGTGGCTCATGCCTATAATCCCAGCATTTTGGGAAGATCACTTGAGCCCGGGAGTTCTCGACCAGCCTGGCCAAAATGGTGAAACCCTGTCTTTATTAAAAATACAAAAAATTAGGTGGGTGTGGTGGCACACAACTGTACTCCCAGCTACTCCGGAGGCTGAGGCTGGAGAATCGCTTGAGCCCAGAAAGCAGAGGTTGCAGTGAGCCAAGATCACACCACTTCACTCTAGCCTGGGTGACAGAGTGAGGCCCTGTCTTAAAAATAAATAAATACATACATAAAAATCCCACCGTGTCATTCATAGAGTAATACAAACTAGAAATAAAAATTTCTGCTAGGTAGATTTCATGTTTTACTCAATCGTTTACAGTGGAGTGAAACTCAGATCCTTGCCACTACAGCATATAAATCGGCTTTCATATGTTATTTGTACCAAAAGTAAACTTCAGCTACCTTATAGCCTATTGTTGGCACCTGAGTGTTTTGCTCATCAGCGATTGAAAAAATGAATAAAATGGCAGTCAATAACTTTCAACTCAATCGCATATCCAGGATTCATTTCATGAGGCCCAAAATGTGACAGCAGAAATTATCCAAGAGCGTTTCTCGTTTTCTTTTGCTTATTAGTGTATGATTCTTCACTGAAGGGTTTCTGTTACCCAGCTACAATTCATTAAGATATTGTGACTTTAATATATACTCTTCTTATACAATGAAAATCTAAATATTAATTTATTATAATTTATATAAGTAGACAACAACGTTGAGACTGAAACTTGTATTTTCCATAATCAGAAGCCTTTAATATGAATGTAATTAAATTTATTAATCATTTCTTTTGTTGTTTTCACTTTGTGTGCTGTGAAAAATCTCTCTCCTTTCGGGTAATTTGTCAAGCATCTTTATACGTGTGTGTGTGTGTGTGTGTATAAATAATTTGACTTTCATATTTAAGCATTAAATTCTAGACCAGTTTTTAGTATGTAGGATAAATAGTTGTGAATACAGTCATTTGTCTCAAATTATTTCTTGAATGGTACTTCAAGATCTGGAATGTTAATATTTTAATATGTTGTTTCTATATATGTATTGGAATGTCCCTGGGATCCCTATTGTTTATAATTATGCTTATGAAAATACATTCTGATAGATCTGTTTCTCATTACTTTTACTCTTTGCTACTATTATAAATATATTTTGTATAATTACATTTCATAATTATCTGACACTAGTATATAAAAATGAAGTTTATCTTAGTATGTGGTCATATATCCAGTAACATGACTAATCCGGAAAAAAATGTGTCTATATTTTCTTATGTTTCATGTGAAAAAAGAAAGATACACTGAAAATAATGATTTTGTTGCTTCAGACTTATTAATCTTTCTACTCTTTCTGTCTTACCGTGCTAGGAAGACTTGTAGGACAATAATTAATAGAAGTGATAATCTAAACTTCCTAATTGATTTATGTTTTTAAAGGAAAAGGTTTTAGTATTTGGACATTATATATGGAGTATCTATAAACTCTCAGCCAACAGCTATTGTAATAATTGGGGATTTCCTTGCTTAATCAAATATATATATGTGTATATTTTTATCTTCCAGATTATATTTTTTGAACAAATTAAAATAGGACAAATATTTATAAATTAAGGAGAGCTATTGCATAGCATAGTAACTATAGTTAATCATAATGTACTATATACTTGAAAATTGATGTGAGATTTCAAGTGTTCTCACCAAAAAACAGTAATAAGCATGCGAGGTCATTGATATATTAGCATGATTTAGCCATGCTACCATATATACATATGTGAAAACATCATGTTGCATACTATCAATATAAAAAGTTCTTATTTGTCCATTAAAAATAAATAAAAATGAAAAATAAATGCCGTTTGGGAAAGATACATTTGCTTCTAAAGACAAACAATGCTGCTTTTGGCAACAATAAAAAGGGAGAAATATATTATCAGACTTAGTAACTGCTAACCAAAGTCTAGATTCCACAATTCTAAGTATTTTAAGTCACTGTAAGCAGGCCCTTTAAAGATTCCTGTAAAAAGCAAGTTAGAGACAAATAACAGTAAGCAACATTTATTCAATGTAAATGAAATAATTAATGCAAAAATTGTACTGTAAATTGTGGGGCATTTAAACTAGAATTTTAAAAATTAAAAATGGGAATATAAAATAATCCTGTAAATTATCTTGAATTAAAGTGCCACTGTGTGAGATAAACTTCTGTAAAGAAATTTAATTTACTGAAGTTGTCACTTATTCATGTTGCAGTGGTTATTCTGATTGACTCACAAACAAGTACTTAGGTAACCATTTTTATATATTCACATTTGTTCAGCTACTTAACCATTTTCAGTAACTGTTCTTTAAAAATCATTTTTAATGAAACATAGTAAGGTAAGTGGTTGCATTGGAGAGATCCACACAAAACTCAAAGAGTAGTTTTTAAAAACCTATTTAAGGATATATGAATAGGTTCTTGAGGGTTGGGCTATAGTTTCCAATTACAACATAATACACATATTCAAGAAAAGATGTAGCACAAACATTTCAGATAGTCATGAAGATGGTGTATTCTGGAAATATATGTAGATGACTCAGAAAGTGACTCCAGTGATGACAAGGGTGCCCTCAGTATGTTCTGAACACTAGTGCGCTTTTAGGGTCCCAAAGAGAGCTAATGTCCAAGACTGTGCATCTTTTAAAACAAGCACATTACTCATCTTCTCCATAGCTCTCCCTGATCACGCCCAAGGAGAATTTCTGTTTTTCCTATGTTACCATAAGCAGGTGGCACTCACCACTCACTATCCTGCGTTAGGGCTACCTGGGTGCCACCATGTGTCACCTTCTGGGAGTAAGCACTGGACCCACATTCTCTCCTTTCACCCACACAACAACCCTATGAGGCAGTTCTCAGAGAGGGAAACTGAGGCTCTTCCAGGAGCTACTTGACTAAGAGTGGATCAGTAGCTAATAGCTACCAATAATATTTTCAAAACGTAAACGACTTCAATTTTATTAAATTATCTACTACATCTACTTAGATGAATCTTTTTTGTTCTTTTTATTATGTCAATATAGTAAATTACATTGACAGCGTTTTCAGTGTAAAATCAGTCTTTCACTCCTTGAAACAACCAAACTTGATCAATATGTATTTTTTTCATACTTTGGTTGATTTATATGGCTTTTGTTTTATTTAACATATTGATATATCTGCTAAGTAAAAATGGCTGCAATTTGCATCTTTACATCTCCCTAGGTAGTTTTGCAATCAAAGATATACAATCATAATAAAATTGGAATCTATCATCTTAAAGAGTTTGTGTAAGAGTAAAATAATCTTTCCTTAGAATGTTTAATAAAACCTCCTATAAAACTGTAGTTTATTTTTGCATATTTTTTATTGTTGTTGCAGGTTATTACTGCATCATTTTATAATTACTATATGTTCATTTAGGATTCCTATTCCTTATGAATCATTCCTGTTAACTAAAAATTTTCTATGAAATTGTTCAGTTGTGAAATTTAACTCTCAATATGTCTACTGTTTTTAAAGTTGTTCATATTCTGCCCTATTTCTTTAAATTTCATAATACCATTTGTGTTTTCTGTTTTTTTTGTTGTTGTTGTTTTTGTTCAAACTCGACAGATAATTTTCTATTCAAGTTTTCAAAGAACCAATTTTTACCTACGGTGACTCTCTCAGGTTATGTTCCATGTATTAATTCTGTCTTTGAACTCTTTAATTTTCTTTTCCCACTCCTTTTAGATTTGTTCTATTTATCTTTTTCTTATTTCTTATGTCTACGTTTAGCTCATTAATTTTCAGTCTTTCCGTTTGAATATATGCATTTGCTAAACATTCTATTCTAACTTCTGTTTTAATTCTACCTCATGTTTGTTTTGTGTAATTGTATCATTTATTTTCAACATTGTCTAATATGTATTACATTTTGTAACATTATTATGCAGTGTTTAAAATGCAAGTTTTTTTGTTACAGAGACTGATAGCAGGAGCTTAAATTTCAACCCGTAGCCTTGTTTCCAGTGCTTTCTTTGTTTCTAGCCTCTAGGAATTTTTTCTTACGTTCTGTAAAAGCAGTCATGCATTTAAAATGATATGTGTTATATTGTGCACAATATTACTTGGTGTTTTAAGGTGGAAGCTTTTAAGGTTTTGTAGCTCACAATATTGCTAGAAATAAGGGAATTATGGTATTCACTTTTACTCCATTCATTTCTGTTTTGTACCATAATTCTAATGGAAAAGCTCCATAACTCCATGCCCAGTAGATACATTTCTGAATTCATCTTACTCACAATACTGTTTTTCCCTATTGAATATTCTCCCTTTCTTAAATTATTTTTCATCTTTTAGATTTTAGAGCAGAACATTTTCTGGATTATATTCCTTTCTCTTTGCTTGCTGCTAGCATTTTCTTCCTCACCAGTGTTTCTCTCACTAAACCCTAAACTTTTGCAACTCCACAGAGCTTTTTTCTAGATCTTTTTTTCCCCTCCAAAGCTGTTTTCCTATTAGAATTTACCCATTTTACAGGATTTAAGAATCAACCCAAGTCTACAACATAAAACTCACTGAAAAATCAAATTGTGTCTCCAACTGACATCTGGCAATTTGTATTAGTGTTTCCCATTGATACCTCAAATTCATCTTCTTCAAGACAGAATTGGTTATAAATTCTACCCATTACATTTTTTTCTATCCCACTGAAGTTTATCACGAAAAACCTGGGTGAGAAATATAACTTTTTTGCTTTTAGCATTTAATGGATAAGCTTAACATAGACACACTCCCACTGAGACCATCTAGAAAAAAAATAGAAATGAAAATTAAAGTCTATGCGAATGCATCAAAGCGTTAGCAAGGTATCAAGAAATTGAAGTGTCTGCGAATCCATTTGGTCCTGGACTTCTTTTGGTTGGTAGGCTATTAATTGTTGCCTAAATTTCAGAGCCTGTTATTGGTCTATTCAGGGATTCAACTTCTTCTGGTTTAGTCTTGGGAGGGGTGTATGTGTCCAGTAATTTATCCATATCTTCTAGATTTTCTAGTTTATTTGCGTAGAGGTGTTTATAGTATTCTGATGGTAGTTTATATTTCTGTGGGACCGGTGGTGATATCTCCTTTATGATTTTTTATTACATCTATTTGATTCATCTTTCCTTTCTTCTTTATTAGTCTTGCTAGTCGCCTATCAATTTTGTTGATCTTTTCAAAAAACCAGCTCCTGGATTCATTGATTTTTTTGAAGGTTTTTTTGTGTCTCTATCTCCTTCAGTTCTGCTCTGATCTTAGTTATTTCTTGTCTTCTGCTAGCTTTTGAAAGTGTTTGCTCTTTCTTCTCTAGATATTTTAATTGTGATGTTAGGGTGTCAATTTTAGATCTTTCCTGCTTTCTCTTGTGGGCCTTTAGTGCTATATATTTCCCTCTACACACTGCTTTATATGTGTTCCAGAGATTCTGGTACGTTGTGTCTCTGTTCTAACTGATTTCAAAGAACATCTTAGAGGAGCTGGTACCATTCCTTCTGAAACTAGTCCAATCAATAGAAAAAGAGGGAATCCTCCCTAACTCATTTTATGAGGTCAGCATCATCCTAATACCAAAGCCTGGCAGAGACACAACAAAAAAAGAGAATTTTAGACCAATATCCCTGATGAATATTGATGCAAAAATCCACAATAAAATACTGGCAAACTGAATCCAGCAGCACATCAAAAAGTTTATCCAACACGATCAAGTTGGTTTCATCCCTGGGATGCAAGGCTTGTTCAACATACACAAATCAATAAACGTAATCCAGCATATAAACAGAACCAAAGACAAAAACCACATGATTATCTCAATAGATGCAGAAAAGGCCTTCGACAAAATTCAACAGCGATTCATGCTAAAAACTCTCAATAAACTAGGTATTGATGGGACGTATCTCAAAATAATAAGAGCTATTTATGACAAACCTACAGCCAATATCATGCTGAATAGGCAAAAACTGGAAGCACTCCCTTTGAAAACTGGTACAAGAAGGGATGCCCTCTTTCACCACTCCTATTCAAAATAGTGTTGGAAGTCCTGGCCAGGGCAATCAAGGAGGAGAAAGAAATAAAGGGTATTCGATTAGGAAAAGAAGAAGTCATATTGTCCCTGTTTGCAGATGACATGAAAACCCCATTGTCTCAGCCCAAAATCTCCTTAAGCTGATAAGTAACTTCAGCAATGTCTCAAGATACAAAATCAATGAGCAAAAATCACAAGCATTCCTATACACCAATAACAGACCAACAGAGAGCCAAATCATGAGTGAACTCCCATTCACAATTGCTTCAAAGAGAATAAAATACCTAGGAATCCAACTTACAAGGGATGTGAAGGACCTCTTCAAGGAGAACTACAAACCACTGCTCAGTGAAATAAAAGAGGACACAAACAAATGGAAGAACATTCCATGCTCACGGAGAGGAAGAGTAAGTATCCTGAAAACGGCTGTACTGCCCAAGGTAATTTATATATTTAATGCCACTCCCATCAAGCTACCAATGACTTTCTTCACAGAATTGGAAAAAAACTACTTTAAAGTTCATATGGAACCAAAAAAGAGCTTGCATTGGCAAGACAATCCTAAGCCAAAAGAGCAAAGCTGGAGGCATCACGCTACCTGACTTCAAACTATACTACAAGGCTACAGTAACCAAAACAGCATGGTACTGGTACCAAAACAGAGATATAGACCAACGGAACAGAACAGAGCTCTCAGAAATACTACCACACATCTACAACCATCTGATCTTTGACAAACCTGACAAAAATAAGAAATGGGGAAAGGATTCCCAATTTAATAAATGGTGCTTGGAAAACTGACTAGCCATCTGTAAGAAGCTGAAACTGGATCCCTTCCTTACACCTTATACAAAAATTAATTCAAGATTGATTAAAGACTTAAATGTTAGATCTAAAACCATAAAAACCCTAGAAGATAACCTAGGCAATACCATTCAGAACATAGGCATGGGCAAGGACTTCAATGACTAAAACACCAAAAGCAATGGCAACAAAAGCCAAAATTGACAAATAGCATCCAATTAAACTAAAGAGCTTCTGCACAGCAAAAGAAACTACCATCAGAGTGAACAGGAAACCTACAGAATGGGATAAAATTTTTACAATCTACCCATCTACCAAAGGGCTAATGTCCAGAATCTACAAAGAACTTAAACAAATTTACAAGAGAAAATCAAACAACCCCATCAACAAGTGGGCAAAGGATATGAACAGACACTTCTCAAAAGAAGACAGCTATGCAGCCAAAAACACATGAAAAAATGCTCATCATCACTGGCAATCAGAGAAATGCAAATCAAAACCACAATGAGATACCATCTCAAACCAGTTAGAATGGTGATCATTAAAAAGTCAGGAAACAACAGGTGCTAGAGAGGATGTGGAGAAATAGGAACACTTTTACACAGTTGGTGGGACCATAAACTAATTCAACGTTTGTGGCAGACAGTGCAGCGATTCCTCAAGGATTTAGAACTAGAAATACCATTTGACCCAGCCATCCCATTACTGGGTGTATACCCAAAGTATTATAAATCATGCTGCTAGCACACGTATGTTTATTGTGGCATTATTGACAATAGCAAAGACTTGGAACCAATCTAAATGTCCAACAATGATAGACTGGAATAAGAAAATGTGGCACATATACACGATGGAATACTATGCAGCCATAAAAAATGAAGAGTTCATGTCCTTTGTAGGGATATGTATGAAGCTGGAAACCATCATTCTCAGCAAACTATTGCAAGGACAGAAAACCAAACACTCATGTTCTCACTCATATGTGGGAATTGAACAATGAGAACACTTGGACACAGGGTGGGGAATATCACACACCAGGGCCTGTTTTGGGGTGGTGGGAGGGGGGAGGGTTAGCATTAGGAGATATACCTAGTGTAAATGACAAGTTAATGGGTGCAGCACACCAGCATGGCACATGTATACATATGTAACAAACCTGCACATTGTGCACATGTACCCTAGAACTTAAAGGATAATTAAAAAAAGAGAAGAAATTGAAGTGTCTAGAAACTGAAGATAAGGGAAGCAAAGTGTTTAGATCCACTATTTCCCTTAAGGCTTTGGCCTATTCTAAAGTTAGGGCCAAAAACATAAAAGGCTGAGGAGCTGAACAGAGCTTCAACCAGTTGCAAGAGAATGGGTAGATAAAACCACAGTTCAGAGATCAGCAAAAAGAAGGGTTACTGATTAAAATCTCAAGTTTTTAGCTGGAACTCATAGGCTAAAATATAGGCATAGAAGAAACTATAAAAGGAACAGTCTTTATGAAAACTCAAATCTACTTTTATGTAAGCCAAATTTCTGTGATTAACAAACTCAATAAATTAATGACAACCTGAAAAATATAAAAAGATAATTGGAACATATACAATGTTTTGAAATGGAAATTTTAAATCCCCAAATGACAACAACTGAAGGAAGAATTCAATAGATGTATTTGACAACTGTTTAGACACAGGTGAATAAAAAATGGCACTGGAGTCAGGCACCAAGAATCACGCCTGCAATCCCAGCACTTTGCGAGGCTGAGGATGGATCATCTGAGATCAGGAGTTTGAGACCAGCCTGGCCAACAGGGTGAAACCCTGTCTCTACTAAAAATACAAAAATCAGCCAGGCGTGGTGGCGGGCACCTGTAATCCTGGCTACTCTGGAGGCTGAGGCAAGAGAATCATTTGAATCTGGAAGGCGGAGGTTGCAGTGGGCCGAGATTGCATCACTGCACTCCAGCCTGGGGACAGAGTTAGAGTCCCTCTAAAAACAAAACAAAGCAAAAACAAAAACCAACAAACAAAAAAAGTCACTGGACAAATAGCACAGCAAAGATATCCAGATTTACACACACAGAGAAAAAAAATGATTGGGAAATTTAAAAATAACATAAAATATGTAGGAAACATGGTAAAAAGATCTAACATATTATAATTGAATCCAAAAATGAGAATACAGACAGAAGGAAAAGACAGTAGAAGCAATGTTTGCAAAAAGGCCTAAAGCCACAGGTTTAAAAAATTCCATAAATCAAAATCACCATGAATGTAAATCAACGCATATTAGGGCAAATCAGAAACACTGGACATTAATGGGTAAATTTTAAGAGCAACCAGATGAGGGTAGGATACACATATGTTATTAGAGTAAGCAAAAATAAGATTCACAGCTGGATCGGTTCTCCAGAAAAAAATTCAGAGCCACAAGACTATGGAATTGCATCTGTAGATATCAACAGAAAATAACTGCTAATGTAGAATCTATTTGTGGCAAACATGCTCCCCTTCTGAAAATGAAAATTAAAAGCATAAATTTTGTGAAAAAATCCGAGATATTTTCACCAAAATAACTGTGCTGAACAATGTAACAAATGGCAGTCTTGAGACAGAAAATGGCACAGATATTCAGAAAACAATGAAGAGTAATGAAGAAATAAATGTATAGACAAATCTAAACGGCTTCTATAATGCAATAATAATGTCTTATGAATGTAAAGTATACAGAAAATAAAATTCCTGATAACAGCTCAGTGAAGTTCTATGAATATAAATATAATTTGTATTTTCATCTATTTTTATTTTCATGTTTTACAATTTTTATATATTTCAACTCTTTTATATAGTTAATAAATTTTAGCCTGTTTCTGTTAGTTATTAAGAGAACAATATTTCATCTCCTATTTTGTGAATTTGCTTCTTTTTCCTTTTGTTCTGTCACTATGCTTAATGTATTTTCAGGTTATATATTTAGATTTATAGAAATACAGTATTTTTCCTGTTAATTAGCAATAACATTTGTGAGATAATCTTTTACCCCCAGTAATGACTTTTATCTGTAAGTGTATTTTATTTGCTATTAGTATTGCAAAACAATATTTTGTGAATATAACACGCATAAACATGGTAAAGATATTAAAGAAAGAAATTTATTGGTCAAATTTATTCATTAATATAGACATAAAATTCTATACAATGTTAACTAAATGAATTCTGCAATATATAAAAATGTTAACATATGACTAAATTCGATGTATTCCAGGGAATAAAGTCTGGTTTATTATATAAAAAGTAAATAGTGTTATTCATCCCATTAATAGAATTTTGATAATCATTTCACAAGATGAAGAAGCAGCAATTTGTTACAATCAATAGCTATTCATATAAGAATGCTTAACAAACTAGTAATAGACGGGGGTTTCATCATGTAATCAAGTAAATCTATATAAATTCCACATAACACTTAATAACCATCATGAATGTTTTATAAATTTATATATATTTTGAGTAAGTAATCTAATTGTCAGTTTTCAATGTGGGAATTCCCAATATACGGCTCAAACTGAGTTCTTATTCTATTCGTTCTCTCACTTGATTTAGCCATATTAACTCAAGTGCAAACTTTAGAATAGTGCAAAAGATTCAAGGATTCTAGGTTAGTCAACACTTTGCCACTAACCAAATATGAACCTGGGGAAAATAAAAATTACCATCTATAAATTCAGGTTTAGTAACTTTAAAATGAAAAATGATATTTAGTCTTAAGTTCCTAGGTTGTTATCAAATGACATAATAAAATATGTGTATTTATTTCCTAGAAAGATTAAGGTAATATAAAATCATAATGCAATATTTTAATGTAGTAAAGTTTTAGTAAATTAGAGTCTGTAAAATATAAGGCCTTCTATAACTAAATTGTTCTCTGTGATTTTACTTTATCAGTTTAATTAATGTATTTTATTATGTACATCATCATAGGCCTAAGATAATGATTTTTGAAGGAGGCATAAAATCTGTTGTCATGAAGCTTTAATTCCACTAAAAAAGATAGACATTAATCAAATAATATATTTAAATTATAAAGATGCTTGTCTTTAAAAGCATAAAATCATAATGAATACTTTGATTTTATGAACATATTAAAAACTAATAAATCTTCTTTGAAGCTATTCTGGATTTAACCTACATCAGGTTCAAGAATTTTTAATCTTGTCCATATGCATAGATGTTACTTTTTGATCATGAGTGAAGACACCAAAATCCCTCTGAGTTTATTAATCATTGAAATATCTATATTTTCTCATGTATTTTTAGTTTTCATGACAAAAAATAAAATAACAAATGTCCAATAGATAATATGTGTCAAATAGTGCAAATGTATTTAGTTAACTATATATAACAGCGATATTCTACAGAAATTTTGGTTGAGATTTTGTTTTGTCATTAAATATTTATATCTAAAAAACCATAAAATATCAAAATTTTAGACAATCTTGTTGATTTAGCCTAATTTATAATAAGAATTAAACATTGAAATATAAAGCATGCATAGACAGGACAAGCCTCATTAATTATATAACATCTTCTTTTCTTCTTACTCCGCTAATGTTGCAACCAGAAACTTGATTTAAAGAGTGAAATAATAAACAATTAGGCCAGGGCATTTTGTATAATACATCTTATAGGACTCTTTACCTTAGGGCATTATGAAAGCAATAAAGTTCTGTTGAAAACACCTGAATCTACAGTGGACACATGTTGAACAATCTCTAATAACAATCAGAGGTATGATGACAAACCTAATTCTTAGAAAGTAAGGAACAGGTACGTATCCTTAATTTTGTAACTATAGTAATAATTCTATCTTTCCCTGGATTTCTTAAGTGCTTGAAATCTAATGTGCTCTGGTTTTGGAGTTCTTAATGTCAAAATGTTAGGTTTTATATTTTTTCTTGGGCGTGAACTTAAAATATCATCTTTGTGTGCTGAGTCTTCAGTTCAAAAGAGGCTTTGTTCCCATTAATGGTGTGTAACGCATGAAGGTAGCACAAAGCCTCTGAGTTTAGTCATTTATATTTAAATGAAGTGTTAGTTTCTGAGTTTATTTGAGTAAAAATGTGAAAGCTGTTAGAAACCATAAACATGTATTGGTCCTGCATTTTTACCATAATATTAGAGTATATTTTCACTGGAATAAGCACCATGAAACTGAATCTTACATAAAAGAAGAGATATTTTAAGTCCTTTTCCATGGGGAGAGATATATCTCCTTTGAGGCATAACACAAAAATTAATTTCTCATAACAGGATATCTTAATCACTCTTATTTAATTTATTAACCACAACCTCCTGTTCAAATAGCAGTATTAGGGCTGAAGAAAGCCCGGTAAGATGCATGATTAATGGCAACATCCTTCCCTTGGGTTATGTGAAAATAGAGCAGGCTTAATTGGTTCTTGTAAAATTATAACTAAATATAAAAAATATGCAAATAATTATCCATTTTAAAATTTATTTTGATATTCTGAAATATTTAAATCTTAGTTTCCTTAAAATTATTACTAGAAATAAGTGCAAAAGGGATAGTTGTATATATGTATAACCATAATGAAATATGTACTATAGTGTTTCCAAACTAATATTCTGTATACTTAGACTGCACTGTAAAGACAGAAATGTAGATTTTTATTTTTAGAGTCTTGTTTCAAATAAACCTGATAACCAATGACTATCCTATTTCCTTTGAAATTCAGAATTTTTTTTTTATATATTGAAGGATGAGATGTTCTTTAACAAAGAAATGTGTCTAAGCCTGAGCAATACAGAGAGGCCTTCTCTCTATAAAGAATTAAAAAATTAGCCAGCCAGGCACGGTGGCTCACTCATGTATTCCCAGCACTTTGGGAGGCTGAGGTGGGTGGATTGCCTGAGGTCAGGAGTTCAAGACCAGTCTGGCCAACATGGTGAAATACTAAAAATACAAAACAATTAGCCAGGCGTGGTGGTGTGCGCCTGTAATCCTAGCTACTCACGAGGCTGAGGCAGAGGAATTGCTTGAACCAGGGTGATGGAGGTTGCAGTGAGCCAAGATTGCTCCCCTGCACTCCAGCCTGGGCAACAGAGCGAGACTCCATCTCAAAAAATTAAATAAATAAAAATAAAAAATAAAAATAAATTAGCCAAGTGTGGCAGCACACACCTGTAATCCCAGCTACTTGGGAGGCTGAGGTGGGAGGATATCTTGAAGTGGGAGGTGGAGACTGCAGTAAGCCAAGATATCACGCCACTGCACTCCAGTTGGGTGACAGAGAGACCCTGAGAAAGAAAGAAAAGAATAAAAAGGAGAAAGAAAAAGAAAAAGAGAGACAAAAAAGAGAAAGACAAAAAGAAAGAAATAGAGGAAAGGAGGAAAGAATGAAAGAAAGAAAGAAAGAAAGAAAGAAAGAAAGAAAGAAAGAGAAAGAGAAATAAGGAAAGAAAGAAAGACAGAAAGAAAAAGAAAGGAAGAGAGAGAAGGAAGGAAGGAAGGAGAGAGAAGGGGAAGAGAAGAAGAAATAAAGAAAGAAAGAGTGTTTAAATTGGTTTAATGCAAGATTTCCTAAAATGTCCTAAAGACATTTTAAAGGGGGCTTCTAAGGATCTGAGAGCAGAAAAATAGCACTATTCAGTGTGTTCGAGTTTTGGTTTCTTCTCCAGCGTTTATTCTCTTCTCCTTTAGTATAAGGGAGAATGAGTCCCTAACAGTAAAGTCACTTTTACTAGCTTTGGACTGCCTGCCTCTGGAATTCTGCATGAGAGAAAGCTACACTTTGTGTGTTAGATGTGGGGAGTTTTGTGTTACAGACAGCTGAAACTTGCCCTAATACAGCAGGTGTCCTGGAATCTGCAGCTAAATGAAGCCTACCAATCTAGGGATTTTTGCTAAAAGTATTTCTCGAGTTTAATGCACTTCTCCATGTGGACTGCACATTAGAAGCACCTGGAGATTTTTTTTAAAATATTCTGTTACCTAGGTGCCATTGAAGAACAATCATTATCTCTGGGGAGGGAAACTGGCATAAGTATTTTTTAAAAGCACTAGGTGATTCTAATACCACACTAAGGGTTGAAAACCATTGCTCAAGTGTTTCGTTTTCAATGGAGCTGAAGAACTCTCCATAAATCTGCTTTTCTCTGTTTCCATTATTGTTAATCTTATTATAAATTTAACATTTCTCTGTATCCTCCAAAGAAATAAAATCTGAATGACATAGAAAATTAAACCTATCCCTGTTTTACAGATAACTGTAGTGCTGTTTTATATTTAATTTTTAAATTTTGTTGTTTGTGTTGTCACCCTAGGTTTTTATACTAGGTTTCACATGTTATCATGCAAATGTATGAGCAAAAAGAGATTATCTCATGAAGATACAGAACAGAAGTAGATACCAGAGGCTGAAAAGGGTGTGCAGATGGGAATAGAGGGTTAAAGAGAGGTTGGTTAATAGGTAAAAACAAACAGTTAAATAGAAGGAGTAAGTTCTAATGTTCAATAGCAGAGTAAGGTGACTGTAGTTAATAGCAATGTGTTGTACATTTCAGAATAGCTGGACTAGAGGACTTGAAATGATCCTAACACAAAGAAATTATAAATAGTAGGGGTGATTAAAAATTGATAATAATCTTGCACACATTTCCTGGTGCATATATAGTTTTCTACGTTAAATATCTAAGAGTAAACATGTAGCATGGTAAATTTGGAGGGTACACCTAATAAATCAAGATGTCCCACCATGTGATTCTTCAAAAGTATCTCGGCCATTCTTGGACCTTTCCACTTACATATATATTATAATATCTGTGAATGTTCACACACACAAATGTGCACACATATATAAATACATTCACATACAGCAAATTGACATTGAAATGTATTAAATCTATAGATTAATTTGGGAAAAATAAATATCTTTATGGCACTCTATATTTCAACTAGTGAATAGGTTGTATATTTTGGTTTATTTTAGACTTATTCAACTTCTCTCAATAGTATATTATTTTCTCCTTAAAATCCATAAACATATTTTGGTGAATTTGTTCCTAAATTATTTACATTTTGATGCCTTTCTAAAATGCATTTTTAAGTAAGTTTATGTTTTCTAACAATTGATTGCTGGTAGAATGCTGATTTTTGTATTCTGATAGATGACTTTATACCACCAATCTTGCTAAGGTTCTCCTTAACTGTAATGGTGTGTCCATAGATATTTTCTTCTTTACTTTTTTCCCATTTTATCTTGTTTACTTCAATCAGAAAAGGTATTTAACACAGCACTAACACTTACTTATATTCAAATTGAGACAGCAAAGACAAAATCAGAGTCTTCTGCAGCTAAGAGTAAGAACACTATGTTTATGTTTAAGTAACACATTAAAAAATGGCTTATTCCTTATTGATTGCCAAGCCGTATAGTTTTAAATTACTTTTATTAATAAAAAGAGAGTTTCCTATAGAAAAATAGTATGCATTTAATAGTAGCAAAAGTGATTATACAGGATGCAAATACTGATATTGAGACCTTTAGTCCCTAGGGGAATTATACTAGCTCTTAATGAAAAATGCACAGATTAGTGTGAGAATTCTAAAATTTAATTTTATAATAAATTACAACAGGCCGGGTGCAGTGGCTCACGCCTGTAATCCTGGGCAGTGGATCACCTGAGGTCAGGATTTCGAGATCAGCCTGGCCAACATGGCAAAACACCATCTCTACTAAAAATACAAAAATTAGCTGGGTGTGGTGGTGGGCACCTGTAATCCCAGCGGCTTGGGAGGCTGAGGCAGGAGAATCCCTTGCACCTGGGAGTGGAGATCGTGGTGAGCCAAGATCGCACCACTACCCTCAAGCCTGAGTGACAGAGTGAGACTCTGTCTCAACAACAAAAAAAAATTATAATAAAAAATAAATAAATAGAACGGTATTTTAACAAAGAGAATAATTCTATTAGAAGGTATTCAGGGAAGATATTGCAGACACATTTTCTAACTTGGTTGACTAAGTGGATGGTGTAGATATTTACATCACAGAAATATGGAAAGATGAGGCATGAGAAGGCAGTTAAAATTGAATACTTTTATTTTTGAGATGCCTTTTAAATTGTTATTTTGAAAATCTCCTCCAAAACAGGTTTTCCTTTTCTCTATCAGTTTCAAAATTGTGTGTGTGTGTGCGCATGTGTGTGTGTATGCATATATATACACACACACGCATATTACAGGTTTGGTAGCATTTTTCTACATCAAAATATGAAGGAAGAGCAAGGACAAATTTTATACCTTTCCTACTGCTCCATCAGGGCAACAGACTCCTTTGCATTGGTTTTACCTGATTATCCCTGGTGTGAGATGAGACAGGAGTCTCCTGGGTTATGTCAGCAGCACTCTTATGATTTCAGGCCCAAATGAAGCAATCAAAGGAACCCAGCTAGCACAAAGAGGGGACGTGTGCCAGATGTGAGGCTAATGTGAGAATGGCAGGGAGCAGGCTCTCAGGCTGGAATAAGCTTGTTAAGCAGTGTTCAAGTCTGTCAAAAACAACCTTCCAGAAGTTATAAGGCAAAAACTTTCTTTGTAAGCTTTAGCTCTTGTCAGGAGAAAGTATATGATCAAACTGCTCATATATCATGTAGCTAGAGAAACTTGTTTTATTAGGTTGAGTTATTAATAACAAAATATAAAAGAGGATTTTGAAGGGTTTTAACACTCCACTTGAATTTTGCCTTGGATTTTTAGCTATATAACATATATGCCTTTATTTTCTTCTCTCATTATTTTTAAAAAATCATTATTATATTAAACCTAGTGGAAAATTAGAAAATTTAATGAGAATGGTTAAAACATATGGTAATACTTTTATGTTTGTAATTTATTATATTTAAATTAAAAACTCAAAATTACATGACTTTAACTTCTTTCAATTTTCTTATTAGTTCATTTATAAAATATATTTTCTTTTATATTTTGATTAGAAGTTAAAATGTATTTCATTAGTTATTCCTGACTTTTTTATAGTCTCCACAAAATATGCTACGTATAAGGCTTAATAATCAAATATTTTAAAATTTTATGTTCTATTCTTCCATTTCTATTTAGAGAGTAAATAAATAAATAATCAAATATTTAATTACTTTCGCCTATGTTTCAGGATTTATGATCGCATATAAGTAAGGATCAGCCTAAATTGATACTAACAGCTTGGTAGAATTTTCATACTTAGGACATCTACTTCCTTCAAAGTGAAAATCAGGTAGACTGTTTATTTCCTTGGTTTTTTTTTTCTTTTTACTTACTATGTAATTAATTGAACTTACTTCAGTTCAATAGTTACTTATTGTCAAGCTTATTGCTATTAAACATACAGTGATGAATAAAATCAACTTCTTGCCCATTCTTTTGATGCATATAAAATAGTAAGTTTGCAGTAAATCTATGCTAAAAAAGCAGTTACATGGTCCAATCTAAAAATAAATGAGAAGGCTTTTATGGAAAATATGCTACATTTTAAATTATTTTTATACAACACACTGGGAAAATTCTCATGAATCTAAAAAGAATTCATAAAATGCAGGCAACTGCTGTTTTCATAAAACTCCAAAAAAAGGGCAAAAGTATAAGTGTTTCTTGGTTTGTAGAAATTATGCATACTTTTACTAGGGGTAGGTGTACTTCTGTCTTGAGTATGATTCAAAATTGGATTAAATATGTTTTTCTTTTCTGTAACAGTTTTGACATAGGTTCAAGATGTTAAACACACTGCTTTAATTATTTTTGTACAGGACTTATTCAACTGACTATATAACATAAGGAAAATGCTATTTCATTTGATGTCTAAAATCATTAATTTTATTAAAATATACCTATATAGTGCATACACCCACCCACCCCCCACACACTAACCCAGTGAATGATTTTGTAAAATGTTTTTGTTTATCTAAATTTAACCCAATTCTCTATCTTAGGCCTAATATATTTATTTTGAGTCTTCCTCTGATAGATCTTTTCTTGACAACCCTAGACAATATGGTTAGGAGGATGGCACAATATATCTGTTTCTTCAGGTACATTTATGTTTCATATTTTCAGGTATATTGTCTATGTTTATATCGGCATCTACAGATTTATGTATATCTCAAGAAAATTAGTATACACCGATAGTTTACAGCAGGTTTATGGGGCCAGACAGCCACTGCCCAAATAACAATTCAAACACAAATTAGCTGTTTTCATCTGTGAAGATAAAACAATTTCTTTGCAATTCAGTTTTCTTAAAGATAATAAAAGCACCTATTCCATATATTTGTAATGAAAATTAAATGTGAGAAACTATTTATGTATATATGTATATGTATATATTTTACAAAGGTGCCTAACAAAAGTGATGACTTATAGAAGCATTATCTACCACTATTAAGGTATTTGTAGCTGTCCAAATGTATTATATCCAAGTGTATTATACGAATCATTCATTCTAATGTCATTTAAATGTAATGCTATCAGATGTAGAGCATGGTAGGTGACCATGACATATTTTCACTTCTCTGAATGGGGTTATTGTCAGACCACTGATAATTCTTTGAGGAGGTAATATTGAATCTTCCTCATTTGATGGCCTCATGCACAAGGGTCCATTCGCAATGTGCGTTACATAACTAAAACATATTGAGGCAAATACAAATGCAAAACAAGCTTTTTAAAATAAGTATATTTATTTATTTGTTTTTTGAGACAGAGTTTTGCTCTTGTTGCCCAGGCTGGAGTGCAATGGTACGATCTCTTCTCACCCCAACCTCCGCCTCCCAGGTTCAAGAGATTCTCCTGCCTCAGCCTCCCAAGTAGCTAGGATTACAGGTATGCGCCACCACGCCTGGCTAATTTTTGTATTTTTAGTAGAGATGGGGTTTCTCCATGTTGGTCAGGCTGAACTTGAACTCCCGACCTCAGGTGACCTGCCCGCCTCGGCCTCTCAAAGTGCTGCGATTACAGGCGTGAGCCACCGCGCCCGGCCATCACAAAATATGCTTTTATGACTATGACCAAACTTTTCCTTGAGAAATTACTCTTTTTTCCTACCACTACTTTCAAAAAAAATCATAGTAATTTTCCGAGAGCATTTTTACATGCCTTTGGATTAGAAAACATTCTCATTTAATACAAATAATTAATGCTCTTCTTAGATAAAGCCTACCTATGAAAAATGAAAAGCATTGAGCAGGGCATTGAATTGTGAGGATTAATAATGAAGCATTAACAAGTCTTTAATGCTTGCCTACTCAGAATACGCATGCGTATTAATCAAAAACAAAAGAGTTTGCAACATGAAAGCACCCGGTTCTCTGCCAGGATTTAATGTGGCAGTTGTGAATACATAGCATTGCTCTTCTCCCTCCTGCTTGTTTCCTCTAAACCTCATTGACAAACTTCTGCTTGTAACTTTTGTATTAATTCCTCCGGTTTTTGACGAAACATTTTTCAATACCTGGCTTACGGGGATCTTTCCCGTCACTATATTAATTACTGGGAAATATTATCATTCATTCTAATTTATTTGTAATTGAAGGCTTCTTCTATAGAATATATTTTTGTTATAAGTAATAAAATAATTTTCAAGAAATAAATGCAAATACACTCCTGAAAATAACAAATGACTCAACTTTCATTTCTTTCTATTATGTTCTGGTGAATAAACCCTCACTTATTCGCAAGTATTTTTTAGAGAAATGTAGAGTTATAAATACATTTCCAAATATTTACTTAATAAATATCTATTTCAAATTATTTTAACACATATAAAGTAAATTGCATTGGGATATTAATAAGGTTTGGTTTCCTCTTTTATTTATTATTGTATTGTATATTAAAACTATCTAACATTATCTTTGTTGTTTATATCACAGCTAGAATAATGGAGCATTACAAATTCATCTAGTTCACAAATGATCATATGGCTCTACTCAAGGAAACTCTCTTCACATTTTTATCTAATCTACAAACATGCCACATGCCACACACATATGCATACACACACACACATACGTAAATTGATCAAATCATTTCTTAAGTCTCTATTCATACTATTACATGGATCATCCCAAGCAGAAAAAATTCATCCTCTGTTATTAATGAAAGTTACAGATTGTAATTATGATGACCACTCCATTCTTGGCTGACAATGTAATTTGGGATTTCAATAGCTCAGGTTTTAAATAGAACTGATATACTTATTAAGAGTAGAAATTTATTATTACCTTTGCCTGCAATAGAAAAGTACACATTTTATGTATACTCATCACGTATTATATAACTATTAAACCTTGAATAGTTGCATGCAATAATGTTTACTTTTCTTTTAAATGTGCTTTGAAATTACATCTGCTATACATGCCTAAAATGACTTCTCTCTCTGTGCTATTTTGAAGTAGAACATATGTATTACTCTGAAATGAATTTATGAAAGAGGAGTATAATTTTTAAGTTGAAGGCACACCAAATCATTTTTCCAGAATATTCAAAATTACACTATGCAATATTGAATCATCTTCTCTACTTCAGGGATTAGAGATTTGGGTGTTCAATGTTTTCACACTTACTTAAATATGATCTGTGTTTACATAATATGTTTGGTTTAATAATCCTACTTATTCTGGTGTGCCTTGATGTTAAGAAAGAGGAAGATGCCTAAAATCCATCACCAGAGCCCTTCATTCACACTGAAAATAAATGCAAGGTTTTTGTATATTTAAAAATATTTTTTCTACTTGTCATTTTCAAAATAATGTGACAATTCTGTTTCTAGTAATATTTAAAATGAGATATCCTGTGAAATAAAAAAGTTTGTACTATTTAACAGGTAGGAATGTTGTATATAATATGACAAGCAAATATAAGAATAACAAACAAAATATAAAATATAACAAACAAATATAAGAATTTATCTTTCTATATATATATGAATTGTTCTTATATTTGAACGAAATACAATAATTTCTCCTTCAATTTTTATATAGAATTGAAAGAGAAATTAAAATTTGCCAAACTGTACAATAACTTACAAAACAGTAAATTAAACCAAATCACAAAATGCACGACAATTCTTAAACCTGTTTAAGCATTCTGAGCCATATTACTAGAATGACACAGGCAAACTGATCTAATAGTAATTTCTAACTGCCTTACGGATTCTACTTACTGTTCAAGCAATCGTCTTGATTTGCAAACAGAGCCATGCTGCCAGGACTATTCATTGACTGACTCTACTTCACCAAATTCTTAATTGCTTCAATAAGCAAAAATTAACTCTGTTCGAATAGATGTATATTCCAGTAGCAATTGGTTGGTGAGCTTTCAAAGAAGTGAAGATTCTATTAAATTTGCCTGAGCTCTTCACTGCTATAGGCTCAGTAATAAGGTTTGTGTCTGCAAGTCCCAGCCTATCCAAGGCCAACCCATCCATCACAAGTATTATGATAAACCAAAGCTTTGGATATTTCACTGAGGCCTTCAAGGTTGTTTATTACATTGTCTTATGAATAAAGGCCCCGATGACCTGTTGGTTGTATAATCAGATTTATACTTATTTTCTTTACTGAATGTCTACAGAAATACTCCTTTGCCACTTACTGTTCTACCTGTCTACCTGTTGGCTACACTGTTATATGTCTATTGAAATAAGTTCCTATCAAAAGACAGGAAAAAAAAAGCCAATATGTTAGTTTTCTGAGTTCATCTCAAAGAATAGCAAGCTAAGATGTTCTTATCAGATTGGTATCATTTGCATAATTGCCTAAGGAATTATTTTTAAACTTTATAAAAACATTTTTGTTTCTTTACTGTATATGGAAAATTAGCTTTGTAAGCTAGCTTTTCTCCACATACCATACCTGCTAGGAGCATGCTAATTTATGAACCAAGACATTCTCCATTTTCTGGTGATACTTTACTTTTGGCTATTGTTCAATTCTTTGAGATTAATCATCTGATAAACTTGCACTTCCTTCTGACAAAATTCTGGCTTATGTACTGTCATTATTGAGTTTTTCCTAATGGCAAAAGTTCAAGAAAAATTACATATTACTGAGAAGTCAAAGACAAAACTGCATCTTATAAAACAGCAACATTATTTTAGCCATAGAAAGTAACTGGTACCAAACCTGTCCAACCTCCATAAACAACAAAAAATTGATCAAACAATTGTTTTCAAAAACTGGATAAGAGTTATCACTAGACTGTGATCTCAAGAGAAGGGAACACTTATGAGAGGCCGAGGTGGACAGATCACCTGAGGTCAGGAGTTTGAGACAAGCCTGGCCAACATGGAGAAACCCCGTCTCTACTAAAAACACAAAAGTTAGTCTGGCGTGGTGGCGCACTCCTGTAATCCCAGCTATTTGGAAGGCTGAGGCATGAGAATCGCTTGAACCCAGGAGGCGGAGATTGTGGTGAGCCGAGATCGCACCATTGCACTCCAGCCTGGGCAACAAGAGTGAAACTCCGTCTAAAAAAAAAAAAAAAAAAAAAAAGGAGAGAGAGACAGAAGGGAAAAAAGCAGAGACTGAGACTGAGACTGATATCATCACGGCTTTTTTCATGAAGACACATTACAAAACATGGTGCCTTCTATGGGAGGGCAAACACAGGAAGATCCCATTGATCTCACCGAATTAAAGACACACACACCAGAGTTCAGAGAGGTGAAGGAGGCTGGAATTTCGTGGCACAGTACCTGAAAAAAGGAAGATACACAGAAATCAAACTCATGAAGTATGAATAAGGGTTCACTTCACCTTGGGATACATACTAAGCTGTAGATGCACAGAGTTAGAATCTATAGCCTGGTCAAAACAAAACAAAACAAAAACAAAACAACAAAAGACTATCAGGAAAACTAAAACTACAGGGAAACTATATGCAGAACGATACCCACAAAAAACTAGAGTAAGTCATCTATAGTAGTGATTTTTCTTTTTTCTTTTCTTTTCTTTTCTTTTTTTTTTTTTTGAGACAGAGTCTTGCTTTGTCACCCAGGCTGCAGTGCAATGGCACGATCTCGGCTCACTACAACCTCTGCCTCCTGGGTTCAAGTGATTCTTCTGTCTCAGCCTCCCAAGTAGCTGGGACTACTTTTGTAGTAGTCCGGCTCATTTTTGTACTTTTAGTAGAGACAGGGTTTCACCATATTGGCCAGGCTGGTCTTGAACTGACCTCAGGTGATCCGCCCGCCTCGGCCTCCCAGAATGCTGGGATTACGGGTGTGAGCTACCGCATCTGGCCTAACGTAGTGGTTTTTCAAATACGAAGGCTTTTATAGTAATCCAAAAAAGTTGCAATTTAACAGTAGATCTAAACTAGCCCTAGAGCAAACTAACTCCAGCTCAGCCATAAAACACTTTGAAAGAATCAAGCTGTTCTGCATGTTAAATAACCACTTGGAATAAAATTTTTAGATTATAAAATTTATATGTACATAGTATAATACTGTATAAATTTATATCTAAATTGTGTAATAATATATAATAGATTATGTATTATAGTGTGTTATATTATAGAGTATTTATAATATATCTATATATATTATTCCAAGTAATAATTTATAATATATCCATATTTATATTTCATTTTAGTAAAGTAAATCACATTCTTCTGGAGTGTGATATATTTATATATACACATATTTATAATATATCTGTATGTATATTTTATTATAGTAAATAAATCACACTTTTCTGGAACAAAAAGTCGTGAATATGAGAAGCAGCAAGACTATATGGCCCATAATCAGGAGAAAGTTTAGTTAAGAGAAGGAATAAAAGGAGGCAATTAAACGACAAAAATGTAGAATCAACAGATAAGAACTTTAAGAGGGTTATTTTGAATGTATTCATGGTTAAGAATAAAAAAGTAAAAACATTAAAAACAAAGAATATTTAAAAAATAAATTGAGCTGGAAATTATATTGTAGTTAAATATTCACTGTATAGGCAAAAGAGAAAATTAGACAATGAAGAAAAGAAAGTACTGCAATTGAAGACAGAACATTAAAAGTATTCAAAAAAAGCACATAGGTAATAAAAAATAAAATAATTGATAGAGCTTCAGTCACCTGTCAAAAAATTTCAAGTGGTCCAACGTATATGTAATTGGAATAGAAGAGGAACAGCAGACAGAGCAGGAAAAATACTTAAAGAAATAAATAATGCATATTTTTAATCTGATGAAAATTATATATTTTCATATTCAAAGAGCTGAACAAAACCCAACAAGAATAAAGTACACCAAAATGTAAAATAATCAAATTTCTGTAAAGCCACTAATAAAGAGAAAAATCTTCGTGGAAAAAGAAAAAAAGACATATTTCTTACAGGGTGACAAAGACAAAGTTGTAATGCTTGTTTAATATTTAAAAATGCCAACCAGAAGTCAATAACATAACATCTAGAAAGTTCTGGAGGGGAAAAAAACCTACATAGACCTATTACTATATTAACAGTGAAAATAATGTTCAAACGGAAGTTAAAACAAGAAAGATATTTTGAGGCGTATCAAAGCTGAACGAACTTGTGATTAATTGAATGGTTCTACAGATATGTTAAGGAAGTATTTCTTGCTCAAAAAAGTTGAGTATCCCAAATAGTAAATATGTGGGTAAATTAAAAAAAAAATTGTCCTCATTTTTAATCTTTTTAAATCAGCTCTGTCAAAGACAATTAAAATATTTATTTATTTATATAATATGTACAGATTGTATGTGTGAAATTTTAAAATGTTGGACAAATTTAACAAGTGTGAAAATTAACAAATGATGGAAGAAATTTAAGTATACTTTTGTAATGCTTTTTATTTAACATGTGAAATGGAATAATATGATTTGATATTAGTGACGAGTTAAATATATATTTTTTGAGCCCTAGGGCAACTACTAAAAAATAAGGAAGTTATAGTTATAGCTAATTGCCCAATATAGATTAATTTAAAAATTAATCTAAAAGAATTCAGGAAAAAAAGAAAAGGGGAACAAAGACTACATGGGACCAAAAAATGAATAGCAAGACTTTATATTATTGAATAGATCACACCCCATTATTAATTAAAATGTAAATAAATTATATATACGTTACATTTAAAAGAGAAAAGTGCAAGATCCATCTGTATATGAACAAGAAAATATATTAAATATGATAACATTGAGATTAAAAATAATGAAAAAAGTAATGTCATGTAAACATGTATCATAAGGAAGCCGATTTCCAGACTAACTATAAAATCACAGTAGGCCGGGCATGATGGCTCATGCCTGTAATTCCAGCACTTTGGGAAGCCAAGGCACGTGGATTACCTGAGGTCAGGAGTTCAAGACCAGCCTGGCCAACATGGTGAAACCCTGTCTCTACTAAAAATACAAAATTCGCCGGGCATCGTGGTGCGCAGCTGTAATCCCAGCTACTCTGGAGACTGAGGCAGCAGAATAGCTTGAACGTGGGAGACGGAGGTTGCAGTGAGCTGAAGTCGTGCCATTGCACTCCAGCCTGGGCAACAAGAGCAAGATTCCATCTCAAAACAAAACAAAAAAACCACAGTAATGAGGACGTTGTGTCATATCCAAGAAATCGTTGCATAGACGAGCATAATGAAAAACTTCCCCTCTGCTTTCTTCTAGGATTTTTATGATTATAGATCTTATGTTTAAGGTTTTAATTGATTTTAGTTGATTTTTATGTGTGGTGTAAGACAATGATCCAATATGAATTTTTTTGTATGTAGATATCCAGTTTTCTCAGGACAAATTGGTGAAGAGACTATCCCCTCCTTAGTGTGTATTCTTGACATCTTTTTTGAAGATCAGTTGACTTTATATGTGTGGGTTTAACTTGGGCACTTTTTATTCTTTTCCATTGGTCTAGCCATCCGTTTTTACGCTGGTACTATGCTGTTACAATTGCTATAGCTTTGATTTTTTTTTTTTAATTAGAAGGTGAGATGCCTCCTGTTTTGTTCTTTGTTAAGATTGCTTGGCAATTCAGGGTCCTTTGTTATTCTATATTAATTTTCTATTTCTGTAAAAATGCCATTGGGATTTGGGTAAATACTATGTTGTATCTGTATATTGATATGGAAAGAATGGACATTTTAATAATATTCAGTCTTACAATCCATTACTCAGAATGTCTTTGCATTTATATTTCTTCCATCATTGTTTTGGGATTTTCATTGTGCAAAACTTTCACCTCCATCATTAAGTTTATTGCTAAGCAAAGAAGAAAATTCTATAGCAAATGGGATTCTACAATAAATGGGATTGTTTTCCCAATTTTTTTGTATTATTAACCTACAGAAATTCAAATTATTTTTGTATGTTGATTTTGGGCTCAGCCAATTTGCTGAATTTATTTATTTATTTATTTATTTGAGACGGAGTTTTGCTCTTGTTGCCCAGGCTGGAGTGCAATGGGGTGATCTTGGCTCACAGCAACCTCTGCCTCCTAGGTTCAAACACTTCTCCTGCCTCAGCCTCCTGAGTAGCTAGGATTACAAGCATGAAGCACCATGCCCAGCTAATTTTTTATTTTTAATAGAGACAGGGTTTCTCCGTTGTGGTCAGGCTGGTCTTGAACTACTGACCTCAGGTGATCCACCCACCTTGGCCTCCCAAACTGCTGGGGTTACAGGTGTAAGCCACCGTGCCCAGCTTGAATTTATTTAATGGTTTTAATAGTTTTTTTGTTGACTCCTTTTGGTTTTCTACATATAAGATCATGCTGTCTACAAATAGAGATAATTTTACTTGTTTTCTAATTTGTATGTCTTATTTTCTTTTTCTTGTCTAATTGCTCTGGCTAAAAATCCAATATTATGTTGAATGATGGTGGCAAAAGTGAGCATCTTTGCCTTTTCCCTGATCTTAGAGAAAACAACTTCCAATTTTCCTATTGAATATAATATCAAGTTTACAGGTCAGTAATGATAAGTATATTCACATTGTTGTGAAACAGATTATTTAACTACAAATATAACTATTGTATTATTCAACAATCCCATTTTGCAGGTGTTTTTCCAAAAGAATTGAAATCAAGATCTTAAAAAGATATCTGTACTCCTATATTCCTTGCATCATTATTCATACTAGCCAGGATATGGAAATAAGTTAAATCCATCGGCAGACCAATGGATAAAGAAAATGCATTTTTTATATATATACATGTATGTGTATATATATATATATGTATGTATATGTATATATATTATATATGTAAAATGAAATATTATTCAGCCTTTAAAAAGAGGAAATTCTGCCATCTGTGAAAACATGCATGAACTGGTGGACATTATGCTAAATAAACCAGTCGCAGAAGGACAAAGATTGCAGGATTCCACCTGTGTGTGGTATTCCACCTAAAGTAGCTAAACTCATGAAACCAAAGAGTAGAATGGTATTTGCCAAAAGCTGAGGAGAGGAGAAAGAGGGAGTTGTTGTTCAACGCATATAAAGTTTCAGTTATACAAGATGAATAATATAGAGATCTGCTGTAAAACATTGTGACTATAGTTAACAACACTAAATTGTGCACTTAAAAATTTAAGAGACTGTAACTAATGTTACATGTTTTTACCACAATAATGATTTTTAAAGGTTATTGTGGTGTTGATGTAAAGATAGACATGTGCATCAATAGAACAAAAATAATTAAAGGTAATTCAGCAGGGAAAGAAGAGACTTTAAAAAAAACTTCTGTTGCAACAATTGGGTATCCATATGTATAAATAGGAACTTCGTCCATTCCTTAAACTATGTATATAACTTAACTTGAAAGACATAAGAGATTTAAGTATAAAAGATAAAACATTACGTCTTCTGGGAAAAAAAGTAGAAGAAAATGTTATGGTTTTATGAAATAGTGAAATTTTACATAGTCCACAAAAAAAGATGGACCATAAAATATTTTAAATTGGTTTTGCAATGTTAATACCATAAAACCAAAGAGCAAACAACACACTGAAATAAAATATGTGAAATGTACATATTTGACAAATGACTTATAAGTGGTATGTAAAAACCTCTTGTGAATAAATTGTCAATAGAAAACGATGCAAAAATTTGTTAAAAAGTATTCTAAAAGACACTTCACAAGAGAAGATATTCAAATGACCAATAAGCCCCTGAAAATATGCTTAATATAGTTAATCATCAAGGACATGCATATTAAAACCACAGACAGTATTACTGCACATCCTCTATCAAGGCTCAACAACTGGCCCAAAGTTCAAACCTGGCCTGCTGCCTTTATTGGAGTGCACCTACTCTCATTTGTTTTGATGTTGTCTGCTTTTATTTTACAGCAGCAAAATTGAGTAGTTGCAACAGAAACCATATGGCTAACATGACTAAAAATATTTTCACCCTGACTTTTATTTTTAAAAAGTTTGCCAACCTTTCTCTAGAATGGCTAAAATTTAAAACGATTTTTAATATGAAGTGTTGACAAATATGTGGAGTATCTAAAATTCTCATCCATTGCAGGTGTCTATGCAAAATAGTAAAAGCACATTTTAAGCCATTCAACTACATGTAATCTTTTACTATAACAAAATGCCTCAATTATTGTGTTTTTGTTTGGGTTTGGTTTGTTTTTTTTCTGCTGAAGTCCCCAAACAAAAGCCTTCAGTACCACATTGCATTTTTTTTCTAAAATCCTTTTATAAATTTCCTAGCTGAAATTGCTCCCACCTATGGTCTTAACTTCTGTGACTCTACAGTGACTTACGTATTCCATGTTTAATTATTTCTGATGACTCCATAAAGTCATCTGAGCCTCAGGCCAAAAACAGTGTTTAGTGGTGTTTTTTTTTGTTTGTTTGTTTGTTTTTTCTTAATACTCATCCACACACAAAGTCCAATTAGGACTAATTGAAATCCTCATATTTTCATTGTATTCCAAATGTGAAGAAATTGCATATGGAGTATGCAATTTCCATACTGTTTCCAAAACTCCTACCAAAGGATCAAAGTGAATATTTCTTGTGATAACTCTATCTATACAGAATGATGAGATATGTAGTAGATACATTGTAACCCAAAATAAACATCAGGGTTTATTTCCAAGTAAAAAGGGGAGAATAAATATTGGGTAGTCATTGATGCCCTTTGTCTTAATAGTGAGTTCCTGAAACTTCCATCTTCCCTTCTCCCCAGGTTTAAATAGCAGAGATCTCTGAGCTAGATAGAGAAATAGAGATTGAGACAAAAATAGAGAGATAGACAGATTTAAATAGATATGTTGTAATTTAGAGATGCACACCCAATCTCAGATTAATAGAAGTAAAAATTGGCTTACTCATTCTTTGGACTTTGGACGAAAATTGCACGTCTATCCTGAAAATGTTTTACCTCAGGCCTTCTCTCACCCGAGTTTGGACTAGGAAACTCAAAGTTCACGTAGAGACAAAGATAGAAAGAACATGAGAGAAAAAAAAATACGAAGGTTGGAACATGAGTGCCTAGACATGTATCTAATTAGTATTCCAGAGGGAGTAAATAGAGAAAACTGGTAGACTCAGTATTTCCAGTTACATACTAATAAATTTCCCAAAGTAGAATGTCATAATTACTCAGATGAAGATCCCTCAAAAATCAAAAACATAAAAAAATGAAAATCCTGCACTTATTTTTTTCTAACTGCAGAACACACACATATGTGAATATAAGCACAAACATATGCACACAATAAAAGAATATATTATCACAAAGCTAGAAAAAACATTTTAACTAAAATGAATTAACATCCAAAAGTTAGATAACTTCTCACCAACAAAAATGAAAGCCCCCAAAATGTTTGATATCATAAAATTTTTGAGAAAGTTACTGTCAGCCTCTATATAATCAACAAAAGTAACTTTTAAGAATGAGAACAAGTAAAGACTTTCTTAAATAAAAAAGATGCATTTTGTCCAAAAATACAGGTTCTAATAGAAATTCTAGAGGTCTTATTTTAAGAAGAAAAGTTATCTCAATAGAGATTTCTCTGAGATGCAAAAAGGAAAAGCCAGTAAAGAGAATGTGAATAAGCTAAATAAATATTGCATATTCAAAACAATATTGACTAAATGCCTGTAATTCCAGAGGTGATATAAAATGAAACTAATGGAAAAACAATTAAATAACATTAAATATAAAAGTAGGAAGCAATGGTATGAAGACGAGCATAACAAGTTTCTTTAATTATTCAGATATATGATTAATTGCAATTGCAGAGTTTCAAAACTACCACCACAAAAGTAAACTTTTATGTAATGTAATATTTAAGTCCTGCAGTAATAGATGGACAAACAGAAATAATAAAAAACTCTCCAAAAAATGTGAAAAATGAGAAATAAAAACCAGAGAAAATCTAAATATAATGTTCAAAATAGCAGACTTGGCTTACTGTACACTCTGTCCCCTGGGTTCAGCAGTTCTTGAGCCTCAGCCTCCTAGGTAGCTGAGAAACAAGATACAGGTATGTGTCACCACACCCAGCTAAGTTTTTTATTTTTAGTAGAGACAGGGTTTCACTGCGTTGGCCAGGCTGGTCTTGAATACTTGGCCTCAAGTAACCCACTTTTTTTCTAGTTTATATAAGTGTAATTTTTATTGAAAGTTTCAAAGATAATTTGTTAGTTTATTTATTACAAGTTTTTATTTGATTATACATATAGGCAACCTGATTACCTGAAATAAACGCTTGAGTTTTTAAAATTCTGATTATTTTATTTTAGTTATTTATTTTTTTGTACTACTTTTGCTTCCTTTGTTTTATTTTAGTATCTCTTTCATTAGCTCACTCAGAATAGTCCATGAAAATAATATCTAGAGCACTGACATGCCATCAATTATTTTTATTATAGCCTCCTGAATACTTTCTAGCTTGGCTCAGCATTGTTTCTCAACCTCAGTACTATTGACATTTTTGGAATGGATAATTTTTTGTGGGAGCCATTCTGAGCATTGTGGGGTGATTATCTGTATCTCTGGCCTCTATCTACTAGATGCCAGTAGCAACACCTTCAGTTCACATTCTCTCCAACACTTTCAATGTCTAGAAAGAGGAGGTTAGGAATTGAGAATCATTTGTGGTTGTATGAAATTCTCTGTTCTGTATAGTAGCCAGTCTCCAATAGGGCCTCCAATGATTCCTGTCTTCTGCTGTTCACATCTTTGTTTAATTCTCTCCCGTATTGCACCGTAGTTACTATTTGTGACCAAATAGCATTTGGCAGAAGTGATAGTATGCTACTACCAGGTATGAAAAGATAACTTTCATTTTGGATTCTCTCTATTTCCCTTTCATGGAGCTGTCGCTCTAAGGGAAGCAAGCTGTCACGTTGTAAGCAGCCCTATGGAAAGACTCACACGATGAAATCAGAAGGCTCGGCCAAAATTCAACGAGGAACTGAGGACACCAACCACTGTGGAAGTGAACAAAGAAGCAGATTCTCCAGTCCCAGAAGAGCCTTGAGATGACTGTAGACAAGGCAGCTTAACTCCCACCTTGTAGCAGACTCTGAGTCAGAATCGTTCAACTGAGCTACTCCCCAATTTCTAATCCATAGTAATAATGATATAATAAACACCTGCCATTTAAAATTGCTAAGTAGTGGGATAATTGATAAGTAGTGGGATAATTCATTGCACAGTAGTAGATAACTAATATTAGCAACATCCCTAATTCCCGGAGAGGTCTAGTTTTTCAGATGTCTGTGCCTTTACTCAGTTTACTGATTTAATGTCTTATGTTCTATTTCTGTCTGTAGTTATTCAAGTTATTCTTCAAGATCGAGATATAATGACTTTTCCATGAAGACTACACCCCATGAAGAAGCCTGTTTAAGCTTCTATTTTATAACATCACAGTTATATTGTTATTTTTATATATTTGGTTGTCATTTTTACACATATCTGTCTTCACACAGACCCATTTGGTGAATGCATAAGGATTATAAATTAGTATATTGTGGAAAATTACATAAAGGAAAACATATAGTAATCTCAAATTCTGAAAACAAAACAATGGTTCTGCCAGACAATATAAATCACTTTATAATCACAACATTCTATTTTAAATGTAAACACAAGTAATAAAGTCAGTAGCTTGAGTCAGTAGTAAGACCAGAATAGCAGTTCACAGGTACACAAGCAACTACTGAACCTAAATTGGAATCTCAGTGCAGACAGCCACTTCTCAGATGTTTGGGCTTGGAAGATGCATTTGGATTTTAGTGATAACAATAAACAACCCTACAGGGGTAGTACATTACTTGGGATAGTGGGTGGTGCTCAACAAATTTAGTTTGCTTTCCCCGGAGTCTTTTTATTAAATCATATTATATACTTAACATTGTTCTTAAAATATCCTTGGCCGAATGCAGTGGTTCACGCCTGTAATCCCAGCACTTTGGGAGGCCGAGGCGGGCGGATCACGAGGCCAAAAGTTCGAGACCAGCCTGGCCAACATGGTGAAACCCCATCTCTACTAAAAATACAAAAATTAGTAGGGTGTGATGGTGGGTGCCTGTAATCCCAGCTACTCAGGAAGCTGAGGCATGAGAATAGCTTGAAACCAGAAGGCGGAAGTTGCAGTGAGCTGAGATTATGCCACTGCACCCCAGCCTGGGCAACAAGAGCAAAACTCCGTTAAAAAAAAAAACAAAAAAAAAAAACTTCCCCACACTGAACTTTTTGCTATGCATTTGTATTTGTTTGCTCCCAATATAAAACAGTCTCACTTTCCCTACCTAGTTCTAACAATTTGCAATGTTCCAAGTATTAATGTTCCAAGTACTGTATTTGTACGGTAGTTTCAGCCTGCATATTGTTAGTTATTCTCTGAAAGTCAAAGATCCTTGTAGACCCTTTAGCATAACGTAAAGCATGTTTTGTTCTTGCATTGTGCTCCTTTTCAACTGCACTTTAAGTTCTTGTCAAGTTGTTTTACAATGCTTTGTTCTTATTCTCACCCAATAAAATGCCATTCAGCATAGAATATATAATCAATACATATAAAAATTCAGTGATTTCTATTTTTTTATGGTGTATGTACCTTTAAGAGGTAAGCAAGAACTAACCCTGATCATATACTCTTTTTCTTGGATCAAATACTTGATAACTCAAAAGTAAATATTTGACAAAAAATCATTTTACTAGAAGAATAATATTTATGGCTCTTTTTATTTTACATAAAATAGATTTTACTAGATTTTCTGTTGATCGTAATATATAAGCAAGAATCTAAATGTATCATTTTCTAACCATGGTAAATGGAATGTTATTCTCACTCTATACTTCAAGATTAGAATGACATTTTGCAACATTCAAAGGTCAGATACATTTGGTCACTGACCTTATTTTAAAACATCTTCAAGGGTGCCATCTTTAAAATTTGTTCACTTTTGCCCTAATCAAAATATCCAGTATTTTTCTAAAAGCAACTTCATTTAATAGCACCAGGTATAGAGTCGTTCACATTGTTAAGCTCGGTGTGGTGATATTTAACACAACCTATTAAGCTCAAACAGCTTCAGAGCTTTTGTCAGAAAAAAAATATTTATATTAATCCATCTAATTACCATGTGATTCAAAAGTTCAATTAATTCCCCTTCAAAAATGTCACTTTACTTTAGAAAGCCTTTCGTATTCTGGGGCCCAATTCAGAAGCTACTTACACCTAATCTTCACTGATTTCCCAGTTTAATAATGAACAATTTTGTCTCTTTATGCCTAGTGCAATTAGGTCTAAATTTGAGTGTTTTCCACATTTATCTTACACAAAAGTTGTTGCTGTTGGTATATCTCAACTCTCTACACTTTAACATATATGCTTCTGTGTTTGTGTGTGTGTGTTTATATGTAAAAGAAGGTTTTAATTATGCAGTATCTAATTATTAAAGACTGAAAGGATTTTGAAGAAGGTTCTTTTATTATTGACAGAAGACTCTCTAATGTATTTTGTATCATTTGCATTATATTGCATATTGCAGTAAGTCTAGAAGACATTTAAGAATAGGAACTGAAATATGAAAATGTCTGCATAGTATTCACATTAATAAAGTTTACTTAAAATAGATATTAACAAATACAAATTTTGTACATAGATTCAGTGGATTTAAAGGAAATTTTTATTTATATATTTATTATTTATACAATAATTATACATGTTTATGGGGTACTATGTAATGTGTTTTGTTGTTT
The DNA here is from genome assembly GCF_000001405.40 of Homo sapiens. NCBI lineage: Eukaryota > Metazoa > Chordata > Mammalia > Primates > Hominidae > Homo > Homo sapiens. The sequence goes on along the minus strand of NC_000001.11, from coordinate 194,580,511 downwards.
GTTTGTTTCTGAGATGGAGTTTCACTCTCGTCGCCCAAGCTGGAGTGCAATGGCGCGATCTCGGCTCACTGCAACCTCCGCCTCCCGAGTTCAAGCGATTCTTCTCCTCAGCCTCCCCAGTAGCTGGGATTTTAGACATGCGCCACCACCCCCAGCTAATTTTGTATTTTCAGTAGAGACGAGGTTTCTCCATGTTGGTCAGGCTGGTCTCGAACTCCTGATCTCAGGTGATCCACCCGCCTCAGCCTCCCAAAATGCTGGTATTACAGGCATGAGCCACCGCGCCTGGCCTATGTAATGTTTTATTACAGGTAAACATAGTATAATAATCAAATGAAGGTAATTATCATATTCATTTCTTTAAAAAGTATCATTTCTTTCTGGTGACAACGTTCAAATTCTTCTCTTCCAGCTATATTGAAATATGAACAACATTATTATTTGCTAAAGTCACCCTACTGTGTAGTAGAACACTAAAATTTATTTTTTCTGGCTATAACTTTGTACTAATTGACTAACCTCTCTCAGTCTTCCCACTCCCTCCCCTCACTCTGGTAACAACCACACTACTCTCTACTTCAATGAAATCAACATTTTTAGATTCCACATATGACCGAGATATGTGGTGTTTGTGTTTCTATGCCTGGCTTATTTCAATTACCATAGTGTCTTCCAAGTTCATCCAGGTTGCTGCAAATGATAGAATTTCATTCTATTTTATGGTTGACGAATATTTCATTGTGTGTGTGTATGTGTGTATACATTTTATTTATTCATCTATTGATGAACACTTAGGTTGATTCCACATCTTGGGTAATGTGAATAATGCTGCAAAAACATGGGTGTCCAATATGTCTTTGAATACTGATTTCATTACCTTTGGATATATCCTCAGTAATGGAATTGTTATGTCATAAGTAGTTCTGTTTTTAATTTTTGGAGGAAACTCCACAACATTTTCCATAGTGGCTGTACTAATTTACATTCTCACCAAAAGAGTATAAGGTTTCCTCTTCTCTGTATCCTCACCAGCTTTTTTTTTTTTTTTTGTCGTTATGATAATAGCCATTCTAACTGGGGTGAGGTGATACCTCATTGTGGGTTTGATTTGCATTTTTTCTGATGATTAATGATATTGAACACTTTTTCATATACCTGCTGGCCATTAGTATATCTCCTTTTGAGAAATGTCTACTCAAATCTAATCTATCTACTCAGATTATTTTTTACTATTGAGTTGTTTGAGTTCCTTATATATTCTGGGGGTAAAATAACCTTGTAAAATCTAACCACTCAAAAAAAAAAGTAAATTCCTTGAGATAGTATCCAAATATCTAAAACTCAAACTCATTGTTAAAAAAAATTGTTACTATAAATTCTGAAAATTTCATTGTTCTCTGGAGTTTATAATTCACAATGTTTCAATGCCCCGCTTATTTCAATTATTTCAATATAATGCACAGTGGTCTGGAATTTTGTCAACTAAGATGATATAAAATTAACACCTGTATTATTTTCTGAGTTATCCAGCTCTGCATTTAACTTATTCCTATGTGTTTTTTAAAATTTCTCCTTTAAAAGACAAGTTATCTGAGATTTTAATTCTTTTCTTCTTTATTGCAATGCCTCTCTATATTAAAATAAAAGTTTTAGCAAGTTATGCTAAAGGAAATTGGATGAAACTGTAGTAAAGAAATATGTTCTAAAAAAGCATTGGAGAAACCTCAAAGAAATGAAGTGACTATCTGGTGAAAGAAGCAGCAAATAAAAAAGAGCGAATTTAGATAGCAACTGTTGCAAGGAGTGGGTTATGAGGGATGCCTCTACAGCATGCTGCTTTTGTTAGTTCTCCCACTCCTGTAGTTTATGCGGCTTATTCGGAGGGTTGACAAAAGAGGTAACAGACTGTAGTGGTGATGTAGGAGGCCTAATGTGCAAACGCGAGTGCAAAATAGGAGGTAAAAGCAGGAAGTGTGCAGAGAAAAACTGTCAGTTAATTTGAAGTCGAGTTAAAAGGAAAAGGTTGGCCGGTCGCGGTGGCTCACGCCTGTAATCCCAGGACTTTGGGAGGCCAAGGCGGGCGGATCACGAGGTCAGAAGATCGAGACCATCCTGGCTAACATGGTGAAACCCCATCTCTACTAAAAATACAAAAAAATTAGCCAGGCGTGGTGGCGGGCGCCTGTAGTCCCAGCTACTCGGGAGGCTGAGGCAGGAGAACGGCATGAACCCAGGAGGTGGAGCTTGCAGTGAGCTGAGATAGCGCACCACTGGACTCCAGCCTGGGCGACAGAGCAAGACTCTGTCTCAAAAAAAAAAAAAAAAAAAAAGAACAACAAAAAAGGAAAAGGTTATCTTTTCCCAACATTTGACCTATACCAAAATGGAGTTCAACAAATGCCAGAGTGCTTAACATAGAACTTAATACATCTCCAGTGGTGACCCTTTCCAGGAATAACCTATCAGGTGTTGTGTAGATGCAAGAAACACATTTATTGTATTTTCTGATGATTTCTGTTTTTAAATGCAATCTTTCCCCTGACATTTTAATGTGATCAAAATAATGTCTCTATTAAACATGTTAACATATCTTTGTGGCACAAATACTTGTTTGGCATTTTAACTATCTGCATTAGTAATGGGATGGGGAATTTTGTCTCTACTCCACAAAATATTATCAAGAAAACCAGTCATTAAAACATGAATGCATTATAGGTAGTATGTTTACTAGAGTGACTAAATTATATATTATTCTTCAAAATTGTTGTCTTATAGTCTCTAATTTTATAGTATATTCACAGTTATATACATTATAAACAAATCTAGCCTCTTTGAATATGGTTGTAAAAACAGTAAAAGCTAAGTAATAACTAAACGAGGAATTGAGGATGACAACAATAACCAGAGCAAAGTGCCTGAATTTCATGTGTGGCTGCTAGCAGATCCTAAGGATATTTGTTGGGGAGTATTATTTTATTTTTTTAGAAGGACAATTTTACTTGCTGCTACTTGGCAGCAAGTACAGTTTTTGAAATATTCCAAGGATAGCAAACAACAATGACAAATTATCTTGGACAAAAATAAGTGATACCTATTAATATATTATATTTTTCATAATTCTAAGAACAACCAACATACACAAAGAGTAAAAGAAAGCAAATTAATGGGAAGAAAAAACATTAAGTGTCAATTAGCTAAAAAATAAAATTTTTTTAGAAAAAAATTGAGTTGATAACGAGAAATAATATGCTAACCCAAAAAACAATGAGCATTTCTTCAATGTGTATTCAGAAAGTATATTGCTTTCAACATATTTGGATCCTATGGGTTTAAAATGCAAGCAAAGTACTTACATCTGGCATTTAAATTTTTTCATTTATCGACTTCTATTACACATACTCCTTTTCATAATTTTGCCCATGAAGTTTAATATTCAAATATATAAAACTGAATTGACTCTAGAAATATGTCAATCCAATAAAAGCACAATTGAGACTCTTCAAAAGTAAATATTATTTAATATAAGCAAGTTTGGTTCCAGACCACCAAAATAAAGTAAATCTCACAATAACACAGTTGCACAAATTGTTTGGTTTCCTAGTGCATATAAAAGCTGTGTTTACACTACACTGTATTCTATTAAAGGTGCAACATTATTATGTCTACAATGTACGCACCTTAATTTAAAAATACTTTATTGCTAAAAAACACTAAAAATCAACTAAGCCTTCAGTGAGTCATAATCTTTTTGCTGATGGAGAGTCTTGCTTCAATGTTGATGGCTGCTAACTGATCACAATGGAAGTTGCTGAAGGTTGGAGTTGCTGTGACAATTTTTAAAAATAAGACAATGAAGTGTCATTGACTCTTCCTTTCAAGAAAGATTTCTCTGTCTAGCATAGAATGCTTTTCCAAGGCATTTAACCCACAGTAGAACTTCTTTCAGAAATAAAATCAGTCTCTTAAATCTTCCTGCTACTTTCTCAAATAAGTTTATGAAATATTCTAAATTCTTTGTTGCCATTTCAACCATGTTCACAGTGTCTTTATCAGAAGTAGATTTCTTCTCAAGAAACAACTTCCTTTGCTCAGCTGTAAGAAGTAGATTCTTATCTGTTCAAGTTTTATTATGAGATTGGCGCAGTTCAGTCACATCTTAAGGCTCCATTTCAATTCTAAATCTCTTGCTCTTTTCATCCCATCTGCAGTGACTTCCTCCACTTAATAGGTCTTAAACCTCTTAAAGTCATCCATGAGCATTGAAATCAGCTACTTCCAAATTCCTGTTAATGTTGATATTTTTACTTTCTCCCATGAATCACAAATGTTTTTAATGGCACCTAGAATGGTGAGTACTTTCCAGAAAGCTCTGCTTACTTTGCCAAGATCCATTAGAGAAATCATTATCAGTGGCAGGTATAGCTTTATGAAATGTATTTTGTTAATAATAAGACTTGAATGTTGAAATTACTCCTTAATTCAGGGGTTGCAGAAAGGACGTTTTGTTAGCAGGAATGAAAACAACATTAATCTCACTGTACATCTTCATCAGAGCAACTGGGTGACCAGATGCATTGTCAAGGAGCAGTAATATTTTGAAAAGAGTCTTCATTTTCTGAGCAGTAGATATCAACAGTGAGCTTAAAATATTTAGTCAACCATGCTGTAAGCAGATGTGCTATCATTCAGGCTTTGTTGTTCCATTTCTAGAGCACAGGCAGAGTACATGTAGCATAATTCTTAAGGACCCTAGAATTTTCAGAAGGGTAAATGAGGATCGGCTTCAACTTAAAGTCATGAGCTGAATTAGCCGCCAGCAAGAGAGTCAGCCTGCCCTTTGAAGCTTTCAAGCCAGACATTGACAAGAAGCTAGGATAACTATCTTAGCTATATAAGTCCTAGATGCCATCTTCTGCTTGCAATATAAGGCTGTTTCATCTACACTGTAAATCTGTTGTTTAGTGTAGTCACTTTCATCAGTTATCTTAACTAGAGCTGGATAACTTGCTGCAGCATCTATATCAAGGACTTTTTTCTTCACCTCGCATTTTTATGTTATGGAAAAAGGGCTTCTTTCCTTAAACCTTATGAACTTACCTCTGCTAGCTTCAAATGTTTCTTCAACTTTCTCATCTCTCTCAGCCTTCATTTAATTGACAAGAGTTAGGGCCTTGCTCTAGATTAGGTTTTGGCTTAAGAGAATGTTGTGGCTGGTTTGATGTTCTATCCAGACCTCTGGAACTTTCTCCATTATTGGCAATAAGGCTGTTTTGCTTTCTTATCATTTGTGTGGTCATGTGTTCACTGTAGTAGCATTTTCCATTACCTTCAAGAACCTTTCCTTTGCATTTACCACTTGGCTAACTGTTTGCCAAAAGAGGCCTGATATTTGGCCCATCATCTTAGCTTTAGGTGTGCCTTCCTTACTAAATCATTTTGAGATTTTGATTTAAACCAGGCTTATCCAACCTGCCTTATTTTGTTGTTGCTGTTGTTCTGTTTTGTTTTGTTTTAGGTTTTGAGCAGCCTGAAGCCATGGTTTTAGCTTTTGTCTCTAGTGATAAGTGGAAAAGAGGGATGAGGAAGCGGCCATATTGCCCCAACCAGAAACAGAAACTGAGAACATATGACTAGTCTCTCCCTTGGACACCCCTGATTTAAAGTGAGAGAGGTATATTCTTCCTTTCCCTTAAACACTTAGAAGCCTTTGTAGTGCTATTAATTGGCCTAATTTTCATAGTGTTGTTTTTCATAAATAGGGAGGCCTTAGGAGAGGGACAGAATGGGAGAATGGCTGGTGAGCCAAGCAGTCATATCACACACAGCATTTCCTATGTAATTCACCATTTTATATGGGTGTGATTCATGGTGCCACAAAACAATTACAGTTCTAACATCAAAGATTACTGATCACAGATCACCATAAGAGATACAATAATGAAAAGGTCTAAAACATTGTGAGAATTATCAAAATGTGACACAGAGACTCAAAATAAACACGCTGTTGGAAAAATGATGCCAATAGTCTTCCTTAAAGCAAGCTTGACACAAAACTTCAATATGTAAAAAATGCAATATCTGTGAAGCACAATAACATGAAGCACAATCTAATGAGGTGTGCACATGTATTTAAAGTCTTATACTACACAAACTTTGTATTATATGCCTAGTCTATGAGAAGCATATTGCTTGTAAAAACAGAATTAATATGGTAATGTGCAAATTATTATTATCTCACTAGTACATTTCTCACTAACTCTAAAATATCTTACCATTGTGCTGCTGCATTTCTTCATCATCTATTTTTTAAAATTTTAAATGGGTAATTATACCCAAGCATTGTGAATACATTTTAAAGTTGCTTATTCTGGAGATTCTGTAAATTATATTATACTTTCAAAACAATGCCTAAACATAAATAAAATGGCTGTCACCTGCAGATATATAGCCTAATGAGGTAATCACTGCCAACTTGCTCTGGGTGAGTAATTTTTATTATTGCTTTTGTCTGTTTTTAATTTGAAATTATGTTGTAGAAAAAGAAGGAAATGACTTTCTCTGCCTAGCGAGATACCAGAGATTGGAAGTAACCTTCCATGTCTCATTTTAGAGAAAATGAAGGATTTAGTCAATGAGTTTGACAATGGCAAGGTAACTAGAGACATTTTGGCAAATTGTGTATATACATGTAATGAAGATACCTGTTTAGTATTATGTATAAAATGTCATTTTAAGCTGTGTGTTAATGATACAAGGATAAATCTTTATCAGATAAATACAAATGAAAGGATAGTAGTATTTATACTAAGAAATCAGTAAATACCTTGATCTCTGCAGCAATATAAAAAATTAAAAGATAAGTAGACACAATACAGTGAATTGATAGTGATATTATATATTACAATTTTTTCTATACTTCTTTATCTTTTCCTAATTTTGCTGTAATCATTATAGATTACTTATTTCAAAAAAATTCTAATTGCAATTTTTCTTAAAAGTTTCATTTTACCAAGTGTCATTTTAAAAAATGAATGGCTTGAATTTAAGACTAAATCAAATGATGCTATGTGTATTTATGTGTGTGTGTGTGTGTGTGTGTGTGTGTGTGTGTGTGTGTCCATATTATAATGTGAAGGAAATTTTTCAGTAAGAGAGTTACTATTTTGAGGCATCAAAGTCTTTTAGACTAATGTGAGCTTCTAGCTTTTTTAAGTCTATATTTATCAACAAACACTGTTTGAAGAAGCAGTGATTCAACTGAAAGAAGCAAAATGTCTCAGTCATTATAGATGTTTGAATGCAGCAAAACAGAATCTGAAATTAAAAATCATATCGATTTAACATCAAATAAATTAAAATAAAAGATAATATATAAATATATATTTTATATTAATATAGAGTCTTTTTTTGAGCCAGGATCTCACTTTGTTGTCCAGGGTGGAGTGCAGTGGCATGATTATAGCTCACTGCAGCCTTAACCTTCCAGGCTTAAGCAATCCTCTCAGCTCAGCTTCCCAAGTAGCTAGGACCACAGGTGCTCGCCACCACATTCAGTCAATTTTTAAAAAATTTTTAGTAGAGATGGGGTCTCACTATATTGTCCATACTAGTCTTAAACTACTGGGTTCAAGCAATCTACCTCCATTGGCCTCTCAAAGTGCTGAGATTACAGGCATGAGTCACTGCACTTGGCCTGTAGAAGGTGTTTTTATTTGTTAAATGTTATGGTTATGTATAACAAAATATATGCACCACTATGAATAATCACAAATCTATGGAGATATTTTGGTTGCATATTTGTATATTAATATGAACCTATAGAAAAGTAAATTATGCTTTATGACAAGCATACATTATATGGTAATTAACTGAAATTATATATGTACTAAGTCCAATAAAGTCAATGTAATCTTATTCTACTAATTTCGATTAATCTTATTACTTTTTATTTTTAGAAAAAAGGCTTCTATAAAATGGGAGACTATTCAAGAAATTTTTCACTTTTTATTCTTTTTATGAATACAATTAATTTTGTGTTATAATACTTGAAAGATGCAGTGTACTAAGTATATTAAAATAGAATTGCAAATTTGGCAGAAGAGGAGTCACTGAATCTCCCTTTCCTAGAATGAATTAAAGTATTTCAATATTTAAATATCATGATATAGAAATGTATTTGCTTATATTGTACATAAAGCTATTAATGAAACAAGTGGTCTTAGTCTTGAAAAGATAAGATGTATAAAGTGAAGGAGTAGAAAGAATGCTATCATAACACTTTATCTGAGAAGTATATTCATAAGTATTCATTCACATAAGAATTACACATGGCTGCTGAAGAAACAGGGATGCTGTGATTTTTTATTAGGATTCTAATAAGGTATTATGATTACTTATCATTGCCTGTTGTTAGATAAATATTCTGAAACATGTTGAAGAATTACTATTATTATTTTAAGATTGAAGTCCGATTAACTAGAGCAATTGAACAGTTAAAGTGTTAATAGAAATTTACCAGTCACGAGTTTAAGCTTAGTGCATAATTATGACACATACAGAGTAGAGTGGAGTTTGTTTAAGACTGATTTTTTTGTAATAGACTTAGGTACCCAATTCATGTTCTTTATTATACCATCCTCCATCCAACTTGTTTAATCAATGTATACATTACATTTGCCCTGCCTTTAACCTATTTTACATTTTTTTTAGCTTTAGGCAGCAGATTTATCTAGATTTGTCATTCAGTTTCATTTGTTCACAGCTCTGTCAATCATAACTGAAGGAATAGAAGTCACCTGTTCGGGCTAGCGAGTTGGTCAGCTGGGAAAATCACCTTAAATTAGCTCTGCCTTTCAGGAAAGCACTCAACAAGCGGGGGCATTAACAATTGTTTGCACTTGTGTGCACATAACCAGAGATTCCAAAAAAGGTAGGTGTGCATGACCACATGAATATAAAAATCCCTGGGAGGCCAGATCTGTCTTGCATATTATTGAATCTCCAGCACCTACCATAGTAACTGGCATCTGCCAGTGGCTTAATAAAATTCTTCTAGATGAAAAGAGAACAAGTAAGGATGAGAAAGGCAAAGAAACCTTCACCTATAGCTGGTTTTCTAGTTACATGGAAATAGTCATAGATGACAGGTGAAACTTACAATGTAATTCTTTCCAATTACTAATAAATTATTGTCCAGTTGACTCAACAGACAAAGACATATATTAACTAGACAGAAGCAAAAGACAACACTTTCCTTACACAGATGCTTATGCAGGGAAGGAACACAGATACTTAAATACTCTTCAGTAGCATTAAGGGTTATATTTACCTGTTGACAACTTCTTGGAGACGAGAAGCAAGGAGCAGTTTGCATTTCTACCAGACTCTGGTGAAATAAAACTTTTTACTTCTCCCTCACTCTAATTCCTATTCTATAACCTCGAGACAACATTACATCCAGTTATAACTTCTAATTTTCATGTAAAAAAAAGAAAAAGAAACACAAACAAACACCTAAACAAAAAGGCGTAGCAATAAAATAAAGCTGCCCCAAATTCTGCAGCTGACTAACCGATAGGTGACATGATTTCAGGTCATCTGATTTCTAATTTACAACTGTTTCCACATTGATAAACTGTTTTTCACATTAGCATCAAATTTTTCCATACATCTCTCCCTGGGGAAAAATTATGAACTGAGATATGACCATCTCCAAAACTCAGAATACTCACTTTCCTGAAAAACCACTCCAAGTCTTATCTCATGTAACATTTCACACACTTTCCTTTTATAGCCCTTTCCTCATTGGAAGAGTTCAGAAATTCCAAGTTAGCTAGTATACTGGACAAATGACAAAATTATATTTGGAGAGAATCCACACTTATACAAATATCAGTAGTCCTTTCTTGTGCCAAGGGCAGATTTTTGTTGCTCAGCCAAAATGCAACTGCAAATAAGTCAACTAGAAATATAATTCACACACACACACAAACACACACACACAAATACTGACATAACTTCAAGTTCCTTTTGAATTTTTTTCTAGAATGAGTAAATTTATAATTTAAATTGCATGTCCCATAGAAGAAGAAAAATAAGTCCTGAATAATAGCCTTTAAAGAAGTGATTAGGGTAGTACCAATATTCAGGCCAATTGCAACTTCCTCTGCTACTCCAGTAAATGTACGTGTATGTGTGTGTGTCATTTTTCTATGAGCAGAGAGTTTCCTAGTCATTTCTATGCTTCTTCCCCATTTGAAATACATTATAAAGTGCTGTGATGAGATATATCTATTACGTGTTTTATTATTTATATTACATATATAAATATATAAAAATGATGTAGATTAAAGATATTATATTAAGAATATAACGGTTTTACATATATACATATTTATGTATATATAAAATCATTATATATACATAAAATGCATATTTATGTACATATAAAATCATTATATATACATAAAAATGTAATGGATACAATGTATATATATAATCTTTATTTATGTTGTACATTAATTTGTATATAAATTTGTATATTTATATACAAATATATTTGAGACAGGGTCTCAAAATATATATATATATATAATTTATATCACATATTTCTTGTTCTGTTGCCCAGGTTGAGTGCAGTGGCATGATCTCGGCTCACTGCAACCTCTGTTTCCCAGGCTAAGAGATCTTCCCACCTCAGCCTCTGGAGTAGCGAGGACCACAGGCTTGCGTCACCATGCCTGGCTAAATTTTTATATTGTTTTGGTACAGACAGAGTTTTGCCACATTTCCCAGGCTGGTCTCCAACTCCTGAGCCCAGGTGATCCATTTGCCTCGGCCTTCCAAAGTGCTGGGATTACAGGTATGAACCACCATGCCTGACCAATGGTTTTTATATTATACTGTGTAAAACAAGAATTCATTAGAAGACAAGATATATCAACAGAAAGTGGGTGCTACAGCAAAATGTGGTTTAGTATCTAACTTTTTTTTTTAATAGGACGTAGGTAAAACTAATCTAGAATATTCATTTTGTATTTGTTAGGCCATGTATCTCTGTTTCCTTGCTTATGATTTTAAAATTATTGTATGTTTTTGAACCATATAAAGATAATAGTATAAAACACAAAAATGTGGCTCCTTTTTATCTTCAATTTAATTTAATTTCATTTTTGCCATGAAAATTACAAACAAAATTATTTTAGAGTAAATTGTTTAATAATGCTTGTTATAGGACAAAATTATCAATACTTTCTTATATATTGTTTACATCAATATATCTAAATGGCATACATGTTACACCCTTATTTTTCCTTTCATGCATTATTTATTAGCTTTTCATAATTGTACCATTATGATTTCACAATATTTTGGTAATCCTAGCCCTCTTTACATTCCATAAACATATAAGCATAAGCATTTCTTTTAATTTTGTTTGGATTATTATTCTAGGCTTATGACATTATGATTAAATAAATGTGATTCACAAAGTGCCAGGTAGTATTTTATCATTTCTTGTTTTGTACAACATTTTGTTTCCCCTAGAGTTTATATTTACATTATATTTACTTTGTGTTCCTTATAAGGCATTAAAACTAAGAAAAACAAATTTCTTTTAAATATGCTTAAATACATTGGAATTATATCCATTTTACTTTTTAGAAGAAATACTTCCCATTGATCTTCTCTACCTTGGACAGCTCCCCCTCCAGGCCTGATGCACAGTGGCATCATGGGATTGCTTAGCACCCTTCCCTGGAATTTATTCTCACCACTCTTGCATTGGATCCTTTAATTTTTCTGGCTGTCATATCTTCTTTCTTTACAGTATTTTTGCTTTTGCCAAAGTAACTAGTTTTGAAAGTAAAACAAAATGGAAATATAAAGATAGGCACCATTAATAGTGTACAAATTCATGCCTTTCTCATTAGATATTGACTCTTTGGTTTAAAGTAGGAAAACATTGTTTTGATAGGATATTCAAGAAGCAATATCATTAATAATACTAAGAATCGATTGTCAATCTGATCTTGTAATGACTAGGGCAAAGCTTCTTTTCCTCTCCTTCAATACAGAGCTTTGCATTTTTCTTTCCAAAATGGAAACATTTAGAATAAACTCACATCTTCCAAGGGGGAATTCAAGAAACATGTGAAATACAATGAGGAAAATTTTTAAGGAAACATCTGATTTCTGATACAATTATGGAAAATATGCTTTCATTCTTTCTCCGGGTGAGAATTTATTGTCAACACAATAAATTCAGAATCATGAAAAAGAGTACTCATATTTGATAAATTTGGCTAGATAAAGCTAGATATTGTTCTTCTGCTTGATGATAACACTCAGAAAATATATTCCCAAGATGCTTCCAGAATCCTGGGAACATGAATTGGTGGGGTGCTTTTTTAGGCAGTTAGGTTAATTCTTCACTTGGTTTATTACAACTTAGCTGTGTTACTTATGCACCTGAAGCACAAAGGATTGATCAGGAGAGCAGGTCAGGAGGGAGATATAGAAGTATGGATTCTGAGGAGTTTGCAACAAACTAGGCATCAATAGCAACAGGCTTTTACGACAGGGAAGGCTGGTTATGATTGGAAGGGTGATGTTTGGAAGAGATGATAGCTGTTCCATGAAAATAAAAAGTCTAAGGTTTTAGCGATTCACACTTCTTCTTGTCCCCATCATGTGTCTCAGAGTCTTACTTTTTCCCCTCCAATGTCCTTAGCCTATGGTGTGTTCTGATATAGCTGACACAATTGAGTATGAAGATGTGCTGCACTTTCACAACCACTACCTCAAGGATCTGAGCTTGGTCTGAAATCTTGTGTCAATTAACAACTTGAACTTCACCAACAAGCAGGCAAGGAAGACATTATTCCTGACTATTGCAATAGGGGACAAAAGCCAGGACTCAGTCTGAACTCAATTCTGTTGAAACAGAAAATAAAAAAAAAATAGAAGAAAAATAAAAAGAGCAGTGTGAAGAGAAGATCATACTCAAGCAAAAAGGATTGATCAGGAGGGTATCAATCTGCATTTTCTAATTGGCTTTACCCAAAGAAAAGTGAACTTTTTCCTATCTTTATGACAGGAGTTAATTTTATAACTTGGAACAAAGCAACCAAACCCCTAGCTTAAGTTAGGCTTCTACTTAACTTCAAACAGAGACTGGGAGATAGGAACACTATCTTTCTTGACAATTACTTTTTAAAGAGATGGCTCCAAAGACTTTGAGAACAACATTCCTTCAGGTTGTGAAAAAGGCAAGAGGATTTTTTAAATATTTACTAATTAGCCGGACGCAGTGGCTCACGTCTGAAATCCCAGTATTTTGGGAGGCGGAAGCAGGTGGATCACCTGAGGTCAAAAGTTCAAGACCAGCCTGGTCAACATGGTGAAACTCCGTCTCTACAAAATATACAAAAAATTAGCTGGGCGTGGTGGCAGGCGCATGTAATCCCAGCTACTCAGGAGGCTGAGGCAGGAGAATCTCTTGAACCTAGGAGGCAGAGGTTGCAGTGAACCGAAATCACGCCATTATGCTCCAGCCTGGGAGACAAGAGCGAAACTTCGTCTCAAAAAAAAAAAAAAAAAGAAAGAAAAAGAAAAAAGAAAAAATTTACGGCTGGGAGCGGTGGCTCACGCCTGTAATCCTAACACTTTGGGAGGCCGAGGTGGGCAGATCACCAGGCCAGGAGATCGAGACCATCCTGGCTAACACGGTGAAACCCCGTCTCTACTAAAAAAATACAAAAAACTTAGCCGGGCGGGGTGGCGGGCGCCTGCAGTCCCAGCTACTCGGGAGGCTGAAGCAGGACAATGGCGTGAACCCAGGAGACGGAGGTTGCAGTGAGCCGAGATAACCCCACAGCACTCCAGCCTGGGCGACAGAGCGAGACTCTGTCTCAAAAAAAAAAAAAAAAAAAAAGTACTTATTAAAGGAGCAGAGAAATAATTTACAATGACATTTTCTAAAGTAAATGCTGTAAGAAAAGTAGATTGGTGGGCTACTGTAAAGAAGATGCTTGTCTAAAGTCAAGCTGAGGGAAATGGTAAATTCCTCTTGGTCACATCTTCCCATTTTCTGTCTTACAAAAAAAAAAAAAATTGAGCCAATCAATCCTGACAAATGTTCACCTATTTTTTCCTATTTTTCATGGCTGAGTTCTTAAAAAATTAACTGCTTCCTGCATCAGGAATGAACTGAGATTCAATATATGGAAGTATCATTTTTCTCATTAAAATGCTACCTGAATTACATACTGTATTTTATATATTATTGAAATATTGTCTGCAGTTTATATTTTTTTGTCTTAGTATGTATGCCCATTTTTACACCAGTAACAGAAGCTTTATGTTGCAAATTAATAGTATCTTAATACAAACTATTCCATGGCATATTATTCCTATATTCCGAATATTCCCAGGCTGCCATTGCATTATTTTTATTACACATGGAGATTGGAATAATCTTAAAAGCTTTCAATTCCTCTCTCACATAAATTACTTAGGCTTTTATTTGAATTACATTAATTGTGTAAGCATGTGGGGGATAATTTGAGCTACTTCTTAAGAAATATGCTTGAGCTATATAATGTTTTCTTAACAGAGTTTTAGTTAGGAGGAATAAGGTTCCGTGATTTATTGCACAGAATGGTGACTATAAGTAATAATGCATGTATATTTCATAATTGTTAAAAAAGTAGATTTTAAATGCTTTTACCAAAAGAATATATGCAATGATGAATTTGTTAGCCTGATTTAATCATTCTACATTACAACATATATCAAAACATTATATTGTATATTATAAATATATACAATTACTATTCATTGATAAAAAAATTTAAAAATTACACCTGAAAAAAATATGACATATAGGTCCTCTTTGTGTTCTCTGTGAAGTGTTATGATAGTCCTCATGTGAGTTTTCACAATTGTATTGCACTTATATGTTGAAATATAATTTGTTATCTTATATGTTTTGGATGCATTTATATTATATCACTCATGCTATTTGGTTATTTGGTCCCTCTGTGGATAATCATGCTTTAATAATATAATAGGTCATTTGTCTAAGATAATTGTATCTTATTTTTTAGGCAGTAAACTAAAGATGAATGTGAGAAGGTTTAACCAAAACTTCCATAAATTATAAAGTGATGTAGAATAAACTCCAAAACATCATTCAAACTGTCAGCTAAACAGCTGCTGTACTAATGAGGAAAGGAGAATCTGATGTACAGTACATCTGTATTCCTTTTTCTGATCGTAAGTCATTAGAAAGTTTATCTGTTGACATCAAAAACTAGTTCTATAAACTATGATAGATGCAGTTAAAATAAAATACTTGCCATGTAGTTGACTATAAATAAAACAAAAAGGTTATACAGGGTTTTCTTTATACATATGAAGATGCTGTGCCATTTGTTTATTGATGGGCTTAATAAAATGCAGTTTAGTCAATTTGAAATCATGTAATTATATAATTATTTAAATTTTAGAAGTAATTATTCAGATGTTACTTGTATTTGATTAATTGTGTTTCCATTTACAAATGAAGCATTATTATGCTTCTTTCATCATAACTGAAAACATAGTTCATCTATTTTATAATTTAAAAAAATGACACTGCCAGATGTGGTGGCTCATGCCTGTAATCCCAGCACTTGGAGAGGCCAAGGCGGGTGGAGCACTTGAGATCAGGAGTTTCAGACCAACCTGCGCAACATGGTGAAACCCCATCTCGCCTAAAAATACAAAAATTAGCCGGGCATGGTGGCATGCTCCTGTAATCCCAGCTACTCAGGAGGCTGAGGCAGAAGAATCTCTTGAACCCAGGAGGCGGAGGTTGCAGTGAGCCAAGATCACATCACTGCACTCCAGCCTGGGTGACAGAGTGAGACCCTGAAAAAAAAAAAAAAAAAAAAAGACACAAGAAGCTATACTCATTTTTCAAGACATTCAGCAAGACATTACTATAGTTCAAGCATAAGATGTCATGAAATAATGGCCTTGGTTTCAACAATCTCAGGTATGTGTCTTTAAATGAAATATTCATTATGCTCTTGTGAAAACTGCAAATACCAAATGAAAGCACCTTTTTTAGACCCAGATATAATAGGATCAAGAAGTTTTGAAAGAGAGGATGCTCGCTTTACAAATGTGAGATAAGAACTGTTTCTTAAGAACTGTTTCCGAGGATTTTCTAAAACCCTTTGGCATCCTCCTGCTTTGATAATGTTTATCACTAGACATTCTTTAGGACTGCAGTAATTCAGATCAAATGTCTGCAGAAGAACACTTGCCCATTCATGGCATCTTCATTAATAAACTGACAACAACTCTGGCTTTGAACCTCTGAAACCAATGAACTCAGTTTCTAAGCAGCTTATGTAAATCTCTTTTTCCTAATGAAAACTCACCTTTGTTCTTCCCTCACCAAATGCACTGGTGGTGTGCCATTTCATGCATTCTAGATTATAATCCTTATTTCTATTCCTGAGTAAACCCAACATATTTAGAAATAATTTTCTCTAGTGTCCTTTTAATATTGATACTATGATCTGATGTCATTACCCAACATGAGATTGAAAGGCTCTTTAGTGCAGCTGTGCTTCTTCTGTTCTATAGAACACACGTTGCCAATCACAATTATGCGTGGTGAAGCTAAGGAAGACCTCTCAGAAAATGTCTTCATCAGATTAAATGCTGATGTTGATTGTATTGTACTTGAAGTATTAATCTGTCTTAGTCGGTTTGGAATGTTATAAAAAATGCCATAAACTGGGTGGCTTAAAAAACAAACATTTGGCCGGGCGCGGTGGCTCACGCCTGTAATCCCAGCACTTTGGGAGGCCGAGGCGGGCGGATCACGAGGTCAGGAGATCGAGACCATCCTGGCTAACACGGTGAAACCCCGTCTCTACTAAAAATACAAAAAATTAGCCGGGCGTGGTAGCGGGCGCCTGTAGTCCCAGCTACTGGGGAGGCTGAGGCAGGAGAATGGCGTGAACCCGGGAGGCGGAGCTTGCAGTGAGCCGAGATCGCGCCACTGCACTCCAGCCTGGGCGACAGAGCGAGACTCCGTCTCAAAAAAAAAAAAAAAAAAAAAAAAAAAAAAAAAAAAACATTTATAATTTATATCTCATAGCCTAAGGGCTCCAGCATGGTCAGGTTATGGGATGGGCCCTTCTTCCTGGCTTGTAGACCACTGCCTTCTTTCTATATCCCTGCAAGGTAGAGAGAGAAAGCTGTCTACTTCTTTCACTCTTATCTAAGGATGCTAATCTAATCATTGTAGCCTTACCCTATTAACTTCATCTAACCTGAATTACCTCCCAAATACCTTACTTTCTAATACTATTACATTGGGAATTAATGCATCAACATATAAATTTTGGGGAGGCACATTTTGCTCGTAACATAATCTATGCATTTTCTCTATATTTTCACCACATTCTGTTCTCTCATTGGTAATCCAAGGTCAGTATTTTATATCCCCTAACCTCTATCTGGATCAAAATAAGGAAAAAGTAATGCAATATAATAAAGTCTCTACAGTAATAAAAACTCATTGAAATCAAGATTCAGTCTTCACCAAGTGCAATACAGAAAGATATCCATAAGAGTTCACAGGATTTATGTTTTTATTTCATTTTGTAGATTATGGTTATTTTGTTTATTTTTTTAATTATTGAAGCTAAGTTATACTAGAATTATGTGAAGCTGAAGGGAAATTAATGTGGAAAACTCACATTCAAAAGTGGAGAGACTTGAGGCCTAAATAAAAAGAAAGATGTTCACCCTCCAAGATTAAAAAATAAAATGGACATGATGTAGCACCTAAGGGTCTTCCTGTGTGGTTGCCTTACCACTTCATTGCCCATTAATAACCTAAAACTCTCCTTTATAACTCAGGTGTAGTCAAAATGTCTCCTCTTCCATTTATTCAATGAGGTTTTAAAGCAATTAGAACACAGTTATTGGTTTAATTGTGCAATCCCAAAGTTCATATGGTGAAGTCCTGATAGTCAAGTATCTACAAATGTGTTCTTATTTGGAAATATAGCTGTTGCTAGTGTAAATAGTTAATATGAGGTCATATTGGAGAAGAATAGGCCCTGAATCTAATATGACTGTTGACCTCATAAAAATGAAACATTTGAGCATAGACACACACACAGGAAGAACACCATGTGAAGGTTAAGGCAGAAATTGGGTTGATGCAGAAAAAAAAACAAGGAACACTCAGATTGCCAGCAAAAGCTAGGAAAGGAAGAAGGAACACACTCTCCCTCACAACAAAAGTATCCAGGCTTTCCAACCCTTGATCTTGGATTTCTAGCATCCAAAACTGTGAAGCGTAAATTTTTGTTGTTTAAAGCACTCAGCTTGTGGTTCTTTGTAGTGGCATCCCTAGTAAACTAACACTGCTTAAAACTTTGTTTTAAGCAGTAATCAACTGGAAAATTAGCCTACTTGTGGAATACTGAGACATTCTCAGGCCCCGTCCAGAACTAACTCTAATTTTCTTTCATTGATACAAGAATGTCTTTACAATGGACTGATACTAGATTAATAATATCTTCACTTTTTTAAAATCTTTTTGAGTTGTGAAAATGGTTTCAATTCCATGCCTGATCAGCAGTGTGGAAAATATCCTTGATGATGAATACTTAATTGTATTCCTTTTTAACTCTGTGTATCTCTCTGCCCAGAATTGACAATGTTGGTGACTTTAGATAATTTACCCTAGTTAGCTCAATAATGACCAAACATGTTTAGTATGTAGCAAGCAGAGGAATCCTTAAGAATATTTTATATCTACATGTGTTACATCTTAGTGTTGCACATAAAAACCTTGGTCTCTTGTGTAATAGTGATTTATATTAGGATAAGTCAAAGTACTATACTTTTTTTTTTACCAAGATTTAAAGACTATTCAGTGACTGAAACCTTAAAGATTTTTAAGAGAATGCAACAATCCTTGGAAGTTTTGAAATTCAACATAAATTAAGATCTGCTTTCCTTATAAAATTATGCGGTTAGAAAAATAATTTGTATTACGTAGTCTAACTTACTCTAGTTCCAATGAAATTGAAAATTAATAATGTATGTATTTTAAAATCAATATAAATTTTAAAAATCTTCAAGGATTTTTTTGTCACTCAACATTGTAACATGTATCACGTAGTAAGTCTAGCAGCTTTTAAATTCCTGAACTTTTTGACGTCATGAGCTTCCTATATGACATATTGTTTTAAAATTTTATGACATTTTGAAAGCTGTTATCATAATATCCTTCTGGGTTGTTTTAAAGCAACTGCATAAACACTGAAAAAATCTGTCTTTCAAGGGTAATATAGGATAAAAATTATTTATAAAAATAAATTTGGAAGCACAGAATCATCCTAAATCACAATTAGTGTTCCTTTTTTTTTCTTTGACACTACGTGATAGTCTTCCCAATGACTTTAAAGTGTTAGTGTAGCCTCAGAAAGAGATTGAGTTAGCTACTGCCAGTGTAATTGACCCCCCAAAATGACACATAAAATATATACAAATTAAATATTTTTACATTTATTATTAACAATAAACAAAAACTGCATCCTGAAATGTATTAGTATAACCATTTTCATTGTTTTGAAAAACTAGAAATAAAGAGAACTTAAGAATACTGTAACTATTTTTAATTATGTGAAAAAAGCATAGCCCCGATGAAGTTCTATAAAATTGAATAACAACATAACAATAAAAACAACATGCGATATTTAAAATGGTAAAGGGAAATCAAGAACAAAGTCAATTAACGGCAGTATTCAGAATTGAATTTACAATAGGTTTGCTACATGATATCATCTATTGACATGATTCATTTGGATAAGTATTTTGACTTCAAAAAGTGTCATTTTTGCCTTTATTATTCTGTGGAACTCACTCCTGAAATTGTATATTTTGTTAAAGTATAAAATTTCTATCTGCAGTATAATTTAGTAATAATTAAAATTAGTAATTGTGTATTCTGATAGGTTCCCCAAACCCAGCATATAAGATTAGGATAATTACTTAGTTTGAGAGAACAATATAAGAAAAATATTTTAAATCTAGTGTTGTGGAAAAATTACGCTAAAACATAGCAGGTCGTAATAACCAACATCATTTGCTCACGATTTTTGTGAAACAGGAAACCAGACACAATTTAGCTAGACGTCTCTGACTCAAGTTTTCTCATGAAGTTTCGTGCAATCTGTCAGCTAAGGCTTTAGTCTTTTCTGAATACTTCACTGATAGTATGAATCTGCAACCTAGCTCATTCATGTGGCTATTGGCAGGCCCTGATTTATCATCCTAAGGGCATCTCTAGGGGTTGCCTAATGACAGGGCAAGTGATTTCCCCTCAGACAGTCAATACAAGGGAAAGAAGAGAAAACACCCAAGACAGAAAGTGCCATTTTTTCATAACCTAATTTCGGAATGATATCCCATAATCTCTGCCATGTTTTATTTGTTAGAAGTGAATCAATGAGGCTGGGCACGGTGACTCACGCCTTTAATCCCAGCACTTTGGGAGGCCGAGGCGGGTAGATTACTTGAAGTCAGGAGTTCGAGACCAGCCTGGGCAAACTAGCAAAACCCCATCTCTAATAAAAATACAAAAATTAGCCAGACATGGTGGTGTGCACCTGTAATCCCAGATACTAGGGAAATTGAGTCAGGAGAATCTCTTGAACCCGGGAGGAGGAGGCTGTAGTGAGCCCAGATCTCACCACTGCACTCCAGGCTTGGCAACAGATTGAGACAAAAAAAGAAAAAAAAAAAAAAAGGAAGTGAATCAATGAGTCTAGCCCACTCTAAGGGCATAAGGGAATTATAAGGGTCCCAGTAAAAGAAGATCACTGGGGTAACCTTAAAGTCAGTCTATCACAAACATTAGAGTCCACATATGTGCCCAATAACTACTTTAGCAACATAAAAGGTACAAAGGTGTTTTAAAAATAAAATTTAACAGGCACACATGCATATATATGGCATTCTACAGTTGTTTTAAAATATTGTATATTTTATAACACTTTTCACATGTTAAATTAGATAATATATTGAATGCTAGGAAAATAAGTGAAATTAGGATCATGATACAAGGAAAGAAGACTCCTGGTTTAGGAATTCACAATAGCAACGCAGTGCGGTAATAGTCTTACTTACATAAAGCCCAAGGCTATGTAGAATTCATTCAAGAGAGACCTCATTTACAGCCCCTAAAAGTAACAACAGCAGCAACAACCAATATTAGCTCTAGAATTTAACTTCCACTTTTATGATGGAAACAATTCAAGGTAAGTCATGAAGAAGGAGAGAGAAATTCTCTGAGTCTCTCATTGCCCTTTGTTAAGACATCACTTTATTTTCAGCATTTAATACTGTTTCTTGAATTCTTCTAACTAGATCTATCATTATTTCAAATATATTTATGAGGATGTTGTAAAAATAAAGAGTAAATCTGACTCTCAAGAGAATAGCTATCAAAATTAATTGCTATAATTTTCACATTTATATCTGACAAAAGTGATTCTCCTAATTAGAGATTAAAAGTGTTGAAGTTAAAATAGGCAAAAAATCATTCAAGCATCATTGCATGGAAAGAGAATTACTGAAAAATTTAAAAACTAGACACTTCATAACTTACCTCTAAATATTAAATATCAGAAAATACTGGTATAGAGTGACTGGAATAAAGATTTGTGATCCCTAGATTTTAAAGTTAACCAGATGCCATTCATATGTAATAAAACAAAAGAAATACATGATAACAGATTCAACAATTGAAGGAACATAGCCCCTATTTACATTTCTTGAGGGAAAAAATAAAGATTTAATCCATCTATTTATAAGAGTAGGCAATACTAAAGCATTTTAGAATGGAAAAAATTATAGTATAAAAAGACATACAGTAACCATTGAAAGGAAGTAAACATTGTAGTATATCTGAATACATGTTATTAATGTGGAAACAAAGCATAATAGAAAAGCCATACATAAGTTTTGAATAAAAATATGTCAAACCAAATAAAAATGTAATATTACAATGTGTTTTTGATGTCTCACATATTGCCAATAAATAAGAGTTTTACAAGGGTATGGGAAATAAAGAACTTACAGGTTTTGAAAATGCATATGTGACTACCTATAGATATGCTTTTCTTTGCCACTAAAATTATGTAAATAAAGGTAAAATAATTTAAATTGTAAATCTACTACTCGAAATATAGAAATGTGATTTTCAATTGCTAGTGTTCAGTAACATCCCTATATCCCAGTCCAATGAGGTACTTCTGGTTTTTACTTTATCTATATTCATGCAGTGTTTGATGCATGAATCAAACACTGCACCAAAATATTAGCATTTCCTTTCTTCTAGGAAAGATCTTTGGCTTCCATGCCATGCCCTCTAGCTTCTCCTACCTCTCATTCTCATTTTTCTTCCTTGGAACCAATTATCCTTGAACACTTCTGAAATGTTGATGTTTCCTAATGTTCCTCCCTTTGCCTATTTCTCAGGTTTTAGCTATCTGGGTCAATTCAAGCTTATGTTAATATCTACTTAGAATATGTTGATGGCTCTGAAATAGTATGCTTACATCTGATTTTTGCCTACAAATCCATATTCAACAGGTGAGACACCACCATCAGTATTTTCCTTTAGTACTTGAAACTAAACATATTCCCAACCAAAATTATTTAATATATATATATATATACATATTCCATATTACTGGGGAAATATAATAAAAAACAGTTTAAAAAAATAGACACTGTGATTTTTTTGTTTTGCCAATCTGCACTTTTTTTGACATTGTTAATCAATTTCAAGTGTGTTTTTAATTTTTACTGTCATTAAATTTAAAAAAATAAAATAAAATGTAAAAACATGCTGAATACTTCCTAAATTGTTGGATTTTTAAAATTAAATCAATTATTGAACATATGTTATAAATGATAAAAGAAAAGCAAAATAAAAAACCATATAAATACACCAAAACATTATGATGTGCAAGTAATATATATACTTTACAAACAGATGAAAATAAATTTAAGTTTCCTATTAAAATGAAATAACTTTAAGTAAAATTTAAATTAAAGCTCTATGATTTCAATTATAAATACAGCTATAATATAATGATCAAGAATATACATAGGCGAGAGTAGTACAGAAGGGTTTAAATTTTGCCTATAATGAACAACATTGCATCTCACTAGTCCACTCACTAATAAAACTAGAAAAACTGAAAAAAAAGGACATTTTTCTTTGAAGTCAACAGTAAACCACCAGCATAACAAGTATTTCAGGGACCAAAATCCTGAAGATAAAGGAAAGACACTGAGGTAAGAAAAATATTTGGTTTCAGTTTATCTTCACCGTATTTACTAATTATATAAAGACTGAGGAGAGTCTGAGAAGTTGAGCAAAATGTATGACAGTTCTATAGGTTCACAGGAACAAAACTGGAGTTTAGGAGCCACTAAGGAACAAGATAACTGATAAATACTTCAGGATTCTTAATTGGACCATAAAGGGCAAAGCAAAATAGGCCAACTCATCATAAAACTAAAACTGTTTTTAACAAATTCATTTTAAAATTTGATTGAGTATTATTGTCTCCACTTGAATGGTATTTTTTCTAAAATCAGAAGAAACTCTGATCTAGTTGAAGATAATCTAATTCAAAAATTATCTGCACTTCAAATTTTCCCTAAAGATTTTATACGTGATAGCAAACATGTTTCATCCTACATGTCTAATCAAAACTAATCAGATTCCTAAAAATGCATGAGTTGATAAAAAAAGAAAAACAGATAATATAATTCCACAAGAAATTTAGATATTTGAATTATACGAAGTGATAAAAATAATTGTTACTACATTGTTCTAGTAAATAAAGAATAAAATTGAGACTTGAGAAGAAATTTGGAAGTTCTAAAAAGTAATTAAATAACTGAAATTGTTAACCCAGTAGACTGATATAATACTATATTAGATGTAGCTAAAGAAAAATTTAGTGAACTGGAAGATAGGTAAATAAAAAATGTAGGGCCAGGAGCAGTGGCTCATGCCTGTAATCTCAGCACTTTGGGAGTCCGAGGCGGGCGGATCACGAGGTCAGGAGATCGAGACCAGCCTGGCTAACACGGTGAAACCCCGTCTGGACTAAAAATACAAAAAATTAGCCAGGCATGGTGGTGGGCGCCTGTAGTCCCAGCTACTCAGGAGGCTGAGGCAGGAAAATGGCGTGAACCAGGGAGGCAGAGCTTGCAGTGAGCCGAGATTGTGCCACTGCACTGCAGCCTGGGTGACAAGGCGAGACTGTCTCAATAAAACAAAAAAAAATGTAGATGGTTATGCATATATTGAAAGAAACTGAAAATAGAGATAAAAGCATAAAAGCATGAGATGTGTATGGAAAATGGCAAATCACAATCATACATATAATTAGAGTTCTAAAAATACAGAAGAAAGAAAATGTAACAGAAGTACTTCTTGGATTAAAAAATGAAGGCAAATTTTTCAGAACTGATGCCATATAGTAGTGATACTTGAAACTAAAGTTTCAAGTTAATAGGAAAAAATATTGAAAAGGTATACATATATAAATAATTATTAATAATAATCAATTGAAAATAAATTTCAGATTGAAAAAGCAAATAGAATCCAGAAACAGGAGAAATAGAAACTAGTAGCTGATAGAAAATTATAGCAAATAGAAAATCTAAGCATAGAAATATGAAATTAATAAAAATGTGCTTACATTAAATATAAAGAGTAAATATTCCAATTAAAAGACAACGATTGTCAGAATAGATACAAAAGTAAATTAAAACAATTCTGTGTTTCTTACAGGGTACATACTTTTAATATGAGAAAGTTCAAAACCAAAAGAATAAAAAAAAGCCATGAAAACATAAAACACAGGAAAGCTATTGTAGCCATATTAATGTTAAACAATGTCAACATTAAGGCGAAGGCATCGCTAACAAAAAAAAATCAGTAATTCTAAGAGTCAGTCCTCTAGAACATAAAACCCCTAGAAATGTGATACATCCTATGTCATAGTCTCAAATATGTATAAAATAATAAATGCAAATGGAAACTCAGCCTATGTTCAATCAATATATAAAAAGAGTAATTACGATGTTAGGGTGTCGATTTTAGATCTTTCCCTCTTTCTCTTGTGGACATTTAGTGCAATAAATTTCCATCTAAACACTGCTTTAGTTGTGTCCCAGAGATTCTGGTACATTCTGTCTTTGTTCTCATTAGTTTCAAATAACTTATTTATTTATGTTGTAATTTCATTATTTACCCAGTAGTCATTCAGGAACAGGTTATTCAGTTTCCACGTAGTTGTGCGGTTTTGAGTGAGTTTCTTACACCTGAGTTCTAATTTGACTGCTCTGTGGTCTGCAAGACTGCTTGTTATGATTTCCATTCTTTTGCATTTGCTGAGGAGTGCTTTACTTCCAATTATGTGGTCAATTTTAGAATAAGTGTGATGTGGTGCTGAGAAGAATGTATATTCTGTTGATTTGAGGTGGAGAGTTCTGCAGATGTCTATTAGGTCTGCTTGGTCCAGAGCTGAGTTCAAGTCCTGAATATCCTTGTTAATTTTCTGTCTCATTGATCTGTCTAATACTGACAGTGGGATGTTAAAGTCTCCCACTATTATTGTGTGGAGAGACTAAGTCTTTTTGCAGGTCTCTAAGAACTTGCTTCATGAATCTGGTTGCTCCTGTATTGGGTGCATATATATTTAGGATAGTTAACATACCATGTTCATGGATAAAAAGAATCGATCTCGTGAAAATTGCCATATTGCCCAAAGTAATTTATAGATTCAATGCTGTCCCCATCAAGTTACCATTGACTTCCTTCACAGATTAGAAAGAACTACTTTAAATTTCATATGGAACCAAAAAAGAGCCCATATAGCCAAGACAAGTCTAAGCAAAAAGAACAAAGCTAAGGCATCACAGTGCCAAACTTCAAACTATACTACAAGACTATAGTAAACAAAACAGCATGGTACTGATACCAAAACAAATATATAGATCAATGGAACAAAACAGAGTCCTCAGAAATAACGCCACACATCTACAACCATCTGATCTTTGACAAACTTGACAAAAACAAGCAATGGGGAAAGGATTCTCTATGGCATACATGGTGTTGGGAAAACTGGCTAGCCATATGCAGAAAACAGAAACTGGACTCGTTCTTTCACCTTATACAAAAATTAACTCAAGATGGATTAAAGACTTAAACATAAGACCCCAAATCATAAAAACCCTAGAAGAAAACCTAGGCAATACCATTCAGGACATAGGCATGGGCAAACACTTCATGACTAAAACACCAAAAGCAATGGCAACAAAAGCCAAAATTGACAAAAGGGATCTAATTAAATTGCAGAGCTTCTGCACAGTGAAATAAACTATCATCAGAGTGAACAGGCAACCTACAGAATGGCAGAAATTTTTTGCAATCTATCCATCTGATGAACTCTAATATCCAGAATCTACAAGGAACATAAACAAATTTACAAGAAAAAAACAATCAACCACATCAAATAGTGGGTGAAGAATATGAACAGACACTTCTCAAAAGAAGACATTTATTTGGCCAACAAACATATGAAAAAAAAGCTCATCATCACTGGTCATTAGAGAAATACAAATCAAAACCACCATGAGATACCATCTCATACCAGTTAGAATAGTGATCATTAAAAAGTCAGGAAACCATAGATGCTGGAGAGGATGTGGAGAAATAGGAACACATTTACACTGTGGGTGGGAGTATAAATTAGTTCAACTGTTGTAGAAGACAGTGTGTCAATTCCTCAAGGATCTAGAACCAGAAATACCATTTGACCCAGCAATCCCATTACTGGGTATATAACCAAAGGATTATAAATCATTCTACTCTAGAGACACATGCACACATATGTTTATTGCAGCACTATTCACAATAGCAAAAACTTGGAACCAACCCAAATGTCCATCAATGATAGACTGGATAAAGAAAATGTGGCACATATACACCATGGACTACTATGCAGCCATAAAAAGAATGAGTTCATGTCCTTTGCAGGGACATGGATGAAGCTGGAAACCATCATTCTCAGCAAACTAGCACAGGAACAGAAAACAAACACCACATGTTCTCACTCATAACTGGGAGTTGAACAAGGAGAACACATGGACACAGGGAGGGGAACATTACACACAAGGGCTTGTTGGGGATTGAGGGGCTAGGGGTGGAATAGCATTAGGAGAAATACCTAATGTAGATGACAGGTTGATGGGTACAGCAAACCACCATGACACATGTATACTTACGTAAGAAACCTGCACGTTCTGCACATGTATCCCAGAACTTAAAGTATATATAAAAAAGAGTAATACATTATAATTATATATAATGTGTTCCTGAAATACATGATGAATGTAACAGTCAGACTTCAAAGTTATTTATCAAATTAACAAAAGGTGGAAAATTCATACAATAATTCCAAAATATGAAGAAAAATGATAGGATGGAATAGGTTCAAAGGAACAAATAAATAAAAAGTCCTCTGCAAGCTGGAAATAAATGAGAACATAGTTAACCTGATTAAGTATATCTACCAAAATAGCCTATAGAAAGCAGTTTTTTTAATGGCTATATTTTAAAAGATTTTTCATAGCTAGAGTTTCCAAAATAAGTATGACAATAGCCTGATCCTCTTTATTATTTCATTGGATGCTATAGCCTATGCAAAAATAACAACTGTTGTGGTAATAGTTATAATAATTATTGTAATTATAATTATTTTTATTATTATAGCAGGTTATAGAAATTAGAAAAAAGTATACTGCTAGATGGCAATATTGTGGGATGTCATTATGACCTTCCAGTACGTAAAAGTACATATAGCATCCCTAAGAATAAAAGAAAAGCTAGATAAATTGGATTTTATTAAACCTATCTTTATTGAAGATGATATGCTTTTATCTATTGGAAGCTTAAAAAAATCACACAAAAAAGTTATTAAAATCAATAAATGATTTAAATGTGTTTACAGGCTCCAAGTTCAATATGCAACAACTATATTTCTGTCTATCAGAAAAACACCTTTCTAAAATAAAATTATAAACAAGATATTTAATATAATTAAACATTTGAAATTAACTAGGAAGACATTCCACAAAAGCCTGTTTAACAATAAAAAAATCTATGTTTTTGTGAGACTATAAAGAAAACCTTAATGTATAAACTAATTAACTATATTAATGAATTGAAAGACTAAATATTGAAAAGACACTAATTTTGTCTAAATAACAAAAGAATTTAAATATATTCACAGTAAAATTCCAGTAGTAATTTTATAGGAACTGTCAAAGAGATTCTTAAATGTATACTGAAATACAAACGTACAGAAATAACCAAGAAAACATCAAAAATTAAAAATACTTGGAAGAGTAAGACTACCATATAATAAAACCTGTAATTAATTTACAGTAATTAAGACGATGATTATCTTGTTGCTTTGTTTTGTTTTGTCAAGATTAGGCAAATAGAAGAATGACATACAATAAAGAGTCAGAAACAGACCTCTACCCATATGAATACTTGCTATAAGAAAGATAACACAGCAGAATGTTGAAGAAAATGGCTTATATGGCCAATCAACATATGAAAATGTGCTACTAATCATTACTTGTAAGCAAACTGTGAATTAAAGTCAAGATAAAATTGCATGCCCTTCAGAAAGGCTAAAATGAACATGATAGGTGATAGATAGATAGATGATAGACAGATAGATAATATATAGGTAGAACGAATAATAAAAATATCAACTATTGGCAAGAATATAAAGCAACATGAACTCCACTAAATTGATAGTATTTTTGTAAATGTGTAGAAACACTTCGTGTGTGTGTGTGTGTGTTTGTGTGTATTCTTTTTTACAATCTCAATTCATATTATATGAGTTGTAATTTCATATTATTTATGAATTAATTTAAAGCAGTCGTTATATCATTAGTGCCTTGTTTTTCAAGAAATCCTTCTCCTACTCCAAGACAATGAAGATAGTTATTAATATACAATCTAAGTGATACTGTTTTATTTCACATACAAAAGATTTACCTAAAGTTAAATTTCATGGAATCCCTTACAGTATTTAAAGTAAATAAAGCACATAGTTACATGGTTGATTCTTATAAATGTATAAATCCAATCATATAAATTTCAAAAGTAGGCAATACTATGTATGATGTTAGACTTCAGGTTAGCTATCTTCACGGAGAACACAGGGTGTTGTAATTAGAAGCAGGTATCAGAGGTTTCTGAATCATTGGTAAAATACTGTATTTCTTGTTCTAGGTTGTGGTCACATGTGTGAATTGTTTACTCTGTGAAAAGTCATTGAGTTTGATGTGTACAATGTTTATACATGTTTTATTTTGTATGAAAATTTAAGTAAAAATTAACTGACAGGGGCCCTATTTCAAAATGGCAAGTTATGCACATACGTTTATTCCCAGACCCAGTTAAAATTACATTAGTGAGTGAAAGAGGCGTCAAACCTTTTCAATAAATAAGGTTCTTGAGAAATCATGAAATTATAATAAACATGATTGCTTTGGTTAGCATTCAACATTGTAAGTAACCTAAAACAGGTATAGAATTATTTCTCACTGTGTTTTACAGACCATGGCGATTGTGTGGGCTTGATGAAATCTTCCTGGAATGAGCCTCCTTTGTTTTCCCTCAGGCATGGTCTTCCTACTCATGGTCCAAGTTGGTGGCTCCTCCTAAAAGAGTGGCTCCTGCCAAATATCCATACCTCAAGCAGTTGTTAAGCCTGAAGCAAAATACGAAACTCTGTTATTTTCTCTCATCCATAAAATGGTGAAAATCAATATACTCCTAAATACAATATGGTTTAAATAAAGAAAATAATTAGTGGCACAAAATTGTTAGATAAAAATAAATTTAACAATGTACAAATAAAATAGAATAAGGGAAAAGATAATGAAGCTCCATCTGTTTTAAGTACTCTCCCTAGAAACTCCACGCAATAATCCTGCTTAAATTGTATTGGCCAGAACTTGGTCATGTAACCAAAACTAGTTCCAAAAGAAGATGGAAAATGCTGTCTTCTAACCGGATAACAATAAAAAGAGGAGAATAGACGTTCAATAAGCATAAAAGTCTCCATACTACATGGGTGAACATAGAAGAAGATAGGGTTGTAGAAGCTATAAAGTAGAATGAAGAAAAATACAGCTAAGACAGTTTCTAGAGCCTGGGTAGCAATGGAAGAACTTAATTCACTTGCATAATGGAGGAGAGGCTTATGTCTTAGAAATATGTAATTGGGCCGGGCGCCGTGGCTCATGCCTGTAATCCCAGCACTTTGGGAGGCCAAGGCGGGCGGATCACGAGGTCAGGACATCGAGACCATCCTGGCTAACAAGGTGAAACCCCGTCTCTACTAAAAATACAAAATTAGCTGGGCGTGGTGGCGGTGCCTGTAGTCCCAGCTACTCGGGAGGCTGAGGCAGGAGAATAGCGTGAACCCGGGAGGCGGAGCTTGCAGTGAGCCGAGATGGCGCCACTGCACTCCAGCCTGGGCGACAGAGCAAGACTTCATCTCAAAAAAAAAAAAAAAAAGAAATATGTAATACAACAGGTTGTAGGAATGAGACCTAGGATGTAAACAGCCTGGGTGACAGAGCGAGACTCCATCTCAATTAAAAAAACAAAAAAAAGATATTTATCTCCAAGCAAGAAATTTAGATATATGTTTTCTAAAAACAAACGGAATGAACTGGGTCAAAGTAAATCGCATGCATATTAGTTCACCAAGATGAACTCTTCTGCATTTTATTATGGAATGAACTACAGGGGTCTGCCCTCTTCCCAGAACAGTATTTGGAAGTCTGTCACTTAAAAAACATAAGCCATTTTCATAGAACTCTCGATTATTCTTTCAAATTACCACAATTGCTATCAGTTTTAATTTCCTATCTTCTCTGAAAACTTCTACAACTTTCCATGCTAAATGCTAAAACTCTTATAAAGGCTCACATTTTATGCCTAACTTTCTGTAGTATCATCTTGCTGTTTGGCTTTCGATTTTCAGTCTTGCTTCTCTCACTTTCCCCACTACCATTAATTTACTATTGTGATCTTTTGCATACACGCATCAAAGCATATCACACCACTTGCTTTAAAATCTTATTTTTTGGCCAGGGGCAGTGGCTCGTGCTTGTAATCCCAGCACTTTGGGAGGCCGAAGCGGGCGGATCACGAGGTCAGGAGTTTGAGATCAGCCTGGCCAACATGATGAAACCCATCTCTACTAAATTAAAAAAATTAGCCAGGCGTGGTGGCTGGTGCCTGTAATCCGAGCTACTCAGGAGGCTGAGGCAGGAGAATTGCTGACAGGTGGAGGCTGCAGTAAGCCGAGATCGTGCCACTGCACTCCAGCCTGGGCGACAGAGTAAGACTCTGTCTAAACAAAACAAAACAAAACAAAACATTTGTTTTGTTTTGTTTTTCTTTTCTACGACATTTAAAATGCTTACTTAATAGCTTACCTGGCTCAGGAATTCTTAAATTATCTAAATAAGCTAAATAACTTTTCTATCTTATCACTTTTAAGTACTCCTTCATTCCATTTTTTCAACACCTCACCATCCAACATGTTCTCTTTATCTATATTGATTTTCTCTGAGGTCTCTGAAGAACACATTTTCTACCTATAGAGGTTTACAAGATGCCTGAAATGTTAGCCCCACTCTCAATTTTTTGCCTGGTTAACCTCAACTTAATGTAACTATTTCTTTTTTTTATTGTATATAGTTACTATGTAAAAAATGATGTTGTGATATCTATATATACTGTGAAATGATTATTAGGGTCAAGCAAATTAACATATTCACCTTTTCGCATAGTTTCTATGTGTGTGTCTCTGTGTGTGTGTGTGTGTGTGTGTGTGTGTGGTAAAAGCACTTGAAAAATACCCTCTTGGAAATTTGTAGTATATAATATAATATTATTAACTATAGTTATCATGCTACACATTGTGTAAGAGAAGACATTCATGAACACTGAGACTGGCTGAATTCCTCTATCACATGCTGTGTGGAACACTGTATTTCATTGTAACACTAAGCAAATTTGTCATCACTTCACCATGTGATAGATTCCAGATGAGTGGGATTAAGTTTGTCTGTTCAAAGGTATTCTCACATTCACATGACTGTGGCATCTGATAAATAATAAATAAATCTTTGTTAAACACCATCATCTAAAACTAGTCCCATTAAAATGAAAGAAATGTCTCTGCCCCATAAATTCAACATCTGCAATGCTTCCCAGCCTGCCCTCCTCAGAGCCCCACAATGAGACTTTATTTTTACTATATCTCCATGCTTCACTTCACAGTAGGGTTTTAAAAGTCTCAGATATTTCTCATTTAAATGAGAGAAGACCCAGAGAAATAAAGCAAAAATGAAAAAGGAGACATTACAACCAATAACACAGAAATCCAAAGGATCAATAGAGGCCACCATAAGCAACTATATACCAATAATTGGAAAACCTAGAAGAAATGGATAAATTTGTAGACACATACAATTTACCAAGATTGAACCAGAAAGAAATCAAAAACTTGAACAGACCAATAACCAGTAATAAGATCAAAGCTATAATAAAAACTCTCCTAGCAAAGAAAAGCCCAGGACCTGATGGCTTCACTGCTGAATTCTACCAAACATTTAAAGAAAAATAATTACCCATCCTTCTCAAACGGTTCTAAAAAGTAGAGGAGGACAGAGTACTTCCAAACTCATTCTATGAGGCTGCTATTACCTTGAAACCAAAAACTAGAAAAGACACACCAAAAAATAAATAAATAAAACACATGACAATATTCCTGTTGAACATCTATACAAAAATCCTCAACATAATACTATCAAACCAAATTCTCCAGCACATTACAAAGATCATTCATTGTGACTAAGTGGGGTTGTTTCCCAGGACTACAAGGATGGTTCAACACACTCAAATCAATCAGTGTAATACATCATATCAACTGAATGAAGGACAAAAACCATATGATCATTTTAACTGATG
Source organism: Homo sapiens (assembly GCF_000001405.40). NCBI lineage: Eukaryota > Metazoa > Chordata > Mammalia > Primates > Hominidae > Homo > Homo sapiens. The sequence continues at coordinate 194,547,321 of NC_000001.11, read as the reverse complement.
CTGAAAAAAGCATTTGATAAAATTCAACATCCTTTCATAATAAAAGATAGCCCTAAAAATCTGGGTATAGGCTGGGCATGTGGCTCATGCCTGTAATCCCAGCACTTTGGGAGGCCAAGGCAGGGGAATCACCTGAGGTTGGGAGTTCGAGACCAGCCTGACCAACATGGAAGAAATACCATCTCTACAAAAAAAAAAAAAAAAAAGTTAGCCTGGCATGGTGGTGGCGCATGCCTGTAATCCCAACTACTTGGGAGGCTGGAGCAGGAGAATCACTTGAGTCCAGGAGGTGGAGGTTGTGGTGAGCCGAGATTGCTCCATTGCACTTCAGCCTGGGCAGCAAGAGCAAAACGCCTCCTCAAAATAAAAAATTGGGTATAGAAGGAACATACCTCAACCCAATAAAAGCCATATAGAACAGAACCACAGTTAATATCATACAGAATAGGAAAAACTATAAACCTTTCCTCTAAGATCTGACAAAAGACAAGGATGTCCACTTTCACCACTGTTATTCAACATAGCCCTGGAAGTCCTAGCTGGAGCAATAGGACAAGGGAAAGATACAAAGAGCTTTCAAATTGGAAAGGAGACAATCAAATTACCCCTGTTTGCAGATGATATGATCTTATATTTGGAAAAACCTAAAGACACCACTAAAAAACTATTAGAACTGATAACCACATCCAGTAAAGTTTCAGGATACAAAATCAACATACAAAAATTAGTAGCACTTCTATATGACAGCAGGGAACAATCTGAAAAAGAAATCAAGAAAGTAGTAGAATTTACGCAGCTAAAAATAAAATAGAATACTTAGCAGGTAACTTAACCAAATACGCGAAAGTTTTCTACAATTAAAAACTCTAAAACATTGATGCAAAAAATTGAAAAGAACACAGGTAAATTGAAAGCTGCTTCATGTTCACAAATTGGAAGAATCGATATTGTTAAAACATCCATGCTCTTCAAAGCAATCTACAGATTCAATGCAATCCCTATCAAAATACCAGTGAAATAAGAAATACCACAGAAATAGAAAAAACATTCCTAAAATTTATATGGAGCCACAAAAGACCCAGAATAGCCAAAGCTGTCCCGAGCAAAATGGACAAAACTGGGGGAATTCCCATTATTTGACTTCAAATTATACCGTAGAGCTATAATAGCCAAAAAGTATAGTACTGGCATAAAAATTCACACATAGACCAATGGAACAGAAGAGATAACCCAGTAATCAATTCACACATTCACAGTGAATCATTTTTGACAAAAGTATCAAGAACACACATTAGGGACAGTTCAGTCTCTTCTATAAATGGTGCTGGGAAAACTGGATATGCATATTCAGAAGAATGAAACTAGATCCCTATCTCTCATCATATGCAATAATCATATCGAAATGAATTGAATCTTAACTCAAGTTCCTCAAACTATGAAACTAGTGAAAGAAAACACTGGGAAACTCTCCAGAACATTGGTCTGAGTGAAAATTCTTTTAGTAACACCCAACAAGTACAGGTAACAAAAGCAAAAGTGGATAAATGGCATTGCATCAAGTTAAAGCTTCTGCATAGCAAAGGAAGCAATCAACAAAGTGAAGAGACAATCTCAGAATGGGAGAAAATATGTGCAAACTCTCCCCCTGGAAAGGGATTAATAGCCAGAATATAAAAGGAGCTCAAACAACTCAATAGGAAAAATATAATAATTCAATTAAAAATAGGCAAAAGATCTGAATGGACATTTCTCAAAAGAAGACCTACAGATGGAAAACAGGTATGTAAAAACATAAAAAATATTGATCATCAGAGAAATGCAAATCAGTCCTACAGTGAAATATCTCACCCCAGTTAAAATGACTTTTATATAGAAGACAGGCAATAACAAATGAGGAATTTGAGAAAAGGGAAATCTTGAACAGTTTTGGTGAGAATGTAAATTAATACAAGCACTGTGAAAAACAGTTTAGAGATTCGACAAAAACTAAAATTAGATCTACCATATGATCCAGAAATTCCACTACTAGGTATGTACTGAGAAGAAAGAAAATTTTGAATGGAAGAGACATCTACATTCTCATACTTATTGCAACACCACTCACAACAGCCAAGATTTGGCAGCAACGTAAATGTCCATCAACAGATGAATGGATTAAAAAAACTGTGGTACAGACACACAACAGAGTACTAGTCAGCCATTAAAAGAATGAGATCCTGTTATTTGCAACAGCATGGATGGACCTGGAGGAAATTATGTTAAATAAAATAAGCCAGGCGCAGAAAGAAAAACTTCAAAAATTCTCAGATACTTGTGGCAGCTAAAAATTAAAACAATTGAACTCATGGAGATAGAGAATAGAACGACGGTTACCAGAGAATAGGAAAGGCTGTCAGGGGTGGGGCAGGGGAGTATGAATAAGTTACTGTGTACAAAAATATAGCCGGTTAAACTGAATAAGATCTAGTATTTGATAGCACAACAGGGTGACTACAGTCAACAATTATTTAATGTACATTTCAAAATATCTAAAAGAGTGTAAATGAATTGTTTTTAACACAAAGAAAGGAAAAATGCTTGAGGTGATAGATAGCCATTTACCCTGATGGGCTTATCATGCATTGTACACCTGTATCAGAGTATCTCATCTACCCCATGATTACATACACCTACTAGGTACTGACAAAACCTAAAAAGTTAAAAAACAAATAAATAAATAGAACATATAAACAACAAATAAAAGAAACACACAAACAAAACATCCTGTAACTGGAATCCTATCCCTTTCCTAAGTTTCACAGTCATCCTTGGGAGAATTGGCTAAACTCAATGTTTCTATTTTCTATATTCTGTCTTTACAAATTTGTTTTATTTTCATCCCTAACTGCTGCAAGAAGCTTACTCATTAATTCCACGTAAGTAAATGAAATGGACGCATTTTGGTGATTGGATGCTTTCCCTTTCAACAGTATTTGACACTGTTGATCATTCCCCTAATTCATTTTTAATAAAAAACAAGAACAAAAAAATATATTAGTTGTTTGTTTAGACCAGACATATAGTGTGCACACTTGAAATTGGAGAAATAGCTGCAAAGTAATTTTGAGGTCTCACTCAGGAAATGACTTGCTGCCACAGGTTTCTCAGCCCCTGATTGCCTTCGACAGCCACAGGAATAAGTTTAGTTAACAGCCAATATTGAAATAATCCCAAATATGTTATAGATTTTTTTTTCTTCTTCTGGGTTACAATTGACTAGTTAAATGACAATTTTTTAATGGTACAGGTCAAAAAGAAACAAATTGATGTATATATTTTTAATATTTATTTTTATTTGAAAGAAAAATTCTCCCACGTTTTCAAACCATTCTCAAAATTTTATTTGAAGACTTGAGATATATTCAGGGATTCAACGTCTTCCTGGTTTAGTCTTGAGAGGGTGTATGTGTCCAGGATTTTATCCATTTCTACTAGATTTTCTAGTTTATTTGCATAGAGGTGTTTATATTATTCTCTGATGGCAGTTTGTATTTCTGTGGGATCAGTGGTGATATCCCCTTTATCATTTTTTATTGTGTCTATTTGATTCTTCTCTCTTTTTTTCTTTAAATTGAGGCAGTAATTAATAGCCTACCAATCAAAAAAAGCCCAGAACCAAGCGGATTCACAGCGGAATTATACCAGAGTTACAAAGAAGAGCTGGTACCATTCCTTCTGAAACTATTCTAAACAATAGAAAAAGAGGGACTCCTCCCTAACTCATTTATGAGGCCAGCATCATCCTGATTCCAAAACCTGGCAGAGACACAACAACAACAACAAAGTTTCAGGCCAATATCTCTGATGAACATCAATGCAAAAATCCTCAATAAAATACTGGCAAACCGAAGCCAGCAGCACATCAAAAACTTATCCATCACAATCAAGTCGGCTTTATCCCTGGGATGCAAAGCTGGTTCAACATATGCAAATCAATGAATGTAATCCATCACATAAACAGAACCAATGAGAAAAACCACATACTTTTCTCAATAGATGCAGAAAAGGCCCTCGATAAAAGTCAACACCCCTTCATGATAAAAACTCTCAGTAAACTAGGTATTGATGGAACATATCTCAAAATATTAAGAGCTATTTATGACAAACACACAGCTAATATCATACTGAATGGACAAAAGCTGCAAGCATTTCTTTTGAAAACTGGCATGAGGCAAGGATGCCCTCTTTCATCACTCCTATTCAACATAATATTGGAAGTTCTGGCCAGAGTAATCAGGCAAGAGAAAGAAATAAAGTGTATTCAAATAGGAAGAGAGGAAGTCAAATTGTCTCTGCAGATGACATGATTGTATATTTGGAAAACCCCATCGTCTCAGCCCCAAAACTCCTTAAGCTGATAAAAAATTTCAGCAAAGTCACAGGATACAGAATCAATGTGCAAAAATCACAGGCATTACTGTACACCAATAATAGACAGAGAGCCAAATCATGAGTGAACTCCCATTCACAATTGCTACAAAGAAAAGAAAAATACCTAGGAATACAACTTACAAGGGATGTGAAGGACCTCTTCAAGGAGAACTACAAACCACTGCTCAACGAAATAAGAGAGGACACAAACAAATGGAAAAAAAAACCTATGCTCATGGATAGGAAGAGTCAACTTGGTGAAAATAGCCATACTGCCAAAGTAATTTATAGATTCAATGCTATTCCCATCCAGCTACCATTGACTTTCTTCACAGAACTAGAAAAAACTACTTTAAATTTCATATGGAACCAAAAATGAGCCTGTATAGCCAAGACAATCCAAACCAAAAACAACAAAGCGGAGGCATCACATTACCTGACTTCAAACTATACTACAAGGCTATAGTAACCAAAACAGCATGGTACTGGTATCAAAACAGATATACAGACCAATGGAACAGAACAGAGGCCTCAGAAATAACACCACACATCTATAATTATATGATATTTGACAAGCCTGACAAAAACAAGCAATGCGGAAAGGATTATCTATTTAATAAGTGAAGCTAGGAAAACTGGCTAGCCATATGCAGAAAACAGAAACTAGACCCCTTCCTTACACCTTACACAAAAATTAACTCAAGGTGGATTAAATACTTGAACATAAAACCTAAAACCATAAAAACCCTAGAAGAAAACATAGGCAATACCATTTAGGACATAGGCATGGGCAAACACTTCATAACTAAAACACCAAAAGCAATGGCAACAAAAGCCAAAATTGACAAATGGGATCTAGTTAAACTAAAGAGCTTCTGCTCAGCAAAAGAAACTATCATCAGAGTGAACAGGCAACTTACAGAATGGAAGAAAATTTTTGCAATCTATCCATCTGACAAAAGTCTGATATGCCAAGTATACAAAGAACTTAAACTAATGTAAAAGAAAAAAACAAACAACCACATCAAAAAGTGGATGAAGAGACACTTCTCAAAAGAGGACATTTTATGTTGCCAACAAACATATGAAAAAAAGCTCATCATCACTGGTCATTAGAGAAATGGAAATCAAAACCACGATGAGATACCATCTCATGCCAGTTAGAATGGTGATCATTAAAAAGTCTGGAAACAACAGATGCTGGCAAGGATGCAGAGAAATAAGAATGCTTTTGCACTGATGGTGGGAGTGTAAATTAGTTCAACCATTGTGGAAGACAGTATGGTGATTCCTCAAGGATCTAGAACCAGAAATACCATTTGACTCAGCAATCCCATTACTGGGTATATACCCAAAGGATTGTAAATCATTCTACTCTAAAAACACATGCACACGTATGTTTATTGCAGCACTATTTACAATAACAAAGACTTGGAACAAACCCAAGTGCCTATCAATGATAGGCTGGATAAAGAAAATGTGGCATGTATACACCATGGAATACTATGCAGCCATAAAAAATAATGGTTTCATGTTCTTTGCAGGGACATGGATAAAGCTGGAAACGATCATCCTCAGCAAACTAACACAGGAAAAAAACCAAACACTGCAAGTTCTTACTCATAAGTGGGAGTTTAACAGTGAGAACACATGGACATAGGGAGGGAACATCACACACCAAGGCCTCTTGGGGAGTGGGGGGCAAGGGGAGGGAGAGCATTAGGACAAATACCTAATGCATGTGGAGCTTAAAACCTAGATGACAGGTTGATAGGTGCAGCAAACCACCATCGCGCATGTATACCTATGTAACAAACCTTCACATTCAGAACATGTATCCCAGAATTTAAAAGAAAAAAAAAAAGAAAAAGACTTTGGGTCTAATAATGCCAGATAATTATTAGTGTGCAATCTTTTTTCTGACCTTCGGCCTAGAGTATTTCTGCTTTTATAAATGAAGTAAGGCATGGTCGTTGTTCCAGAACCTCAAATTGTATGCATCAGTGTATACATCTCATTTTATTCATTTATTCAAGAAATATTTATTGGGAACCTGTCTATTCTGTTCACTCTGTTAATACTGAAGACAGAAGGTCTTTTCACAGTCCCTGAACTGATAATATTACTGGTCCCTTTTTACAGAGATGACCCTGAATGAATAATTTTTCCACCTGCTTTTTATGAGCCACTATTGAACTTGACCATCTCCAGCTGCACAAATCTCTAACAAACTATTAGGGAATAGTTAATGTATAATGTCTAATTACCCATTAATAATCTAATGGCCATGACCAGGTGAGTTGCATTAAAAACGTGTAATTTGGAATATATAATTATTATTCCTTAAAATAGGTGAAAGGAGACTTAATATGATTATTTAAATAATGGTAGAAAAATTAACAAATATAAGATATTTTATTTACAGAAATATGCATGCTACATATAAGCCACATACATGCCACAAAAGTAACATGTATGTAGCAAGCATATTACATGCATACTGTGCACATACTACATGTACACTATGTATATACTATATGTTTACTATATGCACGCTTGTTTCTACACACAAAGGACATGTATACTACATGTACACTACATGCATAGTATATTTGAAATGTATCCTACATGCATACTACATGCATACTACATGTTTACTACATGCACACTACATGCATACTATATGAACATTTCATTCATTCTACATATATGCAACATGTATAGAGCATGAATGTCACGTGCATAGTACATACATGTAACATGCATACAACATGTATGCTACATGCGTTTGTTTTTCACAACTCTCAATAATATAAGTATATTTTTATTTGCTTTGTACTGAAGGAAAATTGGGGCCTTTGACTTTGGAAGAAAACCAATTACGTAGCTAAAATAATGTTGCAAACACACATCATAGATATATGCAACAAAGAATTTGCCCGAAATTATTATTTTTTCTACTCTCAATGAAAATCCAATTTCCATTTTAATGAAGTTCTCTGCAAACACCATGTATATGTGTATATATATATATATATATATATATATATATATATATATAACGTCTATGCTAGTTCTACTCTTTAAGACAATAATCATTTTTATTTGTGGTATATCAATTCTATCTATATATTAAAGATTGGCCTTTGTATATCAAGATGACTTTATTTATCAGCCATCAACTGGGCAAGCACATTTAGTTGTTTTGTCAGTAAAAGTTAACATTTTTCCTTGAGCAATCTTAATCCATATATCCGTACCCTTTGGTAACAAATAGAATACTTTTGTGAGATATGAATGTTTGCAAGTCTATGACTAGAGAAAGCAATTGTACTGTTTGTGATTTAATCAGGACTTCATATGAGAAAAGAAAATAATTTAAGAAGATAATGAAGTAGTTTATAATAACTGCATTATTTAAAACTTTAACTGACAATGGAGCTAAAGCTATTTTATACAAATGAATAATACTTTCACACCATGCATAAAAGAAAATAGGTGAATAAACATAAAACATTAACTTTCCACTGTTGAAAAATAGTTGTTTGCTATTTGCCAGGGTTTTTTTAAATGATTTACTTCACAAAATACATAAAAGACTCATAGACCAGTATTATTACTCTTGCAGTTCCTGTTATTCTACAGGACGTCAAAATCTTAGAAGAGGAGTTAATAACATATTAAATAACAAATAAAAGCTTTGATTTGATGTGATTTTTTTATCTCTAAGTCATGATTATTATCAGTCACTGATTCATTCATTTAGCAGAAAATTGGACCTTATTAATTGCAGAAAATGTAAATATGAATGTAGACATTGCAGGACTGAGACTGTAGATAGATTTGCATACCTATGTATGTATGTAGCTACATAACTCTATATTTATATATACATAAATAGCTAAGTTAATAAATATCCTATCAAGGCAAGAAATGATATCATACAAGGAATTACCATTAATAGAAGCAAATAAACGAACGAAAAGCAAGTAAGGCATGATAGTTTTGAAATGTGAAAAAGACATGAGATTTGGGAGGGCACAGGGGCAGAATAATATGGCTTAGCTCTGTGTGCCCACCCAGATCTCATCCCAAATTGTAATCCCCACATGTTGAGAAAGTGGCCTGGTGGGAGGTGATTGAATCATGGGAGTGGACTTCCCATTTGCTGTTCTTTTGATAGAATTCTGTTGATCCGTTTAGTGTGATCCCCTTCACTCTCTCTCTCCTGCCACCTTGTGATGAAAGTGTCTGCTTCCCCCTCATCTTCTGCCAAAATCGTAAGCTTTCTGAGACATCCCCAGCCATGTGAAACTGTGAGTCAATGAAACCTCTTTTCTTTATCAGTTATGCAGTCTCAGGTAGTATCTTTATAGTAGTGTGAGAAGGGACTAATATAAATGCAAAATGACATAGCCACTTTGAAAGGCACTTTGGCAGTTTCTTACAAAGATAAGCATAGTCTTCCCATATAGTTCAGTAATCACTCTTTTAGAAATTTACCTAAACTATTGGAAAATTTATCTTCACAAAAAACCTGCATGTGAATGTTTATAGAATTTTTATTCATAATTGCTAAAAACTGAAAGCAACTAAGATGCCCATCAATAGGTGAATGAATAAACAAACTATGGTACATACATACATAGAGAAGAACATTACATGCATATTACTAAGCGAAAGAAGTCAGTCAGAAAGGTCTACATACTGTGTGATTTCAATTTATGACATTCTCGAAAAGGCAAAACTATAGCAATGGTAAAGAGATCAACAGTTTCCAGGAGTGCACAGAGAGGAGAGAGAGGATTGAAAAGTTGTAGCAGAGAGGATTTTTAAGAGGGGTTAATATAGTCTGTACGAGATTGTAATTGTGGATACACGACACTATGCATTTTTCAAAACCCATACAACTTTACATTATGAAGATAGAAACCACACATGTGCAAATTAAAGAAAAATTAGGAGGTCTGGAGAGTATCAGGATGTGATGAAAATGTGGCAAAATGTATAAAACAACCTCATTCATGAGAGTAGGAAGAAGATTTGCTTACCTAAGTAACATTAAAAATGAATGGAGAGGTCTCCATAGCATTGTATTCTAGTTAATGAAGTTTTATTTCACCTAGGTACAGCTTAACAATCCTGATACTGCTATACATATTCTGCAGTTGAACACTTAAATAAACAGCAGGTGGTGGAAGCCAGGTTTCCTGCTATTGGAATGGGAGTTTACAAATAAGCAAGGGTAAGAATGTAGAGTGATCTATGTGGTGATTTAGTAGATTTGAAGACCTCATTATAAAGTCATTTTTAGATTCATACAGTTACAAAGAGTAACATATAGAAATGTTTATAATTATGTGTATATACACAGGCCAGTATACACATATATTTCCTTGTTCTGTCAACTAAGAGCAATGAGAATCAATGATAATCCAGTAAAACTAACACATCTAGCACCAAGACTTTGGCTTCCAATACCATTCTTTATAAAAAACAGCCAGGGGTTGGAAAAAGGCTGATCTCAGGACTCAGGCAGGAAAGATACAACATGAGCCTAGAGTATCTTTCTTTTTTTTTTTTTTTTGAGACAAGTTTCTCGTCACTGAGGCTGGAGTGCAATGGCGTGATCTTGGCTCACTGCAACCTCCGCCTCCCAGGTTCAAGCGATTCTCCTATCTCAGCCTCCAGAGTAGCTGGGATTACAGGCACCTGTCACCACACCTGGCTAATTTTTGTATTTTTAGTAGAGAAGGGGTTTCACCATGTTGGGCTGGCTGGTCTCAAACTCCTGACCTCAGGCAATCCACCCGCCTTGGCCTTCCGAAGTGCTGGGATTAGAGGCGTGAGCCACCACACCCAGCCTAGAGTATCTTATAGTATCAGAAAGTAAGGCAGTATTCATAAACCAGATACACACACACACACACACACACACACACACACACACACAGATTGAGTAACGTATGTCAAAGCAACACAGGAGCAAAGTGAAAGAATTCCCAATGCACAAAACTGAAACAATTTCACAAAGTAAAGTGGTATTCGATTATGACCCAAAGTATAAAATAAATATGTTAGTTAATACAAACATAAATTGTTTAATAAATAAATGAAGAATAAAAGACAAATCTCCTTCGGAAGATAAAAACAAAATTTGTGGGTGCTCTTCTCTTAAGGCGAGGGAGCCCCTCTATCCTTAATTGTAGGCATAGTGATTTCTTTTCAAGGAGTACAGTGTGGAAAGAAGGAAGAAAAGAATAATGTTGCAGCAAAAAAAACCTGCAAACACTATCTTAGCCACATGATCAATGTCAACACCAACACATCAACATAAATACTGTTGATAGTTTGTACCTTTGATAAGACTTGATGAAAATAGCACTTGACCTCTGTGGTAGTTCTCTTCAAAACCCATAGTTTTTCTGAGAAAAATATCAGAAAAATTCCCAATTGAGGCACATTCTACAAAATGCCTGAAAAGTACTTCTTAAAACTTTCAAGGTCATGAAAAACAAGGAAAGTCTAAAAAACTGTCATAGCCAAGAGGTGCCTAAGGAGATATAATTACTAAATGTAATACAGTAACCTGGATTGAAGCTTGGAACAGTAAAAGTAAAAAAAAAAAGAAAAATAAATCTGAAAAAGCTATAGGTTTTAGTTAATAGTATTATGTCAATATAGGTTCTTTAATTGTATGAAACATACCATACTATCATAAGATAGTCATAGTACATGAAACTAGATGTTGCGTATATAGGTTAGGGCCTCCCCACTATTTTCACAATTTTTCTGAAAATCTACAAGTTCCTTAAAATTTTTAAATTTCTTTAAAAATGGAAATAAATTAACTTAAAAATAAGATTACATTTCTTTTTATTCTATTTCTGAACTTCTTGAAAACAATTTTCTTATGCTTATTTTTCTTTTACATTTGCTTTCAAGATATTCTTGTAAGTTTGGTTTTCTGTTAAATTACACCTTTAGTTAGAATAAGATGTCCTTTTGTTTTTAGTTATTAAACTGTCAGTACAAAGTTTCACTTTGATAAATTTAAGAGAAACAATCTAAGGATTCTATTTCACCTAATAAGTAACAAAAGAGCTATTGATATTTAAGAATTATACACGTATTAGTCAATTAAAGAGTACTAGCAGTAATTTAAACAATTGTGATGTCATTATAGAAGTCTGGTGGTTGACTTTGAGGCAGAAAGACATAATGAATCGATACAATAAGAATGATAGAGGCAGGAGACAACCAAATGCCTAGGCAGATAGGGAAGCGTTTCCGGAGAATCTCTGACCAGCTCCACAAGTGTTTAACACCAGATGTTTTGTGCAGATAAGAGAACCTGCACGGGGAGATTGCCTGGGCATGCTCTCAGCAGGCTGGAGGCCCACATGCACTGGGGGAATGCGGTGGAGCCACCAGAAATCTGCATCTTATGCAGGAGAGGATCCTGCTCTCTTCAACTCATTTGCTGGGGCCGTGGTATTCAATTTGTGAGTTGGAAGCCTGTGTGCAGGCTGAGAGCTTTCCTTTCACTTAATAAATTCCGTCCTCCTCACCCTTAATGGGTCTGCGTGCCTAATTATTTCCTGGTTGTGCTACAAGAACCCGATTTAGCTGAACTAAGGAGGAAAATCTCCTGCATCAATAAGAAAAGAAAAAATGTAGTTTAAAACTTTATACCGTGACAGTCGAGAACTGCATGCCCAAAGGGTGAAAGAAGGAACATTGACCCCCAAGCAAACATTCTTACTTGGGAACCTGAAGGTCCAGATCATGGGAGAAGGATTTTACCTTACCTGAAGCGCAAATGAATTTAGAGATGCGAGCAAAATATAGGGGTAGAGGAAGCAGGAGGAAAAGCCCTGTGAGTGCTCTCAGTCCACAGGGAAGCCATTTTGAACTTTGTCTCGCAGGGTCCTTGGGGAGGGCTGCGAGTGGAATTGAGGAAAGAACAAAGAAAGAAGGAAACTTCCAGCTGAACTTTGTAACAATTTTGGTCAAATGTGAAGTTTCCTGGACAGAATCTGGGGGAAAGGGCGAACTGGGAGTGCAGATACAGCATAGAAGCCATGGCAGGCGGGAAGGCACAAAACTTGAAAGCCCTGCTTGCTGTCTCAGCACAGAAGCTGGTAGCCTGCGGCAAGCTCTAAGCTGTGCTCACTGGCTGCCTAGAAATCAACTTGGTGCTTTTGGGGGAGGACAGTGGGAGTGAGACTGTCGTTTTGGGGTGCGTGGGAGCTAGGTGAGGACTGTCACTGCTGGCTTTACCCCACTTTCCTGGCTACCTCTATGACACAGCAGAGGCAGCCATAATTCTCTTGGGAACATAACTCCATTGGCATGCAAACCACACCCCAATCCCCCACAGCAGCTTCAGCAAGCTCCACTCAAGGAGAGTGTGAGCTCAGACATATCTAACCCTGTCCCTACCTGATGGTCTTTCTCGATTTGCCCTGGTAGCCAAAGACAAAGGACATAATCTCTTGGTAATTCTATGGTCCTGCCCACTGCCTGAGAAACTTATTCAGGTGACCCTAGGGCAAGACTGTACCCTTTCTATATGACCACATCCGATGCTCTCTTGAAAGCGTCACCTTCTGGCTGGAGGCTAACAAACACAAAGCCAGCAAACTAAACACAATGACAACCAAGGACCCTCACAGAGTCCACTTCTCTCCCTTGTTACCTGCACTGACGCAGGTGCGGGTATCCACAGCTGAGAGACCTGAAGATAGTTCACATCACAGTACCCTTTGCAGACACTCCCTAGTATCAACCCAGAGGTGGTTGCCTTTGCTGAATGGATAGATCCAGAAGAGAAATAACAATCACTGCACTTTGGCTCTTAGGAAGTCTTATTCCTAGGGGAAGAGGGAGAGCACCACATCAAGGAGGCACATCGTGGGACAAAAGAATCTGCATAGCAACCTAGGGCCATAGATCTTCCCTCTGACATAGTCTACCCAAATGAGAAGGAACCAGAATAACAATTCTAGCAATATGACAAAATAAGGTTATTTAACACCCCCAAAAGATCATACTAGTTCACCAGCAATGGATCCAAAGCAAACAGGAATCACTGAGTCACCAGAAAAGAATTTAGAAGGTGAATTATTAAGCTACTTAAGGAGGCATCAGAGAAAGGCGAATACCAACTTAAATAAATTTTAAAAATGTTACAAGATATGCATGAAAAAATCTCCAGAGAAATAAATAACATAAATGAAAAACAATCACATCTTCTGGAAATGAAGGACAAACTCTGAGATATGCAAAATACATTGGAAAATCTCAGCAATAGAACAAGTAGAAGAAAGAGCTTCAGATCTTGAAGACATGGCTTTTGAATTAACCTAATCCAACAAAGACAAAGACAAAATAATTTAGAAAAATGAACAAAACCTCCAGGAAGTTTGGGATTATGTTAAAAGACCAAACCTAAGAATAATTGGCGTTCCTGAGAAAGAAGAGAAATATGACAGTCTGGAAAACATATTTGAGGAAATAATCAAGGAAAACTTTCCCTGGCTTGCTAGAGACCTAGACATTTAAATACAAGAAGTTCAAAGAACACCTGAGAAATGCTTCACAAAAAGATCATTGCCTAGGCACATAGTCATTAGGTTATCTAAAGTCAAGGCAAAGGAAAGAATCTTAAGAGCTGTGAGGCAAAAGCATCAGGTAACCTATAAAAGAAAACCTACTAGATTAACAGCTGATGTATTAGCATAAACTCTCCAAGTTAGAAGGGATTGGGGTCCTATCTTTAGCCTCCTTAAAAAGACAATTATCAGCCTATAATTTTCTATCCAGCAAAACTAAGCTTTGTAAAAAAAGACATAGTCTTTTTCAGACAACCAAATGCTGAGATAATTCATCACTACAAAGTCAGCACTGAAGAATTGCTAAAATGAGCTTCAAATCTTGAAACAAATCCCCAAAATACATCAAAATAGCAGCTCCTTAAAGTATAAATGTCACAGGACCTATAATACAATAAGACGATGAAAAAAAAAGGGTATCAGGCAACAAATAGCACAATGAATAGAATAGTACCTCACATCTCAATAATAATGTTATGGCCTAAATGCTCCACTTAAAAGATACAGAATAGCAGAATAGATAAATATCCACCAACCAAGTATCTGCTGTCTTCAAAGACTCACCTAATGAATAAGGACTCACATAAACTTAAGGTAAAGGGGTGGAGAAAAGATTCCATGCAAATGCACACCAAAAGTGAGCAGGAATAGCTATTCTTATTTCAAACAAAATAAATTTAAAAGCAACAACAGTTTAAAAAAGACGAAGAGGGACATTACAAAATGATAAAAAGACTAGTCCAACAGGAAAGTATCACAATCCTAAATATATATGCACCTAACACTGGCACTCCCAAATTTATAAAACAATTACTACTAGACCTAAGAAATGAGTTAGACAGAAACACAATAATAGTGAGAGACTTTAATACTCCACTGCAAGGAAACAATGGACTTAAGCTACACCCTAGAACAAATGAACTTAACGATATTTACAGAACATTCCAACCAACAATGGCAGAGCATACATTCTATTCATCAGCACATGGAGCATTCTCCAAAATAGAGCATATCATAGGCCACAAAACAAGTCTCAATAAATTTAAGAAAATCAAAATTATATTAAGTACTCTCTCAGACCACTGTGGAACAAAATTGGAAATCAACTCCAAAAGGAACTCTCAAATCCATGCAAATACATGGAAATTAAATAACCTACTGCAGAATGATCAATATTGGTCAATAATGAAATAAAAAATGGAAATTAAAAAATTATTTGAACTGAACAATAATAGTGACACAACCTATCAAAACCTCTGAGATACAGCAAAAGCAATGCTGAGAGGAAAGTTCATAGCATTAAATGCCTACATCAAAATGTCTGAAAGAGCACAAATAGGCAATCTAAGGTCATGGCTCAAGGTACTAGAGAAACAAGAACAAACCAAGCCCAAACCCAGCAGAAGAAAAGACCAAGATCAGAGCAGAACTAAATGAAATTGAAACAAAAAAATAAAAAAGATAGATAAAACAAAAGCTTTTTCTTTGAAGAGATAAATAAAGCTGATAGACCATTAGTAATATTAACCAAGAAAAGAAGAGAGAAAATTCAAATAACATCAATTAGAAATGAAATGGGAGGTATTACAACTGATACACAGCAATACAAAAGATCATTCAAGGCTACTATGAACACCTTTATGTGAACAAACTAGAAAACCTAGAGAAGATGGATACATTCCTGGAAATATACAACCCTCCTATATTAAACCAGGAAGAAATAGAATCTCTGAACAGACCAGTAACAAGGAACAAGATTGTAATAGGAATTAAAAAATTGCCAATAAAAAAAGTCCAGGACCAGACAGATTCACAGCTGAATTCTATCATAACAGACTTTCAAAGAATTGGTACTAATCCTATTGATACTATTCCAGAAGAAAGAGAAAGATGGAATCCTCCCTAAGTCATTCTATGAAGCCAGTATCACCCTAATATCAAAACCAGGAAAGGACATAAAAAAGAAAACTACAGACCAATATCCCTAATGAACATAGATGCAAAAATCCTCAACAAAGTACTAGTTAATCAAATCCAACAGCACATCAAAAAGATAATCCACTATGAATAAGTTGGTTTTATACTAGTGATGCAGGGATAGTTTAACATGCATAAATCAATAAATGTGATACACCACATAAATGGAATTAAAAACAAAAATTATGATCATTTCAACAGATTCAGAAAAAGCAGTTGACCAAACCCAGCATCCCTTTATGATTAAAACCCTCAGCAATATCAGAATAGAAAGGACATACGTCAAAATACTAAAAACAATATATGACAAACCCACAGCCAACATTATATTGAATGGGGAAAGTTGAAAGCATTCCTGAGAACTGGAACAAGACAAGGATGCTCACTTTCACCATTTCTATTCAACATAGTACTGGAAGTTCTAGCCAGAGCAATCAGTCAAGAGAAAAAAATAAAGGGCACCTAAATCCTGTTTTTAATTGCTCTTGTATTCCTTTGTGGCTTTTCATTATAGTTGTATTGCTATTCAAGAAGCTAATTAACCTATATTATTAGGTGCTTTCTCCAGATAAAATACCTCTGCTGTATATTTAATTATCTTTCCAAATTCCAAAGGCACAAGACTTATAAGATAATAAAGACAAATTGCTATCTGTGGAGTGGAAAGCATATATTTGACATAGAGCAAATGCATATATTTCATTAAGGCATTATTATCTTAATTATTAAAAAGAAAAAGAAAAGCAGCCAAATCAACAGATCATGTTTAGCATTGGTTATCTTTCTTACCAAAAAAACAAGTAGCCAAATCAACAGATCACATTTAGCATTGGTTATCTTTCTTACAAAAAAATTCTAGAGAGAAAACAGCTAGTTCACATATACCTTAAATTATTATGTCCTGTAAACTCATCAGGAACTCTGAGTATATTCAGCATAAATATTTGATTTTATGCAAAATGGTAAAACTTATTAATGTTATCTTTCATTAAATGATGATTATTCATGATACTGTATAATCATCAAAATTGTTTAAGACCCCAGCCACTTAAAAACATAGAAACCCAGTGTATATATGTATTTATATGCAATAGGTCATTTTGATATAATTCTGGGTCAATAGGCAATAATGTAGTAGCCTACCACAGCTCTCTATTAAAGATAATGTTTTGATGCATACAATTGCTCATACAAATTTAAGACAGCCCTTTTTTTCTAGAAAAGGAATCAATATATTGTTTCATGAAATGAAAATTATGACTTAATTGTAATACCAATGAAATTGGAATTATTTATTTGAAATTTATGCTTGAAATACACTTTTATCAAGGAAAGTTACATGATCGGAGGTTTTAATTTTTCTTAAAAGGAAAACCCTGACTACAGTCTGCATAATTGTTTGTTAGGTCACAAGTAAAACAATGAGAAGAGGAAGGAAACTCTTCTAGTAGTTAGTCATGAGAGGTTGGATTAATTAATGGTAGAGATGCACAACAAATAACAAATGCAAGATGTGCAAAATATTAAGAAGGTAAAGTGAATTCAGTGTTGTCTCAGTTATAGGAGGTGAAAGAAGAGGCAAGCATGATGACTACTTCCCTGGCTGATTTGCACACTAAGATGGAAGATATAGTTCCCTGTTTGTTGAAGAGGCTATTGAGAAAAGAATGTTTCATGAGGACACAAGTTCGGCTGGTAGACTGAATCTGATGAGGGTCTATCAGACCTGTCTCCCGGACCTGGCAAACAAAATCATCACATGGGATGCTTTTCAAAAACACCTCTAAAATTTCCAATTTAATTTTTTTCTTTAACAGATCACAGGTGGCAATAATTTTTAAAAGCCCACAGGTTATTTTGAGAATTACTGCCTAAAAACACCCAAATGTAGATAATTACATGTTGCATGAATGGAAACTTTCATGCATATTCCTTATGTATTAAAATCTGCAAACAACACTATTAAAATATTAAAATATGAAAAAAGATAAGCATGAGAGAATTATTTTAATGAAAGCTTTTTTAAAAATAAGGAACAATAAATTTTAACCTGAAATTTTAATTAATGTGTTCATTTTATGTCCATAACAGATTTCTGTGTTAATTTTACAAATATCTTCCTCCATTGTTAATGTTGAATACCATGAAACATTTTGTATAAGCATCTACCTGACCAAAGAGATGGCTTTATTTTCTGGCATTAATATTTTCTCTTTTAACTCTGAAGTCTTATTTTTATTTTGCTCCTTTACATTAATATTTATATTATTAAATAATGTTTCTTAGGCCTTATCCTGTCTATATTGTTATTAATAAATTCATAAATAAATGATTGTTTTTATAATTGAGTTTTATATAAGGTATTATTTTGAGGAATACCTAATTGTGCTTAGACTGACCTGTGTCAGGTATTTTATAATAAGGAAGACCATAGCGTTTGCTACCAATCATAGTTAAAAAATAGTTTCTACATATAATGAAATGAATCTAATACTTTTTATGCTCTAGATACAATAGTGTGTCTTGCCAATGGAGTTAAAGTATTTAACTCTGTTTTATTCACAAGTTCCTCAATTATTTGATTAAATGAATAAATAAGTTAATATTAGATCAAGTGAAAATCATACCAAGTCCATTAAGTAATAATCACAAATTTGTGATCATCAAAGAATGAATATATTTTATCTTTTTATTGTGTGTATATATATGATTATATATATGTATCAGAGACATCTATAATTCTTGAAAACATTATATGTGTAAAGTATATAATATATATATAATTTGCATATATTCCTTTAGAAAGGTATAAATACATATGCATGTTTACATACATATCTATCAATATTTAGAAGAAAACAGATTGTTGAGAATGCTGTTTATTGCACATAATATATATAAGTCTCTTTTATAAACTAGTAAATAACCGTGAAGGCAGAGATTAGGGGTTGTGTTATTGCCACTTTTTCCTTCCAATTGACCAGTGCCAAGCATAAAAGAAGTGCTAAGTAAGTATTATCTTTAGTATACTAGGGTATGCAATTAACTTACCAGTAGAGTTTTATACCAATATAATATTGTACCAACAACACCAGCTTCAAATGCAATTATTCATACTATTCCCATTTTAAAATGATCCAAATTTTGACATAAAAATCTCTGCATCTGCATGGAAAAGTGAATTTTTTACTTCAGTATGCACATATAATGATTTATCTGCTTTTATGAACCACAGAATAATAGGCTATTGATCCTATGAACACTTCACATGTGAATACATCTGGATCAAAATATAACTCAACTGACATAATTTCTGAAAAGTCTATGTCATTTCTTTTCATGATTCGCATAATACACATGATGCAAATTCCTGGGCATTGCAAATTCTTCATTGTAGAATAAGAGATTAAATCAAATAAAAATGCAATGTTAGCTTTAAAACATATTTTGAAAGTAAACGTTCCACTGTCATTTATGAAGCATGAAATAAAATAATCTCAGGAGCATTATCATAAATGTAACCTCACAGGAGTTAAAGCTATTAATTATTTTTCTAATATTTATGAAACGAAATAAATAGAAGCCAGGATTTCAGAAGGCTGAAAGTTGTTGTGTAATAAGAATGTTTGATTTTTCATTAGTATCTAATAAATTATATTAAAAATGAAATAAGAAGCCCATTGGTCAATTCTCACCTCAAATGGAAACAAAGTTTCTATCAATATGAAAATATATTTATGATGCTTCATTCACATAATTTAACTAAACATACTCTACAATATGAAGGGTATGGAACTTTCTTAACATTAAATATAGTGATTTGTTTACTCCAGTCATTAATATAGCTTAGTGCCTATGTCTAACTACTAGATGTTCTTCTAATTCAGCATTTCCTAACAATGACCAGTAGAGATTAATGAATATTTAAAACAGTACCTAACATCAGTCTTAGGAGTCCTGTGAAAGGTCATTCTTGAATGTTTAAAGTCTTGTTTATGTATTTGATCATTATTTATAAGACTTTACAGTAAACCATAATGTGTTTTTGTGGTTCTCAACAAATTGACATTTAATCTCATTTGTTGTATATTGAAAACCTAGACCGGGCATGGTGGCTCACGCCTGTAATCCCAGCACTTTGGGAGGCCGAGACGGGCAGATCACGAGGTCAGGAGATCGAGACCATCCTGGCTAACACGGTGAAACCCCGTCTCTACTAAAAATACAAAAAATTAGCTGGGCGTGGTTGTGGGAGCCTGTAGTCCCAGCTACTCGAAAGGCTGAGGCAGGAGAATCGGTGGAACCCGGGAGGCGGAGCGTGCAGTGAGCCGAGATCGCACCACTGCACTCCAGCCTGGGTGACAGAGCAAGACTCCATCTCAAAAAAATAAAAATAAAAAATAAAAAAAGAAAACCTATATATGACGAATACCAAGTTTTTTTGGCCTATAACTTTTAGAGTTAAGACCTAAGGAAGATAAAATTTTCTTTGGCGAAATATCTATTCAAGTCGTTAGTCCATTTTTATTTTAAGATGTTAGTTTCATTATTATTATTATTATTATTATTATTGAATTGTAAGAGGTCCTTACATATTTTAGAAATTAACCTCTTAGTTGATATATGACTTGCAAATATTTTTTCTCATTCTGTTGGTCGCTTTTTCACTATGTTGATTGTTTCCTTTCCTGTGCATTTTAGTTTGATGTAGTCTCACTTGTCTATTTTTGCTTTTGTTGTCTGTGTTTTTAGTGTCACATCCATTAAATCATTGCCAATAACAATACTCTACAGTTCTTTTCTCCATGATGTTTGCTAAGAGTTGTACAGTTTTAGGTTAAGCACTTAAGCCTTAAATCTAGTTTGCTTCAATATTTTGTGCATGGTAAACGATAAGAGTCCAACTTCATTCTTTTGCATGTGTATATCCAGTTTTTCCACCTCTGAAGGAGACATACAAATGGCCAACTGTTAATATGAGACAAGCCTCAATGTCACTAATCATCAAGGAAATGCAACTCAAAACCACAATGAGATATCACCTCATGTCTGCTTGAATGGCTTTTATCAAAGAGACAAAAGACAACAAGTGTTGTGAGGATGTGAATAAATAAATTGTATACTGTCAGTGGGAAAGCAAATGGTGTAGCTGCCATGAAAACCACTATGGAAGTTTCTCAAAAATTCCTAAAAATAGGACTACCATATAATCTAGCAACCCAACTTTTGGTCACTTACACAAAAAAATTAAAATCAGGACCTTGAAAAGATAATATTACTCCCATGTTTATTGTAGCACTATTTAAAATGATTAAGGTGTGGGAACAACATAAATATCAATTGACAGATTACTAAAGAAAATATGGTATATACATACTGCAGAATATTATTTAGCTATAAAAAAGGAAATCTTATAATATGCAACATGGATGAACCTTGAGGACAATATGATAAGTAAAATAAGTCAGTGGCTAAAGGTTAGATGATTTCACTTTTTTAAGGTATCTGAAACAGTCAAACTCATAGACGCAGACAGCAGGAAGATGGTTTCCAGGGGAATTGGAAAGGGGAAAATAGAGAGTTGCTAATAAATGAGTATAAAGTTCTGTTATGCAAGATGAATAAGTTCTAGATCCTGCTGTACGACATTATGCCTATAGTCAACAATATTGTATTGTACACTAAAAGGGTGGTTAAGAGCATATATATGATGCTAAGTGTTTTTATCACAATAAAAAATAACTTATTAAAAAGATAAAGTCTTTTGAAAATGAGTTCTTACTTTAAAATATAGGAGGATGATTTGAATTTTATTAGGGAAAGCCTATCCACATTATTCTACTTATAAATATTTCTATCTCTGTTCATGCCTTCATTAACCCAAATGAATGAAATGATCTCATTATCAGTTGACATTGAAGAATTACATTAATTTGTTAAGGAAGAACATCATCAAATTATTGGAGCTTAACTTTTAGAAAGATGTTTATTTTTCCATTGATTTAGGTCTTATTTTATGTCTTCAGTGATATGTTATCTTACTACAATTCTTATTTATTTGTCGTTAATTTATTTTGAAATATTCTGTCAATTGTATTGTTATATTGAAAGGCAATTTTCTCATTGTATCCTGTGATAAGGTTTTTAATTACGAAAATTGACACTGATTAATATACATTTATTTAATTTCTTATATCTGGCAATCTTACTAACTTCTTTTTTATTTTAATAGTTTTCTTTCTGGTTCATTTTTCTGGATTTTCCAGGTAAAAATATTAGAAATTCTGAAAGCGGTAAAATGTTTATGTCTAATCTCTCTCTCTCTCTCTCCTCTCTCGCTCCCTCTACAGACACACATATGTATATACACACTTATATATGTGTATATGTATGTGTGTGTGAGTGTGTGAGTGTGTGTATATATATATAACTAAATATATACACATATGGTATCTATGTGAGTGTGTGTATATACATATATATAGTACATATATATGTACATAGTTATTTATATGTGTATATATATATATACGCACACTCATCTATGGTATCTAAAATGGCCAAATTCATAGAAGCAGATATTTATAGATATGTGTATGTGTGTGTGTAAAGATATATAGGTGTATATACACACACACATATATATACACACACAATGACATATATATACACACATATATATACACATATATACATGTGTATATATATGTGTGTATATAGTGAGAGCAAGAGAGAAGAGGGATTTATACATAAAATATTTATTATATATAAATATATATTTATAAATAAGAGTAAATATATCTATATTCAGATATGTATATATAGACAATAAATATACATATATTTGTTGCTTTTTCTTATGTTTAAATGAGAGAACAATAAGATTAATAAATGCTGTCTTATTTCTGACTTTATGATGTTGTTCTTGTTATTCATTGTTCCATAAAAAAAATTGCCCAAAACCTAGTGGTTTAAAATTATAAAAATTATTTTATTATTTTTCCCAGTCTGTATGGGTCAGAAATCTAAGAAAGCTTTGTGTAGATGTCTCTGGCTTGTGAGCTCTAATGCATTAGTGCTCAGTGCATTAGAGCACTAATTGCAGTCAATGTTGGCTCATAAGAGCAGGAGTGGTGGTGGCGGTGAAGAGCATTTAACTGGAGGCTGGCCAGACTTCTCTGTCTTCTTATACCCTGTCCATGTGGTGTGTCTACATGAACAAGTTTGTTTTCCTAGAGAAAGAGCATCCTTAGAACATTTAGATTGCTTATTTGTCACCCGAAAGCTTCAAGGGCAAATATCACAGACAGCAAGTGGAAACTTTTATTACCTTTCATTACCTACCCACAAAAGCCAGATCATATCACTTTCAAAGTACTGTATTTGCTGACCAAGAAAAAGTTCATTCTCATTCATGGGAAGGGTGGTTGTTCAAATAACTGGTGGCCAGATATCTCAATATTTTTATTTCCTTTAATTAGAATAAATTTTTAAAATTTCTATCAGTATCTATTGATATGATAAATAGATTTCTCCCCCTTCCACAAATAAACACTGCCAGATTATCCCGTTTTACTGAGCAATTTTCTTTCAGACTCAATCTATTTGCACCTTCTTCTTTTCCCTCAAACCTCTAAATTTGCAGGCCCAACATTAAGCTGACAATCTTGCTTCCTTTTACACTGAATTAAATAAAAGCTACGAGAAGGCAAATGCAGTATCATTTTATCACATAATTTATCCATTCATACAAGCTCTACCCTTATATTCTGTCTTTCCTTCACTAAATGGATTAATTCTTTCTACTACTATTTTCTCCTTTAATTCTGTTGTGGATCCCATCCTTTGCACCAATTCCAAGATTATGCTCCTCAAATTAATTGTACTCTTTCCTAGATTATGATTTTTTTCTACAGGATATTTTCTCTCAGAATAGAAATAAATGTCCTACATCTCCTCAAAAACAAACAAACAAAGAAACAAAATAGATATGGGGTTCTCACTCTGTCGAACAGGATGATCTTAAACTTGGCTTCAAGGGATCCTCCTGCCTCAGCCTTCCAAAGTGCTGGGATTACAGGTTTGAGCCACCACATGTGGCCTACATCTCCTGCTTTCAAATAAAATTCTGTAAATTTGCATGTTCTTCCATTTACTGCCCCAATTCTCTTTAAAGCAAAACTCTTGGGAAGTCTTTACTAAACTAAGGGTCACGACTTCCTCTGAACGCTTTGGGTTTACGGATACATGTATTTCCCCCTGACTCCCAGTTCTACTGAAACTGCTTTTTCTCAGTCAGCAATAAGTTGCTGAATTCAATAATTACTTCTTAGTCCTCATCTTAACTTATCTTAATACAGCGTTTGACAGAGTGATCAACTTCTTGAAAGACTCCATTTACAATTTTAAGAGCAGATTCATTTCTCATTAACTTATTTTATGTCATGATCTACTAAGAATGTAGAAGCTTCAATTTTCTTAAGTCCTGTAAATTATTTTGGCTAAAAAAATGAATACCAGGAATAAAACCATATGCTTAATAATAAATGCATTTAAAACAAAACAATTTATACCTAAACCAGACTGTAATTAGCATTATTCAGAATCCTGTCTTTTTTAAGCTATATATACTTAGATATATCTTCTATAGGAAAAGCTCTGAACACAGATTGATAATTTTCTCTGTATCTCTTTATCTCTCAAAGAAAACTAATCATAAAATGATTTAATCAATATTTATGCCAACTAGAATGTTGTATAAACACATGTAATACATAAAACGTGTACACATAAACACATATGTATATATTTAGTATTCTCATCTGTGTAATATTTTTGTCAAAGGTTAGTATCACATAAAAGACCACCTCATAAAGTCAGTTAGTGAGCTTTCCTTCAATACCTCTAATCTTGACTAGTTTAATCAAATAGTAATTACCTGTTTTTAAAGATCAGTTAGTATTCTTTCATCTTACCTTACACTTGGGAGCAAAAGGATTAAGGGCGGCTCTGCCATCCATTCTCTCTCTTTATCAGGGACAACCAGGGAAAGTAAGAAAGTTGATCTAGTCACAACCTTTTATTAGATGCTAATGATACATCTCCTGGGAAACATGTAATGTTATTTACCATAGAGTTTCCTTATCTGGTCTATCTAGTTAAGATTACAGTAAACCAGCTCAGAGTCTGTGGATTTATGGAACATAGCTCCCTGAAATTTTCATGTAAGCAATGCAGTTATTGGAGTGAAAATAGGAGGTGTTTTATAAGTGAGATAGCTCCCTTTTGTGTAAGTGAGGGCTGCATGTCTCACTCAGGAACTCCATATGTTAAATCTGGGCCAGAAACAATTAAAACATTGCAAGAAAGGATCTGAGGGAAGAAATTAATATACTGGTCTCTGCTTTTCCTGCATCTTGCAATCTCTTGTTTACATGAAATTATTAGAATGCTTAAAATTGTTGAGATTCCTTATTTTTGTTAGATCTTACAATCTGACACTTTTAAAAATTAAGGCCTGGTATAAATTTTTAATCTTTCACAGTAGAAGAGTTTAACAATTTTCCTTATACCAAGATAAAATTTTCTGGATGAATATAAATAGGAAATAATAAAGACTAATAATATTCAGAGATTCAAAGAGAAAGAACAATGTCATACATTGCAGATTAGTTTTTAATTTTGAATGACTAAATGGTGAATTATGAACTAACCAGAAAAATAATAGAGAAAAACAGAAACAAACCCAACACATGTTGTGGGGAAGCATGGAGATTAAAGAAAGATAAATTTAAGTGTATAGAGAAGCAATTGATCCCAGTATAAATTAGTGGCAAGGTACACAATTTGATCTGAGAATTGTTTGCTACTTTTTAACGTGTATAACATACATTTACATAGTCTATATAGAAACTGAAACTAAGTAACTTGTGTAACATATAAAACATATATATAGTAAAAAGAAAAACCAATTAAATTTTTAAACAATAATATGTGTTTTCCCCTTTGCTGATTATGCATGAAAAGTCTACCCACAGTAACTATACTTAATGAACAATCATTAATCACTTAGTGGCAGACAATAGCAATAAAAGTAGAGTACATGGGAGGAATTACAAAGTAGCCATAAGAATTGCCCTGAAACTTGAGGTTCTTTGAGTGATGGAAAAGTTCATAAAGACACCAAATGTAAAAAAAAAAAAAAAAAAAAAAAAAAAAGAAACTTTAAAATGCAACCAGTCATAAAAAGAAATGTGTTTTCTTGTTTATCTTTTTGGCTCTTTCAATCTCTTACTTTAATGGGCTCTCTATATTTGGTTCAGCTTTGAATTAGAGTCTCTGTGAAAAACCTGAATTTTTCCTCCTGACCAATACTTGGTTAAGGAGAGAGATTTAATATATTTTTTATATATTTACCCTAGTGCCCATCAGAGCACCTAGAATTTAAAAGTTGTTGAATACAGTTTTACAGAATTTGTGTGTGAGAATGAAAGAAGAGGCAGAATTAGCTATGCTTAAAAGCTCATTTCTAAAATGACTTTTTTTTTTTTTTTTTTTTTTTTTTTTGTGATGGAGTCTCGCTCTGTTGCCCAGGCTGGAGTGCAGTGGCATGATCTCGGCTCACTGCAAGCTCTGCCTCCCGGGTTCACACCATTCTCCTGCCTCAGCCTCCCGAGTAGCTGGGTCTACAGGGGCCCACCACCATGCCCGGCTAATTTTTCGTATTTTTAGTAGAGACGGGGTTTCACCATGTTAGCCAGTATGGTCTCGATCTCGATCTCCTGATCTCGTGATCCGCCTGCCTCAGCCTCCCAAAGTGCTGGGATTACAGGTGTGAGCCACCGTGCCCGGCCGACTAAACCAATGACTTCTAAGTTTTATCCTAAGCCCTGAACTCGAGCTCATTAAATCTTACATACTACTTATAATAACTGTCCTGATGTGCAAAAGTTACTCCAATCTCAGCACGCCCAAATATTCTCATGATTTTTCCACCAAACTTGTCTATCTTCCAGTATTCAAAATCTCAAGGAATGGCCCAGTCACTCCAGCATTCTGCAGGCCAGAAACGAAGATTTTATTTGATCTTCCTTTCTCTTTCATTCTGTATACCTAATATATTCCCAAACCCAACAATTGAACCTTCAAATTAATCTCTCAAGGAGACGTTATTAGCCATTCCCATTACTAACATTATCCTAATTCAAACTTCAATTAGCTTTGATCTGAACCATTGTATTTCCTCCTCTGTTTTGTTGTTGTTGTTGTTGTTGTTTGTTTGTTTTTCCATCTTTGATTACTATGAATCCATCTTCTACAACACAATCAAAATAATTTCATCAAAATACTAATCAATCTATTTCGTGATAATCTTCCCAAATACCTTCTAGTTAGATGAAACAGCTAGGAGATATTCCCAGTCACGGAATAGCCTCTGCTTTCAGCACAGTGCTGGGTCCCACATAGGAAATTACTCTTGGTCTAAGTGAAGTGCCTCCCTAACCTTGGGAGCACCTCCCAAAAAAACAAGCCCTCTACCAGAAAGAAAGCCCTGACTATGACCGGTTGATATAATCCTTAAAGACTCTTTTCTCTTGCCAGAATATAGTACAACTCTGAAGGGCCATGCTAGACTGAAAGTTTCTTATAAAATGTGCTGAGACTCAGTTGGAATTGCATGGTAATTCAACTTCTCTCTGTGCCTAATCCTGCCTTTTTCTTTCCTTAGAGTACGCCACAAAAAAAAACTTTCTTCTTTTAGCCTCCATCTATGTGTGCATTCCCAGAAAGCCATTATAATACACCCTGATTTTACAATATTGAAAACCATCAAATTTGTCTATTGTTTTAACTAAAAACAGAAACAGAATCCATCAATATGGTTTACAGTGCTCTTCATGACATGAATTTTCCCTTTTTTATATCTCTTGCCTTAAACTCTAGTCTCATTAGTGCTCTTTCCATTTTTCAAGTCAAAATGGCCAACTGCAGCACATTGCATTTTCTACTCCCTCTGCCTGAAATGCCCCTCTGTGCTCAACACATTTCTAACTCCTAATTCTTAGGATCTCAATACCTCTTGGAGAGAATAGTTCTCCCTGGCTTTCTATGCTAGTGGCTAGTTCAGTAATTTCCTCTCCATATGTTTCTCTTATTACTGCATTCCCATTACATGCTATATCCTAGAAGTCAGCAAACTCTGGCCCACAGGCCACACCAGTGTGACATTTGGTTTTGTAAATGAGTTTTTTCCTTTTTTTCCAAAAGACATGCCTGTAGGTTTTTTCTATGACTGCTTTTATGATAATAGCAGATTTGAGTAGTTTCTAGGATTTTCTTGTATTTTTGCACCTCTAAACATGTATATACTGAAGTATATTTCTTTGATTTTAATGGTATTTAATTAATTTTTATTGTTACATAATTATAAGAATAACAAGGAACATGTACACTATGTACATATAAAAACTTTTAATTTAATTTAACCCCATATTATTGACAGGATTACTGCTAACATCATGATAGTCTATGCTTTTGCATATTTAAAATAATTAAATTATGCTATGGATATGATAGGCTATTGGTCATTTATTTTATTTTTTTATGTAGGATTCTGTGTTGAGCATTTTGAGGACATTATAATTTTTACAAAACGTTGTTCATAATAGCAATGTTAATTGCTAACGTTTATTGAATGGCCTACATGCATTAACAAACAAATTAATCCCCTCAACAAACTCATGAGTGAGGAACTATTATGAATTGTACTTACAGATGACAAAAGCAAGGAGGATAGACACAGTAAGTAATTTCCCCAGATTAATGGCCAAGCCAGGGTTTGAACCTTCTCCACAGCCTGAGCTGTAGTAGTTGTTCAATTTTTGTGTGTGTAATAAATAAACACTTTTTAGGGAAAAGAGAAAATATTATATTAGGTTATTATGTAAATATTTTTATTATTCACTTTTAAAGAATGTTTTTATTACCATCAATTGGTTAGTTACAAATGTCCCTGAAACTATCACCCATTGCAAGCCTTTCTCATACAAACTGAAACTGTCTTATACATAAATGGTCATCTCTGAGCTATTAAAGGGAGTTATTTCTTTACAAATTTCTTTTCTTGTGCTGTAAGTAGAACAATGGTCACAGGTCTAACTCCTCAGGGCAGGTTGTAGTTGTAACTACATTAATCGACTGCACAAAAGTACATCTAACTTTTGGTCTGATAAATCCTTTTCCAGAAGCACTTACCACCAGCAAAAGAAGGCTAACATTCTCCCTTACCTTTCGTTGTCACAGTGATCAAGACAAGGGATCAAGTTGCATGATACGACACTGTTAAGCTTTGTTGGCAGTGTTGTAGAGGCTCCTCTTGTCCTGTTCTCAAACCGTGATATCTACGGTGTAGGCATATTTCACTAGGGCATCCATGCATTTATTTTTTTATTTTTTGAGACAGGGTCTTCCTCTGTTGCCTAGGCTGGAGTGCAGTGGCACAGTCATGGCTCACTGCATCCCTAGCCTCCTGGGTTCAAGAGATCCTCCCACCTCAGCTTCCTGAGGAACTGAGACTACATGTGCATGACACCATGCCCAGTAAATTTTAAATATTTTTTTTTTGTAGACACAGGGTCTTACAATATTGCCCAGGCTGGCCTCAAATTCCTGGTCATAAACAATTCTCTCTCCTTGGCCTCTTAAACGGCTGGGATTACAGATATGAGCCACCACACCCAGCCATGCATTTTATAAGCCCCACAGTTATTATATGTCTTGTCACTACAATTTTATCTCTCTGGTTGACACATAAAGAAACGTTTATATCATAATTACCATCTTTTCTGCTAGTTTTGATGTACCTCTAACTGACTTCATGACTTTCTGCCCCAAAATAATCTGCTTTCTTCCTGAATATTTTGCATGTTGTAGTTTCCAATTTATTTCAGAAGCAAGTAGGTGGAGAAAAAAGTTATGGGATTGAGAAAATTCTGCTCAAACTAGACATGGTCAGAGAAGATAACACAATCTTTATCAAAGGAATGAGTTTTCTTTACTCTTTTGTTGGTTCATGACATAATTTATTCTCTACATGTGCATGTATGTTTTCTGAGCTTTTTCTGGTTTCTGTGAGCTAAGCCCAGCATTGCAGGAAATTTCACTGTGATAGTCTTGCTGGAGATGTGCTACCATTACCCTTAAATGGATCAGTTGAGCTATTTACAGTTCCTTTCCTTTCCTAAGTAGCAAGTAAGATTTTAAATCTCGTTTTGTTTCTCAGGATGCGAGAAACTGTGCACTTAAGAGTTACCAGTTTCTTCATTTCTATGCAAGTCATTTTCCAAAAGGGAAATATACTAGGCTACTTCCTAAACTTCTATTTCTGGTACATCAAGAAGCACTTTGGGTTTCAGGATCCCAATTGACTCAACAAATATACTTCATTAATTTTAGAGGAAGAGGCTGGAGATCGAATAAATCAATATGTAATTTAAAATATAGTTTAAAATTATCAGCATGCCTTTTTATTTATGTCTTAAAAATCATTATATTCAGTTTTCTCTTGTTTTAAGTGAAAGAAAAAAAAACTCTTCTCCCTCACTTGTTGAATTTCTTGGAAAATGAGAGAAGGGACAAAATTTGTGATATCTATGTTTTAACTTGACAAAATAAGTCTGCCTTGTCTGGGATTCTTATGCTATTGGCTAAAGAATAGCCACTCTGAATTTAAATTAAAGCTCAGGTAGCGAAATTCAGGATTCTAGATTCTTAGTTCCTAGTCCTTGAGGGCTCATAACTTCACAAAAGGCAATTTTCTATATTCGTAATGAGATATTAGTCATTTAATGTGGGACAACTTTTCAACAGTGAAAATATGAACATTATTTAAGTCAGAGCATTAGTTATATTAATGTGATGTACAAGTCAAAAAATGACAGAAGTTATAAACAGACTAAACTTACTCTGATTTACTACTGACAGGAAGTTTCAAATATTCCCATAATGGGACTTTTCAATCTGAGAGGTACAATATGTCAGACAGGAAAGTTGGGTACTGAATGAAAATTTGTAATGCTAAGGATAAAAAAGTAGGAGAATTGAAAGTCATTCATCACTGTAACACTTCCCTGTAGACTAAGCAGAGATAAAGGATTCTGTTCACACAAGAATTTCCAGTTTTTGAAAAGCTGTATCACTCCTTTTCTACGACAATACGACATTGGAATTCGTGGTGTTTGCATATCTGTGATAGAGTTTAGGAGTTTAAGAAAAAGAGTTTCTGTGATCACAGCAAGTGAATTCTGCATTCTAAAGATGAATAATACGAGAAAATATTTTAAAAATAACAATAAATATTTAACCTGCAACAGATCTGTCTTGCCACAACAAACTGGGTCAAGACCAAGAAATGTTAGTCTGGTTAGCAAATTTACAAAGTACACATCATTTATGTAGTAACCTGTGATTTTATCCTTCTTATTTCATAAATATAAGTTTATTTGTTGTATTTTAAATTCATGTTTTTGTTTCCCATGAAATAGACTTTTTCTATTTGCTTAAACACAAAAGTCAGAACAAATTTTCAAACCTCTTCCTGTTTAATATACATTTTTTGTTAGGGAACCATACTCACATTTACTGTTCATACTTCAGCATAAGCAGTCCACAATTTTTAAACTTTATATTTTTGAGCAACTCGTCTGTACAAATGTACTATATAAGTGATAGGTGTCCCCAAATTCCTATTGAAACTGGCAATTTATAATTATTTGGATGTGATTAATTAGACATGTCTTCAACATAATTAACAAACATAAAAAAGTTAGAACTCAACTAGTTCACAAAAAATACTGTAGACAAAAAAGACTACTCAGATGAATTCTGACTTTTAAAAATATTTATTTATTTATTTTTATTTTTGAGACAGGGTCTCTCTCTGTTTCCTAGGCTGAAGTGCAGTGGCGCCATCATGACTCACTGCAGCCTGGAACTCCCAGGCTCAAGTGATCTGCTCAACTCAGCCTCCTGAGTAGCTGAGAACATAGGCACACACCATCATACCTGGCTAATTTTTAAACATTTGTTTGAATGTTTTGTAGAGACAGTGTCTCACTATGTTGCCCAGGCTGGTCTTGCACTTCTGGGCTCAAGCAATCCTCCCACCTTGGCCTCCCAAATTACTGGGAGTACAGGTATGAGTCACTATGCCGGCCTAAAATTTATTTTTAATTGATAAATAATAGTTGTATATATTTATGAGGCACAATGTGATGTTTTGATCTATGTATGTAATATAGAAAGATTCAATGAAGCTCAGTAACATATCCATTCACCTCACCAATTCATTTGAGCTTAAAGTGTATTGTTGAATGCTAATTAAAACAAAGTTCTCCTTATTTCTTGAGGTTTACATTATACTCCCTTTTATGCCATATGAAGAATGTCGTTAGGCTCCAATGTAGACACAGCTCTTGCCTGGGCCTCTGGGTCAAGTGAACTCTGAATAAGAGCTAGAAAAAGATAATAGGGGCTTGGAACCGCACATTCTTAGCCTTAAGTAATTTACTTAAAATTTCACTTTGTTTCTCCTCTTTTTTTAATTCTCTTGAATCTTCTTTGGATTATGTATAAAAATGAAGCCTAAGATATCCATATCAATTAAATGGCCATATTTACCCAATGGTCTGCAAAGCACAGTGTTGCAAATGCAGTCTAGTGGATGTGAAAGAGAAGAAAATCTGAACATCTATTTCTATTTCTTTCAGTCGAGAGAGAGGATTTCATATAGATACAAATATAGATAGATAATGAGTCTATCTCTATCATACATATCTATATATGTCATTGTCTGTCAAGAGAGATAAAGTCTAATATATAGTTGACAGGCAAATCCAGAGAACATACAGGTAAAATAAATATTTATAAAAATTCATGGTGTGCTTTTCATTTTTAAAGTTAAGATCAACAATCAAAACATAGTATTAACACATGATGTCTAGAAATACCTCTTGACTAAACCCCAAACTACCCTTAAAAGTCAAACAAGACCCTACTAAAACCTGGAGGAAGCATTATTGGCTTAAATAAGAGTTCATTAAGAGAAGAAAGAAAGAACACATGAAACCAAATCAGCAGTTGTAAGTTACGCTACAGGTAAAGCACTTAGTAAAATACATTGTACACTCATAAAAACATGTTATGTATGAAGACAATAATCATGAGGAATCTGCAATAATGATGATTGAAGCATAAAACAGTACATATTCCCTTACAAAGTTCTTTTAAAAACCCATACAAGTAGAAGTAAGAGGATGAGATACACAATAAATATCTCTTGGCTTGAGACTCACTGGTAATTTTCTTACAGCAAATCAAAAAATAAATTTATGACTTTCCTCAAAGAATTAAATAGCTATTAGCTGAGGGAATGGATCTAAATATATACTACAGAACACTACAAAAGTATGAATTTACAAATGCTGTCATTTAATAATTCAGGAGTAGTGCTTTAAATGGATTGGATCAGATTAAATTATATACAAAATGTCTTTTGTGATGAACCATCGCGAATGATCAAGATTCTTCATGTAAAAAAAAAATTTAAAGATAATTTTGAGGAGAAAATTAAAAGCATGAACACAGTAAGGAAAGGAAAGCATAGAATATTTGAGAAATAGTGAGTATTTCATTTTGCAGTCAGTATACGTTTTATAAAGGTGAGTGATGGGGTATATGAACTCATGGTGAAAAGACTGCCGAGGAAGTCAACCAAAAACTGTGACATATAGGCAAGGTGAAGACAAGAACACAGAACATTTTGAGCAGTCATTGGATGGATCAGAGACATACTTCAGAAAATTAAAGTCAATTTATACATCGGAGAATTTGTCAAAGAAAGGAACAGCCTTTCTTTTTTTTAAAAACCAATCTTTATGTATTTATTCACACATTTGTTTAAAATGTCACAGTTAAGAATGAAATCACTACAATGACATAAGTAACTTACAGACACGCCCCAAGTGCAATCAAATTGCCATAAGTCAGAACATGGAACAACCACAACTCCTTAGCAAATGTGCACGCACACACATACAGATTCATATGCACACACTCATCCACATCCCAGCAATTGCAGGCACTAAGTTTAGACATAACCCAGGGACTCTTCCCTGGCTTCTGTCACATCCTGGAAATAAGAGAGACGAGATGAGTAAAGCAGCTGGGAATGCTCAATGCACCTCTCCACTCTGCCACAAGTGTTTCATGCCTTGCCTTCTCTTAGTCAAGTGTCATTTAGGTTATTCTACAATGCCAGTTCTTTCAGAAAGCCCTCTCTAACTTTGCCCACATACCCATAGGAGTTTTCATGCTTTTTTCCATTCTTTAATATCATATAATGTACATTTTATTATTCTGTTTATTACTTTATTTTAATCACTATTATATATGTCTACTTCTTCCAGTTGATTTTGTATTGTCCCTGGAAAAAAAGATAATCTGATGTATTGTTTAAGTTCTTATACCTTACATGAATTTTGGGATACGATTAGGGAAATATTAGGAATAATTGATAAATAAGATGTATACATAAATCAGAAAGAATGAAGCAATAGATCTTCACTCCAACTTTTCAAAATCATCCCTTTGATTTCTCAGGCATTACTTTTCTCTCCGTGGCTGAAGCACATTTATAAATTACTTTTTCTTTCTGCTCTCTTCTTTAACATCAGGATGACTGATAACTCTGCTCACAGTGTGGCTGACGTCAGCTAAATGTTTAAATGATTTTTTCAAATTTAGAACAGCTATAATTATGAGTATATTTAACCATTGTAATAGACTGCAGCTTTTATAAAGAGAGTATTTGTAACACACATGATCACCTACTTATAAAATCATATGATGGAGTGTCATTGTATTTTAGATTTTTAAGCAAGATGTTTTTCTGCTAATTCTGTAAGCTAAAGCACAGCTGAGATTGTAGAGTTGATACCTAGACAAGTGGTAGGAGTACATCACTCAGTTTGGCACCTCAAATTACCAGCCACCACTTAAATGATAAACTGCAACATAGGAAAAACATACAAAATTTTAGACACTTGATATACAATATGATTTGTAGAATGCAGAACCATGACCTTGTGATCTTTTGTTCAGGATTTAAAATGCTCAGTGTGTTTGGCAGTGTATGATTAGTACTCAAATTCTTTATTCATTCAACCAATATTTATTAGATGTTTATCATAGACCAGAAACTGTCCAGTGCTAGAGATAAAACAATGAACAAAACATGAAAGGTTTTAGGCCTCAGGAAGCTTATGCACTAGCAAGAGAGATAAACAAATAAATAAGAAGTGGGCACAAGGAATAATGAGAGTTGTGACAAGAGTAGCAGAGATTGCTCCAGATGTGCACGTCAGAGAGGATAGCATGGGTTAGAAGCTAAATCTGAAGTATTTCGGACAGCAAATACGTAGATTAGAAACAAAGCTGCTTATTTTATTACATTATTACAACACCTTCTGCATTAATCATGCAGAATATGAGGCAGGATTAATGATATAATGTGAAAGTATTTATCAAATCTAATAATTTTACCCTTAGAACCTGTATTAGTATGTTTTCATGCTGCTATAAAGATACTACTAATACTTGAGCCTGGGTAATTTATGAAAAAAAGAGGTTTAATTGACTCATAGTTCTGAATGCCTGGGGAAGCCTCAGGAAACTTACAATCATGGCAGAAGGCAAAGGGGAAGTAAAGCACATCGTATGGCGGCAGGAGAGAGAGAGAGCACCAGGGGAAGCTGCCACATTTAAACCATCATATCTCATGAGAACTCCCTCACTACTACAAGAACAGCAATACCTTCAACCCCCTGATTCAATCACCTGCGACCAGGGTCTTTTCTCTATACATGAGGAGTACAAGTTGAGATGAAATTTGAGTGGGGATACAGAGCCCAATCATATCATTCTGTCCCTGACCCCTCCCAAATCTCATGTCATTTTTACATTTAAAAGCAAATCATGCCTTCCCAATGGTTCCTCCCTCAGTCTTAACTCACTCCAGCATTAATTTAAAAGTCAATGTCCAAAGTCTCATCGGAGACAAGACTTGTCTCTTCTGCATATGAACCTGTAAAATAAAAAAACAAGTTCGCTACTTCCAAGAAACAATGTGGGTATAAGGATTGGGTAAATACTCCAATTCCAAATGGGAGATGTAGCCAAAAGCAAAGGTGCTGCAGGCCCCATGCAAGTTTGAAACCAGGCAGGGCACTCATTATCTCTCAAAGCTCCAAAATAATCCCCTTTTACTCATCTCTCACATTCAGGGCACACTGATGGAAGTAGTGGGCTCCCATGGCCTTGGGTAGCTCTACCACTGTGGGTCTGCAGTGTACAGCCCCTACAGCTGCTTTCACAGGCTGGTGTTGAGTTCCTGCAACATTTCCAAGCACATGTGCAAGCTGTCAGTGGATCTACCATTCTGGGGTCTGAAGAACAGTGGTCCTCTTCTCACAGCTCCCCTAGGCAGTGCCCCAACCTGCATTTCCCCTCTGCATTGCCCTAGCAGAGGTCCTCCATGAGGGCTCCACCCATGTAGCAGACTTCTGCCTGAACATCCATTTATTTCCATAGACCCACTGAAATCTAGGCAGAGATTCCCAAAGCTCAATCTTGTCTGAGAACCCACAAGCCCAACACCTCATGGAAGCCACCAAGCTTGGGGCTTGCACCCTTTGAAGCAGTGGCCTGAGCTGTACTTTGGCTGCTTTATTCATGGCTGGAGCTGGAATGGCTGGGACACAGGGCACCAAGTCTCAAGGCTGCACAGAGTAGCTGGGCCCTGGCTCTGGCCCACTAAACGATTTTTTGCTCCTAGGCCCTTAGGCCTGTTATTTGAGGGGCTGCCTTGAAGATCTCTAAAATTCACTGGAGACATTTTCCCCATTGTTTTGATGACTAACATTTGGCTCCTCATTACTTGTGCAAATTTCTGCAGCTGGCTTGAATTCCTCCCCTGAAAACTGTTTTTTTCTTTTCTATTACATGATCAGCTTCAAGTTTTCCAAATGTTTACACTCTGCTTCCCCTTTAAACATAAGTTCCAAATTTAAACTATCTCGTTGTGAATGCTTATAACTCTATGCTTTCAGAAGAAGCCAGGTCACATCTTGAACACTTTAATGCTTAATAATTTCTTCCACCAGATACCCTAAATCATTTCTCTCAAGTTCAAAGTCCCACAGATCTCCAGGGCAGAAGCAAAATACCACCAGTCTCTTTGTTAAAGCATAGCATGAGTGACCATTACTCCTGTTCCCAGTAAGTTCCTTATCTCCATCTGAGAACACCTCAACCTGGACTTCAGTGTTCTTATCACTATCAGCATTTTGGTCAAAACCATTTAATAAGTCTCTAGGAAGTTCTAAACTTTCCCATATCTTCCTGTCTACTTCTGAGCCCTCCAAACTGTTCCAACCTCTGTCTGTTACTCAGTTCCAAAGTTGCTTTCACATTTTTCAGGTTATCTTTACAGCACTACCCCACTGTCCTGGTACCAATTCTCTGCCTTAGTCAATTTTCACACTGCTATATACTACCTGAGACTGGGTAATTTATGAGGAAAGAGGTTTAATTGACTCACAGTTCCAAATGGCTGGGGTAACCTCAGGAAACTTACAATCATGGCAGAAGTTGAAGGGGAAGCAAGCCAGCAGGTGAGAGATGGATCACAGGGAAACTCACTTTTTTGGCGGGGGGGCAGAAACTGTCACTTTCAAACTATCAGATCTTGTGAGAACACCCTCACTATCATGAGGATGGCATGGGATCCAATCACCTCCCACCAGGTCCCTCCCTTGAAACATGGGGATTATAACTCAAGGTGAGATTTGGGTGGGGACACAGAGCCAAACCATATCAGGGTCTAATGAAAGAATCGGGGGTATAATGCATCCTGCTTTTATCTGGCCACTCCATTCATTCTTCAATGCCCATGATTAATTCAGACCTGAGAAGAAGAGAGAAGGTATTCAGCACCCACTAGTTGATTGATTACAGGTTATCAGGACTCATAATATTGGCAATCTTTTAGTTAGCCTGCATTTTCCCCCTTCCATGGAGCTACTGAAGACTAGACTTGTAATAAGTATTAGAAACATATTTTCAATAATATTGTATGTCCCACTAACAGGTGTTAGATTTATACATGGGAAAAAGGGCACACTGATGAATTTTAAGCAAACCTGATAATGTACATTAGGAAGATAAATGACAACAACCAAGGACAAAGTACATATGATTTGCCTAGCAAAGGTGTATCATGGATCAAACTAAAGTAGTAGAAATGGAAATCAAGAGGAGGGTGTAAAATTGAAAGATTTTTATAAGAAGGCCTTGGCACAGGGAGATTTCTAGTTTGATGCAATAGCTAAATTGTTACATTAAAAGAAAATATTGTTGTAAGTACATTCAGAAATTAATGCAATCCATATGGAAAAGTGTTCATTGCTAGTTGAGAACAAATAGATTTACCATAATCTCTAAAGAAGTCAAGGTACCTTACTTATTTAGAACATGATCATTTGATTTAATTTTTCCTTGATCTTATGTAGTCTACTTACCATCTACCATGTCAGGGTTAAACAGTATGAGTGTTATGGTGTTTTTAGTTTGTAATTAACACCATGAAAAAGAACACTATATAATATATTTTGTGATTCTAGGAAGACTTTTGAATAGTAAAAATTAACAAAAGGGCAATACATATTTAAAATAGAAATTGCAACCACATAATAATTATGTGAAAATTAGTTCTTCACATTATGCCATAAATATATTTTTTGGGGTGGGGAGGGGACTGAGACTTGCTCTGTTGCTCAGGTGGGAGTGTAGTGGCATGATCTCGGCTCACTGCAACCTCCACCTCCCGGGTTCAAGCAATTCTCCTGCCTCAGCCTCCTGAGAAGCTGGGATTACAGGCATGCACCACCACGCCCGCCCAAATTTTGGAATTTTTAGTAGAGGCAGGATTTCTCCACATTGGCTGAGCTGGTCTCAAACTCCTGACCTCAAGTAATCCGCCCGCCTCGGCCTCCCAAAATGCTGGGATTACAGGCCTGAGCCACCATGCACAGCCATAAATATATTTAACACTATCTAATTCTTACTTAAAAAATGACTGAATAGGGAAGATAATCTGCTTTACTGCCGTTATGGAGAAAATGAATTATTTGAATTTCAATGGAAGACACTTTTGTAAAAACCTTTTATTCTATTGAAATAAATCATTAGGATATAATTTAAATTGTTCTGTTATTCATAAACTACTTATGCTCAACTTATATAGTTTATGATGTCAGCAAAAATTAAATTATAGCTTTGTGTTCTGTTGGAAACCATTTTTAAAAAAATAATCTGACATCTCAAAGTAAAAATCTTCTTTTTCTAATGTAGGATAATTGCAGTTCATTATGAAAATGAAACAAATTGCTGACATTCTCATTTTGAGGAAAAAACAGTATGTGAGAACTCAGATAATTCAATAAAGTTTGAAAGAGGAAAGTTCTATAACCTTGTTACAAATTTTCTAGCAGAATCATAAATAATCAAGTCAAAAGAGCTATATACAAATATATAGAGTTCCACTGTGGCTAATAGACATCCAAGAATCATTCAAATACATCAAAATGTGATTATATTGCCTTTGAAAATGTGTAAAAAGTATTCATCTTTGTTTCTAGATGAAGAGTTTTATGGCTTAATTCATGTGTCTGAAATTGTGTAAATGTAAGCCAAGCACCCAATCTTTCATTTTAAATTTACTATTTTCACATTTCCTTCAGTGATTCTGAAGGAAAAAATCAACAAGTTGCTATTAAGCTTGAATGAATTTAAAGCCTGCTTTTTAAAATAATTCAAGACATTTATGGTCATATGACCCTTTTATTCAGTGTGGATATGATCAATACTTGTGTTACTTGCATAGAAGGTGCTATGTTTGCACTGTTTAGAATATGATGAATATGCATGCATTTTATCAATAAAAACAGTATAGATCAAAACTTTGGAGAAATCATGCTGTCCAATAAAATGCGTTTATCTTTGTAAATCATAACACAGATTATGATTACAAGTCAATGTGTATTATATTACCCCCTATTAGGTGCTTACCTGAACCAAACCTGCTATATTGAGATGTGGATATTACCGATAGCTCAAAGTATGTATCCATATTCTGAGCAAATTTGACAGTATACTGAATTTAACAAATTGTAAAGATGTAATATAAAACAAATATTTGGAAATCTGGTTATACTATAATTTATTTCATTATTATGCTAGAAATTATAAAATTTTTCATTAAGCCTAATTTTAATCACCATTATTACTTAATCAGAATATGCTTGAAATTTGACATCCGATTTTGTAATTGATATACTATTTTTCCAGAGTTGTGATTTCTATTGAATTTTTATACTCACAAAATATATTATTATTTTATGCCAATGTTTAGATGCAAAAATATGTTATACATTTGAAATTTTGCTTCAAGAAGATATCTTAGTGTTAATGGTAACCTCTTTTGGTTTGTGTTTATTTAAATACGTTTTTAGGAGCACATTGCTGTTGTCTGTTTCCTGTAATAGCCCAAATCTGGAAACAATAATATCATCCCGAAACAGAGATATATATGAATATATTGGGATGTAATACTGCATTGAAAATGAGTAAAATGTAACAACATGCTATTGCATGAATCTTTATAATATTGAATGGGAAAAAAAAGTTTTATAAGTATGATTTTATTTGAGTTTAAAATAACTAGTAATAAATAATATATATTCATAATGTATATATATTTATGAAAATGTGTGCATATGTGTTAATGAGAAAAACACATTTCTAAAGCAAGGGCATGATAAAAAATATTCAGGATAATTAAGTAATAATTATTTTTTCAGTGAAGGAAAGCAGGATGATAAGATGGGCTACAAACACATAGACAGTTTAAAGTCATTCTCATTGTTCTATGTTTCAAGTTGTATCATGGATTGGTTAATGGCTACTTATATTATTATGACATATCATTAAAGATGACCACGCTTCAACAAATTATGGTGTGAAAATTGAAGTGTTATAAATATTTTAGTTCTGTATCTCTGAATTGTATAAATGAATCCCCCCAAATCCAGACTATACAGAAAAGAACTTGAGAACTTGTATCTTAAAAATAACGTTAATTGAGAAAACATACCAATTAGACCAGGACAAACAATTAGCAGGAGATCCTCAATATAAGCCATATTCCTAAGAAGATTCATTATTTGAGTACTGGAGAAAATAAAACTGCATTATAACCACAATATTGATTTAAAAACAAGAGCTTTGGAATTCTTAGGAGACTGAGAAAACCAATTTATTCTAGGAGAAAAAGGTATGTTCATGAATTGCTGTTCTGATGACTATCATTGTGGAAAATAGTTTGACATAACTAGTAGGTGTATATTATTTGATCTGTACTTTCTTTGACCCAGAGACTCCATTTTTAAGCATATATAAGCTAGATAAGGAGTCTTAAATTGGTGTTCATGCCCCTGGGATTGTGAGAAGACACTCCAAAATGTAGCCAGGCTGAAATACATACATATACATACACATACACATTGATACATATTGCCAGATATTCAACCTCCCTGCATACTCAGTTCAAAAATCTATCAGCCTGAGAAAGAGTCAAGATTATTTTCTCCGTGACACTTGTTTTACATTTTCTCTTCCCTTTTATATTTACACTTTGCCCTTTGACACTAGACAGCTTTCCCTTTAGAAAAGAAAGACATATTCCTTATCCACCTGCCATCTTACCATGGTGGTTGCCAAGCACCAAAGTGACAATGGAAAGATGGTTTTCAGAGAAGTTTCCTTTAATGTTAACTCAGGAAACCCAAAACTTTTCTTATGTATTAAGTTGGTGCAAAAGTAATTGTGGTTTTTGCCAATTACTTTTGCACCAACCTAATACATCTTTCCTTTTGAAAATAAAATGAAGCTAAACTAATAATGGTTAGTAAATCTATATTTTGTTTGTGTTTTATGTGTTACATATATCGAAGAAAATCAAATGCTTCAAGATTGACTAGATGAAATGTGCAGATACAAATTTTACTTGATATCTTTCATATCTGTGTGCATTAGCATCATTAAATATTCATCCCAATACATCATTTACTTATTGAGTTTACCCCAGGTTATGCTGTTGGATCAAGCAAACACCAAGTCTCGGTTGGCTTCAATACCATGTGTGTCTGTCTCTCTTTTACTCTCTCTCTTTCTTGGCCTGTTGATTGACTTGCTGCAGGTACAGCTACACAGTACATCCCTTCTTTAGTCCATATCCAGACTGAAGAAATTCTCATAATTTATATATGTCATTACTATGTCAGAGGGGGGAAAAATCAAGAGTGTATGAAACTTTTCAATGACCTTTAAAGCTTCTATTTTGCCATGGCTTACCTTGTGCTGCTGACTTTTATCAGTCCAAGCAAAATTCACCGCCAAGTTCAATACTAACAGCATAGGAAAGCACAGAAAGCCACAAATCAGCAGGCAGAAATAGATAACCTTTATGGGGACAGCAGTAAATAACTTGGAAGAATACTACACTTACCACATTTTTAAATTTTATCTTTAAGTTGTTTAATAATTTTTACTTACTATTAACAAACAATATAATTATGTGGTAGCTACAGGAAAGATTAGTGATTAGCATTATGTATTTAACTTCAGTAAAATATGTGAAATATTGAATATGAGATACTGTAATATGATACTGATTATTCCCCAAAGCTGTAAAAACATAGCTGTTAATGAATACATACATATTTACTAAAGGAAATCCATGCCTTATGCACTTTGCTTGATTAAACAACTGCAATTCTATCTACATATTACATTGCATTATTATAACTGAAGACAAAATGGTATAGGCTTATATTTTGATTTTATAATATCATAAAAATAGATAAATTATATTATGATTACATGCTGTTAATTTTGGCTTTAAAGCTCTGTCCGACTTTCCTCTAAATGTTTTGTTTTCTCTGGAGCTTCCCTAAGAATCCCTCAAATGACAGGCAATACGTACATCCTCACTTACCCAAACCGAACCATGTAAATTCTACCTCACTTAATCATACATTGTTTATTCCATGCTATGCATATTCCAGTATTCTATTACTATCTATCCAAAATGGAAGTAGCTATTATTCATTTTTATCTTAGCCCCATGGGCACAGATACATAGTCATTTTTATTATCCACTCCCTGTCTACTGTTTTAAGAGGACACTTCTCAATAGGTCATTGGGACAGGTATACAGACACATGGTTTCTTCATTTGGGTTCTCCAGATGCATATCCTGAGAAAAAAAGATTCTAGCAAAAGATGTTTGTGTTTTTAGGTAAGAATTGCCAGTAGGAGAATGTGAAAGTGATTTAGAGAAGGGAAACATCTGATAGACGGCACTTAAACTTAGACAGCCACCATTATAGGCAACTGAAGTTCAATCCTGATAAAATTTAATCAGTCAAAGACCCCAGGGACAATTGGTAATGTGACAAAATGACATTATTGAGTCTATGCAGTAAAAGAAGTAACTTGGGGGGAAACAAGAAGAACTTTTAAAGAAGAGGGGCAGTGAAGCATCTTACGTAAGATCTCGGGTTCTACTGAAGGATTCTGAGTAACATCTAAAAGAAGCAGAGATCAACCAGCTCTGAATTGGTTGCCATTTTCAAAGCAGGATTAGAAAAAGCAGGGATTAAGTAGTGACTATAGATGAGAGTAAATTGGGTGCTGGCTTGTCATAAGTAGGAAACAAGTAGTCACTAAAAGGTAATTTTTTTAGTCTCAGATATGTTTTACTTCCTCTTTTGATTTAGTGAAGAAACTCTGAGAAATGGCACAACACATATCTCAAAAAT
This sequence comes from Homo sapiens, assembly GCF_000001405.40. NCBI lineage: Eukaryota > Metazoa > Chordata > Mammalia > Primates > Hominidae > Homo > Homo sapiens. Next base: position 194,503,322 of record NC_000001.11, on the reverse strand, counting down.
TTTTAACTCCTCTAAGGGACCAGTGAACTGGAGTTAGAGACCAACTCCTCTGAACTATTAGGTGAAAGGTGGCTGTAGGGGGTAATAATACCCACCTAACCCTCAACTAACCATCCCCATCTCCACATTTTAAAAAACCTTCAGGCATAAAAATGCAGATACAAGCAATCTGAAATTTTCAACAGCACATTGAAAATGTCAGTAAAATACTGACAGCATCTGTGGGGTGTATACATACACAAGTGTGTATTGGGAGTATAAATTGATATGATGCTTTAGAAAATTGTGTGCCAGGTTCAAACCTGAATATACATGTACTCAATGATTCATTAATTCCAAAACTAGTCATGAAGACAAATAAATGTGTATATATGTGTGTACAAAAATGTATAAGAATTGCAAAACTGTAATTTTCAAAAGCAAAATTTGAAAACAACCATAAAATTGATTTTTAAAATATTGTGGTATAGTTACACATCATAACAGCACACTACAATGCAAATAAACTACTGATGTAAGCAACATATATGAATCATACAAAGAAAATATTGTGTGAAAATAGCAAAACAGAAAATAACACATGCTGAATGATTTCATTCTTATAAAGTTCAAAAGAGGCGAAAATCAATAGGAACATAAGTAGGATTGGGGAGGGAGTGGGTAGTGAGGAGGAAGAGACAGGTAGAAAACTTACAAAGTGTTTTCCATCTTCTATTTGTAGATCTGGATCTGCCCACTTCGTGATAATTATTTGAATCATATACATGCAGTTTTCTGTATGAATGTTATACTAAAAGTTTTACCAATAGACACATTGCAGTAATTTGTCCACATTCTTCATTTATATAGCTCTCATTTATCTTAGATCTGTAAAAATTGGAGTTTTTTTTTTAACTCCAACCTATCCAGTAATAGGTGACCATTAAGGGAAAGTGTATTTGCCCTGTGAAACAAACCACTGGCTCCAAAAAAAAAAAAAAAAAAAAAAAAAATACAGTATCAAGGTCTCAAGTTGCAGGAGAAGTAGAAGGCATTCAATTTTACACTCATGTCTTTCTCCAACATAATTTTCAACCGTATTGAAGTTCATTTTTGAATTCCATATATTTAGCTTCTTTCTCTAAATTTACGTTGTTTCTGGACTTGGGTTATCAGGATTTTCTTTTAGATCCACTCAAACCTCAGTTTTGTACATGAGTGATACTTGCAAGTTGATCTTCAACCATCTGAAGGCTTTGAGGCTTTGGTTCTTGCTAATAGGCTTGAAATGGACACAACTCTTTTCTTTGATATTGGCTTATTGCAGACAGAAATGGTAAGTAGCTTTCCAATGCTCATTCCCCTCATCTTTATTTGTAGAAGAACCCAAATATCTCACTGAACACATTGATACTTAAAAGGAAAATATGCCTTGCTGCCCACAATTAAAACTCCTGTGTGATGAAAATAGACATAAAGTTAAGTCCTAGCCAATACACTCTAAGTAAAAGATTCATGTGGGAATCTCAGGAATGCATCTTTAAGGAGATAGAACTGAGTTTTCTTTCTTTTCTTCTTTCTTCCTGCTCTCTGGAGTATACATAATAGCAGGACCTGTGGTAACCACGCTTAAGGAAATCACAAGTAATAGATAAAAGGAGCCTGGGTTCTGATAATTTCACAGAGCCCTATGCCAGGCATGGACTAGTATTTTCATTCGCAAGAGAATAAACCCTTTCAGGTTTAAGACACTATGGTTAAATATCTGTACCTGTAAGTGAATACATTCCATAATTTATATACTTGTAATGGCATGATTCTTAGACCTTCTTCTTATTAGTAATTAATAGAATTGTTTAGATTTACAGCATGATAAAAATGCAGTAATTTAGGTCCTAGCACAACTAAAATAGAGAATAAACTTTGTAAAAGGTGAGATAAACCACATTCTCTAACTCTCACAATTTTCTTCTTATTTATTATTTAATTCTCAAAATTTCTTTCTGGTTTTAATCAGTTGTTACTTAATCTGTTATCTTATTTTTCTCCATGGAAAATGTCCAATTTCTGTATTTTTTTCTGAATACTGGTAGCATTTAAAAAAATGTTCAAATATATACTACACATTACCCCATATTCTTAATTAAATTGAAAGCACCTTAAAGATAAGAATTGTTTATCACTTTTAAATATCCCTACGGTACAATGCATAAAGTGTTCCATTAAAAAAGATAAAAAAGGAATGTATTTAAGTTGTATTGCTTTGACATAATAGGTCTTATTTTAAAAATCAAGAAATCTGCACAGCCTAGCCATTTCTATGTTTAATTGCTCTTAGAGGGATTTTTTTTAACTTGAGTCTTAAGGAAGACAAAGTATAAACATACATCGTCACAAACACACAAGAATTTATTAAAATGATTGAACCTCTATTTGTCAAAAGAATTATATACAACTTATAAAATATGTTTATGCATGACAGTGTAAAAAATCTGCAATGGGTGTGATGTTGGGCTGTCGTTCCTCAGTAAGAGAATGTCCAAGATGTTTAATCAGCACAGCTATGAAAATATTTGTGTTCTTGAGTGAATTAACTTTTTCTTCCCTTCATTGATTTGGTTCCATAGTATTTGCCAGTTCTGAAACCCTTAGTTATATGCTTTATACCATTGCCTTTTAATTTCTACAAAAATACTAACTGATTATTAGTTGATTTATTCAGAAGCCCATGCTTTCAATATGTAATGCCACATATTCTCTATGGCTATAATGTATTGCCACTATTCTCAGTTTAACTAAATTGAATCCTTCAAATCTGTATTCTCTTTGGTCCTTTGCTGAGGCAGCTACATATTTGCTCTGTGGTATCACTTTCCTCTTTATGACAGATTGTGGGTACAAAGTTTAAAATCTTTCAAAAATGGAGAATGAACATAAAACTGATTTTGCCATGCCAAGGACTGCCTGTTCCATGCCATTACATGTATCTCAGAAGCAGTATCTAAAGAAGAGCTCAGAACCTTGTTGTTTAAATACACCATGCTGACCTGGCACAGTGGTCACGCCTGTAATCCCAGCACTGGGAGGCTGAGGCGGATGGATCACCTGAGGTCAGGAGTTTGAGACCAGCCTGGCCAACATGGTGAAACCCTGTATCTACTAAAAATAAAAAAAAATTTAGCTTGGCGTGGTGGCACGTGCCTGTAATCCCAGTTAATCAGGAGGCTGAGGTAGAAGAATTGCTTGAACCTGGGAGCCGGACGTTGCAGTGAGCCGAGATCTTGCCACTGCACTCCAGCTAGAGCAACAGAGCAAACTCCATCTCAATAAATAAATAAATAAATAAAAATAAAAATAGATACTCCATGCCTATATCATAAGTATGGTATTGCATGAATTATCTTAATTAAAGGCTTGCTGATCCTGATGTAGATCGTAAGGGTGGAAAATCAAAGGCAACTAAAATAATTTCTAAAATTACATGAAATATTTTTGTGTAGTCTAAAAATATGAACCTCTTAGCTTATTGTTACTCATGCTTAGTACGTACTTTAATAACAAGTATAAAATGATTCTAATTTACTTTCAGCAACTTTGACTTATTCAATTTTAATAGCAGTAATGGATGTAGCAAAATTCTAATAAGTGTAAACCTAGACAACAATTCCTCACCATAAGCCTTATTTGGTAGTAAAACTATAGCAAATATTCTATGACCCTACTATTCAACAGATAAATGCTATATTAAATAATTTGTGAATGTAATGAAAATAAAATTATTCTATTCTGTACCTTGTTTTATATTTCAATGAGTATATATTTTAATACTGATTTGTAAAACCTAAAAACATTCTGTAGCTTTCTGCACAGCTGTATAAATATAAAAATTATAGTCCTAGAAGAAACACATTACAGTTTAGGAATGTAACTCATATATTATGAAACATTATTATATAAAATTCTGAGTACAGGAAATACACTTGGTTTCAATAAAAAAGTGTATAGAATATATTTTGATTTGATCAACATAACTTGCCTTATTCAAGACAGACATGATTTGCTTAAATAAAACCTATTCTTTATTTAAAAAATTCAATACTAAGTAGCAAGAAATAAACAAAAAAGAAATGCTAAGTTTAAATTTATGAATGTGGCCAGGCACAGTGGCTGACTCCTGTAATCCCAGCACTTTGGGAGGCCGAGGCGGGTGGATGACCTGAGGTCAGGGGTTTGAGACCAGGCTGACCAACATGGTGAAGCCCCGTCTCTACTAAAAATTACAAAAATTAGCTAGGCATGGTGGTGCATGCCTATAATTCCAACTCCTCGGGAGGCTGAGGCAGGAGAATCGCTTGAACCTGGAAGGTGGAATTGCAGTGAGCCGAGATCATGCCATTACACTCCACCCTGGGCAACAGAGCAAGACTCCGTTTTTTTTTGTTTGTTTGTTTTTAAATTATGAATATAAATATCCTCACAAAAGGTAAACTTTGAAAACTTGTCTTAAATCTTTACACAATATTAATATAAATTAAGAAAATTACAGATGTTACATTGAATAATAGAAATCAAGCCTCAAAATAGTGAAGCAATAAATGAACTCCTCTTAGAAGGCCCCTTGAAAATTTACATATTTCTACTTCTTGAGAAGCTGTGATTTATTGGTGTTCTAGAGCTGCCATTTCTTTTTGATTTCAAGGGCAAGAGGAAGTATTCAAATGTGCAGAAATCTCTGAGGAGATTCATGATTTCCTGCACATTAGTCAGGATAATTGGTAAATTTGCTTCTTTTTGCATAGTCACAAACTACACCTAAGCACAGTGCCTCAGACAGGACATAATTTATTTCTCTCTACTGTGGCCAATCAATATGGATAGCCAGTCTCTGTTACACAAAGACCCAGGGATCTGGGCCAGCAGAGCAGCTCTGCCTTACACACCTAAAAGTAAGATGGCTCCAATCAAGCCCTGATTCATGCAGGTGGGGAAACAGAGAAGGGAATGACACATGCAAATATTATTTTTAAACATAAGCTAGAAGTTGCTGAACTTCTGCCCATGTCTACATGGTAAGCAAACACTGACCCAGCCATGGCTGAGTGGAATAGAGGCTGAGCATGTAGTATCTAGCTGGACAGGTGTATGCAGGGAAGAGCCGAGTAAAGACTTGAATTAGGAGTTGGAAACTTCTGTCAAGGCAGCCAGAGGGAGCATGAGAACTCACTCACTATCACGAGAAGAGCAAGGGGGAAATCCACCACCATGATCCTCATGATTGTTTCCTCAGAGTAATGAAAAACTAAGGGCATGGGAAAAATATATTTTTCTTTATAATCTATTATACATGTAGTGACATGAGGATATTTGGTGTGTAAAAACTGATGTCAGTGAAGATGAAGACTTAAGACCAAATTTCATTTGGCAAAAATCGTTTTTTAATTGTTAGTCCAGAAATATTTATTAACATGCTAACCAACATTATTACATACTGGTTGGGAGCCTGAACCCAGCAGCCAGACTACCAAGAGCCAAAACCAATTCAGTGACTACCAGTATGGGCCTAGGAAAAATAGTTACCCTCTCTCTGTCTCAGTGTCTTCACATGTTAAATAATTGTATTCATAATAAATGTCACATAATTATAAGAGGGAACAATAAATTACAAGTTTGTCATTTAGAATCATATCTGGTACATAATACTCATTCCATGTTCCAAAACTACAATCCGTAATCGTCCTTGCTATTCTTATTTCCTTTTTTTTATTATTATTCAAATAATTGGGAAAGATGACTTTACTACTAAGTTAAATTAAGAGAGTACATATTCTAATTTATCTTACTGGCAGCAGTATTTTTTTGACTTTTACTTACAATATCCTTTTCTATTTTGCTTTAAAATAAAAGCCATGCATTTTTGAGATAAGACATGAGAATTTGTTGTATACATCTCATGTGAACCTATTGCTACATTCACATGAAAAAAAATGCATAGGAAATTGACTCTATAATTTCATTGTATTAGAACTACATTTTTACCAACTTGAAATCACAGCCACAAAACAACACTCTGTTTTTACCCTTATACTATCAATATATGTTATGTGCATTATTTGAAATATAAACAGAACGTTTGCTTCATAAAACAATTTAAAAAGTGGAACTTATTCTTTAAAAATAAGTAAATTCTTTAAAACTAAGTAAAAGAAGTCAGAAAAAATAATACCATACGATTCAATGTATCAAAAATTCTAGAAACTGCAAATTGATCTATGGTGATAAAATGCAGATCAGTGGATGCCTGAACATGAGTAGGTATATGTCAGAAGGGGCAGAATGAAGGACAGATGGATATGGTTAACACCTTGGTAGCAGTAATGATTTCACAATTCTACATTGATATGGTTTGGCTCTGTGTCCCCACCCAGATCTCATGTTGAATTATAATTCTCAATGTTGGGGGAGAAACCTGGTGGTAGATGATTGGATCATGGTGGTGGATTTCCCCCTTGCTCTTCTCGTGATAGTCAGTGAGTTCTCATGTTATCTGGTTGTTTAAAAGTGTATGGCACTTCCCCCTTTGCTCTCTCTCTCTCCCGCCCCACCATGTGAAGAAGGTGCTTGCTTCCACTTCAACTTCTACCATAATTATAAGTTTTCTGAGGCCTCCCAACCATGCTTTCTGTACTGTCTATGGAATTGTGAGTCAATTGAACCCTTTTCTTCATAAATTACTCACTCTGAGGTAGTTCTTTGTAGCAGTGTGAGAATGAACTAATACAGAAAAATGGTACCAGAGAAGTGGAACATTGCTATAAAGATACCTGAAAATATGGAAGCAGCTTTGGAAACAGGTACTGGGCAGAGGTTGAAACAGTTTGGAGGGCTCAGAAGACAGGAATATGAGGGAAAGATGTGAAACTTGCTAGAGACTTCTTGAATGATTTTGACCAAAATGCTGAGAGAGACATGGTCAATGAAGTCCAGGCTGAGGTGGTCTCAGATGGAAATGAAGAACTTCTTGGGAACTGGAGTAAAAGTCACTCTTTCTATGCTTTAGCGAAAAGTCTAGCAGTGTTGTGCCCCTGCTCTAGAGATCTGTGCAACTTTGAACTTGAGAGAAGTGATTTAGAGTATCTGACAGAGAAATTTCCAAGTAGCAAAGCATTCAAGACAGCATATGCTCATATGCATGAGCAAAGAGATTATCTGAAACTGAAACTTATATTTAAAAGGGAAGCAGAGTAAAAAATTTGAAAATTTTGCAGCCTGATCCTGTGATAGAAAAGAAATTCCATTTTCTGGAAAATTCAAGCCAGCTGCAGAAATTTGCATATGTAAAGAGGAGCTGAATGTTAATAGTCAAGACCATGAGGAAAATGCCTCCAAGTTGTTTCAGAGATTTTTTAGGTAGCCCCTCCTATCACAGGCCTGGAGACCTAGGAGGAAATAATGGTTTCCTGCTGCTCTGTGAAATAAACATCTGTATGTCCAGGCAGAAGTCTGCTGCAGGGGCAGAAACCTCATGGAGAACATCTACTAGGGCAGTGTGTGGGGAAAATGTGGGGTTGGAGCCCTCACACAGAGTCCCCACTGGGTCATTGCTTAGTGGAGCTGTGAGAAGAGGGCCACTCTCCTTCAGACCTCAAAAAGGTAGATCCAATTACAGCATGCACTTTGCACCTGTAAAAGCCTCAGTCACTCAGTGTGAGCCCGTGAAAGAAGCTGCAGGTGCTTTACCTTTCAGAGACACAGAGACAGAACTGCCCAAGGCTGTGGGTGCCATCCCTTGCATCAGCATATCCTATGTGTCAGACATGGAGTCAAAGGAGATTATTTTGGAGCTTTAAGATTTAATGACTGCCCTGCCAGGTTTCTGACATGCATGGGGCCTGTAACCCCCCTTGTTTTTGCCAATTTCTCACGTTTCAAATGGGAGCATTTACCCAATTCCTGTACCCCCATTTTATTAATATATTGAAAGTAACTATCTTGTTTTTTATTTTACAGGCTCATAGGGGAAAGGGACTTGCCTTGTCTCCAACGAGACTTTGAAGCTATACTTTTCAGTTAATGTTAGAATGAGTTAAGATATTAAGGGACTGTTGAGAAGGCATGATTGTATTTTAAAATGGGAGAAGGACTTGAGATATGGGAAGGGCCAGGAGTGAAATAATATGGCTTGGCTCTGTGTCCCCACCCAAATATGTTGAATTGTAATTCCTAATGTCAGGTGAGGAACCTGGTGGGAGGTGATTGAATCATGAGGGTGGATTTCTCTTGCTTTTCTCATGATAGTGAGTGAGTTCTCATGAGATCTGATGGCTTACCAGTATAGTGCATTTTCCTTTTCGCTGTCTCTCTCTCTCTCCTGATCCATTTTGCACACAGTTTTCAAAATGCATTAGATTTTTTTGAGTCAGGTTTTCATGCACTTCTGTATTTAAGAAAACTCTCTGTTGATATCTCCGTCTTAAATTGCAACAGGTACATACTAATTTTATGAGAAATGACATTTTTATAATATTTTTCCCAACCAGTAATATATGTCTGATATTTTAGGCCTTATTTATTTCCTTCTTTAAATTTTGGATTTCATTCAGAATCATACTTTTTAAATTTTACTTATAGAGTTTATATATATATATATATATATATATATATATATATATATATATATATGTATATATGTAGCTTGAATTTTAATGATATATTTTCATTTCCTTTTGTAACTATTAAGCCCAACTATAAGAAATAAAAGCTTCATCAAAATCAATACCAAATGATCTTAATATTTTATAAAATATTTTATTTGGCCTTTATTATTTTCTAACAAATTAATTTTGTCCATTCTGAATATTTATACATTAATTTGTGTTCCTTAAAAAATTGACTAGGATATTTTAAACAAAGCTTTATAATTATGGTGGTCCTCCTTTATTTGTCTTAGTAGTAAATAATTCCATTGGCTTCAGGTGCTAGTAAATTAGAATATAATAGATGATACAAGTTATTTCTTTTTGAATTTTTCCAAATTTCAATAACTTTTCTGGTACAAGTGGGTTTTGGATACACAGGTGAATTACATAGTGGTGAAATATGAGATTTTAGTGCACCTGTTGCTTGAGTAGTTGAATGTTGTGTCAAATGTGTAGCATTTTATCCCAAAGTCCCCTACTACCCTCCCCCTTCTGAGTCTCCAAAGTCCATTATACCACTCTGTATGCCTTTGCATACCCATAGCTTAGTTTCCACTTATAAGTGAGAACATACAGTCTTTTTGGTTTTCCATTGCTGAATTACTTCATTTAGAATAATAGCCTCCAGCTCTATCCAAGTCTCTGCAAAGTACATTATTTCTTTTTATGGCTGAATAGTATTCCATGATATACACACATATATATGTGTGTATATATATGCATACGTGTATATATATGCATATGTATATATATATATATGTGTGTGTATATATGTGTATATATACGTGTGTGTATATATGTATATGTATATCTTGGAATGCTATTTATATATATCATATATATGTTTTATATATATATATATATCATATTCTTTATCCATTCATTGGCTGATGGGCACTCATGTTGGTTCCATATCTTTGCAACTGTGAGTTGGACTGCAAAAAACATATGTGTGCAGTGCACGTGTCTTTTGCATATAATGACTTATTTCCCTTTGGGTAGATATTTAATAATGGGATTGCTGGATCAAATGGAAGAATTTACTTTTAGTTCTTTAAGGAATCTTCATCCTGTTTTCCACAGAGGCTGTACTAATTTATATTCCCACCAGTAGTGGATAAGCATTTCCCTTTTCACCACATCCACAGTAACATCTATTGTTTTTTGACTTTTTAGTAATGGCCATTCTTGCAGCAGTAAGGTGGTATTTTACTGTGGTTTTAATTTGCATTTCCTTGATAATTAATGATGTTGAATACTATTTTCATATATTTGTTAGGCTTTAGTATATCTAAGGAAGTCATTTCTGTTCAAGTGATGGGAAGTGGGGATTTCCTGAAAAGTCAACTGAGATGTTTATCAGTCCAGGTAGAGAGGTTACTTCTTGTCAGGAGTGTACACATGAAACCTGGGTAAGTCAATCATCCTCTCAGCCATGGGAATAGTCACCCATCATGTTTTCCTGTCAAATCAGTATTAGATAGCCAGTACAAAGATGACTTCCAGGGTTCTGCTAAGGACAGCCACTTCTGTATAGTGCTAAGATGCTCTCATGTCAGCTAGTAACACTTCTTAAGTTGTACACAAAATGATGGTCATTGGGACCAACCCAAATGTGCAACAATGATAGACTGGATTAAGAAAATGTGGCACACATACACCATGGAATACTATGCAGCCATAAAAAATGATGAGTTCATGTCCTTTGTAGGGACATAGATGAAGCTGGAAACCATCATTCTCAGCAAACTATCACAAAGACAAAAAACCAAACACTGCGTGTTCTCACTCATAGGTGGGAATTGAACAATGAGAGCACATGGACACAGGAGGGGGGACATCACACCCTGGGGCATGCTGTCTGGTGGGGGGAGGGGGGAGGGATAACATTAGGGGATATACCTAATATAAATGAGGAGTTAACGGGTGTGGCACACCAACATGGCACATGTATGCATATGTAACAAAACTGCACGTTGTGCACATGTACCCTAAAACTTAAAGTATAATAAAAAATAAAAATAAAAAAAAGAAGAGGAAGAGAGACCTGAGCTAGCACACTCAGCCCCCTCATGATGTAATGCCCTTTGCCAATGGGGGACTCTGCAAAGAGTCCTCACCAGCAAGAAGGCCCTCACCAGTTGGTGTCCCTCAACCTTGGACTTCTCAGCCTCTGTAACTGTAAGAAATAAATTCTTTTTCTTTATAAATTGCCCAGTTTCAGCTATTCTATTATAAGCTCCAGAAAATGAACTAAAACACTATCCTTTTAACCTGCGCTTTAATAAATGTTAACTCTTGCTTTTCCTAACTTTGTACATGAATAACTTCTTTGTAGTACCCCATAGCTTCTCTCCAAACTTGGCTTCTTCCAAGACTGCTGATCCCAGGATTTAAAAGCCTATCTTCACCTGTAATACCCACATTCTGGGAGGCCAAGGCAGTCCAATCGCCTGATGTCAGGAGTTCAAGACCAGCCTGGCCAACATGGTGAAACCCCGTCTCTTCTAAAAATACAAAAAAATTAGCCCAGCATCGTGGTGCATGCTTGTAATCTCAGCTACTTGGGAGGCTGAGGCACAAAAATCACTTGACCCTGGGAGGTGGAGGTTGCAGTGAACTGAGATCACACCACTGCATTCCAAACTAGGTGGCAGAGTGAGACTCCGCCTCCAAAAAAAAAAAAAAGAAAAAAAAGGAAAAAAAAGAGAAAATGATGGTCATTTCTCTAGGCTCTCTCTGGGACAAACATTTCTTATGCTTCTGAGAAATTGGTTCTAATGTTAGGATACACTTATTTCATTTGTGGAGGTGACAGAGTGGGCAATTGAAAGAAACACAGAATGATGAACCCAGTCTTAGTCCAATATATTCCCCAAATACCCTTATTGACTTTATCTTTTTAAAAATTTAAACACAAAGTAAAACAAAGGAGAAAACAGACTCATTGTATTTATAGAAAACACAAGCCAGAAATTAATACTTTTGGAGAAAACTTGTTAAAAATATCAAACTTAAGTTTAAATATAAACATATTCTAAGATATCTAATAATAGAAATGCTTATTTTAAAAATATACATTTTAAAAATATACAGATGCAGTTTTTTACCCATTTGGGTGTGTATTTCAACATTATGGGGTGTGTTGTGTGTGTGTGTGCACACACATGCAATTGTGTGTTTGTTTGCATTCATATAACTAATGTGTTTATTAAAAAAATCTCCACCTTAAAGGAATAGCATCGCAATATATTCCAATACTTCAGAAATTTTTAATTTTAGGAAAAATTGAGTATCAACCAAAAAAGATAGTTATAGGCATACCTCAGACACATTGTTCCACATGGTTCCAGACCAGCACAATAAAGCAAATATTCAAATAAAGTAAATATTCAAATATTCAATAAAGACGTTCATCTAATTTCTTTTTTTTTTGTTTCCACGTTCATATCAAAGTTATGTTTATGCTACACAGTCTGCTAAGTGTTTAACAGCATTCAGTATGCATACAACATTATGAGTTAAGTTCACCATCTTATATGGGCATGGTTCATAGTTTCCCAACACAACTACAAATCAACAGTGAAAATACCTTAATTTAAAAATATGGTATTGCTACCATTTGCCCCAGCCATCCCATTACTGGGTATATACCCAAAGGACTATAAATCATGCTGCTATAAAGACACATGCACACGTATGTTTATTGCGGCGCTATTCACAATAGCAAAGACTTGGAACCAACCCAAATGTCCAACAATGATAGACTGGATTAAGAAAATGTGGCACATATACACCATGGAATACTATGCAGCCATAAAAAATGATGAGTTCATCTCCTTTGTAGGGACGTGGATGCAATTGGAAATCATCATTCTCAGTAAACTATCGCAGGGACAAAAAACCAAACACTGCATGTTCTCACTCATAGGTGGGAATTGAACAATGAGAACACATGGACACAGGAAGGGGAATATCACACTCTGGGGACTGTTGTGGGGTGGGGGGAGGGGGGAGGGATAGCATTAGGAGATATACCTAATGTTAAATGACGAGTTAATGGGTGCAGCACACCAACATGGCACATGTATATATGTGTAACTAACCTGCACATTGTGCACATGTACCCTAAAACTTAAAGTGTAATAATAATAAAATAAAATAAAATATATGGTATTGCTAAAAAATGCTAATGGTTATCTGAGTCTTCAGCCAAATCCTATACTGTTTGCTTGTAGAGAGCAGTGCCTCAAAATTGATGGTTGCCTCCTGATAAGTGTGGGGGTTTCTGAAGGTAGGGTTTGCTGTGACAATTTCTCAGAATAAGACAACAACAAAGTATGCTGCATCAATTGACTCTTCTTTTCATTAAAGATTTCTCTGTAGCACGCAATGCTGTTTGATAGCATTTTACCTACAGTAGAACTTCTTTCACTAATGCAGTCTATTTTTTCAAATTCTGCCACTCCTTTATCAACTACCTTTATGTATTAATAATACAAATACTTTGTTGTCATTTCAACAATGTTCACAAAATCCTCACTAGGGGTAGATTCCATCACAAGAAACCACCGTTTTGCTCATTTATAGGAAGCAACTCTTCATTTGTTCAAGATTTATCATTAGTTTGCAGCACTCCAGTTTCTTATTTAGGCTCCACTTCTAATTCTGTCTCTCTTGGTCTGCAGTTACTCCCTCCAATGATATCTTGAATGCTCTCAAAATAATCCATGACAATTGGCATTAACTTCTTTCAAACTTCAGTTAATATTGATATTTTGACGTCCTTCCATGAATCACAAATGTTCCTAGTGACATCTAGAATGGTGAATCTTTTTGAGAAGGTTTCAGTTTACTTTGCACAAGTCCATCAGAGGAATCATTGCCTGTGACAGCTATAGCCTTATGAAGTGTATTTCTTAAATAATAAGAGTTGAAAGTAAAATTACTCCTTCATCCATGGGCTGAAGAATGGATGCTTTGTTAATGGGTATAAACATATTAATCAGCTTACACTGTTTCATAAGAATTCTTGGGTGACCCGGTGCTTTGGCAATGAGCAGTAATGTTTTGAAAGGTATCTTTTCTTCTGAGCAGTAGCTCTCAACAGTGGGTTTAAAATATTCAGTAAACCATGCTGTAAACAGATATACTGTCATCAAGGCTTTGTTGTGCCTCATTTCTAGAGCACAGGCAGAGTAGATTCCTAAGGGCTCTAGGATTTTCATAATGATAAATGAGAATTGGCTTCCACTTAAAGTCACCAAGTACATTAGCTCCTAACAAGAGAGTCAGCCTGTTTTCTGGAGCTTTGAAACCAGGCATTGACTTCTCCTTTCCAGTTACAAAAATTATGGAAGGTAGGTTTTTCCAGTATAAAGCTGTTTTTTCTACATTGCAAATCTGTTGTTTATTGTAGCCACCATCATAAATTATCGCAGCCAGATCTTCTGCATAACTTGCTGAAGCTTCTGCATTAAGACTTGCTGCTTCACCTTGCACTTTTATGATATGGATACAGCTTCTCCCCTTAAACCTCATGAAACAACTTTGCTAGCTTCCAGTGTTCCTTTTATAGCTTAGTCACCTCTCTCAACCTTCATGGAATTGAAGAGCATTAGGGCTTTGCTCTGGATTAGGCTTTGGCTTAAGAGAATGTTGTGGCTTGTTTGATCTTTTACCTAGACCACTCAAACTTTCTGCATATCATCAATAAGACTATTTCATTCTTTTACTATTCCTTTGTTCATTGAAATAGCAACTTTAGTTTCCTTCAAGAAATTTTCCTTTGCATTCACAGCTTGGTTAACATTTTTGGAGACGAGGCCTCATTTTCAGCGTACCTTGGCTTTCAACATACCTTCCTCACAATGGTTAATCATCACTTCTAGCTTTTTATTTACATTGAGAGACTTATTGGAAAACATTGAGGCCATTGTAGGACTAATTGGCCTGATTGAAATATTGTCATGTCTTAGGGAGTATGGCAGCCCACAAAGAGGGAGAGTGATGTGAAACTGGTTGATTGGCGGAGCATTTAGTATGCATACAACATTATTAATTAAGTTCACCATCTTATATGGGCATGGTTCATACTGCCCCAACACAATTACAAATGACAGCAACATCTATGATCAGTCACAGATCACCATAACAAATATAAAACTAATGAAAATATTTGAAATATTGTCAGAATTGCCAAAATGTGACAGAGAGACACAAAGTGAGCACATGCTATTGAAAAATAAATAGATCATATGGTCTTCCTCCAGGCAGGGTTGCCACAAAATTTTAATTTCTTTTTTTAAAAAATGCAGTGATTTCAAAGTACTATAAAGCAAAGCACAATAAAACAATGTATGCTCACATATCAGTAAAGATGGGTTATATTTTTCTGTGTTAATTATTAACTCCAAATCTTAGGGCTTTAAAACAGTAAAGAGTGCTTACTTTGATGGTATATACAAAAATGTGAATGATATAGAAAATATTAGCAGGGCCCTTGAAGAAGGATGACACAGATTTGTGAAATGTTCCATGTATTTTTGAAATATCACACTGTACCACAAAGTAGGTACAATTATTATGTGTCAATTAAAAAAATAATAAAAGCAAAAAGAAAAATATGAATTTTCATCATTTACAAAAAATATTTATTTTTAAGTTTTCTGGATCTCACTGCTGCACAGTTCAACTAATTATATGTTTTTACGATGTCCTCTTTTGGATAATCAGACTCTTGAAAGAACTCCTTCTAGAAAGATGGTCAATAATCATAGAGGGAGGGAAGGAAGACCATGGCCACCAATGCACTGACACTTGAAGGTCCTACTGGAAGTAACTGATGGAGCTTCCAATTGCATTTTACTAGACAAAATAAACAACTTAGCCAAACCTTACAACTGGGGAGTAGTTAGGAGGTACAATTTTACCTCATGCCTAGAAATAAAGAAAAATACAATTTTTGCACATAATAATTCTTACTGTCATCCACCCTTCAACTCATCAAACACCACTTGGTTCATTCTCTTTTCCCCATTCAAAATACACTCATCTCCAAAGAAGAAAAAGAAAAACAAAAAGAAAAAGTTTCTTATAGTGAGAACATTCAGCTCAATATCGTGGACTTTTGTATAATATGTGGCCGTTTTGATTTAAGAAAATCTCTGCATTAAGCTCAGATGTGGCTTGTTTTGACACAGATTTCTGTGAGTTAAAATGACAAGTTATATTGTACACACACACACACACACACCCACAGTGCACACCCATGAGAGGAACAGAAACACAATAACAACCACAGAAACTGCCATTTACATGTCAGAGGAAGAGACATCAAAATACCTAAAAAAGAAATTAAGAAAATAATCCCATTTACTATAATGAAAAACAAAAGAATGTATACAGATTCCTCTAGACCTACAAAAGGTTATATCTTGATAAACCCATCGTATAAGTCGAGAACATTGTAAGTTGAGCCCTTCTAAGTCAGGATTGTCAGTATTTAGGAATAAACTTAACAAAGGAGGTGAATGATGTGTATACTGAACACTATAAAACATTGATTAAAAAAATTAAAGGAGACACAAACAAATGTAAAGATATCACATACTTCTGGATTGAAAGAATTAATGTTATTAAAATGTCTGTACTACAGATTTTACAGATTCAATGCAATTCCTATCAAAATTCTAATAGCATTTTTCACAGAAACAGAAAACAATCCTAAAACTTATATGCAACCAGAAAAGATCACAAATAGTCAAAGAAACTTAAGAACAAGAACAAAGCTGAAGGCATACATTACCTGATTTCAAATAATGTCACAAAGCTATAGTAATCAAAACAGTGTGGTACTGGCATAAAAAAAGACACATGGAGCAACAGAACACAATAAAGATCACAGAAACAAACCCATATATATATATATCCATTCAACTAATATTCAACAAAAGTGCCAAGAATACACAATGGTGAAAGAACAGTGTCTTTGTTAAACGCCATTGGGATAACTGGATGTTCAGATGCCAAGTAACAAAATTGGGCCCTTATATTATATCATACACAAAAATCAATGCATAGACTTCAATGTAAAACCTGAAACTGTAAAAATCCAAAGAAAACATACGTAAAAAGTTCTTTGAATTTTTTGGGGGGGTATAACACCAAAAGCACAGGCAACTAAAGCAAAAATATCTGTGATTACATCAAACCAAAAAGTTTCCACACAGTAATGGAGACAACAATCAGTAAAGGAAACCTATGGAATGGGAGAAAATATTTGCAAATTATATATCCAATAAAAGCCTAATATCTAAAATATATAAGAAAGTTGTATGTGTATTTATATACACACACAAAACTCAATAGCAAAATATAATAATAATGACCTGATTTAAAAATGAGGAAAAGATCTGAAGAGACATTTTCCCAAAGAAGACATACAAAAGTCTGACAGGCATATAAAATGGTACTCAACATCAGAGATCATCAAAAAAATGCAAATCAAAATCACAAAGAAATAAGAACTCACAACATTAAGATGGCTTTTATAAAAAAGAAAAAAGGTAACAAGTGTTGTTGAGGATGTGGAGAAAAAGGAACTTTTATATGCTGTTAGTGTAAATGTAAATTGGTATAGCCATTATGAAAAATAGTATGAAGGTTCCTTAAAAAGTAAAAAAAAAAACCACCATATTTTCCAGCAATCCCACTTTTGGATGTGTATACAATGAAAATGAAAGTAGCATGTTGAAGACATCTTGGGTCACATTTTCATTGTTGTATTATTCATAATAGTCAAGATATGGAAACAGGAATATTATTTTGAAATTATTATACAGAAATATTATTTAGCCCTTAAAAAATCCTGTCAATTGTGACAACATGGATGAACCTGGAAGACATTATGCTAAGTGAAATAACCTGGACACAGAAAGACAGTCCTGCATGGTCTTACTGATATGCAGAATCTAAAACAGTCAAATTGAATGTTTGCACAGTGGTTGTCAGGGGTTAGGTGTATGAGAGAAATATGAGGATTTGGGTCATAAAGTGCAAACTTTCAGTTATAAAATGACTAAGTTCTGGCAATCTAATGTATAGCAGATTGACTATAGTTGACAATAATGTATTTCATACTTGAAATTTTCTAAGATTAGATTGTAAGAGTTCTCAATGAAAAGGAAAAATGGTTAATATGTGAAATGATGTATAGATTAATTAGCTTGATTGCAATGTATATGTATATCAAAACATCACTTTATACACCTTAAATATACACTATGTGTATTTATTAATATCATTTAATATAATGCTTCTGCATCAACTGGAATTATTCTTCTAGGATTCTAATTGCATAAGTAATCTTTTCGGTTTCTCCCGTATGTCTCTCATATAACTGTTCACATTTTCCAACTTTTTGTCTTTTTGTGCTTTAACTGGAATATTTCTTTAGTATCTCTTTTCTGGTATACTAGATAGGATTTTTAGCTGTGTATAATTTGATACCAACTCAAATTTTTAAAATTCTTATGGAACTAATATTTTTTGGTTCCAAAATGTTTGTTTATTTCTTTTTTTGTAATGCTTTTTATTTTTATTTATTTTTATTTTTTTATTATACTTTAAGTTCTAGGGTACATGTGCATGACATGCAGGTTAGTTACATATGTATACATGTGCCATGTTGGTGTGCTGCACCCATTAACTCGTTATTTAACATTAGGTATATCTCCTAATGCTATCCCTCCCCCCTCCCCCTACCCCACAACAGGCCCCAGTGTGTGATGTTCCCCTTCCTGTGTCCATGTGTTCTCATTGTTCAATTCCCACCTATGAGTGAGAAAACGCGGTGTTTGGTTTTTTGTCCTTGTGATAGTTTGCTGAGAATGATGGTTTCCAGCTTCATCCTTGTCCCTACAAAGGACATGAACTCATCATTTTTTATGGCTCCATAGTATTCCATGGTGCATATGTGCCACACTTAAACTACCATTGGAGTGAACAGGCAACCTACAGAATGGGAGAAAATTTTTGCAATCTACTCATCTGACAAAGGGCTAATATCCAGAATCTACAATGAACTCAAACAAATTTACAAGAAAAAAACAACCCCATCAAAAAGTGGGCAAAGGATATGAACAGACACTTCTCAAAAGAAGACATTTATGCAGCCAAAAGACACATTAAAAAATGCTCATCATCACTGGCCATTAGAGAAATGCAAATCAAAACCACAATGAGATACCATCTCACACCAGTTAGAATGGTGATCATTAAAAAGTCAGGAAACAACAGGTGCTGGAGAGGATGTGGAGAAATAGGAACACTTTTACACTGTTGGTGGGACTGTGAACTAGTTCAACCATTGTGGAAGTCAGTGTGGCGATTCCTCAGGGATCTAGAACTAAAAATACCATTTGACCCAGCCATCCCATTACTGGGTATATACCCAAAGGATTCTAAATCATGCTGCTATAAAGACACATGCACATGTATGTTTATTGCAGCACTATTCACAATAGCAAAGACTTGCAACCAAGCAAAATGTCCAACAATGATAGACTTGATTATTTCTTTAGTGAGATTTCAGCTATGCCTGAGAATTTTCAAAAGTGTCACTTATTTTTTTGATGTATTTAGTGCAGTTATTTAAAAATATTGCTTCTGTAATTGTGTTTTCAATATTTTCCCCTAAAGTTACACATTTACTATTTATGTGAATGCTACATTTACATAATATGCCACAGTAAATTCCCAATTTGTTGCTGGCAAAATTTGATCAGCTTTTTGCCACTGCCTAACCTGGAAGTTCATTTTAGTAAACTACAGAAACAGTTTTCTGACCACAGTCCACTTTGATCACACTCCAATACCATATGTGATCTGTTATTAGCAATCACAGCTCTTCACCACTGAGGTCAACTTCTATTTCACTCAGGATAAACTAGGTTGCACTGTAAGGTATAAATCACCAAAAAGAGCAACAGTTATTTTTCGCTCATGCTGCATTCATATTACCAGATAAATGGGATTCTAATCTTTTTTTATTTTCATTCCTAGATGCAGACTAGCCAATAAACTACCATTTAGAATCTTGTTGATTGATATGGCTCCAAGAAAAACATTCTGACAAATTACATACTGGCTCTTAAAAATTCTTCCTGGAAATTACAAATATATTTCTGCAGATATTTTATTAACTAAAACATATTACCTTGCCTAGAAAGTGGTTAAGTTAGGGCATATTATGTGCCCAGAGATAGAAAAATTAGAATGTCTTGGGCACCCTAATTACGACTTAAAATTTTGTGCTATACAGATTTCAAAAGCTAATTCCTGATTCTCTCTCTCTGTCTGTCTCTCTCTCTGTCTCTCTCTCTCTCTCTCTCTCTCTCTCTCTCACACACACACACACACACACACACACACACAAAATTTCAGGTTAGATATTGTAAAAATAGAAAGACAATGAAATCGTCTAAAATAAAACTAAGTCCAATTTTGTAGTCAAAAAGGAGTCATTACATAGGTGCAACACATTCTTTCTCTTTGTTTCTTTCTTCCTTCTGTTCTCCAGTAAACACTATGAAGAACATTTTCTTTTTAGCAATGATAGAACAACTTTAATCAGAGCAATGATCTTGGTGAACATATGTAGAAAAGCTAAATGAAATAATAGATGTATATCTTTCAGAGAAATGCAGTGGCAAATAAGGCCTGAGCAAGAAAACACACTGTAGTGAAGAAATCCATATAATGAGGTGCTAACATTCTGAAGGTGATTTTTCCTTAAGTGTGTTTGTTGATTATAGTATAGGAAGATTCTGAGAATCTATGCAGAAGTCCTAGGCAGGTTATTATAAGCAACAAATGAATCAGCAGAAGATTTGTCTCTTCCATGTCCTGGAGAAATACAATTTTTAGTTAAGAAATGACAAGGCAGTCAGCATTTGGGGTGGGAGAGAAGCACACGATCTTAGGGATAACAGAAGTGTAGGAAAGTAAGTCAAATACTCTATGAGTTTTCTCCATTAGACATTTGGTTAATTCTTACACAGTGTAATTACTAAGGATAAGAATAAAAACTGTAAGACACTGAAAGAAAAAAACAAGTTCTCTGCAATCTTAATGATACTGAGGAGTTACATTTCAGTTCAGACTCCACAAGGATATAAACCTTACCAAATGCCATATCAGCTGTAAATTCAGGAGGGTTACTTAGGAGAAATGGAGACAGCCAGATACATATTTAAAACATGCTACCAAGCCTCAAATCAGTTTTCTGATTGAATGGAAGTGATATAATAACACTTTATATTTCACACTTTATATTTCTAAAATAGCAACATTTCTGTTGAGGAAAATAATGTCATAGATAAACTTAACAGTTTATCATTGATAATATCTGATTTCAAGTGATAAATTGCAAGTTACCAAGAAACAGGATCAGGAGTAAAAACAGACAATAGGAACAGACAGATTATCCATTATTTATGTTACAAAAGATGGAGACTGTGTGATTAATCTATTTAAGGAAATAAAAAGAAGCATGCAGATATTTAGGTGATAACTAGACTTTAAATATATATAATATATAATATATATTATATAATATATATTATGATATATATTACATGTAATACATATTATATATATCATATAATATATTATATAATATATATTATATATCATATTATATATAATATATATTATATGATATATAATATATATAATATACATAATATACATTGTAATATATATTATATATAATATACATAATATATATTATATATAATATGTATTATAATATATTATTATATATAATATATTATAATATATTATATAATATGTATTATAATACATATTATAATATATTATATAATATGTATTATAATATGTATTATAATATATATAATATAATATAATATATATTATAATATATAATATAATATATATTATAATATATAATATAATATATATTATAATATATAATATAATATATATTATAATACATTATAATATGTATAATATAATATATTATAATATATATTATATTATATATAATATAATATATAATAATATATATTATAATATATATAATATAATATACAGTATTATATATATTATATTATAATATATATTATGTACACATTATAATATAAATTATATATTATAAAATATATATATTTTAAAAATATTTAAATATATATCTTTTAAAAATATATAAATTTTTATATAAAATATTTTGTATAAAATATATATTTAAAAATGTATATAAATTTAAATATATTTTATATATTAAATATATATTTAAAATATATATTTATATATTAAATATATATTTAATATATATATTTAAATTTAAATATATATATTAAATATATATATTTAAATTATATATATATTAAATATATATATTTTAAAAATATATATGTGTGTGTATATATATATACACACACACATATAATTCTAGAACTGGCAAGTGCAATATTTGAAATTAAGAATTCAATAGAGGGATATAACAGAAGGTTTTTCATGGAAGAAAAGATAATAGGCCAACTACAAAGCAGATAAATAAAAAATAACAATCCTAAGACATAGAGAGCAAAAATTATAAAAATGTTTGATTAAAAGAGCCAAAGATTTATCAAGCAAACAGCATAAGCTTTTCATATAAGTGTATATTGTCTCACAGTAGGAGAAAAAGAATGCTGTAGATAACAATGTTCAAAGAGAGAACATCTGAGAAATTTTCAAAGATTTCATAAAACAACAAATCATAGACTCAAGAAATCCTATGAAGTCAAAACAGAAGAAAATTTAAACACAAAATCACACTTTTAGAACCTATTTGTAAAATTTCTGAAATCAAATATTTAAACTAAGAAAACATGGCTACTTTATTAAGAAAACAAAAGCTTTAACATTTCCTTTTTTGTGGCATTTAAATATATGTGACTCCAATTTTTTTCAAAACAATTTCCCGTGAAAAATATGGACTTTTCTATTATTTGGCTACTACTTTACATTTTAGAATGTAAATCAAATGTTACAGTAATAACTGTTCAAAATAATTAATTTAGAATTGAAATGCTACTCTTTCAGAGGTTTAAAATTGTTAAGACTGTGAACATTTGTTCTCTGAGTTATACACTAGTCCCTTCTTACCTACAGGGAATACGGTCCAAGGCCTTCAGTGGATGCCTGAAACCATGGATACAGCTGAATCCTATATAAACTATATTTTCTCCTACATGTACATATATTTCTACAGATAGTTTACTTTATAAATTATGCACAGTAAGAGATTAACTAAGATAATAATTACCAATGGAACATTTATAATAACTTTGTGAGTGTGGTCTCTACCTCTACAAAATGTTTTATCGTATTTTACTCACCCTTGTTGTGATGGGTCGATCTGATAACCCAGACAACTGCTAAAAGATAACTGTGTACTAAAATGTCAGGTAGCATACAGCATGGACACTAAACAAAGGGATAATTGACTAGTGGGCAGAACTGAGTGGGATGGTGTGGGATTCTATCATACTACTCAAAAACGCACAATTTGAAACTTATGAATTATTTCTGGAAGTTTCCATTTAAAAGTTTTAGACCATGGTTTACTACAGGTAACTAACACCACAGAAAGTGAAGGAGGAAATAAGGGGGGAGGGGGCGCTACTGTGTATTTTTGACAATCTTACGTTCACTTTGATCTGTATTTCAAATACCTGGTTTATTGTTTACTGGAAAATGAAAAAACACACCTATTAAATTGAATTTCAGTAGCAGCAATTTATTTTGCTTTATCATCCCTGAAAGTTAATTGAAAACTCTGTAAAAAAAAAAAAAAAAGTCAGTGATGGATAATATTTTAATTTGTAGTATTGGGGTAAACATCAATTGATTGTAAAGAAAAAATTCTTGGAAAATAACTTGTGAATTAAATGCAAAATGTCAAACAATAGTTATATGTATGCAGAAAGTTTTTCATTTTTTAATCCTTAAAAATACACATAAAAGTGTATGTAACATAAAGATCAGTGTTTAAAACCAATAGCATGTAGCATTTTCTAAATTTTTACAATGATAAATAGGTCCTTCTTTAAAATTTAATATACTACCCTTTGGTTTAAAAATGATATGTACTTGGCTTCTGTGAATATATTAGAACATTAGCTAAAATTTGTATACTTGTAAATTCAGTAATATTATCTAAATAAGTAAAACAATAACAACTGTCTTACAGAACTTTCAGTTATTCTTATGAATGGCATAATAGTAAAAAATGCAAAGTCCCAATAATTCTGCATATCTCTTATTTCATAAAATAGTTTCAGTGTATTGCCATAAATGTGCTACTTCAAAACAAGCTATCTAAAATATCCTAGATTGATCCTTTAAGTAATGTTAGTTATATGGCTGTAGGTATATTTTTTCAATAACTGATGATATGAGTTATTTACCTATACTTTTCACCATTTAATTAAGGCCCTAATTATAATATTTCACAGAAATATCATTAAAAGCTATGCATTCTCTAAAAATGTTTAAATTGTTTGTGAAAAAATAATTTCAAACATCTATAAAAAGGGGCCCTTTGAAAATTGGCAAAGAGCGACAAAAAAGAGCTGCAGAATGCAATCATTTTTTGACTACCATTGTGTGTAACAGAGTTTGTGTGCTTTCCAAAATTTGTCTGAGCTGCCAGGCCTGCAAGACATGTTTGCAGGAATTTGGAAAGGAAATCTGCCATGTTCTGTATTCTTGTCATGGGCATGAAGAAAGTTTTAAAGAATGAAATTTGATCTACTGCTATACATTTAAATTCAGTAATAACAATTTCAGCAATAACAATTTCAAGCAAAAACTTAACTTTAGGTTTTAGCAATAACAACTTCAAGAAAACTTAACCTTGGGTTAAGTAAAAAATGTTATATTTATTTGAATGTCAGTATCATTTTCAAAGTTGTTCTCTTTCTGAAAACTTACTTGAAAGTTAATATTATTTATTAATATTATAATTTTTTCAAGTCATATACTCAATGAATCCCTTTGTTTAAAATATTGTACATTTTAAAAGCAGGTTGTATGGTGAAATGGCATGTAAAGCAGCTCTCATGCTGAAATTACTAATGAATAAAATATAAATTATTGTAACAATTAATAATAATATTGGCTTATTATGTCCAATATGCTCCAC
Source organism: Homo sapiens (assembly GCF_000001405.40). Classification (NCBI taxonomy): domain Eukaryota; kingdom Metazoa; phylum Chordata; class Mammalia; order Primates; family Hominidae; genus Homo; species Homo sapiens. Next base: position 194,478,434 of record NC_000001.11, on the reverse strand, counting down.
TGATTCTGAATACATTTTAAAATTTCAAATGATTACTAATAAACAACTAGGTTAAATAAAATTATTCACAAAAAATACTTGATTAAAAAGTCATAGACAATAATTATACAGTGTAGAATTATAGAAATAATTAATCACTTGGTAATTTTCCCTAGTTGGGGCAAGCCACAAAATAAAATATGTAGAAGACAAAATCTATGATTCCTGAGGCTTAAAAACTGTCTAACATTCTTCTTTCATTAAAGATAAAATGAATTGCATAAGAGAACTCTGAGGAAGGTCAAAATCATACATTTTGAGGAACTGAAACTAATTTTAACTTAGAGTGATATTATCACCAACTGGATACTCAAATCTGTACTTCACATATACATTTACATTTTCATTTCTACTTAAGGTTTGATATAAGTCCATTACCTTTAGCAAGAATGGTCAAATATATTAATTTGACCAACTCTCATAGAACCATTCCCATAAAAAATACCAATGCAGAATTTGTCTATACCTTTAAAAAATTTAATTAAAACATGAATAGTATAGCCCACTGAGGGATAAACCAGATCTTTCTGTTTTACTAATAAGAATTAATTTTTGTAATGTAATTTTATTCTTAAAATAGATAGCTACATGCAATAATAATTTGCTAACTATCTAGCTAGTAGCTATCGATTGATTTATCGACTTATCTATCATCTATTCCATTTTCCCAGCTTATGGCAGATAGCCCTTACTTCTTAAAATCCTTTGGGAATTGCCTCGTTGGAAAGAACATCCTCATTAAAGGGCATGTTCCTTTCTCAGGTTGGCCTTTATCCAGTAGCTGATCTATTTGAGGTAAAAATGTCTTGATTTTTTCCCTGTTTGGGAAAACTTCGAAGAATCATTCCTGCTTCAGAGTTTCTTGTAGGGTTGGCGGAGGCTTTAACTGAGAATTCCATCTCAGAGTTCCCAGGGAAATCAAACCAAGAGACCAAAACTTGTAGTGTAGACTAGTAATTATCACACTACATAATAAGTTCTCAGTGACTATCTACAAATGACCAATTAAGAGTTCTAACTGTGTGCCTAAGAATAAACACACTAGTGCCTGGTTTCTGTCTTATAATTTTTTGCATGTTAGATACACATTTAAATAATCAGCTAAACACTTTAAGACACAAGATTGTTAGGCAATATTGTATAAATTAGTGATGTATATTTCTTCCTGAAGAGCACTGAAGCTACTGCCATAAAATAGGAGACCGTAATGTTTTGATTAATTTTCTTATAGCTTGAAAGCATAGATTTTTTTTAGCACATGTCATCACAATCAGATAGTTCCTTTTAAAAAGCACTTGAACAATGGCATAGTGACACACAAGCATGCTTCAGAGAAAAAGGCAAATTTTATTTTAGCAACTTTATTATTGTAACTTTTCACTGAGCACTCAAAATACTATTTGGCTGAATCATTAAAGTGGTGTCACGTTTTTATTATTTTGAAAAGAAGCTCTTCATTCCAGTTATGAAAAGAATTTACAAAGTAAAACACAAAGTCTTTGACAAACACCAGAGTATTCTAATGAATATTTAGGGCTGCACCTGAGTAGATAATTCCAATTTCTATACTATGAGTGCTACAGATATTATTATTTGTTAATGTAAACCAAACCCTTTTATGAACTGATTAAATATATTTTACGTGTAAGTATTAAATGTGTACTTGAATTCTGGAAAACATATGGAAGTCCTTAATGTTTTTCACATCTTACTAGGCATGGGGAATAAAGATGAATAGAACGTACTACTTGTCTTTCAGAATCTCAATTCAGTAGGGGAAATTCCCCTAATTAGTATACTGAGATTAAATGAGACTTTTCTGCTTCCCACTTCCTCCTTGTTTTGGGGGTCCCCAGCTAAATTGAGGTTCCAGTGCAGAAGTACAAGAGTGGCTAGCAACCCTGTCCTAACAAGAACTGAAGGGGAACTGGACATGGTGTTTTCTGGTATGACTTTCATGGAATACTTCTTTTACCTGACAGACGGATTCATGTCTCTTTGTCTGACCTATGACCATGGCATCTTTCATTAGGGAAACTTGATACTGGTAAATGCCCTCATGGCTCTTGTCTTTCCCATGACAGTTTACACATGCTTGATTACTTCTCTGGTGCTGGGAGCCTGACTCTGTGGTACCCATCTCCAGCATTCTGGAAAACAGCAGCCTAGGGTAGTCCCTTGTTCTTTAAATAAAGGGTACAAATTCAACACAACACCACAGTAGGAAGCAAGTTAAAAGATTTTTACTTTCAAACCCTGGGCAAGTAGGACATAGTCATGAGGGCAGTCTCCATCTTGGGTCATGAGAGGCAAGAATGAAGAGTGAGCAGAGGGAGAGAGAAGCATGTAGCCACTAGCAATATACGTGTGTATACACATATTTACTCTCTCTCTCTATATATAAGAGTAGGGTGTGGGACAGTTTAAACGGCAGGAGCAAACACTTAAAATGTCCATTTAAAGGAAGGGTTAGGAAAGCAGGGAATCAAGTCTGCTCATGGGAAAGGTGCTTCTAAATTCTTATCTGTGGCCACTGACTTGAGCCATGAAGGTGTGCTGCAAGCCTGGAAACTGTTTTAAGGGTGACTAAGCCCGTTTCTTGTATGAGAAAATTAAACTTATATTTCAAATAGATTCCAAGGCAACATAAAATTATAAAAATTCACTACACTCCTTCTCTAGAGTCAAGCATAAATCAAATTAAGGTGAGCTATAGACACTTTTAGCATAAAAATCATACTAAAGATGCTCAAAGGATTACTAAACAGGGTAGATTGTTTGTTAAAAATCTGATTATCTTGAGTCTTGACCAGAGAGAGAATCTAGTGGAAGTGACACTGATAGAAAAGGGCAGACAAATCAATATTGATTATTTAAGTGTTCTCATTGTCTCTTTAAAGATGTGTAATGCACATCTCAAACCCAACTAACTAAGTTTTTTAAATGTTCTTCCAGATGCTTCGGTTTTTGCTTAATCTAAGGAAACTCTGTTTGTGGCACTGAATGTACTACCCTCATCCTACTCAAGATAATGTATTACTTTGTGGCATTATCAAACAATTTGTAAGTTTTATCTCTCTAGTTAGTATAAAGGGATAAGAGAACACATAAGAAAGGTATTCAACTTAAAGGTTTTGAGCAGGTCACTGAAAGGGAAAAAAAAATATTAAAGTTAGGCCTTCAAAGAGGACTCTCCTTTTTCTAATTGAACTAGGTGATAAACTTATTTCTCAGGCAGAGGCTCCAGCATAAACAAAGAGAGGTCAGAAAAATGCTTTCCAGAAACACCAACTGTCAGGATTGTAAGGCAAGTGTGTTATTCTAAGGCTGCAGTATCTGAGAAGGAAACTCAAATGATAGTTTGGTGACAGATTACAAAGGGCTGACATCTTCAATTACTTAGCCCTGGAACATTTGCCAAAAGCCCTATACCAGTCACCTTCTGCATTTTCATCTAGAGCTCCCTGATGGGAGGATGGTTTGCAATCCGGTCTAATGGCAACTTGCTTGAGTTAGCACAGACATTGAGTGCAATGAGCATGAGTAATTCACTTTTCTGAGACAACAAGTATAGAGCAAGGTTAAGGAGTGGCGGAAAGCTTCAGAGTAATCCTCCAGCCATCATGGACATGGACCGTGGTTGCTACCAGGGGCATTTGTGTTTTAAGTGTCAAAGGAACACTGTGTAATGGCCATGTAATATTCAGTGAGGGTTTGAGAAGGAAGGGGAAGGGGTAGAGGCTTTGGAAAGTACAACTTTAGGAACAGCCCTGATTCTCCAGCTTTGCATACTCCATCTGTCCCTTTTCAGCTTACTATGTTTATCATATTGTCTAGTCTGTCTTGGGATTCTTCTAATTTTACTCTGGCTTTTTAAAGATTTTTTTTTCATTTCTCTTTTATAGTCTTCTTTCATAAAGAAAATAATCTCATTAAGTTAAATTTTAATTCATTTAAAAATAATGATCACAATTGTTATCTCTTCCGTGGCAACAATTTTAAGTTTTGCTGCTTTTCCCCCCCTACTCTTGTTCCTTTCAGTTTTAGCACTTCTGCATTGATGCTTTAACAGGCCCTTATTTATTCTTCACCATGGAGAAAGATTTTCAACGAACAGCAGTTTTCACAAGGTGTGTGCGAGACTAGAAGGGTAAGGGAGAGGTCCAGGATAGATGACTTTCACACTCCAATGTTCTCTTCTGGCTGCCCTAGAATACGGCTATTTGTGAGAGTCTTCTTACAGCCTGCCCTCATGCATCCTGAACAAGCAAACTGCACAAAAGAACTTTTGTCCCCTTTATAGTCACCCCAGGCTCTATGCCTACTGTAAACAAAATATACCATTTTTGATCTGAAAATGTGTCCATCACTGTTGGGAAATATACATTATGTGAACACTTGCCAAAATGTGCTGCTGTACTTTCCAAAAACAACTCTTTCTCTCCCATCTGCTCTACCCCTTTCTCAGCTGCTATTGTCAACCCTTAGATTTATTTCATAGTTGGTGGGTTATATATTTTTCTTAGTCTTACTCAAATTAGATTCTATGTTTAATGTTTCATTTTCCTTTTTGCTTTAGGGTGGCTTTCCGGAGGAAAAAGGGAAAGTGATGATTTTTATAGTTACGTTATCATTGGAAGTCCCTAGTTAAAATTGTTGGCTTAATCTCTTTATCCTGAGAATTATGTGCTAAATCTTTGACTGTGATTGTAGGTTTATGTTTTCATTTTTCAAATTCTTTGTATATATATTTTGAGGCTACATTATTAGATACATAGAGATTCATGACTCTCTTTTTTGATGAATTAAAATTAATTAGAATTGTTATCTATATGCCAAATTGTTAAGTTATACTTCCATTAAACCATTAATGCTCTTTTGGTTAAATCTATTTTATCTTAGATGGCTACTCATACATACACCAGTATGCTTTTTCTATTTTTTTATTGTCTAACTTTTGGTTTTATTGTCTTTAGACCAGTAAATCAACTCATTTTATTTTTACTAAAAGAGTTGCTATGTTTGAATATGTGTTAACATATCATCTTTTTTTCTGTAACTTATTATTTTTTTCTCTTTTCTATACTTGTTTTCCTCCTCCTTTTCTTCTCTCTATTCCCTCTGTGCTAATTAAAACTTACATCCCTAAATACTGAGGTTTATATCTGGATCCAGCTCTTCCCAAGATATTACAATTTTAACTTTGTTCCTCACCTTTATATGTTCACTTCTCTCTTCTCATTTAATATGGGTAAATTCTCCTATTTCATTGGAACTTGTGAATATATATCCACATTTAATTTCATTGTGATTTTTGTCCAGAATTTGAGATATTACCCAGAGATCTCTAAATAAAAGAGAGATGATACATACATACATACATATATACATAGATATAAAGTGAAGAGACTATGATAGAGAAGAAAATCAAAATTTTAATTTATCTTTCTAAAAAGTTAGAAATAAACATATTGCATCAATTATTACTGAATTTTGAAACGTCATAGTCACAAAAGTTTTAACAGTTATTTAATTAATGGTAAAAAGTATTCTTTTTTACCATTCTAATTCTACAAAGAAAAACATTTTAATCTCAAATCTATTCAATCTTCTAGACTTCTAAACTACTTTTTATATTACAATGTTGAGTGGAACTCTTTCTGTGGCCAGTAGGGTCTAAAATTGTACCCAACATTTTAAAGATGGCCACACACAGCTAGGCAAGCTGCCTCATCCAAATGCTTCAGCAACATCTTCCTGCTTAGGCCGTTTTTTTGTAAAGAAGACTAAATGTGAAAATGGAGACAAGGTCAGAGTTGGGAGAACTGAGTGTGGTGGGAAGTGTTATGGCTCTTCTGGGCTGAGGCATCAATAAGCAAATAGGCTTATCTAGATGCTAATCAATATAAACACCTACAGATTTAACTTTGGGAACGTATTTTATTAGATATATTGATGTTCAATTCTAGTACCATCAACTTTCTACCTCAATTCTCTGTGCACTTACCATCTTCCTATAATCTCATATATTTTACTTTCACTGTCAGATATGTTACATGCAGATCTCCTGGGTTCAAAGAATCCCTATAAGTGCTAATGGTGAAGCGTTCAATGACAGGAACTTCTCAGGATGAGAACTTTAATAGTCACCCCGTAGGTGACTTTCAAATGCTTTGTATTCCTGATTAATATTATGGAATTTTCATCTGTTACTCTATCAGAAATTTAAAGAAGTGTTTACACACAATTTTAGATAATACTCAACAACAGAATACATTTTGTAACCCTAGGCAATGATCAGGAAAAAATAATTTTTTAACAGTTTTTAGCTTTTAGTTATAATCCTTTATGATGTTTCTACCTTTCAATTGACTGTTAAAAAAAAAAAAACAATTTTTTTAAACAACCTTACTTAAGCGGATCACTTAGCTTCTTAAAAGTTAATATGTATATTAGATTCCTATTGCTGCCATAACGAATTCTTAAGCCATAATAAAAATAAGAACTTTGAGGAAAATATATTTTCTGATGTATTAGAAATTCAGCCTAACTTGGAAACATAGCATTGTTTTGTTTTAATGTAGTTTATGTAAAACATATGGCAACACAGCTGTTTACAAACTTCTCTCCCTTGAAAAACTGGATAAAAATAAAAGACTTTTGGTAATGCACTTGGGGCTGGAGGCAAACCCAACAGGGATATGTTTAGAATAAAGCCATACAACTGAATGTTTATATCAGGAAGTTAAACTTAGTAATTTAATACATATTTTTGTGGTGTAGATAAATCACCTGTAATTGAACCAGAGTAGAGCCCTATTTTTCCCCCTCCTATCCCTCATCCGTAAAATATGGGACCACTCCCAGTACTTCAAGCAACATAATTACAGGAAAGTAAATGACTATTTTGCCTGAGGCCAGGCACTGAGTTGGGGTGCGGGAAATGGAGTGATTTGATTGGGACTATAAGATAATGAGGAAAAGGAAAAAAATTCAAGAAGGCAGAGGCTGTTGCACACTCTAGAAATAAAGTTTAGTGAGGACATGTATGTAGAAGGGCATGTAGGACCCATAGTCTACATTAAAGTGTATTTCACCAATGAATTGTTTAACATGAGTTGAAGAGAAGAGAGAAATCACTCTCAAATTCTCACCCATTGACCCTAAATAGGTTGGACTAGAAAATTTAAACCAGAAACAACTATTTATATACTCTGATCAGAAGTAACCTGCCAACTGTATGAACTTTTTTAGTTGTGTCATAGACTTTACCATGTAATCCTTCCACAATTAAAAGACCAGAACTTATACATATAAGCCAGCTCTTATTTTTTTTATTGCAATGCAATCACTATTAATCCAGGTAGAAATTTTCTTAGAAGGTCTAAATAATAGGACAGCTCCCTCCGTAAGAAGATTGACTGCCTGGAGTGGATTAAAAGCTTTCAGAGAAATCCTCTGCTCATTTATATTAGAATGGGAGAATTTGATTTTCCTTCCAACAGAAATTGCTGTTTTATCCAGTTTGCATTTCTAAAGGGCATCCTAAAATATCGTTGACTTTATGCCATTCAAATATTATGAAACATTTATTCAGCTTAATTTTATAGCTTATCTTCTGATGTTCTCAAACATTATTTTTTATTTAAAATTGCAATAAAAGTCTTTTATTAAAATTTTATTATCAAATAATAGTCTATAAACGACATTTTACATGAACTATGCATCTATTAATTTTCTTTTTCAAATTATGTCTATTTGGAAACTGATTTCATAAAACTACAAGTCACTTCATGTGTCTTCCTCTCCAGAATTCATATTTTGTCATTATCCAAAAATCTTCAGTATATTAAAGTCAAGTAATTTAATACTTATGTAATTATCACACTTGTTTTCTTATGTACACCTTCAAACTTTAGAAAGTAGTAAAAGTTTGGGCATAGGACTGGGACACAGGCCTCGATCAAATAGTTTGACGTGAGGATAACTCATAAGTAAATTGAGCAGACACCAAATAAGTCTAAAATGGACATGAGGATAAAGAAAGTTGTATTTTTTTACTGTTTTCTGTGTTCTATGTATTTTTTAGAATGTAATACAATTGTATGTAATCATAACCACATTTATTTTCCTTTCCTCTGTATTTTAGTTGGGGTTGGCGGCAGTGGGAGGGGGAAGTTGAGTGCTAAGGAGTGTGTAAGCACAGTTGACATGCTGAAGTATCTAAGACAAAAAACTCTGTGTTTCACATCCCAAAGTTGAGTCCTAACGGGAAGAGCCTAGTTCATATTTAGTTCCATCAGAAAACCTTGCTGTGTTTGTGGAGAGTCATAGATGAAACGGGTAGCCCAGGAAGTTCAAGCTTGAATATGAAGCTTATTTATGTCCTTTGTTTATTCACAGTTTCCCAGTTTTGGGAGGTTACTCCTCCATTCCCAGTCCTGAGTCTGTAGAGTCTCAGTAAATATTTATTAACTGAATGAATAATGTCTCCATTTTAGGCACTATCAAAGAGATTGGGTAATGATAAATTATTATTGTAATCAGATGTCAACTATGACAACAAAATTGTTTTTTTAGATGTGCTGTTCTTACTTGAGTGTATCATAGAGTCGCTGGCAGCCCATATGCAACTTCTGATATGTGCATTGCATTAGAAATCAGGCCTAGTGAGCAGGGAAAATAGTAGGGACTGCAATATAGCGTAACTGTATTGCTTGAGATTTATATCAGTTCTTCAATTCTGGCTACAACTTAGTCTGCTGGAAAACTGATATCTCACCAGCATCCCACAGGACATCACAATGGTTCACTACCTTAATGGAATTATCCTTATGGAACTCTCAGAGAAGAGAATGACAAATATTTGTTAACTATCTTAGTAAGATGCATTTCTAGGATCGAAAATTACTCTTGGCTTGCTGCCAGACACTGATGGAGACTATATGTCTATCATGAGGTGACATGTGACAATAAACCCCAACTGCTCATTAGGAATTGGGAATAATCTAATCCACAAAGCTATAAAGTAAGATATTCCTGGCATTATTTCCTCATCAAGTAGTTCTGGTCTATATACACCTAGGGTAAGAATGTGCAAAATCCAAGAAAGTTACATGAACAGTTTGTTCACACTTCCAAAATGCTTAATAATGTCAGACTGCTATCCTTTCCTCAACCCACAGATATGGTCTCTTGGAAGGGTGTGTGTTCACTTTGATGGTTTAACATGCAATATCACCATTTTTTTTCTTGTTTTGTGATTCAGTATATCCAATGGTGTTCACTCTCTATGGGAGGTCATGTTTTCTACTGAGCTTCAGTCATGTCTGAAAAAAAGGCATAGAGGAAACCACTACAGTTTTAATGCAAAGTTACATCCTTTCAACAAGTACCATGTAACAGGTGTCCTTGCTTAACGGTGAATTTTCCCTCACTGATGTTGATCTATCCACTACCACTAATGAGTAGCCAATATTTTATGACAGCAACTAAAAATAATACCTACCTTAAACAAATAAAGAAAACATTGCTTGCTTTGAAATAATAGATTAGATGTAGAATTAGCAACATGGATAGATCTTAAGAAAATTCTTACTGCAAGAAATATGAGATATATAACAAAACAAATTTTACTGGAACAGCAACAAAAATATGCACAATAATAAATATCCTCCTTTTGTAAGAGTATAGTCTTATAAAAATACATATTAAATACATAAAATTTGTTACTTTCATATGGGGAGAGGATAGTGGGAGATGGCTACAAAATTGAGTGGAATCAATGAATGAATGAATCAACTAAATATTAAAAATCAAACACAGACCTTGCATAGACTCTGGTGATTAAAAGGTGCTATGAACAAATCGTCTCAATTTGTGTGTCTGATGCCTAAGGAAAAAAAAATCAATAAGATACAATTTGTTTTAATAAAGAAAAAGTGCCAGTTCAGCAATGAAACAGTAAATACGAGGGAAGGAAGTAGGATATGACTTCAGAGAGATAGACAGTGTTCCGTTTATGTGGGTTATGGTAAAAAAGTGAATTTTATTTTTTCATTCTAATTTCAGTGTGATCTACTGGAGTTTTTTAAGCATGGAAGAAATATTATCAGACTTAGATTAGAGTGAAATACTCTGGCTACAATATAAAAATTAGACTGCAGAATGAAAGTAAAAATGAGACAACTGCTAGGAAGCTTTTGATTTTTCTGATGAGTTGTCATGGTTGGCACCAGTGTTATAGAACACAGTGAGAAGTTGGTAAAAGTGATCATGTCCCCTTCTGGACTAAGGTATGTTGTTAGCATCCAGTGGTTTTCCCACTAACGCCCCCAAATCCTTGGAACGACATCCTTAGAACTTCAGAGTTTGGACTATGCCGACCACAATTCTCCACTTACTCTTCGGAAATATTGTCCTTACTGAAAGAGATACTGCTTTCTCTTAAAGCTTCCTGTCTGTTCACATGCCACTGGGTTTTTAGCTTGGGAAAACCCTGTTTTCTCTTTTCTTGATCGTCATCTCTCAGATTCAGCTAAAATTCATTTCCTATGAGAATTCCTCTAAAACTGTCTTCATACTATGAAAAATTTAATTTCTGAGCCTAGTACTCCATTATTAATATGTAATTTTCTTTGTAATAGTGCTTTTCTATTAATGTCACTTTTTCTGTGTGTAATTTTTACTTGTCTGATTTTCTAACTAGATTGTGTAATTAGCAAAGACATGACTATATAATCACCACTTAACCAAACACCTTAAATAAGGAAGGTGTTTTATAAATGTTTGGTTTTGACTACTCAGTCAAAAAGTAATGAACAATACTACTGCCTTTCTTCTTATTTTTTTTTTTTTTTTTTTGCTTTAAACCTACATGTCTCTTTTGGAGATTTTCTGTAAAGTAAAACAATGTATATGTATAAATATGTTCTCATAGTTTGCTATAAAAATAAAATATATTAACTCAGTTGACTAAATAGTATATTCAAATATTTACTCATTTCATTTGTTCATTAAGAATAACATTTATTTGCCAAGAGCTAAACACATGAAAGTATTAAGTATCGCAGAAGGTACAAAGAAAATATCTACTGTAATGGGAGAGTATTTTTGTGGGTTGAGTAGAGACACAACTTTAAACATAAAGTAGAGTGATCTCAGAATAATAATAAAAATATCACACAATTTCACAAAAAGCTTAGCAATGAGGAGGAACACCATGTTTAACCTTTTCTTCTTGACTTATCTATTACCATGTTTTTTATTATAAAACTCAACAAAAAGTATGAAGCATTATACCAGTTAGAGTAGCACAAGCTGTACAGATGTACATGGAGGTTCAATGATTTTGTCTGGGAGATTGCTATTTCTCATTCACATAAATTCTACTTGGTAGTGATTGTGAGTGCTGGAGTGAGAATAGGGTCAGGAAATTGATACACACTGTATCCAGAGAAGGGGATGCTCTGATATTATGCAGCCACTAGATGGGAGATGAGAGCAATTGGAAGATGCAGTAGGAAGCGTTTTGGGGTCAAGCCTGGAAACGGTGCACGTCTTAACCAGAATAACGAAGTTAACAGGCTTGATGAATTATCTAGTTGCTGCCACAAGTATATTTTAAGAGCACTGAAATAAGATTAATGTAAACAAAATATAGGTACATGAAGAATATAGCAAATAGAAAATTTCAGGGTCAAGTTGATGTTCTCCCAACTTAAAAGAAATAAGAGAATGCAATTCTATATATTGAATATGACCAACCACAAAGCAAATCTTGTTCAAATACACATAAAAATATGCATGAGAGAAAATATTCAATAAATCCTTGTTAAATGAAATAGATCTGATTATGTTTCTTTAAATCCATATTCAAGGTATCAGAAAAAATTATGGTTTGATATATTTCTATCTCTGCCCTTTTATTCTTGGTCTGATAATTTTGTGGCACTCAACCTCAAACTTAAAGGACATTGCAAATTGTTAGTAGATTTTAAATGCCTATTACATTATAACTACAGTTCCAAATCATCAATCTGATGATCTGACAGTATTATATAAAAAATGATAAAAATAGATGAAATGATCAATTCTTTAATAAATTATGAGACCCTACTTCATTGGAGACTCTTCAATGTTAAACTATTTGATATGCAAATCTCAGATGCTCTGCTCTGGGTGTTTTTGTATCTTTTTTTCTGTGTTCCACTTTGAATAACTTTTATTAACTTGTCTTCTAGCTTACTGATTCTTTCCTCTTCTGTGCCCAGTTTTCTGATTGCACACTAAACACTTTATTTCCATTACCATGTATTTCTAGCATTTCTATTTGTTTTTTCAAACAATATCAAGTTCTAAAGTGATCTATTTATGCATGTATGCTCTCTACATTTTCCATTGCCTCCTGAACAATTTTAATTGTTACTTTAAAGTCCTTTAGAATACTTCCAAATTCTCAGTTGTCTCTGTATATGTTTCTATTAATGGTTTCCACTCTTGTCCATGGGTATCCTTGCTTCTTTGCATTTCTCATACATTATTTTTATTGCATATCACACATTGTGTGTGAAAAAACCATAGAAATAGAAGTAAACGACATTTTTGCCCAGAATGTTGCACATTGAGTCACTATAGCTGGTGAATCTAGTCTGTAGCTGAGAAGTCTCTAGGCTTTTTTGCAGTATCAGATTCAATTCATCATCTGCTTCATCCTTTCAAAGGGTGAGATAACTTTTCCTTCAGCAAGGCTTCTAATCTGAGCACCGGTGAACCTCTGAGAGATCTCTTTATGATTTACAACCCAACCACCAGCTTTTTAACCCTTTGGGTGATTATTTCTATTTTGCAGTTTGATTTTCATATTTTGGTTCCTCTGTGTGTTCTTTTTTTCTACAGTCCTGCCCCTGCCATTCTACACTTCAGGAGATCACCCCCTCACCTGGGTGCTCTGACTCCAACCTTTGGGGAGCTACTGCAAGTGCCTAAGTAAAGGTCCAGAGTATGGACCTTGCAAGGATATATTTCTCTGAACAAGTTGGCCATGCCACAGGCATAGAAAGGTCACTGCAGTAAATGTGGGGAAGTACTGAGGGGCTTATTTAACATTGTGTATGCATGTTACCATTAAAAGTTCATTAAAATCAACTTATGTTTTCTTATTTCTCTTTATGATTGTTTTTTTCTTCATTCTACCAGGGATGAAAGCAGCCATGGTTTCTTTCTTCATAGGAAGGGATTGTAATGAGATCTTAGTATCCTTAGCACTCTGATAGTTTCAAAATACTGTGATTTTGTAATCTGCTTGTACATCTTCAATGTACTTAAGAAAATAACCCCAAATGTTTGAGGGGATAGATACCCCATTCTCCGTGATATGTTTATTTCACATTGCATGCATGTATCAAAATATCTCATATACCCCATATATATATACACCTACTATACCCACAACTATTTTTTTAAAAAGATCCCAAGAGGAATTTTGCTTAATTAAGTAATCAGAAGATATGAAGTTAACTAAATGGGCCATAAGAATAAAAATTTTTAATTTTGTAAGCATAGCTAAACCACATCAGTTTTTAGATTTTAATATTCTTACCCATTTATGTATAAGCTACAAAAGTGAACTTGCATTTTCACCTTTCTCTTCATAATCCATTTAAAAATGGCTATTACATTGTCTTACTTAGTGAAATATATGACACTATTATCTAGGCATGGTTAGAGAAAATGTTATTTACACTAGAAGACTGAATTCAAAAACTATCACCATGCCAATAATGATTTCATCATAAATTTAATATTTAAAGTGAAGACTACTAAAGTCTTCAGATCTAAATAATCAGTTTTCTATTTTGGAATAAGTACACACCTTTCTAAAATTAAAATTAAAATATAATTTTATTTGTATTAATTTATGTGCTAAGAATCATATCTACAGTTTTATCTTTTGCCAACACTTATTTGTATAAATTGCAGCATACATTATAATTTAAAGGAAACGCTGATAATGACCTTAAGTCCTTAGGGTCCAATAGCATCTAACAGCATCCTTTTAAGATTTCCATGGAATGTCAGCCTTAGGTTTATAAAATATATAGTAATCGACATTATCACTCTCCAGAATAGACATAAAGAGAAGACCCTCACCTTAGAGACTAATTTAAACGAAGCTTAAATTTCACCAATTGACTTCAGTATTCCCCAGAATATTTTGTCTATTCATATACAGAATCAGTTAGTTTCCATCAAAGTGTCAGTAGACACTTTAAAGTGATTTTAAACTAGTTTTGTAATTGAAGTGGGGAGTATATCATGGGCATGAATCTACTCTTGTCTCACATCACCATGTCATTTGAGTAAAATAAAACTGCTTAGATAGAATTGCTGTGCACCCCCAACATACATCACAGGACTCTTCACTCCATGCTCCAACAACTGATGACAGGCAAATTCCCTTAAAAATACAACTGCCAATGTTTAAAATAATAATAATAATAAAAAACTGTCCTAGGAAATCAACATCCCCAGTGACACTTACAACTTTTGCTTCAGTATAGAATTCATGGTTTCAAGTTTGTATTTATTCTGTGTAGGGGAGGAAGACTGAAGAAGAAATGAAATATCTGAACATTGATCTCTGAAGCTAAAATCTGAAAAGCGAAAGTGGAAATTTATGTAGGAAAAGCTTATCTTCCTCCTATCTCCCATAAAAGTTAAAGAGTCATTTTAGAAATTTGTAAAATAATAGCATTCAGAATAAAAATCAAATGAGCATTTTTTATCCTCATTCCCAAGATAATGTCATTATTTATAGTTCATTGTATTTTCTTTCATTTATTTTCTTGGTAAATTTAAAATTAATGTGATTAGCTGTTTCTTTTTATTCCTTTCTATATATGATACATATGTACCACGTAATTTTTTGTATAATTTCTCTTCACTTAATATTATAAGAATATTTCTCTGTCATTATTTTTTTCCACAAAGAGTTTTTATAGTTACATAATACGTATTCAATGATTATGCATTATTCTATTTTGGAAAAATTAGGCTATTCCCAATTTGCTAATTTTAATACAAATAATAAAAATTTATATTTTGTAAATATAATTCACTTAATAAAATGGCAGCTCTATAAAAGGCATAGTTGTATTCTTTCCTTTGGAAAAAACAAGCAAATAAAGTTATCAATTCAAAACCAAAGAATATGGATATTTTTGACATTTTTATTACCTATCTATACGTACATTTTCCAAAGATTAGACCAATTCATAACCTCATACAAGATGAGGGTGTCTAACTCATTACACTTTGACAATTTTGTAGTCACTTTTTAATCCTTCATTAGTTTGATTGTTTTAAAAAGGATATTATAGATTATGTATTATTCTTAAAATGTTTGGTAGTTTATTTTCATTTTGTTTTTTAACACTACCCACTTTTTGCTTCCAAATGCCTTATGTGCCCCTGAAATTCTCAAGCAAATAATAATAACAACACTACAGTCTTAAACTTCCAAGCCTTTCTCTCCCAAAGCTATATTGAAAGCTATATCTGCTTAGTGTTTCATTTTCTCATGACACCAGTCTTTAAGAGATTGCAGCTGGTTGATGTGATAAATGAATATATGCTCATGAGAAAGAAAAATTTGCAAGTCAACTCTTGCAATTCAAAAGGAGAGGCCAGGTACCACAAGGAAGAATTACTGGTCTATCTGTCAGAAGAACATGACGTGTGTCCTGCCTCTCCCTGAATCCTTCTGAACCTTGGGATTCACCTAATCTCTTAAGAATCAGTTTCTTATAAATTAAGTGATCATAATATCTGATTTACATATATCAAAAGAAAATTACAATAACTTAGTACATCTCAAATGTAATGGTTTTTGCAAGAGAATTAAAAAAGAACAAACCATCAGTACATTACATTTTAGTTAAGAGAATCCCTTTGCATACTGTGTATCTGTTTCATATGTACTTTAAAGTATACAAATGGATTATTCCAATAGTGATTAATTTAGGACTCCAGAGAAACCATTTTTGGAGAGATTATACCCACAGATAATGGCGGTGAGACAACTGCCAAACACAGGACCAGTCATGGGATCAGGCCACATATAAATAAAAAGGTAATGTAATTATTTTATTTTAAAAAATATATATAATATTAGAGCATACATTTGTAGAAGTAGGAAGATGATTCTGCAGAGCGGCTTTTAAATTTGGATCTTTTATGGCAAGCCTACTTTTAATTTCACAGGCTTCTTTCCCAGGAGACAAATGTGATCTATATGTATCTTTCTGAAAGCTACTACTTAAGATCAAAATATTTTACTCTGACAGTGACCATGAAGAGCAACACAAAAACAAACCATTGAAAAACCCAGTATTGTGAAGTGAATCACTATACTGCCTAATATAAGGCAATCAAAACAGCTAATGGGGGAAAAATCAGATTCATTAACATCCACAATTGTATAAATTAGGAAATGTTTGTGCATGTATGTTTCCAGAATATAAAATAGTTGTTTGTCATTATCTTTGTTTGTTGTCATTATTTATTTAATTGTGTAGTTCATTGTGTGTTCTCTCTTCAACACAAATGTTGCCATTGGGCATTTAAAACTTGAGTATTTTCTAAATTTCTTCCTCTAATTCTTTTATTATTATAAGTGGAGGCTAGGAAATTACCAGAACACCACATTTAAGAAGCCCAATTGATGAAGATTAATTTTTAATGTTGTAAATTTTGCATGCTGAGACCTGAAACTAGAAAATATGAAAGATCTTAAGAATTTGTCTGTTTCTCCCGCCTCAATCTCCTCCTCCTCCCATTAGAGAAAGTAGAACTTGTACTCTTATGTTTAGAAATTTATGCTACCCTCTTGCATCCACAAAATAGAGGTTTACTTAGTTCTTCCCTGCTTTCCAGTCGTGGAGGGCTCATGTGGTAACTGTGAAGAATACAAACCTGTAGAAAGTCTGTCTAACACTGGGGCTGCAATTTTCACATTATCTTGTAGGAGGTCAGGCACTTGAAATCCTGAAACTTAAGACTGTAAGCATCATGTATACTTTGCTATGCATTTGACATCAGTGAACTAGTCAAACTTGTCTGCTGACAGAATTCCTTTTTTGATTTTTTTTTACTTTATCATCAATAAAAAGGGTGCTAAACACTGGAATAAAACAATCCATATTTCAAGAAACTGCACTTCTTTTAAAATTATCTATCTATACTCAGTATTTATGCTGAAATGGCGCTATGTTATAAATTAAAATGTGCATTATATAGTGAAATTATGTTTCAATGTAGAAATTAAAGATTAAGCCACCGTTTGTACTAATGTTATCTGTCATACATCCTAAATAAATCACATAATACCTCTGTATTTTACCTCTACAATTATATTTATTGATAATAAATAATTGTTGAATTCAGCTTCCACTAATATCATACATTTACCATTTATTTGTAATGACATAAAACAATTTCAGAGTCATTGTTAAATAAAATGCTCCTTTTGATCACATAATAATGACAAAACTAATCAATATTACTACCAGACATATTAACTGGGCTAAAATAAAACACAATGTTTAAGTCATGAGAATTTGAATGTCCTGAGAATTGCTGGTAAATATATTTTTGAAGATATACCATAATTAAAATCAGGAAATGATTCTTCATCTATCTTATTCACCTAGTTATCTGAATATACTATTAAATGGGTTCTCATTTCAATTGTAATTGCATTTTTTATATGCACCTGCATGACATTTGCTTCGGCAACTATAATATACCAGAAATTTGTCCATTCATTACACGCTGCCCTTTACGTACTAGATTCTCAAAATTGACCAGTAAGATTAAAAATGTGGGAATATATGAGCAACACCAGAATGAAACTAGAAAGTATGAAACATTTTAGGAAGATAAGAACCAGAGATAATCCTGTTGAAGAATATTACCCTCAAATCTGATTCAGGATAGCCTTCTGTAGACGTTGAATGTGACCACAAAAACACCTCACTTCCAGATACAGAGATGCAGAGGGGCTCTGTGACAGCAGTAACATCTGTCTCCAGAGAGGACTGATATAGCCTACAGTTATGGTATAGAGAAGCAAAACTTCAGACTACTGGTGACATCTAAGATGAATGGAAAGTACTAACTCATAAACTGTCTACCAAAAGCTCTTTCATGACACATACCATCCCTCCTCCATTCTTTCGAAAAACAGGCTAAATTGCAAATGGTAGAAGTACTGGCTTTTATTCTTCTAAGTAGGATTTTAAATACATATGGAAGAAGTTTCACAGATGCACTGAACTAAAAAAACAATTTGACATAATATCTTTATAATAAACAAAAATTATAAAAATATGCATATGAGTAAAAAGTATTATACAGTTTGAAGCAACTTTAGATAAATAAGCATTGAGATAAAGAAGTATTATTTTCTAAGAATAGTGAAACCTTATCACATAAATAAACACAAATAGACTATGATGGAATACTCATTAAATATAAAAATTAATGACTGTATCTTTACTGAACATAAATATGTACATGTTTGTTAATGATTAGAATTGACAAAGATGCAAAGCAAATTACTAAGCTATGATCAAGCTTCAAATATAATGCCAACAGTTTTCCCAAAATGTGTCATAAAAAGATAATGAGATGAAAAGATCATAATAAAATTTACACTATCAGAGATTAAAAGTACAAATTGCAAGATCTATACCACAAACATACCAAAGAAGACGATGGAAAGCATCCATGGAGATAATATTTTAAAGGAATTAATAAAATTGAATAAATTGATGCATCATTTCTTGAATTGAAAATAGAGATCAAATGAATACAAAGTAAGCTAAGCAAATTTCTTTAAAAAAATAATAGAAGTAGAAGAATAAGAATCTTTTCAAAACTGAGTTAGAATTAAATTGTTAAATTTTAAAATCCTAACACCAGGAATAAAACAAATCCCAAACTCCAAACAGAGAACAGAAATAAAGAAATAGAAATAGAAATAGAAATCATAAAATATCAAAGGCCTCACTTGAAAATGTGATGCAAAACAGATCTACATATTCAATAAATTCAAAACCTTGTCTAAAATGTAAATAAAATTATTAAACTTATACTTTTTACTACTACAGTAACATTCAAGTATGAAGGTAAAAATGACATATTCAGACTCATCAAGTTCATGATTTCTATGCACTTGCTAACATAATGTATTCCAGCAAGTAAAAAGAAACTTCAAAGTGAAAGGAATAATGCGGCAGCAAAAATATATCTAAACTTAGAAACACTATAATGCTGTGTTTAAATTTATGTTTTGCTAAACATATAAGAAGAAAAATATTTCTTAAATGATGATGATGATACAAACATGGGAGCTGAATGTTGGAAGCCAAGAAGAAGGGCTTTAAGCCATCTAAGGATTTTATGCCATTTAGTTTTAAAATATTCATATACTGGCTAGCTTTAATAACTTATTAAAAACCTAAAAGTTTTATGATTGTTACTAAAATGATAGAAATCATATGCATATCTTCTAAAATAATAGAAGAAGAAAAATAGGTCAAAGAAAACATGACTAATCCCGCAAATGACAAGAAAGGGAAAATAAATATCAGTAAATCATTATAGAGAAAAAAGTTAAAAAAATAGAAATGTGTCAAAAATGAATTGGTGAATGCAATAACTTTGAGACAGCTTATACACCTAATAAAATAAGAGATTCTTAAGTTGGATGGAACAGATATCAATTTAAAATAAATGACATAATATCAGAGAAAATTTAAAAAAATAAATTAGAGATAGACCAGGAAAAAAAGGTCATACACAATTAAGGGCAGAAGAAATTAAGGAGGAAGAATAAGTGAATGACACATTGGAAAATGGAGTAAGAATAAAACTGAAACAGCACAAACTGATAAAGTTTAAATAAGATAGGTACAAGTCCACAATAATAGTAAGAGACAATAGCATTATTCTTTCAGATTATGTATATAATTAGACACATAATTATATATGTGTACACATACATTATATATAGTCAGACACACACACACATATATATGTGCATATATATATGTATATACTATATTTACATGAAAAGAGAAATTGGAATACTCTCTTTTAAAATTTTAATATATTTTGTAATTTTTTCCCAAAATGGCTGCCTCAACACTTCCACAAGCAGTTTATGGGAGTGTTAGTTTCCTCACACTTTTGCAGAGATCCAAATTACAGCTTTTTAAAAATGATTCCCAGTACCAAGGTTAAAAGTGCCATCTTATTGCATTTTAATCTATGTTTCTCTGATTAGTAATGTATTAGTCAGGATTCTCTGGAGTGACAAAATAGGATAGATGTATATATGAGGGGAGTTTATTAAGGAGTACTGACTCACAGGAACACAAGGTGAAGCCCCACAATAGGCCGTCTGCAAGCTGAGGAGCAAAGAAGCCAGTCTGAGTTGCAAAACCTCAAGAGTAGGGCAGTTGACAGCACAGCCTTCAGTTTGTGGCCAAAGACTCAAGAGACCCTGGCAACTGCTGGTGTAAGTCCAAGAGTCCAAAACCTGAAACACTTGGAGTCTGATGTTCAAGGGCAGGGAACATCCAGTAGGGGAGAAAGATGAAAGCCAGAAGACTCAGCAAGAATGCTCTTTCCAACTTCCTCTGCCTGTTTTATTCTAGCCGTGCTGGCAACTGATTAGATGGCGCCCACCCAGACCGAAGGTGGGTCTGCTTCTCCCAGTCCACTGACCCAAATGTTAATCTCCTTTGGCAATACTGTCACAGACACACCCAGGAACAATATTTTACATCCTTCAATCGAATCAAGTTGACACTCAATCATCACAAGTAATAAAACTAATAAATATTTTATATATGCAGCAACTATTTATATTTCTGTCTATAAATCACTTTATCATACTTTTTGCTCCCTTAACACTAATCTAATAATATTAAGAAATAGTTTTAATATTATTTTGATAATATTATTATTTGAATCAAAGTCAAGTACTGAATTACAGTTATATTCTCCTTTAGATATCTCCATTCCTCCCCACTATCCTCTTGGTCTTGCTGTCTTTGTTTCTTCTTGGTGTGTCTTTCTGTTGAACAACTAAGATCAAGGATCCAGCCATTTTTCCAAAGAATCATTTTCTGATGGGAAATCACAGAGGCCTTAGTCATTGCAAGTGCCTCAGCTCTCCATTCCCCATTATATTCTGAAGCGTTTAAAAACCTAATTGATATGGTTTGGCTGTGTCCCCACCCAAATCCCAACTTGAATTGTATCTCCCAGAATTCCCACATATTGTGGGAGGGACCCGGAGGGAGATAATTGAATCATGGAGGCCAGTCTTTTCCGTGTTGTTCTTGTGATAGTGAATAAGTCTCACAAGATCTAATGGGTTCATCAGGGGTTTCCACTTTTACTTCTTCCTTGTTTTCTTTTGCCGCCACCATGTAAGAAGTGCAATGATTCCGAGGCCTCCCCAGCCATGTGGAATTGCAAGTCCAATTAAATCTCTTTTTCTTACGAGTCTTGGGTATGTCTTAATCAGCAGCATAAAAATGGACTAATACAGTAAATTGGTACCAGTAGAGTGGAGCACTGCTGAAAAGATACCTGAAAATGTGGAAGCAACTTTGGAACTGGGTAACAGACAGAGGCTGGAACGGTTTGGAGGGCTCAGAAGAAGCCAGGAAAATATGGAAAAGTTTGGAACTTCCTAGAGACTTGTTGAATGGCTTTGCCCAAAATGATGACAACAATATGAAACATAAGGTCCAGGCTGGCGGGGAGGGGGTCTCAAATGGAGATGAGGAACTTGACAGGAACTGGAGCAAAGGTGACTTTTGTTATGTGTTAGCAAAGAGGCTGGAAGCATTTTGCCCCTGACCTAGAGATATGTGGAACTTTGAACTTGAGAGAGGTAATTTATGGTATCTGGCAGAAGAAATTTCTAAGCAGCAAAGCATTCAATATGTGGCCTGGGTGCTATTAAAGACATTCAGTCTTATAAGAAGAGTAGAGCATAAGAGTTTGGAAAATCTGCAGCCTTACTATATGACATAAAAGAAAAACTAATTTTCTGGAAAGAAATTCAAGCTGGATGCAAAAATTTGCATAAGTAGCAAGGAGCCTAATGTTAATCCCCATGACCTTGGTGAAAATGTCACCAGGCCATGTCAGAGACCCTCACGGCAGCACCTCCCATCACAGCCCAGAGGCCTAGGAGGAAAAAGTAGTTTTGTGGACTGGGCCCAGGATCCCCATTCTGTGTGCAGCCTAGGGACATGGTGCCTTGTATCCCAGCTGCTCTAACCGTGGATGAAATGGGCCAACATACAGCTTGGGCTATGGCAGAGGGTGAAAGCCCCAAGCCTTGGCAGCTTCCACGTGGTGTTGAGCTTGCAAGTGCACAGAAGTCAAAATTGAGGTTTGGGAACCTCTGCCTAGATTTCAGAAGATGTATGGAAATGCGTGGATGCCCGGGCAAAAGTTTACTGCAGGGGTAGGGTCCTCATGGAGAACCTCTGTTAGGGACGTGCAGAAGGGAAACGTGGAGTCGGACCTCCCAGAGTCCCTATTGGGGCACTGCCTAGTGGAGGTGTGAGAAGAGGGCCATCGTCCTTCAGACCCCAGAATGATAGATCCACTGACAGCTTGCACCATGCTCCTGGAAAAGCCACTGACACTCAATGCCAGCCCATGAAAGCAAGCAGAAAGGAGGCTGTACCCTGCAAAGCCACAAAGGCAGAGCTGCCTAAGACCATGGAAACCCATCTTTTGCATAAGCATGATCTGTATGTGAGACCTGGTGTCAAAGGAGATCATTTTGGAGCTTTAAAATTTGACTGACCCACTGGAGTTTGGACTTGCGTGGGCTCTTTAGACCCTTTGTTTTGGCCAATTTCTCCCATTTGGAATGGCTGTATTTACGCAATACCCGCGCAATACCCGTACCCCCATAGTATCTAGGAAGTAACTAGCTTGTTACTTTTTACAGGCTCATAGGCAGGATGGACTTGGCTTGTCTCAGATGCAACTTTGGACTGTGGACTTTTGGGTTAATGCTGAAATGAGTTAAGTCTTTGGGGGACAGTTGGGAAAGCATGATAGGTTTTGAAATATGAGAAGATGAGATTTGGAGGGGCCATGGGTGGAATGATATGGTTTGGCTGTGTCCCACCCAAATCTCAACTTGAATTGTATGTCCCAGAATTCTCGCGTGTTGTGGGAGGGACCTAGGGGGAGGTAATTGAATCACAGGGGCTGGTCTTTCCTGAGCTATTCTTGTGATAGTGAATACGTCTCACAAGATCTGATGGATTTATCAGAGGTTTCTAAGAAGTGTCTTGTACCTCCCACTATGATTCTGAGGCCTCCTCAGCCATGTGGAGGCTCTTTTGAGTCTCAGGTATGTCTTTATCAGCAGCATGAAAATGGACTAATACACCAATAGAGCTAGACTTATGGAAATAAAACATGGTCTTTAGGCTGCATGTTTATAAACTTCACAATTGGAGAAGAATTGCAACTCACTCTCTCAAAAGTGTGCAATGGGCTAGAGATCTCATCTATGGTTATAGAAATATGATGTGGTAGAAAGATGATGCACATCTCTGAACTTCTGAGTTCATATGTTAGGAGTACACTAGATCATCTCTTACTATGATTGGTTTTGTGGATATGAAACTGGGTCATGGTAGTACCATGCCATAGAGGTCTAGTAACTTCCAACTATACTCTGTCTTCCCAGCTGAGTTACTTTAAGATTTTGGTGATAGGATGATTATATAAGCACCTGTAGGGAGCCCTGGCCATCTCTATGGCTGGGTGGCTAACCTGTGGAAGTCAATCTTGAATAAGTTAACCATTATCTTTTAGTTCGTCATCCTTAATAAAATGTAGCTTCTTAATGGGCAATCATATCATCTAAATCCTAAGGGGTTGTGAGGATAGTTGCTGATATTGCTGAATGAGACAGTAGAGGATAATAAGAATAATTAACACACAAAAGAAGCCTGTGGGTAATGCCTGAAGTTCTTCTTTAAAGGAGCCCTGATTAACCCAGCAATGAGATGTTAAGGTACTGATCGACGTGCTTAAGAGAATTTTCTGCCTATTTGCATGTACAGGAGATAGACTTTTCTATTTGGCCACTCTGTTTTAACCTGTGCATGACATGATGAGTTGCTCAATGCAAATTCCTGCTTTGGGGCTAACAAATAGCTAAGGGTGGTTTTATTGTCTCATATTGTTGCCAAGGAAAGTAAATTAATATGCTAGGTCATAAAGTTTTGCTTGAAAATAATGGCTATTTAGCTTTTTGTAGCTGACAAACATTATGGTCATCAGGTCAATTACACCCACCCAGGAATAGGTTCATGTCCGTAGTTATAAAATACATACGCCTTTTCCTGTCCCAGGAAAATCACTCTTTAGTCTTGGCCAGCAGATAAATATGACGTCCTGGAAGGAAGTCTTTAAAATCTTGAAATACCCAGGTGCCCAAATTGGGGTGCAGGCCATATTTAGTCAATACAAACAAATAAAGTCTCTTTGTCTTCATAGACAGAAGAGTCCAGGAGAGCAGGCAGTTCAGTTCAGAAAGTTTCATATATCATCATGACAGACCTAAGTGCTGTATGGAACTTAACAATCTATTGTTGCAGCATAAGTACTATGGTTTGAATGTGTCTCCTTCAAAATCCAAGTGTTGCCAATGTAATATTATTAAAGAGTAGGGCCTTTAAGAGGTGCTTAGGTTATAAGATGTCCTCCCTCATGAATGGGAATAGATGCTCTTATGAAAAGGTTTAATGGAGTGAATTCACCCTTTTTGGCTCTTCCATTTTCTGCCACGTGAGGACATAGTATTTCTCCCCTTTCAATAATGCCACATTCAAAGTCCCAACTTTGAAACAGAGACTGGAACTCACCTGACAATAAACCTACCAGCACCTTGACTTTGAACTTCCCAGCCCCCAGAATTGTGAGAAAATAAATTTCCATTCTTCATAAATTACCAAGTTTGTCTCTTTTGTTGTTGTTATTGTTATAACAGCACAAAATGGATTATGACGAGGATCGAGAAAAGGCTGATTAGGACCAAATTCAGTCTTCTCAAGCATCTTCCAATGTCTGGGGACTCTGTCATGTCAGAGGGGGAAAAAAGTCAGTCCGAATATTTTTCTCAAACTTGGATCCTGGAACCCAATCCACTGTTAGCAGTCTATTTTATTGGCAGGTACTGGTTGGTAGAAAGAGTTTTGTCATTGGCAGAAACTGGCATGGCTGAAAGCTCTATTTTTGCTACATACTGGGACACCCAGCATCTCAACAGGCTAGCAGATGCAGTCACTGCCTTAAGAATTGTATCAAATTAAGGGTAATCTACATTACAAGATTCTTGAAGAGATGCAGGTGTATGACCTTTAGTATACAACCTTTATCCCACCTTTGGTACTTTCTGGTATTTTTTGTCCCTTTTCTCTTTTTATTTTCTGGCAGGTGAGAGGCACCTTATACCCTGGTTAATCATCTTGGGAAAGACCTAGGTTTTTGCCTAATGGCCAACAGCATCTTGTATTCAGTAAAGTCTTATGCCAGGTGATTTGTATTCATCTGCACATATATAAGAATGCACATGCCAGCAGAGTGGCCATATACCTAGGTTTTTGATCCCAAAGCAAAAGGTCACATAGGGCAGGATAATGATAATGTACACCTTCCAACATAATTCAAAACTAAACACCAACAAAACAGCAGCATTTTTCCAGCTGGGTAAGCACTCTTCCTTGGTTCAGGCTACAAACCAGGCTTCCTGATCATGTTTAGGTCTTGCTGGAGGAATAAAAATAAAGTGCATGAAAAGATATATAAAAGTATAAGTTTGGTCCCAAATACTTTAACTGTACCACTCTGGACACCACACTGTCACCTGAATTCTAAGTCAAGAGAAAGCAAAGAAGAGATGAACACTTGTGAGGTAGTTGTCTTTGGGATATGTTTAGCATTATGCAACTGATCTAACCAGATGCTAATAGGAAGTGAGTGAGTGATAGACTGCCACAATTTGTTTTTGAGTCATGCATTTCAGAATTTTATTTTCTCCACACTCTATGTAAAATAAGGAATGTTGAATATCCACTGGGTACAATGCTATGTTGTTTGGCCTGCACCACAAACAAAATTCTGTTGTCCAATGATGGTGCTTGTGTATCCCAATAGTATTCAGGGTTGTCCCTCTAATATTTGAATTATTTATCAGGGTGGAAGTGGAGATGAAGGGAGTGTTCAGGTAGATGGATAGCTAATGCATCCATCTCATCATCCAGGGACTGTAAACTAAAGACAACTTATGGATCAGCCCATCACACTGATTACATTAATAAACCATACGGTGAAATGTTGGGGTAATCTTCATTCTCATTTTGTGGAAGATTGATGCCATTCATTAATGTTATAGTATCTTTTTTGCTATATCATTTTTTCAGTGTACCCATCCTTTCAACCTATTGTGAGAACTACTCATATCCTACTGTTTCAACACTATCAACTTTATCACATTTGTCCCCTAAATTAAAAAGCATAATAACAACATGTCTTTACAAAAGGTAGCCTATTTAGAGACGATTTCTCAGCCGTTCTCTTGACTCCCTTTATCTTTCTGGATGGACCTTCTACACAATGTAAGTTATTGTGGGGTTCATACGGTTATGCCTCCCTGCTCTTTGCTGTGATTTTAAAGGGGCTGCTTCGGAATAACCTATGCTGTCTCAGACCGGCTGTCCTTGTTGGAAGATGAGTATCAGAGAAAAACCTGCTTATCTGGACCTGATAGGATAAGTCATCCAACATTCTTTTCAAACCAATGTATCATTCAAGGATATATTCCACCAATCAGGTTTTTCCCATCATAATCTCATCAGGAGTATGGGTTTGGTTTTGTCTTTAGTGATATCTACTTATGTTTGGCTATAACTTTCTACAGCCACTAACAACAACATGATGTCTATGTTTGCAATCTAATCACTGATGACATCCTTTTCAGAGTATCCACCACTTGAGTTCCTTGGGGCTTCAAGGATCTAGTTTCTATAGACTTTTGTTGTACAGCATTTAAGTCTTTGAAGACTAGATGGACAGGTAGACCTAGGAGGACATTTTTAATTTCCCATAGTGACTTTTTGGTTTGCTTTATACCACAGCAGTTATCACACCATTCCTGCTTGATGCAACAATTACTGTGAAATGAGGAACAGTGACCAGGTAGTCTAAAATAAGTCTTCTGGAAAAAGACCTTAGGGAAAACCCATTGAGACATATGCAGTTGAAGGTATCTAGGTTTTCCAAATTCTCAACATATTCTGTGGCAATGCAGGTCGGATATTGAACTCAGAGAGCCATAATTTGGTGGTGGAGTGTTAAGACATGAAAGGAACGAGGGGCCATTATCCTTAGCAAACTAACACAGAAGCAGAAAATCAAATACCACATGTTCTCACTTTATAAGTGGGAGCCAAATGATGACACATGGACACATAGAGGGTAACAACACACACTGGGGCCTTTCAGAGTGTGGAAGATGGGAGGAAGGAAAGGATCAGGAAAACTTACTACTGAGTATTAGGCTTAATACCTGTGTGATGAAATAGTCTGTACAACAATCCTCCATAACACAAGATTACCTATGTAACAAACCTGCACTTGTACCCCTGAACTTGAAATAAATTTTTTAAAAAGACATACATGTTTGAGAAGTAATCAGCTGCTCCTCTTGGAGTCCAAGCTTTATGATTAAAAAACATAAAACAGGTGATGCTTATTCTTCATTCACATTTGGCCACATCTATATTTTTCTCTTGATACAACATTAATTCTTCTCCTGGCATGAGCAAACTCTGAGATCTAAGTCTTGAGGTTGCAGATGTACAGTAGCATAATGTCTCCCAGCCCTGATATTCTGCCTAGGAGTTTGCCAGGTTTAGTTTCCTTAAGCTGTAGCTCACGTTCATGAAACACTGAGGAAGCTAACTCCCTTGCCTAAGTTCACCATGGAGGGAATTAGTCCTGGACAATGAAGGTTTACTTCTCACATTGCTAGAACAATCCCCTGTTTTGAAAATCTCTTATGGTATTATCTCACTACCTTCCACTTTTCTCCTGGAAAGCCTCCCTCTTGGAGGACTGTTATTTTCTAAAATATCCTGAGCAAGCCATTCCTTTTAGACTCAAAGTATGGCTCTTGTTTATACTCTAGCACCTATTGCTCTCCTGAAGTTGGTTCAAACTTCTTTAACATGTTGAGTTGGAGAGATTAAAATCAATCTTAAACTTTCTTACATGTTGCTTGACTTTGAAACAAAATGTTTACACTCACAGCATATGTATATACAAACTCACCCAATTATTACATTCAAGGTGTTTTATGAAGACTGAATCAAATAGCACAAGTTGGCTCCCAGCATAACTCTTGCCATGTAATAGATATTAAAAAAATAAATGGATGTTATTATCTTGCCATGTAATAGATATTAAGTAAATAAATGGATGTTATTAGAAGTTACTGACCAAAAGATGACAGGTAATTCATATTCTATTTTAGTGTATAGTTTCTCATCTTTTTATTTTAAAATGGGTGTAAAAACTCCATGTAATTTAATATTGTAAGAAATACAAATATCGTGTGTATAAGCCCTATCACAATTACTGACATTTCACCAATTTCAAACTGCCTTCAAAAAAATCTTCTTTCTACCTACTTAACTAAACTTACACTATTTTCCTTTAAAAGAAATACATCACAACACCCTCCAACAGGTTATCTCTTGATCAGTGCTTTGGTTATGATATTTTATCTACTAGAAGTTATTTTCTCCCAACACATTACTTGCTTCTCCTAGAACTTCAGATATCAGCTATGTCTCAGAAAACCCATTTCCTACTATCTGCCATAAAGTAGCCTGCCTTCTCCATCATAGTTCCTCATTCTGTTTTTTCATGATATTCCATAAACTTTATAAGGAAATAAGATATTTGTTTGGGACCATCTTACCCTATTAAATAGGAAAGTTCTTAGTATATAAAATATTAATAATAATATCAATTATTTAAAGAATTTTTAATGGCTGTAGTAAAGAAAATGAAGAAGATGTGTGCTCTAGCACGTAATTTAAAGAATGTGGCTATTTTAAGAAAAAAAGTGATCAATTATGTCAACTGTTGGAGAATTTAAGTAGGAAAGAACATAAAAAGTCATTTGTTCATTGAGGAACAAGCAGTAGAAACAAGAAATTAAGAGTTTTCAAGTAATGGAAACAGAACATTTTTCTCAAATTTTGGCAATAAAGAAAGCATAAATATACGAAAATTAAAGGAAAATCAGGTTTGTATGAAGATTTTGTTTTGTAGTAAAGAAAACTCCCAAGCAAGGTAATAAGCCAAGAGAATGAACTATGGAAATGAAATGGCTAAAACTGAAGAATAACCATACACATATTATTGAGTGTTTGCAATATGTAAGGCATATAAATGTTTTATACGTATCACACATGTGGCCTACTTATTTATTCTAATAACTCTGTAAGATAGGTGGTATCATAATACCCAATTCTAAACAGAAAAACAGGAGTACAGATTGACTAATAATCTGTGGCCATGGTCACAAAGCTAGTAAGAGACAGAGTTAGAAATTGAATACAAGTAGCTTGTAGCAATAGCTTTAGCCACTATTCCTTGTTGTTTCTCAAAAAAAATTATGGTAATGAACCAAGATGAACCAAGAATCTAGCTGAGACTGAAGATTATGAGATAAAAAGAAATTTTAACAAAGATTAATCTTGCAAAATATACTTACTTCTAAAGGCTGGAGAGAAGGAGACATATACAAAACATTTATAATTCTAATCACACATTAGACATGTATTAAGTCGTAGAAGTACATTAATAACAAAATAGAAGCTGACACAACAACTTGTTTTCCTTTTGACTCAGGAGAGAAGTAGAAGAAAATAATTAAAATATGAAGAAATAATGCTAGGGAGCAGATTAAAATATTATTAATTTTACAGCAACTAGCTTCAAGAATCTGAGTGAAAGGAAGACTGCTTAGAGGACACTGCTTAGAGAAGTGTAGGGGAAGCCTTGAGAGAAGTAGGACTAACTTTGCTCTAATTAGGTCCTTATTAATCCTTATTAGTTTGCATTATTGCTGTCCAGGGTTATCTTGCCGTCTGTGGATAAGAAACAACAGAGAGATGACTGATTACCTGAAAAATGAAGGTGAAATTAATAACATGCCTCCATTAATATTGTCAGAGAAACAGATGATTTAAACTACAAATAAGAATCCAATACTACCACAAAGTACATTTCTTTTTTTCTGCTAAAATAGGGTAAGAGAAGGGAAGTCTTGGTTTAAACGGAAATTCCTTACATTAGAATGAAAACATGCATATTTTTTGACCAACCAATTAAGTAGATAAATGACTTCATCAAGTGACACCTCTGGGTGTATCACACATGAGTCAGAATTTCAGTTCTGGCTTGTGGTTTTAAGAGCATCTGGATCATTAAGGATGCTCCAGATTTTTAAATGAGGGAATTGAACTTTAAAGCCATTCTTAATAGTTTAAGCATAACATGGAGAATTAAGACACTTTTGGTTTGATCTAGTAGTCGTTTGCCCTCTAAGTTATTAAAATAGCAGTAGGTCTATCAAATACTGATTTTCCGTTCACAGAAATAGCCACTATATCCCATCAAACAATTAGAAACTGAATTTTTGATCCAGTAAACTTGTAGTGAATTTTAAAAATTATTACTTCTTGGAAAATTTCTTTAGTAAAGAATTCATAATTGAGGATATGAATTACAAAAAGTTGAATTTTCATAAATGATATATTAGCATTTAATTTACTAGGATATATATTCATATGAGTTAAACAGAGAATTATCATTTCTATTCATGTGAGACTAATCTCTCTCAGGCTAAGAATAAATGTGAGTATATAGAAAAAACTAACATACTAAGTGATCAATAAAAATAAATCTAAGACATAGAATTATGTTGTGACATCAACTCAATGAGCCCATTTTTCTCATTTACAACTATAATTTAAAATCATCTATGATTAAAAGCTCTGTTTGGGATAAGAAGAAAATTCACAGTTCCAACCAAGACAACATGAGGGATGGCTGAAAACTGGGGAGAAGGCTGTTAGAATACTAGTTGCTCTTTAAAAAAGGACTAGAAAAAGGCTGATGGAAGGAAAATATTTTTAGCAACAACTTCCAATCTGCATTTACCTTAAATATAAACATATTCTTACTTATTTAATGTTCATTCCTCTTCAAATGAAGGCTAAGCATGAGGTTGTGGCAGTTGAAAGCTGAGAGCTAGGATTTTACATGTGGGAAATTCTTCAAAAACAAATTAGTGAAGAGAGTACTTCCAAATGGAGATATGAGGAGCTCTGTGGACACTCTCAGGAAGACAAACATAATGTGAAAACTATTTTTAAGTGACCATTTAACATTTTGGAAATTGCCCTTAGAACATATAGCAAATGTAGAAACATTTACCCAGGAAAATCTACTAAATCTCTGTAAGAACAATGAAAATCGGTGGCATTGGAACCAAACTATCTTCTTCTTCCTCACCCCCAAACAAGCGCTGTGTGTCAGAAGCTATATTCCAGGCAGGTCCAACCAAGAGAAAGGGGATCCTTATCACTCAACCTTCCGGTCTAAGGCTACTTCCAGAGTGGCAGACCCCTAGCATTTCTAATCGATCCCCACTTTTTATGAAAGCTATTTCAGGCAAGAGCAGTCAAGTGTTCTAAGGTGCTCTTTTCTCAATCAGCATCCACTTATAGGGTGGAAGCTCTGAGGCATTGCAAGCTGAAAATACTGGGTCCCAATCACCTAATCACTCACACCCAGCTCACTTATACGTCAGAATTTCCACAACCAGAAAAGAAAACATACAAACAAACAAACAAAACCAAGAACCATCAAACAGCCCAGATCTCTGCTTTTAAAGGAGGAGTGTCACACCAAGAGAAGCAGGTTG
Source organism: Homo sapiens (assembly GCF_000001405.40). Lineage (NCBI taxonomy): Eukaryota > Metazoa > Chordata > Mammalia > Primates > Hominidae > Homo > Homo sapiens. Next base: position 194,446,273 of record NC_000001.11, on the reverse strand, counting down.
CTATCCTCACATCCATTTCGCAAGCAGTAGCACTGAGGTTCTTGCAGGGTAGAGGCAGTTCATAAAAGCAGAATTATCTGTAGCTCAATAGTAATCCACTAAAAACTAGTGGAGCCTAATAGCTGGGCATGAAATCAACAGAGGCAGGAGGTTTAATAGAGAGATCAGAGAAAGAGACAAAACACTGCTAAAAACACTGTCATCAATATACAAAATTCAATTGCACTTCTATAAACTAGCAGCGAACAAACAAAAATAATTAAGGAAATAATTTTAATAACATAAGAAATAATAAAACACCTAAGAATATATTTAAGAAAAGAAGTGCAAGACCTGTACTCTGAAAACTACAAAACACTGTTGAAAGTAATTAAAGACAACATTAGTAAGTGGGAAAAACAATCCTAGGTTCATAATATTTGATATTTATATGTTACCACATTTGAAATTTAATTAGAGATTCTATGTTAATCTGTCAAATTCCATGTGCTTTTTTCCCCGAAATTGATAAATTGATCCTAATGTTCATACGCAATGAAAAAAGACACAGAATAGCCTAAACAGACTTGACAAAGAAGAACAAGAGTGGAGGATTCCATCATTTACTAATTTGAAAACACTGTAAGATAGTACCAATCAATACAGTGTAACACTTGTAAGATAATAGAAAAATTGGTCAATGGAATAAAATTAAAATTCCATAAATATGCCCTTATATTTGTGATCAATTCGTTTTTGATAAGACTTCCTGGACAATTCAAAGGGGGAAAGAATAGTATTTTCAACTATTGATGTTGATATAATTGGATATCCACAGGCAAAAGAATGACGTCAGACCCCTTCCTAACACAATTAACAGACATTAACTCAAAAGGAATCATAGACCTACATGTAAAAGACATAATTGTAAAAATCTTAGAAGAAAATGTAAGATTAAATCAGTGAAATCTTCATTTTGGCAAAATCTTAGATATCAAAAGCTCAATTTACCAAAGAAAATAAATAAATTGGACTCCATTAAATTTAAAAACTTGAACTTTAGGCTGGGCACGATGGTTCATGCCTGTAATCCCAGCAGTTTGGGAGGCGGAGGTGGGTGGATCACTTGAGGTCAGGAGTTTGAGCACAGCCTGGTCAACATGGAAAAACCCCGTCTCTACTAAAAATCCAAAAAAAAAAAAAAAAAAAAAGCCAGGAGTGGTGGCAGGCATTTGTAATCCCAGCTACTCAGGAGGCTGAGGCAGGAGAATTGCTTGAACCCAGGAGGTGGAGGTTGCAGTGAGCTGAGATCATGCCACTGCACTCCAGCCTGGGAGACAAGAGCAAAACTCCATCTCAAAAACAAGCAAACAAAGAAACAAACAACAACAACAACAAAAAACCCTTGAGCTTTAAAGAATGTCTCAAGTACAAAAGAAATCATGAATAAAATGGGAGAGTATATTTGAAAATCATATATCTGATGCAGGAATTATCTCCAGAATAAACAAAGAACTCTTACAATTCAGTCAAAAAGACAAAGAACCCAACTGAAAAATAGCCAAAGGATTTGAATAAACATTTCTGCAAGGAACATATACAAATGAGCAATGAGCAGATGATAATATGCTTGACAACATCAGCCAACATCAAAATGCAAATCAAACCCATGACAAAATAATATTCCACCTCCACTAGAAAGGTCATAATAAATAATATGTAACAAGCATTTGTGAGGATGCAGATAAATTTAAAGTCTCTTACACTGCTGGTAAAAATGTAAAACAGCGCAGCCACTTTGGAAAATATTTCATTAGTTGCTCAAAAAAAAATCAAACATAAAGTTACCATAGGATCAAGCAATTCCACTGCTATACACACACACACACACACACACACACACACACACATATAATACAAGATAAAAGAAAACCAACATATACCAAAAAAACTTGTACACAAATGTTCATACCAGTATTATTTGTAATAGCCTAAATGTGGGAACAATCCAACTATCTTTCAACAGACAAATAGAGAAATAAAAAGTAGTACAATAGAATAATATTGAACAATAAACATGAATGAAGTACTGAGACATGTGTGAAACTTGCAATTATGTTAAGTCAAAAGAGAACCACAAAGGTCCCCAAGTTGTAGTTTTGCATGTATATGAACAGTCTAGATAAGGCAAATTTTAAAGACAAAAAGTCTATTAGTAGACTAAAGCAAGGAATTAGGAGGCTGAGGAGCAATGGGGAGTGTCTGTAATATCTATTAGATTTCTTTTGCAGTTGGTGGTTGAACAACTCTGTGACTATACTAAAAAGTATCCTATTGTACACTTCAATTGAATGGTATGAAATATACATCTAATAAAGCTGTTAAAATAATTAGAATATCAAATTTGTTTGTAAAAATCAGACAAATTATCACTGAAGAGAAATGTCATAGAAAAATATATTTCATTTCATTGTCATATTATAATCAAATATATTAAAATATATACCAACATATTTTTTTCTGCCATGTTTTAGACTACTGTACTTCAAGGGTTTGGGTGTAATACATAAATCCCGTTACAAAACCGACATTATATAGATGGATTTTTGTGTACAACCCATAATCTTCAAAAGCTTATTTATGCTTACATAAGAAACCCAAAACTGTTGTGAAAGTGTGTAATTTTTGTTGGAAAATAGAAAGGTCAGATATATAAAATTACCAAATGTATATCAGTATCTAGTACAGCCTCAGAGAAAGAAGAGAAGCTAAAGGTAAAATTGTTTTTCCATTCATTGGCTTGACTGTGTAATGAAAAACAAATCTTCTTCTTTCTTATGCGAAAATGAATATTCCACTAGACTTGGACTTAGTAGAAAGGAGATTGAGCTAAGGCATCCCGCTGGGCACCACATGAGTGACTATGCTCTACTTTAACCTTTCAGCTATTGATTTGTATGAAGTGCCACTAATATATTCGGATAGGAAAGTACATGTGTTTTCTCTTGCTTTGTTTAGAAGAGCAAATATTTTCTTACTCATTACTTAATGCATAAACACCCCAAAGTGCATTATATAACAAAATGCAAATTTTTGCAGAAAAAAATACTGACTGATGAAGTAGTTACTCTCGTATTTAACTTTCAGAATGCATCATTGGCATGATTCTCACTTTTATCATTCGGGTCACATATGCTCTTCCCACATGAATAGTCCTAAGTACGATTGTGCCAATTCTAGCATCACAATTCTCTTTTATACAGGCTGCCTTGGCTTTTGTAGATTTGCTTAAGGCTTTTTACATTGAAAGGATAAGTTTCTCAAAAGAGAGCACCCGCCACAGCCTTTTGCACATTTCCAATGACAGCGCCGGCTTCCAATTTCTAAAGTACCACATTTTGCTCTTAAATAGCAGTAGCATGAAACTACTACAATAAAAAGGAAAAATGATAAGCTATTGGTAAATATAGATAAAATATAATATATTTCTGGACAAAACCATCTTTGGAAGCATTAAGGACTATCCAATTCTGTTTCAGTGATAGAGAGGTAATTATACCTGTCTCAAAGGCCAATGGAACTAGGGTATTAATATAAATTGCATTTTAATGTTTTATTTTCTGCCCTTAACCACTTTAGGAATCTTAGCAAATAGAAGTGCTACTTTCCCTTTTAAATATCATTACATTTTCTATATGAGTTAACAGTTTAACATACAGACTTGAGAATCAATTAATGTCTCGTAACTGAATGAAATTACCAAACTAGTGAAGCTCTTCTCAGTGAATACATATACACTTGCCAATTAGAAGTGCTTAAGGGCAAAAAGTGAATGCAGATGTTAAAACTACCACTCTGCATCTATAATAAACTGAATAGATTTAATTTGGCAACATGTTCTTGCTAAATATGTTATTATTGACACCTATTTTTCTTAAAGGAAAATAAGGTAAATTATGTTATTTAAAACCATATATCTCTGCATAAAATGAAATACATGTGTAATACAGTTATCCAAGTGATAAGCCACATAAAAATAGAAAAAAATTGTCTGCAATACTCAAATTCTTTTTCTCTCAGTATCTCCATATATATCATATAATTTATATTTATGTGTATATAAATCTACAAATATTTATGTATAACTATTGCATTTGCAATATGTGTACAATATTTAACATAATATAAATTATATGAAATATACTATGAAAAGAATTAATTTATTTTACTAAATAATTTACTTTATAAATACGTATTACAGTTACTGGAGTATTTCTTCTTCATTTTTATTTTCAAGTTTATTTTTAACTTTTAAGTTCAGGCATACATATGGAGGTTTGTTATATAGGTAAAATTATGACTTGGGGGATTGCTGTACAGATTATTTCATCACCCAGGTATTAAGCATAATACCTCTTAGTTATTTTTCCTATCCTCTTCCTTCTCCCAACCCACCCTCTGATAGGCCCCAGTGTGTGTTGTTCCCCTCTATGTGTCCATGTGTTCTCATCATTTAACTCCCACTTATAAGTGAGAACATGTGGTATTTGGTGTTCTGTTTCTGCATTACATTGCTAAGGATAATGGTCTCCAACTTCATCTATATGTCTGCAAAGGACATGATCTTGTTCTTTTTTATGGCTGCATAGTATTCTATGGTGTATATGTACCACATTTTCTTTATTTAGTCAATGATTGACGGGCATTTAGGTTGATTCCATGTCTTTACTATTGTAAATAGTGCTGCAATGAACATACATGAGCAAGTGTCTTCATAAAAGAATGACTTGTATTCCTGTGGGTACATACCCAGCAATGGGATTGCCAGGTCAAATGGTATTTCTGTCTTTAGGTCTTTGAGGAATTGCCACACTGTCTTCCACAATAGCTGAACTAATTTGCACTCCCACCAACATTATTTAAATGTTCCCTTTTCTCTATAACTTCACCAGAATCTGTCATTTTTTGACATTTTAATAATGGTCATTCTGACTGGTGTGAGATGGGATCTCATTGTGGTTTCCATTTGCATTTCTCTAATGATCAGTGATGTTGAGTTTTTTTTTCATGATTGTTGGTCACATGTATATCTTTTTTTGAGAAGTGTCTGTTCATGTACTTTGTCCACTTTCGAATGGGATTGTTGGCTTTTTTGTAAATTTGTGTATGCTCCTTATAGATGTTGGATATTAGACTTTGTCAAATGCATAGTTTGCAAAAATTTTCCCCATTTTGTAGGTTTTCAGTCAGTCTGTTGATAGTTTCTTTTGCTGGGTGGAAGCTCTTTAATTAGATCCAATTTGTCAACTTTTGTTTTGTTGCAATTGCTTTTGCATCTTTGTCATGAAATCTTTGCCCATTCTTATGTCCTGAGTCATATTGCCTAGGTTGTGTTCCTGGGTTTTTATAGTTTTGGGTTTTACATTTAAGTCTTTAATCCATCTCGAGTTAATTTTTGTATATGGTGTAAGAAAGGGCTCTAATTTCAATCTTCTGCATATAACTAGCCAGTTATCCAAGCACTCTTTGTTGAATAGGGGATCCTTTCCCCATTGCTTGTGTTTGTCAGATTTGTCAAAGACTAAATACTTGTAGGTGTGCAGCCTTATTTCTGGGATCCCTGTTCTGTTCCATTGGTCAATGTGTCTGCTCCTGTCCCAGTACCATGCTGTTGTGGTTACCGCAGCCATATAGTAGAGTTTGAAGTCAAGAAGCATGATGCCTCCAGCTTTGTTCTGTTTGCTTAGCATTGCCTTGGATATTCGGGCTCTTGTTTGGTTTTATATGAATTTTAAAATAGTATTATCTAGTTCTGTGAAGAATGTCCATGGTAGTCTTATAGAAATAGCATTGAATCTATGCATTGCTTTGGGCAGTGTGGTCATTTTTGCAATATTGATTCTTCCTATCCATAAGCATGGAATGTTTTTCCATTTGTTTGTGTAATCTGTGATTTTCTTAAGCAGTATTTTGTAGTTCTTCTTTAGAAATCCTTCATTTCCCTAGTTAGCTCTAGTCCTAGATATTTTATTTTTTATTTTTACTGTGGCAATTGTGAATGGGATTGTGTTCCAGATTTGGCTCTCGGCTTGATTGCTGTTTGTGTATAGGAATGTTAGTGATTTTGGAACATCAATTTTGTATCCTGAGACTTTGCTGAAGTTGTTTTTCAGCTTAAGAAACTTTTGGGCTGTAAAGATGGGGCTTTCTAGATATAGAATCATGTCATCTACAAACAAGGATAGTTTGACTTTCTCTCTTCCTATTTGGATCTCTTTATTTCATTCTCTTTCCTGATTTCCCTGGCCCAGGCTTCCAATAATATGTTGAGTAGGAGTGGTAAGAGAGGCCTTCCTTGTTATGTGCCAATTTTCAAAGAGAATGTTGCCAGCTTTTGCCCATTCAGTAGGATGCTGGCTGCAAGTTTCTCATAGATGGCTCTTATTATTTTCAAATATGTTCCTTCAACACCTAGCTTATTGAGTGTTCTTAACATGAAGGGCTGTTGAATTTTATCAAAAGCCATTTCTGCATCTATTGAGCTGATTTTTATCTTAGTTCTGTTTATGTGATGAATCATATTTATTGATTTGTGTATGTTGAACCAACCTTGCATCCCAGAGATAAAGCCTACTTGACCATAGTGGATAAGTTTTTTATGTACTTCTGGATTTGGTTTGCCAACGTTTTTGGAAGGTTTTGCATCAATGTTCATCAAGGATATTGGCCAGAAGTCTTCCTTTTTGTGGTATCTCTGCCAAGTTTTGGTATCAGGATGATGCTGTCCTTGTAGAATTAATTATGAAGGACTCCCTCCTCCTCAATTTTTTGGAATAGTTTCAGCAAGAATGGTACCAGCTCTTCTTTGTACATCTGGTAGAATTCAGCTACAAGTCTGTCCGGTTCTGGGCTTTTTTAAATTGATTTACTGATTCAATTTCAGGACTTGTTATTGGTCTGTTCAGGAATTCAATTTCTTCCTAGTTCAGTCTTTGTAGAGTGTACGTGTTCATAAAATTATCCATTTCTTCTACATTTTCTAGTTCATGTGCATAGAGGTTCTTATAATATTCTCTGATGGTCATTTGTATTTCTGTGGGATCAGTGGTAATACCCCTACTTGTCATTTCTGATTGTGTTTATTTGAATTTTCTCTCTTTTCTTCTTTATTTGTCAAGCTAGCAGTCTATTTTATTAATTTAAAAAAAACAGCTTCTGAATTCATTAATCTTTTGAATGGCTTTTCATGTCTCTATCTCCTTCAGTTCAGCTCTGATTTTGGTTATTTCCTGTGCTAGCTTTTGAATTTGTTTGTTCTTGGTTCTCTAGTTCTTTTAGTTGTGATGTTAGGTTGTTAACTTCAGATATTTTTAACTTTCTGATGTGGGCATTTAATGCCATAAATGTTCCTCTTAACACTGCCTTTGCTGTGTCCCAGACATTCTGTTATTTATGTTGTATCTTTGTTCTCATTTGTTTCAAAGAAAGTCTTAATCTCTGCCTTATTTCATTATTTACCCCAAAGTCATTCAGGAGCAGGTTATTCAATTTTCACATAATTGTATGGTTTTGAGTAAATTTCTTAGTCTTAATTTCTAATTTGATTGTGCTGTGGTCTTATTTGTTATGATTTCAATTATTTTAAATTTACTGAGGAGTGTTTTACTTCCAATTACGTGATCAGTTTTAGAGTATGTGCCATGTGGTGATGAGAAGAAAGTATATTATGTTGCTTTTGGGTGGAGGGTTCTGTAGATATAAATCAGGTCCATTTGATCCAGTGCTGACTTCAAGTCTTGAATATCTTTGTTAATTTTCTGTCATGTTATGATGATCTGCCTAACAATATCAGTGTGGTGTTAAAGTCTCCCACTCTTATTGTGTGGGAGTCTAAGTCTCTTTGAAGGTCCCTAAGAACTTGCTTTATGAACCTGAGTGCTTCTGTATTGGGTGCATATATATTTAGGAGAGTTATATCTCCTTGTTGAATTGAACTTTTCACCATTATGTAATGCTCTTCTTGGTCTTTTTTTTTTTATCTTTGTTGCTTTAAAGTCTGCTTTGTCAGAAACTAGGGTTGTAACCCCTGCTTTTTTCTATTTTACATTTGCTTGGTATATTTTTCTCCAGCCCTTTATTTTGAGCCTATATATGTCATTGCACAGGAGATGTGTCTCTTGCATACAGCATGCCAGTTGATCATTCTTTCTCCAGCTTGCCACTCTGAGTCTTTTAATTGCGGTATTTAGCCCATTGACATTTAAGGTTAGTATTGCTATGTGTGAATTTGATCCTGTCAGACTGCATGCTCTAACTCTGGGGGACTTGTATTGAGACCCAACTGTTCTCTGGCTTCTGCTTCTTGAGGTTTGGAATCCACTGTGCTGGTTCAGCCAAGGTGTAGCAGCTGTGGCAAAGAACTAGCAGATGCTGGGGTGCCTGCTTCCCTGTGGGCTCTCACCACAGTGGCAGAGGCAGCATAACTGGGGTGGAGGTGGGGGGAAGGGGGCCCACTGCTGGAGACTGTGTGAGTGGTTGCACTGGAGGTGGGGTTGGCTCCACGGCAGTGTGCTGGAGGGCTCAGGTTAGGTGTCTTCTTTGTGCCCTCGAAGCCAGAGTAATTGCCTAGGTTGGAAGAGGATCCACTCTTCCTTGCCCAGTGTTAGCACAAGGGCAGTGTGCTGGTGGGGCCAGGCTTGCTGGCTCTATTCCCACCAAGGCTCCATCTGCAATAGTTGTTGGAGGAGGGATGAAGGCAGACTGCACTCTTGCATGCTGGTGGAGCAAGGAAAGCAAAACCTGCCCATGCAGACATACAGCAAAGTGATGTGGGGAGTTGTGTTGAGTTGCCATGAGACGTTGGGAGGCTGCAGTATGGGGATGGAATGGGCAACCTAGCTACAGTGAGAGCCCCCAGGGTACTTGAGACTGCCCTGCAAGCAGGCATGGCTAGACTGGGGCCCCAAGAGAGGCCAGCAGACAGAGGGGTCCTAGGGTCAGACCAGCCCTGTCTGATGTGCAAGAACGCCCTGCAGAGATCAGTTCCCACAGTTCCCCTAGGGCTAAACTCTCTTGTGGGAGCAAGTCAAGCATAGGGGGATGGCCCTCCCTGACCATGCTCAGCTACAAACACTCCTACATCAAACCCTCTGGGCTCCACATCAGCTGTCTTGCTGCCCCTACCACTTCTCTAAGCAGCTATCCCTGACAATTCAAGTGTCCGTGGTTGTCGAGGGTTCCCCTTCTCCTGGGGTTCCAGAGGTCTGTGGTGAGAGTGGGTTGCTCTTTGCCAGTTTAACTCACCCATTTCCCTGGAATTGCTGTGGTCCAAAACTGAGTCCCGGTGTGCAGTAGCTCCATGGAGGGTTCCCAGCTTTCTCACACTTCAGCTCAGCTTTTGTGTGTTCCCTCCATCCACTTTCGGCCTTCCCACTAAAGATCGCTTAAACGCACGCCAGTCCTCTCAGTCCCTTTGTGGGAGCTGTTCCACCTGGCTGGGTCTTGGCCATCTTGCCCTCTCTTCCCATTTTGTTTCATCTATAAATATACAGAACACGCATTTTTCACAGATGTCCTTCAAAGAAGACATTAAAGACTTTAGCATAATATACCAATCATTCTTTGTATGTACATATGCACATCCTTTTCTCACTGAGGTTCTATAAATTTCATCAGATACCTAAAGGTCCTGTTACACAAAATATGTTGAGTCACGGGACATAGGTTTAGTCTACAGGATTGCTAAAAATATTATTGAATTTTTGTTTAAATGTATATATGTAACAAAGTGACTGCAAAGTAATTACAGTTTCCCGGATGCCTGTCTATGCAGGTGGCAAAAAAAAAAAAGTGCTAGTCAGATCGTTTTAATGTTATTTTGCTCTAGTACTATCTTTAGATTCGTTAAACATAAGTACACATGAGGGCAAGTTGTTTCACCATGAATTTATTTACTTTGTCAAGAATCAATAATAGTGAACATAGCTTACAATGCCACCAGTAGTAGTTAATTTCAAGACCCCATTTTTGAAAATTGTATTTATATACTTACTACATAAGGTGCAGCAATTTTAAGTTATGTGGGATGAAGACAGGGAGAGAACAAGAGGGAGAAAGAGGTGCATCTCTAAAGTATCAAAATGACTGCAAGTCTGAATATCAAGAAGAAAACCTAGGCAATACCAGTCAGGACATAGGCATGGGCAAGGACTTCATGTCTAAAACACCAAAAGCAATGGCAACAAAAGCCAAAATTGACAAATGGGATCTAATTAAACTAAACAGCTTCTGCACAGCAAAAGAAACTACCATCAGAGTGAACAGGCAACCTACAGAATGGGAGAAAATTTTTGCAATCTACTCATCTGAAAAAGGGCTAATATCCAGAATCTACAATGAACTCAAACAAATTTACAAGAAAAAAACAACCCCATCAAAAAGCGGGCAAAGGATATGAACAAACACTTCTCAAAAGAAGACATTTATGCAGCCAAAAGACACATGAAAAAATGCTCATCATCACTGGCCATCAGAGAAATGCAAATCAAAACCACAATGAGATATCATCTCACACCAGTTAGAATGGTGATCATTAAAAAGTCAGGAAACAACAGGTGCTGGAGAGGATGTGGAGAAATAGGAACACTTTTACACTGTTGGTGGGACAGTAAATTAGTTCAACCATTGTGGAAGTCAGTGTAGCGATTCCTCAGGGATCTAGAACTAGAAATACCATTTGACCCAGCCATCCCATTACTGGGTATATACCCAAAGGATTATAAATCATGCTGCTATAAAGACACATGCACACGTGTGTTTATTGAGGCACTATTCACAATAGCAAAGACTTGGAACCAACAGAAATGTCCAACAATGATAGACTGGATTAAGAAAATATGGCACATATACACCATGGAATACTATGCAGCCATAAAAAATGATGAGTTTGGCCACGCGCAGTGGCTCATGTCTGTAATCCCAGCACTTTGGGAGGCCGAGGCCGGCAGATCACAAGGTCAGGAGATCGAGACCATCCTGGCTAACATGGTGAAACCCCGTCTCTACTAAAAATACAAAAAATTAGCCAGGTGTGGTGGCGGGTGCCTGTAGTCCCAGCTACTCGGAAGGCTGAGGCAGGAGAATGGCCTGAACCCGGGAGGCGGAGCTTGCGGTGAGCCGAAATCGCGCCACTGCACTCCAGCCTGGGTGACAGAACAGAGTGAGACTCTGTCTCAAAAAAAAAAAAAAATGATGAGTTCATGTCCTTCGTAGGGACATGGATGAAGCTGGAAACCATCATTCTCAGCAAACTATCACAAGGACAAAAAACTAAACACCGCATGTTCTCGCTCATAGGTGGGAAATGAACAATGAGAACACATGGACACAGGAAGGGGAACATCACACACCAGGGCCTGTTGTGGGGTGGGGGGAGGGGGAAGGGATAGCATTAGGAGATATACCTAATGCTAAATGACGAGTTAATATACCAACATGGCACATGTATACATATGTAACAAAACTGCACGTTGTGCAAATGTACCCTAAAACTTAAAGTATAATTTAAAAAAAACTTTGATGAAAATGATTATTATACTATCAGGTTTTCATAAAGAAAACATTAAAAGATAATTAAATAATACTATCAAGTAATGCATATTTTTAATTATTTTTCTATATGCATACATGAGAGCATAATGAGGAACAA